>NC_000011.10:11935000-12560000 GCF_000001405.40 Homo sapiens | reverse complement strand
AGAAGCTGGTGCTGTCAAATACGAATAGGGTGAATTTGAATTGATGTAGCATTTTTTTGGATTGAAATGTTCTTTCCTTCTAACATAGTAAGTCAGTTTCATGATACTCATCCAGATAAAGGAGCACAGTGGTAAGAACCTGGACTTATGAGCACGGTTGCTTGCTTGTTGAATCCTGCTTGTTAACTTATTCCCTGTTGCTGCAAGTTATTTAGCCTCTTTCTTAGCTTTGTCATCTGAAAAGTGTGAATGATCATAGCTCCGACCTCAGATGGCTGTTGTGAATACTTAAAAAGTGACTACATGTAAAGTACTTAGATTAACAACTGTAACATAGTAAACACTCAATGAGAATTATTGTGGTCATAGAAACACAATGGAGCTAGGATGTTCACAACAGCATTATTTATAAAGATTAAAAAGAAGTAAGTAACCAAAATGATTACTTTAATGGGGAAAAGTTAAATATTATTGAAGACCATATAGGCATTAGAAGAATTAAAGAGACTGGTCATTGATTAGCTGAGCCTTTCTTTATTGAGTTCCTATAATGTGACAGGCCCTATCCTGGCACTGGAGATACCGTGGTAGATAGAACAAAATCCTTTATCGAAAAGCAAAATACTCCAAGAAATGTTAAGAAGGCAGTTGCAAAACAGTGTTCTTGGAATGAGTCTATGAATGACAAAAACGAATAGCTTTACCCAAAACTATGGACATGTGAAATGCCAAGACAAATATTTGAAAGGATACTCAACATACTACTGTACCTCATGTTACCTTTTAACGTTTCCAAAACTGGAATGTGTCTTACAAGTGATGGCATCTAAGATTGGATAAAGTATGGCATTAGCAAAGGTTATCTTGGAGGTAGGATTGATGATTGGGTAAGGATGATAAGGGACTTTTTACTTTATTATTCTTTAGTTACACTTGGACTTCCAACTAAGGCACTTCTGTATTTACTTCTTATTATGTGAAACTTTGCTATGAGAAATATGTATATGACTGACTTGTGTAAGAAGGCAACAACAGCTAACCCCTTCGGGCTTTGTGGAGGAGGGAGGTCCAGACCAGATATGGACAGTTGCAGTCCCACCCTGATGCCCAGGTAGACAACTTGACCATACAAACCTTGCCTACCTTGGCCTGTGGACCTTCCTATGCTGTGGTAGCCAATGTTCTTTCAGTTACAAGTAACAGAAACCCACTTGTATTAGCTTAATTTTAAAAAGGGTGTGTGTGTGGGGGGGATTTATTATAAGAACAAATGAGTATTGCAGAATCCAGGGGCTGATCCTGTGACCAGGCCTGAGCAAGGATGCCCTCCGGAACCAGGCTTGGGGTCTTTCAGCCTCTGTCTGGCCCTGTGTGATGTCTCTCTCTGTTTCTGTTCACCTGGTTAGTTCATTCCTCTCCTCTCTCTGCAGAGGGAGTTTCAGACTCTTTCTCCACAGGACAGAAGGTGGCCACCCCATGGCTGCCAGATTACATCTTTTCAGTTCAAGTGGCCAACAGGTACAACTAGCATATCTGGATCCCAAATCTGAACTCCTGCGAGACAGAATCTGATTTGGTCTGTTTGGGTCGGTCAACATCCACTAGTGATCAATCTGTCAGGGTCAGGGAGTAGGGCGTACATACAGATATTGCTGCCAGGAGCTACTTTTGTGGCCAAAGGAACGCAGCTACTGAGGAAGGTGAATTATGGGCCAGGCAGATGACTTCAACTGAATAGCTGCGAAATGTCATTCCCATGATATCTTATTCCCTTTATTCTTTTCGCTCTGGTCCTAAGGGTGTCTAGGATTTTGGTGCCTTGCAGGACCAATAAAACCAAGATCCCCTTTTCTTCCCTAAGAAACTACTCTTTCTCCCCAAAACGATCCCTTCCTTATAGCCTTCTCAGCCTAGCTTGCTGGCCTTGGGAGAGACTGCTAGTTTTGCCTTCAAGGGCAATTTATTAGGCAGGGCTTCGCTAACAAAACATGTGACTTGCTGGTTTATCTTTGCCTTTGTAGATGGAATGGAAATGTATCTCTTTTTTTGCAAAAACTTAGGGATGTGATGAAACAGAGAACTCCATAGCTTCAAATGGCTCTATTTCCTCCATAGTCTAGTGTAATGGCGCTAGAGAAAGCAGTCTTCATAGCCAGAATCACCACAGGGAATGCTTCTAAAATGCCTATGACTCCCATGTACCATAGTCACCTTAGTGAGAAGGTAAAACAGAACTCAGGGCTCCCTTCTCTCAGTAGGAAGCATTTCTCAGCATGACTAGCACAAAAGATGTTTGGGGGAGACCCAGAGGCCTCTGGTTGGTTGGACAACTCTAGGCTTGAGCTTCTTTTTTTAATGTGGTGACAAAAAACTTAGGAACTGCTCTTTGGGGGAAAATATGTGAGGATCGTGGTTTCTAATTTTAAATGAAAAGTCCACCTTCCACCATATCACCATCATTGTTGATCAGATGTAGCCTTTTCTAAAAGCTGGAGGGAGTTGTAATGCAGAATTCGAGTGAGCTCACCTGGTCCCTAGAGGGCATTTTAAAGGACACAAGGGAAATAGTTGAAGAAAATGAAAATGTCATTGGGTTCAAGCCCTCTTTCATGGGGAAGGACAAAGACAGGGATGGGGAAGGTAAAAGGAAGAAGGGGGTGAGCCAAATTCTTCAAGGTAATTTCCTTGAGTATGGGAGAAAAAGGAACGAGTATAAAGATCAGCTGAAGAAATGGAACTCCTTGTTGAGCTTCTTTTAATGGCTCACATCCACAGTAGTCCTGGAGGTGGCCTGTACGATTCAAGGCCTTGGCAGCAGTAAGAAAGAACAGGGCAGTGCCGAGTCCTGCCTCTATCATTGATTTGAGCAAGGGCAGGGTCTTTGCCGGTGTTCTGCAGAGCATCCTTGGGCCAAAGAGGCTCCATGCATTTTTTCGGGACTTTGGATTGTTTGCAGTTTGCCCCATAACTCCCACACATTTGCTTCTTCATGTCCCAAAGCTCTGGCTGCTGCAGCATTCCCATAGGAATGTGGATGCCTGCCAAGCGACCTCATGTGCATTCCATTCATCTCCTTGGCTGGGAGGCAGCAGGGAAGCAAATTGGCTGGTTGCTTAACTGTTTGGGTCCCAAATTCACCCTGAAAGGAATCACCAAGGTTGTTGGACTTTTCCAATAATCATGAAGAAAAAACAGAAGATAAAACAAAAGAGATATTTATTTATTCATATGATCCCATCTGGAAAACAGCTATTTTCAAGTGTAGCTTAATGAAAATCACATCCTTTGGTTTGTTTGAAATCATCTTCCACCAGAAAGGCATTTTGAAGCAATGAGGCTTTGTGAGGTGTGATTCAAAACAATGTGAGTAGTTTTTTTTAAGCAATCACACCAAACTGTAGCTACTCAAATTCAGGTTGTTGCCTTCCAAGTAATCTCAGTGGGCTGTGACCCTGCAATTCCAAGATGCTCCAACCTGTGTAAAATTCCTTTAAGGAAATTACTACACTCTTGCTCTGTTTTGCTTTTTGTTTATCATTCAGTCAGCACATATGGGACACCTCCTGTGTGCCAAGCACTCTGTAAAGCTCTGGGGATAGAGTAATGGGGGAGGCACAGTCTTATTGAATGTTTGACCATGCGAAGCCCCCAGGGGCCAGTGGAAAAAGTTAGTCTGACCTGGATTTGAATCCTGGTTTAGCCTCGTGCAGATTGTGTAATCTCAGGCAACTTTCCTAAACTCTTTGAGTCACAGTGCCCCATTTCTAAAAGGAAGACGGTAAAATCTACTTGATGGGATGTCTTTGAGGAGAAAATCAGAGGAAAATATGTAGTAAGCAGCCTTAGCACAGAAGCTGATATAGAGTAATTGCTCAGAAAATGAGAGCACTTATGATTTTAATTGTTTGAATTACATAGCTAGTTCAACTGTCTTTTTTTTGGACTAGATAGACTCTTACTCTTCGAAAAATTAATCATCCTGTGCATGAGAAATATGCACAAGGTACCAAATTCAAAGTATACAAAAATTAGATGATGACAAGAATATCTTCTCCCTGTCCTTACTCCTTGCCATTAGTTCTCCTCACTAGAAAGAATACAAGCAAGTTCTTGTATATTTCCAGATTTAACTGTATTTCTCAGAGATCGGTCCATAGCAACACTTAGTGCTCATTCTTTTTTTTCTTTTTTCAGCGAATTGAGGTATAATTGACAAATAATGTTGTATATATTTAAAGGGAACAATGTGATGATTTGACATACGTATATATTGTAAAATGATTACCAGAATCAAGTTAGTTAATGCATCATCATCTCACATAGTTACCATTTGTGCGTATGTGGTAAGAACACTTATGGACTACTCTACTTGCAAATTTCAAGTGTACAATACAATAGTATAAACTGTAGTCACCATGTTGTATGTTACACCTCCACAATGTATTCGTCTTATAACTGAAAGTTTGTACTCTTTGACCAACATCTCCCCATTTCCCCCACCCCCCCAGCCTTTGGCAACCATCCTTCTACTCTGTTTGTATGAGTTTGACCTTTTCAGATTTCACATATAAGTGGAATCATACAATATTTGCCTTTCTGTTTCTGGCTTATTTCACTTAACATAATGCCCTCCAGGTTAATCCACACTGTCAGGAATGGCAGAATTTTTTTCTTCTTTATGGCCGGATAATATTTCATTGTCTATATATACCACTTTTTCTTTATCCATTTGTTTCCATGTCTTGGCAATTTGAATAATGCTGCAACGAACATAGGAGTGCAGAGAGACACTGATCTAACTTCGTTCAGATATATACCCAGAAGTGGAATTGCTGGATCACATGGTAGTTCTAGTTTTAGTTTTTTGAGGAACCTCCATATTGTTTTCCATAATGGCTGTACTAATTTACATTCCCTCCCACTGTATACAAGGATTCCTCTTCCTCCACATCCTCAACAACACTTACTTCATCTTTTTGATAATAGCCATCCTAACAGGTGTGAGGTGACATCTCACTGTAGTTTTGACTTGCATGTCCCTGATGATTAGTGATACTGAGTACTTTTTCATGTACCTGTTAGCCATTTGTATGTCTCCTTTGGAAAAGTATCAATTCAAGTTCTTTGTAACACTTTTTAGAAGAGATTATTTGGGATTTCTTTGCTATTGAGTTGCATGAATATCTTGTATATTTTAGGTATTTACCCCTTATCAGATATATGACTTGAAAATATTTTTTGCTCATTCCATAGGTTGCCTTTTCATTTTGTTGTTTCCTTTGCTGTGCAGAAATTTTTTTGTTTGATGTAGTCCCACTTATTTGTTTTTGCTTTTGTTGCCTTTACTTTTGGTGTCATACGTAAAAATATCGTTACTAAGGCCAGTGTCAAGAAGCTTTTTCTCTGTTCTTTTTTATTTTTTCTAGGAGTTTTATGATTTCAGGTCTTATATTTAAGTCTTTAATCCATTTTGAGTTAATTTTTGTGCTGGTGTAAGATAAAGATTCTATTTCTTTCTCTTTTTTTGCATATCAATATCTAGCTTTCCTAACTTTATTTATGGAGGAGACTTTCCTTTCCCTATTTTGTAATCTTGGTGCCCTCATCAAATAATAGTTGACCATATATGCATGCGTTTCTAGTCTCTCTATTCTGTTCCATTAGTCTGTGTCTGCTTTTATGCCAGAACCACACTGTTTTGATTACTATAGCTTTGTTATACAGTTTAAAATCAGGAAGTATGATGCTTCTGATTTTATTCTTCTTTCTTAAGATTACTTTGGTTATTTGGGGTCTTTTGTGGTTCTATGTGAGTATTGTTTTTTTTTTTCTATTTCTGTAAACAACACCATTGGAATTTTGATAAGGACTGCTTTGAATCTATAAATCACTTTGGGTAGTTGATCATTCTTAACTGCCTCATACTTTTTAAATGATTATGTGGTAGTCCATTGACTGAATGTGTCATAATTGATTTAGCCACTTCCCTATCAATAAACATTTAAGTTTTTTCTAATCTTTCACCATGACAACAATAAAGCAAAGCCCATTCTTGTGCTTAGCTTTGACTACTTCTAGTCAAAGAATGGCAAACTAAAGAAATACAACAGGCTTCTTAAGGCAGCTCCTGGCAATGTCACTGGAATTGGGTGACTGCTTGAAGCAGAAAATGCTGATCTGATTGGATACATTCTGAATGTTTTCTCAAAAAACATCTCATTATTCTATTCCTGGAATATTGATACCACCCTCAAATGCTACTTATTTGAAAAGTGAGCCAGGCACAGTGGCTCATTCCTATGATCCCAGCACTTTGAGAGTCGAAGGCAGGAGGATCACTTGAGGTCAGGAGTTCAAGACCAGCTTGGGTACATACTGAGACCCTGTCTCTACCAAAAAAAAAAAAAAAAAAGAAAGAAAAAAAGAAAAAAATGCAGAATCTATGTAATAATAATACAGAATGGTGACATTTTAGTCCAGACAGAACTGCCATGAAACCCCTCCAGGACGTATAATACATAGACAAATCTTTCTTTCGCTGGCAGAAAAGAGTCAAGGATGCAGAGATTTCAGACAGCCACTCTAGAAGCAGCTGTTAAGAAGATTCCCACTCTAATTTGCTGCCACAGCTTGAAACAGTGAAATGTATTAAAATGTGCCACATCAGTTAACATGGGTTCAGTTAGATGGAGGTTGCCAGTTTGGAAGGAGGGCAAATGTTCCTTGGTGGCCATCTTTGCTGATGCCCAGGACTGCACAGGCTGTGTGTGGAGCTCAATCAGAGAGAACTTATACATGAGGTTCTGGCACAATCCAGGTACAAATAAGACCCAGGGATTAGCTTTCCTGGATGAATAATTATTTCTGAATCATGGGAAAGGCACACGTGGAAAGGAGGCAGGGGGATGGAAGATGGAAGTCTTTCTAAGAAGTCTCCGCTGTCAGAGGCACCAGTCCTCAAATGAGCTCCATGCAAATGAAAACCGGTCCCAACAGCATCTTGAGCCAAAGAAAATTCTTGGTTGGGGTTGAAAAAAATGCCAGATAAATAGTTTCTTCTTGCTTCTCAGCAGGGCCCAGCTATCACTGCAATCCAGATCTGGCCTCTAAGCAGTTCTGGCAGGTTTAGCTTGGACCAGCTGCTGTGATGAAATTGCAATAATTCCAGGTTTCCCTCAAATCTGGACTGAGCCAAAGGCAGTCTAGGCTTCTAGCAACCGCTGACTTCATTGCCTTCTTTCCTGTCCCTCTTCAACTTTCAAGCTTCTGGTTTTTAAATTTTAACTTAGATACGGGTGATAGAGGAAACCTGTTCAGTGCAACCCAGAAGTCTGGAAAATGTTTATTTCAGGTCAATTTAAGAAACCTATATTGAGTACTTAGTGAGTCTATTTAGGTGAGCTGCGTGGTATAACTACTGGCTAACATGGATTGTGTATCCAGTGATACGCCAGGCTTTGTTACAAGCTTCCTACACAGAAGATCTCATTTAATCAACCAACAGCCTATGAGGTAGGAATGATTATCCCTGTATACAAAAGAGATACGTTTAGTCTCTTACCTTAAAACAAACAGCTGGCAAATGGAAGTATCTGGATCTGAACCCAGTGTAGCCTGAATCTCAGGCCTCTACTTGTGCTCGCTATGACACTGGCCATAAGCAAATGAGTCCTTAATTAGAGGTGAGTAAAAGAGACTCGGACAAGAAAAACTAAAGTGAACAAAGGCAGAAAACTGAGACCCACGTGGGAGAAAGTAGAAGTAGGCAGATAAAGAGTGTGGAAAAAACAGTAGAGGCTAGATTCATGCTCATTCTGAGCCCAACCTCTGAAGACCTTGTGGGTCCTGGAAGCCTAGTGGGGAGGTTTCCCCAGAAATCACTTATTTATAAAGAACTTCCAGCCATTAACACAAAGACTGAAGTATTCTGAGAAGTTGTCCAAAACTCTTTGCTCCCAAGAGAAAGGAGAAATCTCTCTGGGTGCGTTCAACATGGAAGTTTTAATGTACTCTAAGAGGTTCAAGATTTCAGACACTAAGTCCCAGGGCACTAAGAGACTTGCAGTGTGACGCATTGAAGTTTAGGGAGGAATGTTTATTGTATTTCTTCTAATTAAAACAGGCTTTCTAGACCAGATGGGTGGCTCACTGCCCCTACTCCTGACCCCTGCCCCATTATGGGCACCCAGGAGAATGGAAGTAGATCTGTTTCTAGAGAATAAAGCATCTTTAACCCAGAAAGGGAAAAGAACTCTGGGCAGAGTACACCTCAGCAACATCCAGCAGTCTGTGTTGGTGAAGAACAGGGGTATGGGTTCATAGTGGAGCCATGGGATCCAGAACCACATGGCATGTCCAGAAGCACACTTTTGAGCAAAGCTGGCCAACAAGTGTCTTCCATTTTTGCCTGTGGCATCTGAGACCGTGTTCTTCGGCTCATCCCGAGGCAGAGGCCCAGAGATACCAGAGGCTGGTGGTAACAAAGGGCTGATATTCAAAATGGTGGAAATGATTCCAGGAATGATTCACCAATGGTTCTGACCTGAGGAAGACTTATCAAAAAAGTAAAGAGGGCTGGGTGTGGTGGCTCACGCCTGTAATCCCAGCACTTTGGGAGGCCAAGGTGGGCGGATCATGAGGTCAGGAGATCAAGACCATCCTGGCTAACACGGTGAAACCCGTCTTTACTAAAAAAATACAAAAAATTAGCCGGGTGTGGTGGCAGGCGCCTGTAGTCCCAGCTACTCGGGAGGCTGAGGCAGAAGAATGGCATGAATCTGGGAGGCAGAGCTTGTAGTGAGCCGAGATTGTGCCACTGCATTCCAGCCTGGGCCACAGAGCAAGACTCTGCATCAAAAAAAAAAAAAAAAAGTAAAGAGAGAAGCAGCATCCCACACCCTCTTCCCTGACTGTGGGTTCTCCCTGGCAGCAGATTCCATCAGGGAAGGGGAGACACTTTTGTTGTTGTTGTTGTTGAGATGGAGTCTTGCTCTGTCACCCAGGCTGGAGTGCAGTGGCACGATCTCGGCTCACTGCAAACTCTGCCTCCCGGATTCACACCATTCTCCTGCCTCAGCCTCCCAAGTAGCTGGGACTACAGGTGCCCGCCACCAAGCCCAGCTAATTTTTTTGTATTTGTAGTAGAGATGGGGTCTCACTGTGTGAGCCAGGATAGTCTCGATCTCCTGACCTCGTGATCTGCCCACCTCGGCCTCCCAAAGTGCTGGGATTACAGGTGTGAGTCACCACGCCCGGCCAACATTTTAATCTGTGAATTATTGTATTGGGAACTTAATGCGTGAGGCATTCTAATAGCCAAGAACCAGCAGAAAATGATGCAGCTGCCCAACTTTGCATCTCAGGTAGGGGAGGGGGAGCCCCCACTGAATAGAGTAAAAAGTACAATGAGAGACAGACAAATATTGGTCTTTTCACAGTAACTTTTGAGACCTACATATCCACATACTGGCTTCATGTTATATGTTTTTTATTTATACTCTGGAACATTTAGTAGGATAAGGGACATGTAGAATGTGATTCACAGGAAAGTGGTGGGCCCTGAGCAAGGACCTGAGTGTGTTTTTGGTCTGAAACTGAGTTACATGATTTGGGGCAAGTAACGGTCTAGCTTTGTCACCCAGGCTGGGGCGCAGTGGTGCAAAGACAGTTCACTTCAGTCTCAAACTTCTGGGCTCAAGTGATCCTTCCACCTCAGCTCCCCAAGTACCTGGGACTGCAGGCATGCACCACCATGCCTTGCTAATTTTTGTATCTTTTTTAGACACAGGGTTTCGCCATGTTTCCCAGGCTGGCCTTGAACTCCTGAGCTCAAGCGATCTGCCCACCTCGGCCTCCCAAATGCTGGGATTGCAGGCATGAGCCAATGCACCTCAGTTTCTTGTCTGCCAAATGGAGTGAAAATAATTATCCTGAATCTTGATATGAATGTTATATATTTCCAAAATCCCAAGCACATTATGTGTGCTAATTAAATGCTAGTTACTACAGTAATAAGGAGAAAAATGTAGACCAAAACATATAAAAATAATCAAAAAGTACCAGATTGTAAGCTCAAGGGCAGAGACTCTGTCTCATTTATCTTTGCACCCCTAGCACACTACAGATTCTTGGCATATAGTAGGCAGCCCCTTGAATGTTTTTTGCATTAAACTGAGCTGATTTGTTGAGTATCACCTATGTGTAGAAATTGTTTCAGTGCTGCTTAGTCTATCAGATAAGCATTTGAGTTATTTAATTCTTCTGAAGATTAGTTTATTTGTAAGACAGAGAAAATGCATCTACTGAGACCAGAGATAATTGGTTAGCTCCCTCAAAACAGTTTTCCCTATTTTCCTTATTGACAGACCCCAATTGTATTCAGTAATCCTATGTCTCCTGTCTCTGTCTCCGGGTAAATCTTCATTCTTTCAGATGAAGCATCCTGATGACCTCATTGCCTTTGCCTGTGATTAGTTTAGGGGTGGCCATGAGGCTCTGTCCTGGCCAAGGAGACATAAGAGGATGTCACTGAAGGCTGCCAAGAAAGGTCTTGTTGCGTCAAAGAAGCGGAAGAATACACATGAGGAGAAATAGCCCCCAAAACAGTCTTCTCTTTTCCACTGGCTATTGTTTGATTGCCTGTGATGGCTGGAACTGAGCAGCCATCTTGAGCCCACGTGGAGAACCACACCAATCTCCTGAGGATGGCGGAGCTGAAAGCTGGGAGAACCTGGGTCCTTGATAGCATCTGAGCCACTGATCTAATCAGCCCTGAGATTCTTGTTACGTAGATGAATTTTCCTTATGGTTTAGGTCAGTTAAGTCAGAGAAAGCAACCTAGATGAGATACTCCTTCATGAGGTTCTTAAATTTGGTTCCCCTCATCTCCCCTTCTGGAAGACCATCTGCCAGGAATATTGCAGGAGGGATTCCTGCCTTGTGTGGGAAACATGGTGGCTCCTTTCAAACTTTGAAATTCTCTGCTTCTGTGTTATTCACAAAGCAACTCTGAAAAGCCATTAGTTGGAGCTTCTTAGGAGAATGAAAGGCAGCATGGAGCCCTGGGAAGCATGCAGGATGTGGAGACAGAAATCCTGAGCTTCATCCTGGAGATTCCATTTTCAGCTCTGCAGCTTGGTCAAATCACATAAGCTCTCATGGCCTCAGTTGTCTTACCTGTAAAATGAGGATAAAAGTAGTCCCTACCTCAGCATAAGGATTAAATGAGAAAGTGTTGACATGCTTTACAATGTGCGCTCCTGTTTACAGACAATTATGCAGAAGAAAAACCCACATAACTAAACAAGGAGCAGAAAAGTAAGGCTTTTATTTATTGTGCTGGAAACAGAGAGATGAAATGGATGGATGTTTGTTGGAAAACAAACCATTTGGGGAAAGTGGTGATCTTCTCTAGAAAGGATTTCATGCCCTCTCCCTACCAGCTTTGCAAATAACACAACCCTTTCCCAGTGGTTCTAAAGGGCTGTTGCAACTGAGAGCAGAGGTGAAAGCCATGGAGTCCCTCGGACGATGACCTACAGCTCTGCCGTCTATTAATAGCTTTTAAGTCCTTAGAGTGCAGCCCAAGCCCCTCCCACCTCAGGGACATGAGAGGGTCACAAGGCTGCCTGATACAGTCTGCAGAAAACTGGTGGTCCCCAGAATTCTCCCAGTTAGGAATTTTTTCTCCCCTAATGGATTGGGCCTGCCTGGGCCTCTTCCCGCAGAGACTCCAGCCTGATCTGTCAGGTTCACATTCAGCAAGCAGTAGTGAACTGTTTTGGCTCCTCAGGCCACTCACTAGCTGTCTTGACACATCTTATCTCATTGCACCATCACAGGAATGAGCCAGAGCCATTGTATTGAAACAGAACCCAGCTCAGAGAGGGGTTGTGGCCTGTTCAAGGTCACACAGAAAGGACCTTTGGTTTTAGGTCTCAATCCGCCTGTCTCCAAGGCCTGTGCTGTAACATTTGTGTTCCATCTTGAACTCTGGGAGACTTCTGGGCCTTCAACAAGACCATTTAAATCCCTCAATCATGTTGGAAAGAACAGTAAGGAGACTGTGGGATGGGGTGAGTAAGGGAGCAAAGACACAGCTGGCCTCACACTTGGACTCGGGGTCAGAAGGCATCGATGTGTGCATTGATACAACTCTGGTGGCCAGGGTGTTGCTGAGCATGTCAGTGTGGGCTCTGGGCGCAGGCAGGGCCCTTGGCCCCTTACTGCATGGTCACATCTGATTGTATCACCTCCATGCTTACAGAGCCTTAGAGACCTTCTGTGATTTCCTCTGTGCAGGACAAAGTCAGGTCCCATAGTTTGACACTCGATGTCCTTCATGACCCAACTCCTGTCCTCCTTTCAAAACTCACTCCCACTCTGAGCCTTCTATTCCCACACAGATCTAGTTACAATTCCCAGGATAGCCATTTTGAGGGCAAGGATCGCATCTGATGACTTTTCAGACTCCTGGAGCTCAGCACAGCATCTGGAGCAGCCATGATGTTCAGGGGCTGCAGGAAAAGCTATCACCCTTGTCAACAGGGCCCAGCAAGTGGAATAGGAGGGATGAGGAGTGGGGTGTGAGGGAGGGCTGTGTACAGGAGAGGAGGCTACAGCAGAGGAAGGCCCAGTCTACAAGGCTGGGTTCTGGAGATCCTGGGCCTTGGGTTGCTTGGCTTTTAAAATGGGCCTGGGACCTGGGCACTCTCTTGGGCATTGGGTCCAGGCTGCTCCAAGGAGGAACCCTTTTACAATGGGCTTAGCACAAAATTAGACAGTGAGCGTCAGTTGTCCTGGGCCTGGATGGCAGTGTACCCCATGGAGGAGTGGCAGCATGAACATTTACAGAGGGCTGAGAAGGGGCCAGGAATCAGGCTGGAATCTGGTGCCCCAGGAAGCACATCCAGAAAGCAGCAAGTCTACCTGAGATGCCATCTTTGCAGACAAAGAATAGGAAGCAGAAAGGGAACCTCTTTGATTGGCCCATTCTGAGAACTAGGATGGTTATAGTTAGTGTCCACCCAGATTGGCTCCCTTTATCACCAACACCTGGAGTGCTCTTATGAGGCTAAGAGGATTTGCAGGGAATGATTGCTCCCACACTCTGCAATGAGAACCTTAAGCAGTTCACGCTGCATTCTAGCATACGGTGTGCGGGGAAGGAGGGGAATTATAAGGGGAGCCAGCTCCTCCCTGGCTCAGGCAGGATTCTCCTCTTTCCAGCTCCTGTCATTCCCAGCCTCGGATCTCACTGCTCACCTTTCGCTGGTGCTCCTTCTATGAGTCTGCAGTGGCTCAGTTTGCTCTGAGTGTAATCTTGGTGAATTCATCACCATGGAGGTCACTTCTGTCAAATCTGTCTGCCCTACTAGTTCCACCACAAATCCCCAGATGATTTCTTTCCCCAGAGTTTTGGGCCCAGATGCCTGTGTTCTCAATCCCAGTGAGCATAAGTTCCCACCTGTTCAGGGTTTGGGGACCATATTAGTCAGTGTTCTCCAGAGAGACAGAGGTAATAGGATATATGTATATAAGAAAGGAGTTTTTTAGGGAGAATTGGTTCACACAATCACAAGGCAAAGTCCAACGATAGGCCGCCGGCAAGCTGGAGAAGAAAGTGGCTCAGTCCTAATTCAAAAGAAGGAGAGCCAACGGGGCAGCCTTTAGTCTGTGGCCGAAGGCCCGAGAGATCCCAGCAAACCACTGGTGTAAGTCCAAGAGTCCAAAGGCCCAAGAACCTGGAGTCTGATGTCCAAGGGCAGGAGGAACAGGAGAAAGATGAAAGCCAGAAGACTCGGCAAGCAAAATCATCCCACCTTCTTCTGCCTGCTTTGTTCTAGCCATGCCGGCAGCAGATTGGTTGGTGCCCACACACACTGAGGGTGGGTCTTCCTCTCCCAGTCCACTGACTCAAATGTCAGTCTCCTCTGGGAACCCTCTCACAGACATACCCAGAAACAATACTTTACCAGCTACCCAGGCATCCTTCAGTCCAATCAAGTTGACACCCAATGTTAACCATCGCAGGGAGGATTAGCTTCTCGGCCTTTAATGGAAAGAGGCATTTCCCCATTGTGGCTTCCCTACATATAGCAGCAGCATGGGGAGGGAAGTGTGGGGCATTCCTGTTTGATCACACCACACTTGTACATGCACTTTTTTTTTTTTTTTTGAGACAGAGTCTTGCTCTGTCACCCAGGCTGGAGTGCAGTAGCGCAATCTCAGCTTGCTGCAACCTCTGTCTCGTAGGTTCAAGTGATTCTCATGCCTCAGCCTCCAGAGTAGCTGGGATAACAAGCATGCACCAACATGCCAGGCTCATTTTTGTATTTTTAGTAGAGACTGGGTTTCACCGTGTTGGCCAGGCTGGTCTCGAACTCCTGACCTGAAGTGATCCACCTGCCTCCGTCTCCCAAAGTGCTGATTACCTGCATAAGCCACCGTGCCCTGCCCACTTTTACGTGTTCTTCTATGTGTCCTTTCTGAATCCTTATGGAGACTCTGAAACGGGGATAATGTCATCCCTATTCTGTAGACGAAAGAAGGGGAGACCCAAGGAGAAGCTGTAACCAGTGGCAGAGCTGGAATGGAATCTGGAACTGCTGGCTCTGCATCCAGGCTCTTTCCTCAGTACCCGATTCACATCCCTTACTGAACGAACAAGGCGCATGGCCCCTGACTCAGAGGACAGCATGTGCTCAAGGGTTTCCCTACCTGCCTGTCCTAACCACCAGGGCACCTGGAAGCCACTGGATGCCTGTTGAAGTATGTGTTCATTGAGACATGATGGACCAGCCTCTGTGGGGACCTGGGGCTTTTGCTGGTTCATGCTTTGGAACACGGAGAGTCCTGGTCTGCCCTGAGTGTGAGTCATGCCTGGACGTTCACATCAGGTCACTCTGTAGTCTCATGTACTTATCTTACAGCCTTTCTGAGATTCTTGCAGGCCTTCCCCAGTCCTCCTTTAGTGGGATAGGTTTCCTGGGCAACCCATCTCCAGAGTCACATAGAATTCACTTGCTTTTTCACTTTTACTTTCACCAGTTCATGTTAAGTTTGTGCGATTTCCTTCCATGACCCGTGTTCCTAAGCAAGGAAAGTAAGGAACTCACACGGAATGAGAACCTGCTGTCTGCCAGTACTGGGGTGCATCTTCTCCTTGAATTTGATCTTTATAACAAGTCTACATATGTGTTAGGAGGGCGTTATTCCCATTTTTACCGTTCAGGATATTAAGGCTCAGAAGGATTTAGTACCTTTCCTGGAGGTACACCAGGAATAATAAATGGCAAAGCCAGAATTTGAATCTGGGTCTTTTAACCACTCCTTTTCAATATGCCCCACTGTCTCCTAAGGACGTTTGTTCCAACTGTGGTGGCCACTTGAATTCAGACTTGAACTCTGCTGTCTCTCTGGAATAGGTCTACTGAGCTTCTCCAGGCTTTTCTCTTCTGTCCAGTTTTTCTTTCAGTGATTTTATTTACTGAGAATCCTGGGCACTGAGAGCTGAAAGGAACTTAAAGAGGCATCCAGTTTCCCCTCCCCTGAAGCTTGAACTTCCTGCCCATCCTCATAGCCCCCTAAGAGGTAAGAAGGACAAATACTGTTGCCTCATTTTGTGGGTAAGGATAAGTTTTCAGAGAGGGCATGCTGCGTGTTCTGTTTGCCCCTGCAGGCCCACTTGGAAACTCTCTCTACCTTCCCTGTGTTCCAGGAGCCTCACCTATGGACAGCGCAGCTGGGCTGCCCTGGGCTCTGGCCTCCTTCTGGTAGGTGCTGGCAGGAGACTGGAGGGCGGGAGGAGGAGGAAGGAGATGTTTACCCTTCCGCTCCCTCCCTGCCTGGCCTCAGTCTGGTAGAAGTGAGTGGATTCCTCTACCTAAAGACATGGCTCCTGTCCAGTTTTCTCATAGTTATAGATCTCGCTGGGTTCCAGTAATAGCCTCTGTCCCTGGCATGGCACCAACTACCCACTGCTGCCAGCCCCAGGGCTTTATCAGCCCTTGTTGCTTCCCTTAATCCTACCCCACCTTTGAAAATAGCCCCTTCCTTACATTCTCATCAATCGTCTCATTGTTAGTTTTTTCTCACTCCGTTTGAGTGGTCCATGCATTTCCTTAAGTGACTCGTCCAAAGTCTCTCAGCAACTCAGGAGCGGGGCTGGTTTTCAAACACAGATCTCAGAACTGTTTTTCTAATGATTCACCTCATGGTGTTACCTGGGGCTGGCTCTGCTCCCTAGTCTGCATATTTGTGTCTGAATCTTGTCTCATTCTGCCCCAGGTCCTCTCCAAGACTGAGCACCTTTACTTTTGTCTCTTGCAGCATCCCTGGACATTCCATTGCCCACCCAGATCACTTTTTTGGGATTGCTCACTTGGCATTCCTCAGCCACACATTATAGAATGTGAACATCCCAGGGTCAAGAGCCCTCATCTCTTTGCCCTGGTTGGCTTTACCATCTCCAGGACTGTCGCTGCTAGTCCAGATGCAGTTCCGTCCTTCAACCTAAGACTCAGAGTCCAGCCCTTGAGGCCTCTTCTGTCCTGGGGCTCAGCCTTTCATGCTTCTCTGGCGCTTTGAATCTGCCAAGTGCCTGGTCCCTAGCCAGAACCCCCACTTTCTTCCTGACGTTGGATATTGGATGCCATGTCTGCCTATGGGATAGTTTCTTCCCAGGTCCATCCCATCTAAACCTTGCCTGAGCTTCAGGAGCTCAGAAGGAGCATCACAGGAGCCCTGTAGTACTGTGCCCACGTCTGACCACCCTCTCTCTGTGTTTGGGCTACTGATCCCCAGATCTCTGCTGTCTCCAACATGGCACAGTTCTGGGCACTCTCTCCCTTTGAGAAGGAACACCAATGGCCAGATTTTGGAGCATAGATACTGACATCCTTCGCCCTGACACCCAGAAAAGAAAGCCAGGGGCTGGGCCTGATGTGAAAACCTCAGTCAAGCAGGTTGGCTCCACAAGCAGCAATAATTCCTTTGGGAAACAAGAGTGCCAGGCAAGGAGACCAAGGCAGAGACTCAGGTGTGTTGGGGAATGGGGAGAGACCACTGCTTAGGGCCACAGCCCCTTGGATCTTAGCTGCTAGCCTTGAGTAAAATAATGTCATTGGGGCACTGAGGGTCCACAAGTATGTTCAGAAACTGGATGAGGTGGAAGTTGCAGGTAGAGGCTTTATTAGCTGAGGTACACGGGGTCCAGAGATGTGTGCATGTGGGGGGTGGTGCAGGAGCCCACAGGGATGGCAGGTCGGCCCACCTGGCTTCCTGCCCATTTCCCTTTCTCACTTATGCAGAGGGAATGCCTCCTTTCCTGTTCTGGCTGATATGCAATGAGAATTTTATATTCATAGCTCCCTCATTGTATGTCATCCTGAGAGGTTCCTCCTGCCTCCTCAGTGAGCCACATCTTGGATCACAACATTGCTGAGTCTTGTGTACAGAGTGTGAATGTGACACATTTCTACCACCTTTGGGGACATCCCTGGGGAGAGGCAGGATATTTGGTTTAAATCCTGGCCCTAAAGCTGCGGCATCCCTGGGCTGGAATGTAGAGTAACAGGGCTGCCCTGAGGAATGAGCGGGAACTTGATCTGCCAAAGGAGACGCTCCACACAGGGGCCACACCTGGGCCGGGGCTCGCTGAGGCCGGTAGTGTGTGCCTCCTCCACAGAGGGCCTCCCTGAGGTTCTCTTAGGGGAGGGAACTACGCCCTGTGCCCTGCTACCTCTGGTTCTATGCTCAGAGTAGCAGGGCATAGGACCCACGCAGGTCTGGGAAGCCTCATAACAATCCAAAGACCCCCTCTTTCCCAAAACAGCCAGAGGAAATGTGCCATCGTGCAAAGAATGTGGGCGTGGGAATCACACAGACCTGGGTTGGATCCCACCTCTGCCACGTGCAAGCAGTGCAACCTTGAGCAACTCACTTACAACTTCTTGGAGGCTGTTTTATCATCTGTAAAAACATGAAGTTAATCACACCTACCTCAGAGGGTGCTGTGATGATTAGAGAAAATGCTTACATACAAATAACATTCAAACATGTCAGCAGTTTTAATATCAGCCCCAAGAATGGAGGGAATGGGGGGTCAGAGGTCCCTGGAGCCAGCTTTGCCATCAACGGGCTCTGTGACCTTGGGCAAACTCTCTCCCCTCTGCAGTGGTGGGGCTAGATGCGATTATTTCTAAGAACGCTGAGCGTCCCACCTCCAGGATTCTTCTTTCTCTTTTCTTTTCAAGCAGCCCCCGTTCTGGTCTCAGGGAGGCAGGTTCTGAGATGGAGGTATATGAGCAGGTGGCTTACTGGGGAGTGAGCCCAGGAACAACACCAGTGAGGGAGCGAGAGCTCAGGGTGAGGAGCTAGGCTGTGATATGCAGTGAGGGTGGCCTCAACTGCTCCTACCTGGAGCTCTGGGGCTGGAGGGAGGATCTTGAAAGAGCCTCTTCCCTTCAGAGATGTCCAGATGGAAGAAAGTGTATGCACTGACTGTGTGCACCGACCAGTCCTTGGGTGCCCATGCAAGGGCGTGTCATCTTGGAGATAGGCTCACATCTTTCTTCAGCAGGGCCTATCATGCAGTGGGAGGCAGCTGGGGGTGTGGAGGGTAGGGAGAGAGGGAAGAATGAGTGCCTTGGCCCTCAGGGCCACCTGGGCAGGGGGTACCACAGCATCCACTGCACAAGCCCTTCCTGCTTCTAGACTTCTCTAGAGTGGAGATTCAGTCTGCTGGCTTCTCAGTCTTGGACCTGGCCTGCCCTGGCCTTCGCCAGCAGGGGAGAAATCAGTGTCTGTCCACGAATACTCATCCACTGTCTGCAGCTGCCAGGAATTCTGAAGGCAAAAGCTAAGGAATTCAAAGCATCTATGACTTAGCAGGATTGTTCCAAAACTGCAGACTTCTCCAAAGAGCCTTCTGGATTTCATTGTGAATGCTTCTCTCAGTTCTTAGAACATAGCCAAGGACTCCCGCCCCTCACTTTTCAGGGCTGTCCTCTGGCTGCTGGGGTCAGTGGGCCTTGGTGAGCTTGCCTGGGGAATGCGTGGGTGTTTGGAACCCTTGCCTTCCTGCCTAAAGGTAAGATGCTTGGAAGCTGGAGTCAGACAGTTCTACCCCTTTCTACAGGGTTATTTTGGCCACTCCACTTAACCTATCTGGGCTTCTTTGCTCATCTCTAACATGGACTTGGTACTACCCTCAGAACCTAGGGACGTGGCTTTTCTGGAGGCTAAAAACAGAACATCTTGAGCAGATAAACATGCTGCCTTCTGGTAAATATGTAGTTTGAGTGGTAGCTACTATCTTTCTATATATTTTACCTCCTGCCCCATCCCCAATCATAACTGATTGGTCCAGGAGTGGGCATTAAGAATTTATTTGGAGCCTTGTATTGGCATCCTGAGCTATAAAATTTGTACAAGGCTACAATGGCAAGCAGCTTTCCTTGTAATATTCCTGTCTCCCTCCCACTCTCCCAAAGACATCACTAGTCAAAAGGCAATGGGGAGAGTGCTGGGTTGATTAGTAATGTCTGCCATAGATATGTGAGGAGCAGAGGAAGCATGGTACTATTTGCCAACCCTGGCCTAAGGCTTGCAGGAATAACGGTAGCACTAGGAACCCCTACTGCTGTGGAGCTTTCAGGTTTACAGAGTGTCCATAGCCACACTATTGTTGAGCCTCTTCACCAGCCCTGGGTTGTGGAGTGGCCCTCCTCGGTGTGGGATGATTACTCTCATAGTTGGAGCATAGGTTCAGGAGAGAGGCCTGAAGATGGCGGGGTGGGAGACACTTCTGAGCCAGGCAAAATCAAACCAGGATTCAACAAGTGACAAGCCCCCCTTACATCCTCACTACCGACGGAGAGGCTCAGAGGTACAGTGATTTGCCCAGTATCAGACAGCTAGCAAATGCCAGGCTTGAACATAGGCCCTTTGCCCCTAAATCAAAGTTTTCAGGGGTTCTGGCTATCCTAATAAAATGTGCTTGCACTCTCTCCCCTGGGCTTCCCCTGAGTCGAGTCTCTAGCAGTGTAACCTGACTGCAGATTTTCACATTGGGAAAATCCAAGAGAAGAAACTTGCTGCCTGTGACTTGTTTTCTCTCAGTCCCTGGAATTTGATTTTGTAAAATGATCTCATAGGCTTATTATAAACATGCATTGATGTACATCTTCAACTTTTGAAACAGCCAGTGTGAGTAAAGCTGAGTCACGAATGGAGGAAGCAGAGCCTTTCAGTAAAGTCTATTCACATATGGGCACAGGCTGTGCCAGTGGAGCCGTGTGCTTCCAGGCAGGGCTCTGGGCTCAAGTAGGCCGTAAGTCAGGATTGCTGTCATCTTGCTTTTTCAGTCCCCTGTCTCTGGGTCTACTGGTGTTCCCAGCCACAGTCTCAGGAACCAATCTGCTGATGTGCAGTGTGGGGAGGTAGAGGTTCACAGGCAGGCAATAACTCAACAGCCCTGGAAAAGTTCTGTTATTAAAGACCTAGTATCTACCTGGAGCACCTGGACATTGTTTGATGACAGCACCCTCCTCCCTGGCTCTCTCATCCCTCTCACGGGCCTAAGCTCCTGCCTTCACCTGCCCTGCACAGCAATTGCCCAATGGGACTCAAAAAGCCCACTACTAATTCCAGCTGGTCCCCTGTCTGAGGCTGGCAGACTGGGCCAGCCCCCTCTGTGTGGTGCCATCTCCCCTGATCTCAAGCCCTGCTTGCTGCCTGTCGCTTAGCCCTACCTGCTGGAATCCTCCTTTCCCTGTACACCTGCCTGAACTGTGACCAGCTTGTGTGTTCCTGCCTATGAGACCTCAGCAAGCCTGGCTATTTCCCTGGGCCCAGCACTGGTCAGCTGGGGTGGTGCTGCAGACTCCAGCCTCTGTACCACCCATGTCCTTCCCTCTCCCCCCAACTCCAGTCCAGAAGCCGGGAGCTCAACCTGCCTCTAGCTTTCTACCCAGAGGAGGACAGCCCCCCAAGTCCCCACAAGGGCAGAGACAGGCCACTTGTTTGTTGGAGAGGAAGTGAGGCTTCCTCAGGCATTCATACCTGTGCCTCTTCCCAGAGTACTCCAAATAACCAAGTGTTTCGCATAAAAAGACACAGAGCATACCCTTAAAAGAATACTTCAAGGCTGGCACTTATAATTCTAGTGCTTTGGGAGGCTCAGGCCAGGAGTTCAAGACCAGCCTAGCAACATAGACTCTGTCTCTACAAAATAGAAATAAAGAATTAGACAAGTAGGGTGGCATGTGCCTCGAGTCCTAGCTGTTTGGGAGGCTGAGGCAGGAGGATTGCTTGAGGCCAAGAGTTTGAGGCTGCAGTGAGCTATGGTTGTACCACTGCACTCTAGCTTGGGTGATAGAGTGAGACCCTGTCTCTAAAAACAAACAGAAATGGAACAACTTCAGAGTTCGGATAAACCTCTTTGTTTAATTTCAGAGTTTCCTGCAATCAGTTAAGAAAAGCCCCACCACTCCCCCTCCGTCAATTAACTAGATAAATACATAAAGTCAAGAGGAAACAGTATTTGTGATGGTAAAAGGAATTTTGATTCACAGTTGGAATCAAACCTCGTTGACACTGATCATGACCTCACCTCTAGCCTGTGTGGTGTTGGGGAGCCAGGGTTAAAGGAATGTGGAGGCAGCAGGACATCCTGGAGAGAATGAAGACTTCAGAGTCAGACAGAGCTAGATTTGAAGCCAGCTGGCGAACCTCTGTTTTCTCTTCTGTAAAATGGGTAACTATAGCACCTACCTGACAGGTTAGCATCTACATGATGGATAGGTTTCTGTGCATGGTACATGGCTGGAGTCCAACAAGAATTTATTTCAAGTCTGTCTTTTTCCACTGGAGATCATCACTGAGTTGCGGTCTCCTGAGCAGAAAGGGGGTTGGCAGCCGGAGCATGTGTCTCTCTTGGAACACCCTAGGCTCTGGCAGCACACAGGTTATGCAAGGCACAACCGGAGGAGGAAGTAACAGGATCCTAGCAGTGACTGTTGTTGGAGAGGGTCAGACCAAGCTAAAGCTTGGAAGGAGATGCAGCCTGGTTCCATCTGGATCTGAATCAAGGGTCAGAGGGAAGTGTCAAGGCTTGGAAGTCACTAGAGCATAAGCGCATGAGGCTGAGAGCATGTCTGTTTTGTTTGCTGTGGATTCTCCCATGCCTAGCGCAGCATCTGGCATCATAGGCAGTGTTTAAATATTTATTGAACAAATGAAGAATAAATGAATTAGTGACAGCCTTATCAGTTCAGAGCCTGGTTGTTTCGGGAGTTCCATTTGAAAACAAGGCAAAGGAGAACAGCTGCTGGCAGGAAACAAATGTGGGAACCACCAAAGGTTCTGAAGATACACCATGTTTAAACGGCTAGAACCTCAACTCTGGAGCCACGTGGCCAGGACTCAAAGCTCTGTCACTTACAAGACATGGAACCTGGATCATGTCACTAAATCTTTCTGTGCCTTCATTATGTTTTTTATTTTTTAATTTTTTGCCTATAACATGGGGATAATAGAACCTACCTCACAGGATTGTTGAAAGGACCAAAGGAGATTATTTGTGTGAAGTGTACACTGTAAGTGCTCAATAAACACAACTGTTAGTATTAATTGAGAGGGATGTGAAATTAGCTGTGTTTCCAGAAGTTTTGGCAGGGAATACACACAGAATGGATAGCTTAAAGAGAAACTTCTTAATATAGTGATAGATTTTAGAGCATAGAAAGAAAAAAATATGGGGAAAAAAACCCTGCAACTAGTTAAGAGTCATTGCAATATCTGGGCATGAGAGGATGAGGCCTAGATTAGGGGACTAGTTGGGGGTCCACAGAGGGAGAGGACCAGTGCAAAACAGATGGTTCATGAAGGAGCAATTGGTAGAACTGATTGGATGTGTTGGGGGGAGCAGAAAATGTAGAACTCCTTTGTGGGTCTGGAAGGAGATGGTAGCTCTCGAAGAGATGAGGGATGTCTAAGAAGGAGCAGGGCTGGTGAAGGATAAAAATCCAGTTTGGAATGTGCTAAGGGGGACAAGGGGTAGCCCGCTTGAAAGATGCTGTGAAGCTGGACATGCCCACGCGGATGGGTGAGATCTTGGGGTTGGAGGGAGGGCAAGCAGGGGTGGAAGCCAGGGGACATGTAGGAAGAGACGTGTGGAGGGCACTTCCAGAGAACACCCATGTTCGGGGGTGGGGAGAGGAAAGACCTCCACCTAGGAGCACACAGAGCTATAGCCAGAGGGCGGGTGAGAAGGGGACAAATGCAGTGCCCCTGAGGCTGTGGC
Organism: Homo sapiens; assembly: GCF_000001405.40. Taxonomy (NCBI): domain Eukaryota; kingdom Metazoa; phylum Chordata; class Mammalia; order Primates; family Hominidae; genus Homo; species Homo sapiens. The sequence goes on along the minus strand of NC_000011.10, from coordinate 12,536,695 downwards.
AGCCAAGTTCCTGGAGGAGTGGAGCAGGGGAGTGGGGCCAGGGCCAGCCAGTGGGTTCAGTGCTGACAACTCAGAGGACAACTTATCTTCTGGAAAATTAAAGGCAGAATCTAGGGGTTCATAAAAGAAGGGAGAAAGGAAGGAAATAGAATTAGCATGGGTCTGTATGAGACCAGGAAATTGCCTTAAGGAAAAAGTAAAACAGGGCAGAAGATGGAACTGCAGTGAGAATGGAACCTGTATGTGTTAGGAGTGAAAGTCAAGATGCTGGAGAAGGAGGGAGTCAGTCCTGGAGCAGGCAGGTGGAGGAAGTGGCAGCCTCAGAATTGGGGCAGGAGGTAGTGAGAGAGGCAGTGAGAAAAGATGTTGAGATGCTATGGAAAGAACATGAAGCAAATAGCTTTGACTTTCTTGGTGAAGGAAGAGATGAAGACATAAGCGGGGAGAAAGTGGAAGGACATGGGGATTAGGTAGGGCACAGGTGTATGGAAGATGAAGGCAATCCGTGAGAATTAGAGGACTCTCAGAAGCCAGGGAGCACGCAATGGCAATTGAAAAATGACAAAGTAATTGGCTGATGCATGTCCATTCTGGAATTTTCTGCAGTAATTTTATGTTCTGGGACAAGAGTAGAGATGCCTGCCAATGGGGATGACCAAACGGTGAGTTTAGAGAGGCAAGGAAGCTGTGTGTGAAGACAAAGTCGAAATGGCTGGCAGTAGAGCCTAGGCTGGACTTTGGGTCATTGCTGGTCATCTGGAATCTGTAGCATAAAGCCAGTGATTTCCTAGCAACAAGTAGTACTTTAGAAGAATGACCCCAAGTCTCCGTTTGGCTTTAGGGTGAGTTGTGTGATTTTTGGAGCAGCAAATCTGTGTGGAAAATGAAGTTGTTGATCCTGGAGGGAGATGCTCCCAAAGATTCCATGGCAGCTGTGGCTGGGGTATTTTCTGGAAGAATCTAACTAGGGACCCTCAGTGGTATCTGATGCTATCTCATCATGTCATTGAATTACCTCAAATGAGCTGCACCTGTCATCCCCACTAAGATGGGAGAGTCATTTGGGAAGAGACCCTGGACTTTCCCAACCCATTTTGTGCGGAGACTTTCCCAACCCATTTTGTGCAGAGAGTGGGGTTGAAGACAGAACAGACATTCCACAAATATTCGCTGACTTGACTGCATTCTGATTGTGAGAGGTTTGGGGTCCAGCCCAGGGCAGTGACAAGAATTCTTGTCCCATGGTGTTTGGAGTTCCACTTCATCAGTGTTAGGGCGGGTCTGTGCTGCCATGTGGGAATTGGAATCACATGAAAAGAATGGGAGAGAAAGCTCTGTATCTTATTGACAAAGCACACCAAAGGGATGCTGGTCAGAAAGCCATTTAATCCATAAACACAAAGACACATGAATGGGCAAATTCTGTAAATGAAAGCAATCTGGCAAAAGCCCTTGGTGGTGAGCTTGGTCTCCCTCACAGGCAATGACAGTCTTGGCCATGGGTCTAGACAACACACAATTCCAATGCAGCCTAGGAGGACATTATGGAAGTGAGCTGGGAGAACCAATGATGCAGAAAGTAGACTCAGGAGAGGCACAGAGAATGCACCCCCTGCCCCAAGTGCAGTGGATCAGAGAGCTCAGAACAGAGAAGAGATGAGGAGCTCATGGCCTCTCGTAGCCTAGCCTAGAGCACACTTACTGCTCACTATCTTATTGTCCATCATTTTAAGTCAAACATCCCCAGTTCAGTGAGAGTGTACATTCTCCAATATTACACACATAAGGAAAGATGGGGTAACCCCTAAAGCCTGAATGAGAAAAAGCTTCCAGGAGCTGTTTTTCAGATACACCAACATATATTTGCCAAGGGCAGGCACTGTGTTTCTCCAGGCAGGCGGTAAGGCCTTTGACAGGGTTTCCAGGAAGACACATAGCAGCCAGAGAGTTGTGCAGCCCCAACCCTGGCTCCACACAGAGCAAACATGTAACAGATTAAATATTTATCTATTGTCCTGTCTACCTCAATAAAATATCACACTCCTTTAAGCGGTTGCCTTAATGACATTTGTGTGTCTTGGAATGACAGCCTGTGCTAACAAATTGCATCTCAAGATGTGAAAACATGAAGATCAATAAAAAGAAATGAAAAGTCTGCTTCATTGATAAAACATCATTTATCTTAATAATGGGTACTTCTCTGAATTTCCCAAGTGCCCTTCCAAATGCCAGTATCAAAGCCAGTGCCCACATGTGTGTAGAAAGTTCAGGAGGGTTCAGGGGAGTTGAGGCAGGAACACAGGCTGCTCAGCCCAGGGGGTCCACCGAGGAGAAGCATCATTCTGGGCCAGTCACCCACTGGACTGGTTTCCAACCAAGGAGATTTCAAGCGGGGATTTCCAAGCATATTTCTGGAATTTCAAAACTTCCAGTGAAAATAATATACAATTGACCCTTGAACAACAATGATTTGAACTGGGCAGGTCCACTTGTTCATGGATTTTTGTTTTGTTTTGTTTTGTTTTTTTGAGACGCAGTCTTGCTCTGTTGCCCAGGCTTGAGTGCAGTGATGCGATCTCAGCTCATTGCAACCTCTGCCTCCTGGGTTCAAGCAATACTTCTGCCTCAGCCCCCTGAGTAGCTGGGATTACAGGCACGCACCACCACACCTGGCTAATTTTTTGTATTTTTAGTACAGACGGGGTTTCACCATATTAGCCAGGATAGTCTCAATCTCCTGACCTTGTGATCTGTCCGTCTCGGCCTCCCAAAGTGCTGGGATTACAGGTGTGAGCCACCGTGCTCGGCCCATGGATTTTTTTTCTGCCTCTGCCACCCCTCAGACAGCAAGACCAACCCCTACTCCTCCTCCTCCTCCTCCTCCTCCGCCTACTCAATGTGATGACCATGAGGATGAGGACTTTATGATGACCTGCTTTCACTTAATAGTAAATATATTTTCTCTTGCTTATGTTTTTCTTAGTAACATTTTTTCTCTAGCTTACCGTATGGTAAGGATATAGTATATAATGCACATAACATACTAGCTATGTGTTAATTGACCGTGTTCAGTAAGGCTATTAGTATTATAGTTACGTTTTGGGGGAGTCAAGTTACATGCAAATTTTCAGCTGCTCAGGGGTCGGTGCCCATATCATTCAAGGATCAACCGTACTTTCATATGAAAGTTGTTTCACCAAACATTGTGAAACATTAAGTGACCCCCTTTTGGTAGATTTTATATAATGTGGTGGGCATTGGAGCAGTTATAGTTCATGCTGATTAGTATGAATTTTGAAAATGTATTATTCCACATCCAGGAGGCTTGCTTATAGTTTGTCAAGCCCACAGGCTGAATGGTGGGATTCCTGCTCCTGCCGTTGGTAAAACAGGAGTCCTCCTCCGAGGTGAGAGGGCTGGAAGCACTGGTCTCCATGGATCAGCGTTCTGGCCTGGTAGGCCCCTTATTTCATTCCCTCCACACATGCAGCCTCGTCCACTCTGTCCAGTTCCCCTAGCTCTTCTCAGGACACATTGTGGAGAGGCTGGGGGTAGTCCAGGAGTTCCTGTCCATCAGCAGCAGCAGGTTAGGAGGAGCTATGGGATGCCCAGAGGTTGCTAAGACCAGATTGGTGTTGGGGTGGGCAGAGGTCTGATCTCCTCTCCTGGTCTCCTCCGCTCCCCAGCCAGGACCATGGTATGACATGAGAAAGGCAACCCCAGACTCCATATTGCTGACGTAGCTTTCCCCAGAGTTTTCCTACACAGTGGGACATTTAAAAAGGTAGATGGCAACCTGTTTTTCAAAGGAGAAAAATCAGCACTCCCGATGCCTGCGATCGGATCCGTCTTCTCCCTCATTCTGTGTCCTCTAGCCATGCTGGCTTTCCGCACTCCTCTGGGGAGCCAGGTCTTCTTGTCTGGGGATCCTCCTCCGTGGTGCGCCCTGGAGTGGCAGGCTTCTCATTGGAGTAGCTCCACGACTGAGGGATTACTTTAAAATGCCACTTTGCCGGAGACTTCTCATGACCTTAAATCTACATTAGAACTCTTTCATAGATTTTAGTACTTCTCCATCGCGACAGTCACAATTTGTAACTAACGTCGATTCATAGTTATTTTTCATCTGTCTCCCCTGCTAGCTATAATCTCTCACTCACCCTTGGACATGCTGCACTCAACACATACTTGCCGAATATATGACTAAATGAAGTCCTGAGTTCAGAGTACTCATCCTAGAAATTTCTCAGGGGACAGATACATCCTGTGATCAAACAAGATTGGGACCCATCGTACCCCGTCTTCCCTTAGAAAGTCCTAATACGCATTATGTAGGGGACTCTGAGGTGCGCTCCAACTAGAAAACAAAAAGCGTCAGTAAGCTAACTTTCTTCACCTCATGTTTCCTAAACATATTTAAACGTGACTTTTTTTTTCATCTAACATTTACTAATATCCTGTAGAATTTATTTTTAAGAGATGCTTTCTTGCAGGATCCTACTGGGAAGCCTGAGGTTCTCAAGGTCATCAGGCTTGGTTTGGGGGCAGCACCCTCATGGCTGCATTGCTGTTGTCATGAACACGTGAACACGCATGCACACGTTCACATATGCGACCACCACTGTAGTAAAGCATGGGCTATAAGCAGAGTTTGGAGCTAGCCTGGGGTTACAGTTTTCAGGGAGCAGAGAGTAAAAACACAGTCGAAACTCTGGTATTTGTAAATGTAGCCTTTGTAGTTAGGATTGTGAGTAACTCATACTGACTTTTCTTTTGGTAAGACCCAAATCTGCAAGTATTTGGGAAGCTGATGTGTGGAGGCAGGTCCCATAGGTGGTGAGTCAGTCTACCTACCCTACCCGGCCTTGCAGCTTAATGCAGCTCTCTTGTTTTCAGCAGCTGCAGCAATTCTCTTGGATTTTCCAATAGAGTTAAGCAAATTTTTGGGGGAAATGACACGCAATCTTGGAATTAGTGAAGATTTCAGGACATATCCCTCTTGCCTATCTAGGATGTATTATAAAGGTAAGATTCCTGAGGTGGAGCTCTATTAAAGGCAGCGGATCTCAAATTAGTTTTGATCAGCCTCCACTTAGGCACGGCAAAACTGTTTCACCTACCGACTCCATCTAGTCTTATTTTCCAGTGGAAAAATAAATGAGTGATAATTTGTGGGGAGTGGATTATGTATACATTTGTTCTAGCACTGGACTATGGATGATTCCTATTTGAACCACAATGTATACATGTCTCAGAGTCTAGTTATTGAAAAATTACAGCTCCAGAATACTGTTGATGCAAATAAGCTTCAAGTATACTCTGTAGGGTTAACCAAGCAACCCACAACAAAACAAACTGATGATAATGCAAGCTAACAGTAATTCATAATTAAAAAGCACCAATAGCAGCAATTGAAAATTGCAACCAACTCGAGGCAACACTGATGATGTGCTGATAAAGAAGCCTTCTCCCAGATCGGGAAATGTCATCTCTGTGCCTGCACATGTGAAACTGGAGCCTTCTAATATAGCAGGCGAGCACTGCATTGCTGGCAGCTAGACTTTATAGTACAGTATTATAGCGTATGTAGTAACCTTTGTGATGCTTAGTGGATTACAAATTCGTAGTCCTGGTAATATATAAAAATGAAACCTTCATCAATCTGCATACAATTCACCATAAGGTTCCAAAAGAGGACTTAAAAACATTCGGTTCGAGGCACATGAGGATGCCTCTGATAATGTGCCCCAGCCTCTGGTCCTGCACCCCATAGGTTTTAGACTCTACTTTTGAAATCATTGTCTAGGCAGCCTTTCCTCCTTCGGCTAGGGCTTTTTTCCTTTCCTAGCTCGAGCAGACTGGAGATACGCATTTGGATTTATGAAGTGCTCAGATTGTTATTTTAAAATGTGAAAGGAGTTCTTTTTAATACCCAGGGTAATACAATATCCAAGATATAACATTAAGTGATAAAAAACAAAGTGTATGACAGTATAGATGACATCCTACTTATATTTTTTGAAGCCCGCAGATTTTATATGTATGTTTGTGCTTTACATGCCTAGAGTATCTCTGGCAGTGTGTGTAAGAAATGGATCAAAACAGTTGCCTCCAGGGAGAGGTAATGGGTGCCGGAGGAGAGAGGGAGGCTTAGGTTTTCCACTAGATACCTATTTGCGCTTTTTAAATTTTGCACCATGTATGTATTAAGCATTAAAAATAACTGAGTTTAAATTAACAGAAAAGAAAAGAAAACCCAGTGAGCCTATGAAGTGTTGATTCTCATTTTGGTTTCTTTTTTCTTTTTTTTAAAGATGAAGATTAAGTTTGTTTTATTTATTCTTGATTCCTCTTTTGCCTTTCAAAGTCATGGTCATATATTAAGTAGGAGATTCCAGGTTCTAAAGTAAAATATCGAACTGAGATGACAGCATTAGAAAACCAGGCCCAGGACCTGGGATTCTGGGCTGAGACAAAGAACTCAATCCCAAAACACAATTTTCTGATAAATTAGAACTGTTATTTAAAAACTTTCCTAGTGTTCCAATGTATTTTCATACTGTATATATGTAAAATACAAAAGGAGCACTCTTAGTAAGGATACTTGTACATTTGTAACTTGAATATAAGAAAAAGAGACCAAAAAAGAGACAAAATTCATAAAGCAAAGCATGTTTAAATGAATGCATTCCTCTTACTTCATCCTGCTTCAGTATTGCTCAAGAAAATGAAGCAATTATTTATCTTGATTTGCTACCAGGAATTTTTTTAAAAGCAAAAGAAATATTACACTATTTAGTGTTTCCTAATAAAAAATAAAATTTCACTAATTATGTAAAAAAGAATTGTATTCTTTTACATAGATCAACACAAAACAGTACATTGCCTTTGTATGTTAAATGCTCATTATGCTGAGTGACAATTCTAAGAGCAAAGACATGTAGTTATCTAAATTTTATGGGTCCTCAATTACTGCAGATAGACAGTACAGTAAGAGACAGTACAGTAAGAAATAAAAAGGCTGAAAGGAATGTTTTGGACATTATAGGAGGCCTAACTTTGGGTGGTGTAGATACAGATCAAAATGAATTCTCAAACCAGAGATGGGCTTTGTGGAATGGGCCTAAAGTAGTGACAAGGTAGTCACAGACTTCTGGAGGAGGGTACTTGGGCTGGTGTCTACCTGGCATATTTAGGAACATTCCATAACGAGATGTAATATCAGCACAATTGATTATTTAGCCCAAGGTCTCAGTCAGTTGATGGCTACAAGTGTTAAGTACCACAAGCCCCACCTCTATCTCTGTATGTTTAGAGTGCAAATATTTTCCCCATGCTTCTCGTCCCCTAGTCACTGCCCACCCCCCTCCGCCCTTCCCTATTCTTACAGGACTTAGCAGGCTGGCACACTAGAGCTCTGTCTTTCAAAGTCAAGTTCACATAGAGGAGATACAAGTAACCACAAGCCCTTGAGTAACCCACGCAAAGAAACTGCTTGGCTTTGGTCTAAATGACTTACATTTTTCCTCGCTTGAATTAGCCGGTAATTACATGTGGGCAGACTTAGCCAGAATAGTCTAAATGATCAATTAGAAGGCAAAAAGAAGTTCCTTTCTTTAAAGTTCAAGGGTCCCTGTTGAAGAGCCCTACTTCCAAAGTGATGCTCACATGGGCCCGTGCCCAGCTCTCTGCGGTGCCTGAGCATATTGTACATTTGCTTAACGATAATGAATTTAGTACTTATTTTGCAGGAAAATATAGGGCATTTCCATTACATGCAATCAAGCAAAAAGGCTGCAAAATGTGCCACTCCATTAATTCTAAACAAAATCCTTCCCAAATGTCACCCTGAAACCAAAGTACAGAGTTATTATAAATCTGAAGGAATTAAGAGTAATTTTCATTTGTACAAAGGATGTGAGGGACATGACTCCTGCCACACACACACTATTAATTGGGTTAAATCCAATTTGCCAATTTCAGTGTGAATCACTAAGCTCTGACCTAGCTTGCCCCAGTGGTGAGATCAGTGGGTTCTCGTGTTTTTGGCTCAGGTGTACATGTGCACGTGCTCAGATGTGCACACACATACACAACTTTAGAACATGCAAAGAACATAATGTAATTGGCTTGTTATAAACATGTTGTACTGTCTACTATTGAGGAATGCATACTTAGCTAAAAAGAAAAGCAAAACCTTGATGATTGGACTCAGAATAGTGGTTACCTTTAGGGAGAAGGGAGAGGTTATGTTCAAAGAGGAAAAAAATTCCAACTTCTGGCAAGTCATTTAACCTCCAAGCCTTAGTTTCCTCATCTGTAAAAGGGGAATGAAACACCTACGTCAATGGGAGTCCTGAAGATTAATGGCCTTGAGTATATCAGAGCAGAGCACTTAGTGTGGGGCCTGACACACAGTTAGCATCCTTTGAATGGTAACTAGGATCTTTATTTTCATCTTGTGGGGACTCTTTTGCCTAAGCTGGTTCCCAAATCATGGAGGGAAATCTGGACCTGGCACCGGGAAGGGAACAACCTTCCCAACCTTCATTGCTAGGTTGGTCCCCAGCGCCTGGGAGGGATGGGTCAGCCCACTGAGTTATTGATGATTTCCTTCCTAATTTCAGTTTCCACTATCTCTGGGTTGCAGCTGGACTTGTGGGAGAGCACAGTGCAAGAGACAGGAATAAGCAGGGTAAGGCAGTTCGGAGGAGGGTCCAGTACGCCAACAGCAAGAACTCTTGGGCAGTGGTGGGCCCAGGGCAGCCCCTCACTCCACGTTACGGTACTTGGTGAAGAGGTTGTACAACACTCGTAGTGTAGATTTCAGGTCACAGTTGACTATGTCTGCGTAGAAAACAAAAAACACCAATTGTTTCCATGGGGCCACATGTTCCAAAGCTGGCATACACTGCCCCTCCCTTCCACCCACCACCCAATCCCATGTACCCAGCATGTTCGGGGCAGATGGGTAGAGTGGGCAGCGAGAATTCAGAGCAGGGGGCAGTGAGGGTAGAGGTGCTGGGGCACAGCATCTCCAGATAAGAAGGCCTGACCCTCCCCACAATCCCCACCTGTCCCAGGGGCTCTTTGCCCACTGCCTCCAACCTCCATCATAGAACCAACCATGGGTGGTGAAAAGGAGGGGAAGGCCTGGGGCTGCAGTGGAAGACCAGGGGGTGCATTAGGACTCAAGCTGCCTCACAGAAGCTTGCCTAGCAGAGAAGGGGGACTTGCAAGGAGTACTCAGGAAATAGGCGTCATGGGGGACAGACAGGTTCCGATTAAGAATACAGCATGGCAGAAGGGTTTGAGGTGCTAAAACTTCAGCTGGAGGTTCCTCAGCTTCTATGCTACCATTCCCTCTCTCGCTCACTTCCTCCCTCCCTCCCTCCTTTCCTCTGATCCTCCCATCCTCCTTCCCTCCCTCTATTCCTCCCTTCTTCCGTGCCCCCGGATCTTCCCATCCTCCCTCTTTGCCTTCCTTCCTTTGCAATAGGAGCTTTCCAGGTACAGAAGTGGGCAAAGAATTCCATGTGGAAAGTTTAGTGTATCTTACTAAACCCAGCTATGCTGGAGAATTCCCAATAGGCCAGCATGGCTAGAGAGGTTGGGGTGTATGGGGCTGGATCCCGAAAGGCCTTGAATTCCAAGTTACAGAGCTTGCATGATTTTGTAGGCTAGAGGCTGGAAACTGGCAGCTGGCAGGCTAGCTATGACTCACTGACACACTGTGCTTAGCCCTTCCTCCCTTCATCCATCTATTTACTGGTCACCACCTTCTCTGGCTGTTCCTCTAACCCTCTGCTGGCTCCTCTACCTTCCTCCCTCCCCCAACAAGACCCCCTCTCTGCTCTTGTCCCTCTGCTGTCACTCTCCTAGAAAGCCAACCTTTGAAGAGTGGGAGAAGAGAAAACAAACAAAAAAATGGAACTCCGTCTACTATTGAGGAATGCATACTTAGGTAATAAAATTATAAAGAAAAGCAAAAACAAGGCAAAACCTTGATGACTGGACTCAGAATAGTGGTTACCTTTAGGGAGAAGGGAGAGGTTATGTTCAAAAAGGATGCAGGGCAAGTTGAAGGGAGCTCTTGGGAGCCGGCATTACTTTTTTCTTTGTCCTGGGTGGTGGCTGCGTGCTGGCTCGCTTGGTAAAAGTTCACTAACCTGTACATTTATGTTTCATGCACCTTTCTGTATATGTGATATTTTTCACAATAAAAATGATTAAAAAACAACTGTATGGGAGGTCAGATGAAGTAGGTGATTAAGAGAAGGTAATAAATGCCCTGGGATTCAAAGATGGGAGAAATTACACCAAGCCACTGGGAAAGAAGGGGTGGGGGAAGGTGTCAGGATTCTAGCAATGCTCTGGTCAATACCCACAGGGATCCTTCAAGAGTAGGCAGAGTGGGGAGCCAGGGGCTCCCAGGTCTTAGCCTTGGGACTTTTAAAAAAAAAGATTTTATTTTTTATTTCAATAGCTTTTGGGGTACAGTGGTTTTCTGTTACATGAATGAATTATATAGCAGTGAATTCTGAGATTTTAGTGTGCCCATCACCCAAGTACTGCACATTGTACCTAACATGTATTAGTTCCTTTATCCCTGTGCCCGCTCCTGCCTGTGCCATTCTCAGTCTCTAAAGTCCGTTATATCACTCTGTATTTAGCCTTGGGATTCTTGCAACTGGAACTGCCACAGCCTGGCATGCTCAGGCCCCAAGCTCCAGGCCTAGGGCCCAGGGCTTGGGGGAACCTCCTTAGGTTCCCCCCACCCCAAGGCCCCTCCTGCCTGCTCCCTCCAGGCCTTATCCTGGTTATAGACCAACCCTGCTCCACCCTGGCTGGGCCCAAGGTCTCCTACTGATAGACCAGGGGCTTCCAGAGACCCATGGAGAGGCCTGGAGTGGCCTGGAGCTCCCAGATTCTGTTTCTGCTCCCATGGTGCTTCATCACATATCTGAGCCTCTAACTGGGGCCCTGGCCTGAGGCTGAGTCCTGCTACCTTGCCTTGCTAATGCTGAGCCAGGAGTCCCACCCTGAATCACCTTCTGCCAGATGGAATCCCATGCCCTCTAGGCCAATTCCTGTCCTCCCCTGACTGCTTGGTGTTGAGTGTTTCTTAAATTCTACTCAAGTCAAATACCAGGAAGTTACTCCAGGGAGGAACTGCTAGAAAGGCAGAGAGGGGCAAAGGTGAGCTTGCCAAGGGAGTTGGGTGTAAAGGGGAAGGTAAAGTGGGCCTGGAGCTCCTGCAACAGGCTCCTAATAAGCTCCCCTTACCCTTTCCAAACCATTCTACCTACTGGAGCCAGACTATGATAGGCCTCCAGGCATGGCTGTGCAGGATGTACACTGCACAACTCCAAGGCACATCATTCACACTTCCAGGGCACCACTGTCATGGACTGCAAGGTAAACAGGGCCTCTTGGAGCTGTGTAGCTCACAGCTTGTATGGCCATACAACTATTTCCCTTAGAAGGTCCAAAATCCTAAATTGTGGCTTTGTAAGGCGTAACCTGACCCGACCTGCCTACCTTCCCACTCTCATTTGGTACCACACTGCCTCCCTCACTATGTATCACAGTCACTGTGGCTTCCTTTCACTACCCTCCCCATGGGCCATGCTTGGCCTCCGCCTATGCTGTTACAACATCTAGATCACTCTTCCCAAATAGCTGGCTCTAGGTCCTCCTGCAGACCTCAGCTCAAAGCACAGGCTCCTGGAGGGAGGCCTTCCTGACCCCCGCCTGGGCGCAGGGGTCCTGTTTTATGTTCTCAAAACTCCCACATGCTTCCTTCATAGTACTCACTCCAGGTGTAAATCAGTGACTTGTATGCTTATTGATTAACATCTGCCTCTGTCCTGGACTGTAGGTTCCTTGAACACAGAGAGCATGGACCCTCCAAGGATATTAACAGATCCATGAATGAATGGTTGCCCACCGTCTTGGAAGCCAAGGAAAAAAATTCCAGAGAGGGTGGACAAGAGGGCCACGCGCTCCCAAGAGGGCGAGGAGGTTAAGGACTGAAAAGAGTTCCCAGGGAACATAGGCCCAGCAGGTGACTTGGGAGAGAGCAAGGCCAAGAGCAGGTGGAGGTAAAATGTTAATAACAGCACGGGCAGATCAGAAGTGGAGGCATGAGCACGGGTCGCAAAGGAGGAATTTGGGGGCCTGGTGAAGGACAGATACTGATAGAGGCAGGGGGATTTGTTTTCCCTTTTGAAAGGTGGGTGAGTTCTGAGGTTGCTAGAAAAAGAAAATGTCCAATATGGGAGAATGTTTTAAACTGGCCATTTTAATGGTTACTAAGTGACATTTTTATGTTCACAGAAGTTTGAAGTCCATCTCCACTACAGCTGTGTGACCCTGGCAGTCACTTAAATTCTCTGAATCAGTTTTCTCACTGGTAAAATTGGGCAATACCTTTATGAAAAACACCCAGAATATATTAAGGGTCCCCTAAATGGTAGTTTTCTTTCTGTTTTCCCATCTTTGCCCATTAGCAGAGCTGCTATGTATAGCCGTGCAGTCTGTGCACTGCACAATGCCTGCATCATTCACGTGGACTAAGCCCTGCTCCTTGGAAAACTGAGTTGCTTCTTCACCACCTTCACCACTAACGCCAACAGATGGGCCGGGTGAATAGGGGAGACAGCAGTCAGAGACACTGCCTATCACTTATCACCTGTTCTTATCAAGAAAGCCAAGACCTGGGCCCCCAGGTAGTCCCAGGCAGACTAGTAGGCCAAAAGGAGACTGGACTATCTCAGCCAGGAGAAGGGCTGTGGATTCCTGGGAATATATTGTAACTTCATGCTGTATAAACAGAGCCACGTCAAAGCCCTGTTCTCATAAATTGTGTGATTAGCAACTCAGTTCAGTTCTGATAGCCTCTGTGTGCTGGCCCAGGGCCCCTCTCTGGAGGCAGACAGCCAGGACTATGGGGCTTCTGGTCAGATACACCAGAACAGAGGCTGTCTGACAGCCTGGGGCCAAGGAAGAGGTGGCTCTAGAGATAAAACAGCTTCTGGCCAAGGGGAAAGGGCTCATTGTTTGCTCCTCCCCCCCAGAGGTATTAGTGACTCTTTCTATCAGGAGAGGACCATCGAAAATGAGTTCATGAATCTCTAAAGGATGCAGAGGCCAAAGGAAAGAGAGGAACTCTCTTCCCAGCAGAAACTGTCTTTGCACAAAGGGACAAGGCCCTCTGTGGCCATTTGTGACACCACAGTTTCCTTCATCCCAAGGCACTGCTGAAGGCCCTTCTCCGAAGCCTTCCCCCACGGTCTCTGAACCCCTTGACCAAGGTGGGAGGCCCCTGCTGGCTCAGGGCTGGCAGCTGGTGGGGGCTGGAATCAGTTAGGTGGCCACTAGGTGGTTACTTATGCTCTAGCCCCCAGCCGACCTCCCTGCGCCTCTATCTCATCCTGTCTCGCATCTCTACCTGCTCTCTATTCCCCACCGGGGCAGGATCCATGCTGTACAGATGCTCCTTTTCGTGGTGACCTACTGCCCTATCTGGTGGTGAGTTTGCCATTTGCTTTATTTATTTTTAAAAACTTTTAAGTCATTAAAAATTTTTTTTAAATATGACATACATCCAGAAAAAAACCCATGCAACATATATGTACTGTTTTAAATATTTGAAAATGAACTCCTGCCCGTCAAAAATAGAACATTGTCAGTATCCTAGAAGCATCCCCTCCCCCTTCTACATTCCCTCTCTCATTCCCCAAATATAACCACTGTGCTGACACTTATGATTACTTCCTTGCTTTTCTTACCAGTCCTAGCATCAACATACGTGCCCTTGAACAGTAGCTTCAAATGTTGCCTCTTTTTGTATTTCACAGGATTCATCTATGTTGTTACATGAGCTGTCTGTTTTTTTTTTTTTAACAGTTTTACTGAGGTATAGCTATAATTATCCAACTATAATTCTATAATTGTTCAAGGATAAAGCTTCTTGGCCGGGCAGGGTGGCTCACGCCTGTAATCCCAGCACTTTGGGAAGCCGAGGCAGGCGGATCACCTGAGATCAGGAGTTCAAGACCAGCCTGGCCAACATGGTGAAACCCCGTCTCTACTAAAAATACAAAAATTAGCTGGGTGTGGTGGTGGCAGCCTGTAATCCCAGCTACTTGGGAGGCTGAGGCAGGAGAATCTCTTGAACCTGGGAGGGGAAGGTTCCAGTGAGCCGAGACCACGCCATTGCACTCCAGCCTGGAGAGCGAAACTCCGTCTCAAGAAAAAAAAAAAAAAAAAGAATAAAGCTCTTGATTTGTTGTCTACCTCTGGTAGGTTTTCAGTGCTTCAAAATCATTGTTTTGATGATTTTTGTCCAGTTTTACACTTGCTTTTTTGCAGAGAATAGTCACTGATCTCTTCAGGCTACAGTAACTAGAAGTTCCTGCCCTGACTTCTCAGTTCAGTCTTTTTTATTGTCATGGTTGTATTATAATCCATGATATGAATATGCTTCAATTTATGTAGCTAGTCTACTGGGATGTACACTCCAGCCTATGCTATCATGGGTATTCTTGGGCTTGTCTCCTGGTGTATGGACATACGTACCTATGAATGGAATTGCTAAGTCAAGGAGTGTGCTAACTTCCTATTACTGCTGTAGTAAATTAGCACACATTTGGTGGCCTAAAAACAACATAAATGTATTATCTCTGAATTCTAGAAATCAAAAGCCCCAAATCCATCTCACTGAGATAAAATCACGGTGTCAGCACAGCTGCATTTTTTTCTGGAGGCTCGAAATGGAGATCGTTACACTTGTTCTTTCCAAGTGGGGGATGGAATAAGTTAGGTGGCCATAAGGCAGTTAGTTACTCATGTTCTAACCCTCTGGGGTTGCCTGCATTCTCTGGCTCATAGACCTCTTCCATCCCCAAAGCCAGCAATGGTTGGGTGAGCCTTTCTTATGCTACATCACCCTCACACTCCTGCCTCCCACTTCGACTTATAATAAGGACCCCTGTGATGACATTGGGACCACCTAGATAATGTCATCATCTCAAGACCCTAAATTTAATCACATCTGCAAAGTCCCTTTTGCCATGTAAGATAACACATGAACAGGTACCGAGGATTAGGACCTGGACGTTTTTGGCCAGGGGTGGAGACCACATTATTTTGGCAGGGGGTGTCTACCACATTATTTTATAGCGTATTACAAATCTTCAACTATGTTAGATGAGAACAAACTGTTTTCTACTTTCGGCTAAATAGGGACTGAATAAAAATAAAATGGTTCTAGCAATTTAGAACACCAGCAGTTTCTGTTGCTCTACATCCTTGCTAACACTTGGTATGATTAGAGTTTTAAATGTTTGTCACCATTGGCTTCTGTACACTATCTCCTAGGGGAATGGGGGAGTTGAACATTTTCCATGTTATCAGCCACTGACCAAGTCTTCCCCAAATGAAGTGATCACCTGGAACTAAGCTGCCATAACCTGCTTGGTTTTTCAGCATTGCTTGCCATCTGGTCCCAGGTATGAGACTCCTTAAATTTTAGATATTTAGTCCTACAGACTTCAATCCTGCCTGGTACTAGATGTCTTCTGAGTCCCTGCCTGCCTGTTATTCTGGAGTCTTAACCATAATTGATGATGAGTCTACTTGAAAGGTGATAACAGGGTGGACATGTGCATTTGAAGACATGTGGCACGATGCCCTAAATAAAAAGCTGCCAGCTGCATGACAATATTTCTTTTTCTTTCCTTTTTTCCTTTCTTTGAGACAGGGTCTCACTTTGTTGCCCAGGCTGGAGTGCAGTGGTGCAACTTCCGCCTCCCAGGCTCAAGCGATCCCTTCCACCTCAGCCTCCCGAGGAGCTGGGACCACAGGCATGCACCACTACACCTGGCTAATTTTTTTGTATTTTTTGTACAGGTGGGGTCTCACTATGTTGCCCAGGCTGGTCTCAAACTCCTGAGCTCAAGCCGTCTGCCCACCTTGGCCTCCCAAAGTGTTGGGATTACAGGTGTGAGCTTCCATGCCTGGCCATTATTTCGACTGCTCCACTGGTTAGGAACTTGATGCTAACCCTTGGCTTACACTAACTCAGGCACTAAACGGTCATGAAGCCTGGGCAGCAAGTCATCTCAGATACAAACCCAGTTTCTAGGGGATTTCAAGGCACAACAGAGCTTTGAGTGTTAAACAGCACAGCAGAGAATGCATTTTCCTGACCTTAAAAACATGTTGCCATGAAAAATGCCTCCACCACAACCAGTTTGATTTTGAAATGCCCTCAAAGAATTACCCACATTGGCACCCTTTGAAATGTCTGCATCATTTACTTCCAAATCTCACTTTCCAGGTAGAAGCATAAAAACCAGACGGAATGCTGGGATTCACTTCTTTCAAAGTACAATTTCATAAAATGCTATTTCCATTCCCCTTTACGTACTGGAAATTTGCAGCATGGGCATAATGCCCTGTGTCATAACAAATAAAACACGTGTTTTTCCATCCACATCAGTCTGTTAGTTTCACATTCAGCAACTTAATAATTGCATAAAAATATCACCTATATTCCAAAATATTCCCATAGATTGATTTATATTGGGAAAATTATCTGTCCCAAGGGAAAGAAATATCCCAATTCTAAAATAGCAGAAGTACTTCCAATCTGTAACCAGGAAGTTTCATATTAAGTGGTTGAAGAAAGTGGAAGCAAAATGATGGTCGGAACTTTCTCACTGTGTCTGTCCTCCCAGAAGCAGGGTGCTCATCATCTGCCCACAGAACAAGAAGAGTCCATTCCTAATGGCATTAGGAAGGCTGGAGTGGCCTTGCCAAAGAGAGAGCCCCAGGGGGACACCAGCCTTGCTAGAGGTCCTCCCCCAGGTCTCAGTTGACCAGGGGCTTAGGACAAGGTGGTAATAAATGAGAACAGGAGTTGACCTTTGTTGGCTAGAGTCAATAGATAACGAGTCTGGAAGGAGTCATGAGACAGGGTCCCCATTCTTCCCCGGGGGGACTTTTGCTCATGCTGTCATTCTGTCTGGCATGCACACACTTCTCTCCCAGTCTCCATACACCAAAGCCCTACCTGGTCCTTATGGTTGAGCCCCACTGTCTCCATCAAACTGTTCCTCCCCCAAGACAGAAGTGGTATCACCTCCTCAGTCCTCACAGACTCTTCCTTGTACCTCTTTCGTAACAGTTCCCATGACTGTCATTTCATTTTGCTAACTGGCTCCAACTTTTCTCTTCCCTGGTTGGCTACACGTGCCTTGAGGTTCAGGAAGGTCTTACCCCTCTTGTTATATCATGGTCTACAGGGTCTCAAGCCCACTAGACCAGGGCATGGCCCCCACTAGGTGGGGGTTTGGATAGAGGAGCTCAGAGCAGAGGCAGGAAGGGGGCATGAGAGCCCACCATTCCTACTCATCCACTTGCCTATAAACTACCAGAAAAGTGCGAGCAAAAGGGCCACAGATGGCATTCTCAGTGTTCCCAGGGGACATATGCAGGAGATTATCTGCAACACAGTGGTGACCTGCCAGCTCTGGTGAAATGGAATACTTCAGTCAGTAAGGGGCAGAAAGCAATCATCCGTACCAAGACTACTAAGAGAAGCGTGCCTCCTCTGCTCACGAATGCACGTGTGCACTCCTAGCAGGAGTATGCAGGGGCTGCAGAAGCACTTGTCCCTTCTGCATTTCCCCTCAGACTTATATTTACAACCCAAACCCCACAAATCATGGCCTGTCCTCAGACAGAGTCTGAGCAGGCAGAGCTCCGCATCTGTAAGGAGAGAAGCAGTTTTGCTCAGCCCAGAACTGTCTGCGCTGCACCTTCACCCCGACTGGCGGGGACACAGCTCTTTGGCAGGTCAGCACCCTGTGCAGGGACAGGAAAACCTGGAAATTGGGCACAGGGCAGTTCCTGCAGCAGCAGTTCTGCTCGGTCCCTGATCCCCGCGATCCCACGCATGGCATGTGTGGGATTTCAGATTCTTTTCTTCCCCTGGCTGTGCAGCTGGCAGCTCACAAAGGGTCTCTGGGACTGAGCAGCTGCACCGAGTCCCACCTTCCCCAGCAACGAAGGCTTCAGAAAATGCTTCCCTCTGCTACAAAATCTGAGTACTCATGTGCAGGGAGAGGGTCTCACTCTGTTGTCACAAACCCAGGAAAGAGCAAAGTACCTTCTGGCCGCGGTTTTGGCTTTTCCAACCCTCCATCTTGCATGAGCTCAAAGGCAAAGGAGACATTCAAGACCTGGCAAGAGAGATGCAGACAGCATGTACCATTGCACACCCAGGAGCCCCAGGACCTGGCCCTGGGAAGTGAAGGAGCCCAGCACTGTAGCCAGAGGGACAGAGGCTGAACTAATTTCAAGGAGAAATATGGCTACCAAAATGGGCAGGCCACCTGGAGCGTGAGCTAGCTGATCCTAGCTTGCTGTTGGGAGAAGCACTCCTGGAGAAGCACAAAACTCCCTTCATATCCTACTGTGTTCCTGTGTAAACTGCCAGGACTTCAAATTGGGGGTGTCAGTGCACACGTCTGGAAGAATCAGATGGCAGGACATGTTCAACAGGCAGAGCAGGCTTTCTGGTCAAATGCCTTTGTGTAGCGAGCAGGATGTGGCAGCCTACGAGAGGCCATCAGAACCAGGCTAAGCATGAGCCTCAGGGCTGACCAGCTTCACAGTCACTTTCCTTGTCATCTCTGGGGAGAGAGGAGGCTGGGCTGGGGCACTTGACAGGGACACAGGGCAGGGGACCCGGGCCAGGCTTCAGGGCAAGGGAAAGGCAGTCAGGGATGCCCAGTGGTCTGCAGGTAGCTCCTTCCCAGCTCAGCTCTTATAATGGGTCCCACCTCCAGGCACTGAAGACGTTGAGCAGAGGGGAAGCTTCTGCCTTTTTTCTGGATAGCCCCAGCATGGGTGTGGGCACATGAGTCAGGGGATGTGGGCTAGGGGGCCTCCCTTGATGTCCCTTCTCCTTACCTTCTGTTCAAAGCTGTCCGGGGTCAGGAAGAAGCTGTGCAGGGGCACAAAGTAGCCCTCCAGGAGCCCCATGAGCAGCACCAGGTACACCCCATCTGCAAACTGGAGGAAGAGCCAGGTGATGGCACTGGCCCCTGAGCCTCCCAGCCAATCCCCATCCAGGGGGCCCATCAACTTCTGTGCTATGCCACCTGAAGCCTACCACCCCAGCCAGGCTGCTAGCTCGGGGGTAGGGGCAGTGGCCCGAGACAAGGAGGTCTGCTCTGCCCCACGTCTGGCTGGCACAGGAGCCACAAGCCCAGGCCCTGATCTCAGCTGACCCAGCATTTACTGAACAGAGGCTGTGTACCAACTCCTGGTCTAGGCATGGGGACCAGAGCATGGTGGGGGGTGGGGGGTGGGGGGTGGTCAGTGTGGCTCCTGCCCTGGAGGAGTACACAGTCTAATAGGGAAACTGGTGTGGGGGCAAGGCACAGCTGCTCTGATGGAAGGAAGCTCGCTGGCCTGAGTGAGGTTGAGAAAGGTCGCCCACAAGCACTGAAGGCATCAGAGGAGTCTTCTGGAGGGGACAGAGCCTGAGTGGAGAGCTGAGGATGAGCAGGATTGGCTAGAGTGGGACAGAGGGAGGAGGGGGAGGTGATGTCCAAGGTGAATGGCATGAGGTTCCTGGGGAGATCTGTGCTTTCTGAACAGAGAAAGGACTAGTGTCACACAGGGCTGGGCATTCTTTCTCCCATCTCTCTTCAGTATTACAGCAGCAGAGTGCAGCTGTTATGAATGTGGGCTCTGGGGCCAGGCCTCCCAGGTGCAAATTCCAGCTCTCTCACCTACTAGCTATATGCCTTGGGCAAGTTATGTCACTTCTCTGTACTCATATGTCTTATCTGTAAAACAGGGATGGTAATAGAATAGTATCTATGTCACAGAGTTATCGTGAGGACTAAGCCAGTTAAATATGCAGAGAGGGCCTGTAAACTGCTAGGCATGTAGCATTGAATAAATATTAAATGTTGCTATTACTGTCTGGGAAAACAACAAAGCAATCAGGACATGACTTACTTGCTCTTGCTGGCAAAAGCAGAACTATGTGCTGAGGGCCCTGGCAGGAGGCTTGCAGCCCGGTCCCTTCCTAGGCAGAAGAGGCCAGATGGGTTGGGAAACCAGGCCCAAGGGACAGGAGAGTCCCTCAGCTAAGTGCGGAGGCTGCTGGTCTTCTGCTTAGGGCTGGGTGAAGTGAGCATACACTGAGGGCTCAGGACAGGCTTGTGGAGGCCGGGGATGATGGACCTTGGGAGGAGTAGGGGGTTCCAGGTAGGGGGGATGGCCTAGCAAAGACATAGAGGTCAGATGCACATCCGACATTCTAGAACCCTTTCAAAGGAGGCTGGGCCACCAAATGTTTATGAGTGTATATAGCTGCTGGGGTTTAGAGAAGGCCACATTTCTTGGAATCACCTTAGGAGCCCAGAGTCTGCTCAGAGAGCTTTCCAGGTAGCCAGCTAGCCGGCCTGCGGCTCAGCCGTCATTAAGGGCACAAGACCCTGAGCTTGCGCTTGCCTTAAAGGCAGCTTCTGGCCGAGTGCGGTGGCTCATGCCTGTAATCGCAGCACTTTGGGAGGCTGAGGCAGGCGGATCGCTTGAGCTCAGGAGTTCCAGACTGGCCTGGGCAACATGGTGAAACCCTGTCTGTACTAAAAATACAAAAAAATTAACCGGGTATGTTGGTGCATGCCTGTAGTCCCAGCTGCTCAGGAGACTGGGGTGGGAGGATCACCTGAGCCTGGGAAGTTGAGGATGCAGTAAGCCGTGATCGTGCCACTGCACTCTAGCCTGCATGACAGGAGTAAGACCCTGTCTCAAAAACAAAAGGGTAGCTCCTCCCAGCTTCTATCCATCAGGCCTGCAACTCAGGTGGGAACGGCCTGAGCATGACTCACCCTAGGTGGACACGGGAGAGCAGACCCCAGAGTCTGTCAAAATCAAGGCCCTTCTGGTGGGAGCTGAGCAACTGGGCTTCATTCAAGCTGTGGTGAGAAGGAGTTAGGAGTAAAAGAATCCAATCTGTGAGCTCAGGGGTGACCTTGGGTTAGGGTTGGGGTCATTCACAGCTCTGAGTGCCAGGCTTAGACTGCTCCTCACCTCCCATGGCTGGTTCCACTGACTTGGTAGGAATAGTAGATAAAACTGTAGAGACCCAAAGTGCTTGGCAGTGACCCCTGTCATAGCACTCCCTGCCCTTGAAAACGGAGCTGATCATTCCAGGGCCCATTCTAGCTCACTCAAGGAAGCGTCACTTTTCCAGAACATTCCTTATTTCCTACAAGAGTACATGAAGCTCATTTCACACAGTCTAGACACACTCAGGTGGAGCTCAGCGACAGGCTGGCATTTGTCTTTAAAATAAAAGGAGGTACCCAGATGACTGAAAGAGAAGTATAAGGCAGAAGCTCACCAAGAATGAAAGGAGGTGGGGAAACAGGATTCATCAGGCTCAAAATATCTCCCCAATAAAGATTAGTTAAGTATAAAGAGAGGAAAAATAACTTTATAATAGGGAAATCCGGTGAACACCATCCTAACCAAATAATCCAAGTTATCACTAGCAGTGGGACTAATGGACAGAGTGCCTCCTCCTGGGATGCCCCGGGAAGAACACAGCCTTACTTGGGACGTGCTGTTAATGAAAATGCATGACCTGAATCTAATATGTGCAGAAAAGACAGTCTATAAACCAACTGGCCTGAACACTTCAAAAAGTGTCAGTGCCACAACAAGAAAGGCCGAGGAGTTGTTCTACGTTAAAAAGAGACTAAAGAGACATGACAAGTAAATGCAGCATGTGAGCAAACTGGACAACTGGCAAAATCTGAACAGAGTGTTTTTTCTAACCACATGATGTTGCCATTTTAGTAGGTTAAGAACAGTCAGCTGGGTGCGGTGGCTCATGCCTATAGTCCCAGCACTTTGGGAGGCCAAGGTGGGTGGATCACCTGAGGTCTGAGTTTGAGACCAGCCTGACCAACATGGTGAAACCCCGTCTCTACTAAATACAAAAAATTAGCCGGGCTTGGTGGCGCATGCCTGTAATCCCAGCTACCTGGCAGGCTGAGGCAGGAGAATCGCTTGAACCTGGGAGGCAGAGGTTGCAGTGAGCCGAGATCTTGCCACTGCACTCCAGCCTGGGCAACAAGAGTGAAACTCTATCTCAAAAAACAAAACAAAACAGAAAACAAAAACAGTCGAATGTCAGCAATTTCATATGATTCAATCTAAACAGATTAATGTATTATGTTAAAACTGCCTGCCTTTGATAATTGTGTTGTGGTTACCTAAGAGAATGTGCTTGTTCTTGAGAGACATATGCTCAAGCATTTAGGGGTGCAGAGAAAGAGAGAGAGGTGTGGCCAAATATTAACAATCGGTGCATCCCAGTGAAGGGTATATGAGTATTCATTCTTGTAATTTTCATAATAAAAAGTTGGAAAAAATCCACAGAGACTCAGTCCACCCCTCAGAGTAGGACAGATTCCCATGCCCTCATCCCCCTCAGCTGGGAAAGCCCTCCTGGCCAAGTGTGGTGGGCCACTTGGAACAGGGGCTGTAGGGCAGGGCCCTGCCTCTACCTGTGCTGGGGTCTGTCACCCACCTGGGTTTCCAGTTCTGTGACCTCCAGGTTCAGTTTATTCAGGTGCTTGTTCACGAAAGTGATGAGTGTCTAAAAGAGAAGCAAAGCAGGCCCTAAGCTGGGGACTCGCACTAGTGCAGGAGCCTGTGGCTGCTCCGTGACTCCCGTGAGGGCAAGGGTGAGGGTGAAAGCAGAGGATCAGGCCCAGCCAAGAGCCCTGGGCCCAGGAGCTCTCTCTGCAAAGGCCATTGAGTGCACAGGGAGGGCCACAGGCTCGACTTTGCAGTCCCATACAACTCAGGGCGTGTAAGGAACAAGGAGGTCCCAAGAGGCAGAATGATAGGTGGAGTGTCTGAGCCAGTGTCTGGGTGGGGGAACTGAAATAAAATGATTCCACTGGATCTCTCCTTCCTGTCCCTTCTTCGGCACAGGTGCCTAGGCCAGGGAGACAGGGAATTCTGTGAGGAGTGGGGAAGGCTGAGATTGCTGGGGTTAGCCTGGGTGGGAAGACAGGCTGTTCATGCTGATGGAGGGGAAAAGGCCCAGGTGCAACATCCAGTGAGGAACAGACAGGTACATGGATGGCAAGGGGGAAAGCCCTGTGTGTGCAGAGGTTAGGTGATGCCACCAGTTCTGGCAGGAAGCTCGCAAGCTGCAGGGATGGGTTTTCCCAATGTTCTGTTGCATCTCGCTTCCCTCTGTCCATCCCAGGCACCCCTTTCCCACCTTTTTCACCACATTCAGCTTGTCTGGGGCATGGTCGAACAAGGTGTCAAAGGCATCACGTTCTGAAAAAGAGGGAAACACAATGTGGAGCACAAGAGCTGATCCCTGGCAGGGAAGCCCACCTTGGGTCCCAGAGCCACGCGCCTCTCAAGGTCACAAGGTCAACTACCGATGGGAAGCCTCTGGGGTATAGACTGTGCCGGGAACTCTGGAATGTGATTTGGGGCTAAGATTTGGGGTGATTCTCACCCTGGGAGCCTGTGTCTGTGTCCGTGCATGTGTACATTATTGGATTGGGGCAGGCTCAGGGCTCTTTTAGGTAGTGTGACCCGGGATTAGTCATTTCCCTTCATTGTATTCCATTATATCCTAACGTAGCTATTGTTCAGGTGTTTCTGAACCTCTGTAGAGGGAGAATGTTATCCAAATATTAAATAATTTCACCCCCCAATTTTCAAAAACAGGAGACCCATGACAAACAAGCTGGCAGAGGGCACAGAGAAGAGGGCTGGGAGCCAGGGAGCTCCAGGATGGGATATGAGCTCTTCCTCTTAAGTGATCTAGGCCACTTCAACTCTTTGTGCCTTAGTTTCCTCTTCTATAAAATGTCATTTTAAAAATAACCCTCCCTCAGGTTTGTCATGAGGATGAAGTGTGAGAACAAGCATGTGCGTGCTCTGTAAACTCTGACATGTTCTCCTGAAGTGAATAATTTTTAGCATGATTGAAATATTTCAAAATATTACCCACAGTAAATATCAGGATCATAGAAAATAGCAAAGCCATGCTCCCTGCAGGGATTCTCCTTGCTGCAGCCTCCGTGTTCTCAGAACTGAGAGGTGACACAGTGGAAGGGATCTGACTCAGGAAAGGAGAAGGGTCTCCAAGGTGAACCTGGGGCTGGGAGGGTGCGAGGCCCTGAGGCCTGCCTTTTCCAACTCTGGCACCAGTGGGTAAATCTGAGACTACCAGGAAGGGGATGGTGATCCCTAACATTCATGGACTTCATAAACAAACAAACCCAGTCGTGATAAATGGAAGAGATAAGAGCTGTGATGAGGGAAGAAAGAGAAGACAGTCTCTAGAAGGACAGAGTGGGGACAGGGGACAGTCCTTGTGTTCATGCATGTCTTCCTTTATTTCCACGAGACAATTAGAGCAGAACTGCCCTGAAAATGCCCAGGACCCATCCAGACACCTCGGGCAAGCTAATGAATCTTTCTGGGCTACAGGTCTCTCATCTCTAAAATGAGGATAATTACAGTAAATATTTCAGTGGGATGTTATGAGCATTAGATGATTTAATACCTAGAAATATTTTAGCATACTTCCTAGGACATAGTAAATGCTCAAAACGTTTTTTTCTGAGGACACTTTTGGTTCTTTTTGATTGTTGTTTATCCATCTGCACACCTATCACCCACTAAATAAGCACTTGCAAGTAGTGCACTGGCAAGAATAATAAACTCGGAGTTAAGTGCTGGATAAACCAAGATCATAATCTCCTCCTTCACCCTTGGGCTGTGGGGTCCCAGGGGGTGTAATCGTGGCTTCATGTGTTTACTGTGAACATCAATAGCTACAAAAGTGCTTTGTAAATGGCAAGGTCAATGATGGCCTGATAACTTTCAAGACAACTGTGCAGGTGTAGGTAGTCTTCTTCCCGCCAGTAAGCTGTCCCTCCCAACCCAATTGGCCATGTCACCCAGGCTGGTGAAGACGTATATCCAGGTGACAAGCTGAGAGCCTGTTCCTCCCAGCTGCTGCGGAATTAACTAAAGCCCCAGTGCAGCCACCAGTGCCAGAGGACAATCTTATGTGACTTACCATGCCTCCCGGAAAGAGCCCTGGAGGAAAAAGAGAAAGAAAATAGTGTGACTCTTCTCTTGTCCCTTATAAGAGGCCAGTCCTCTGAAAGGACACTCCATCACTGCTGGAAGCCCACCCCATGCTGCCTGCCACCCACCTGCCCTTGGTTGAGGAGCTCAAAAAGCCTCCTTCCATTGGCATTTTATTCTGCACGGCCTCCAATTATTGAGACTTTACCACATTACCACCCATTTTCCCCCCAGTTACACCCATATAGTGGTGTAATGCAAAGCCTGGCATAGTGATGCCTAAAGGATCACTTTTTGCCTTAAATAAAGTCATATTATTGCCTGCAGTTAAAGAATATTGGACTCAGGGGCTGAAGATTTCCAACCAGAAAATCTTAGAATTCTTACGAGTGAGCTCAAGCAACCCCTCAATGCAGAATTTTACTGCCTAGGTTGCTGTGGGCAGGTCAGCTTTGTCTCTCTCCTGTCCACCCTGTAGTACCCACCAAGATGTACCTGCCATTGACCCAGGGTAGGTTTTCTCAAAGAGTGCAGGAACTGGAACCACACTCATAGCAGAGAAGCAGCATAGTATCAAGAGCACAAGCTTTAAAGACACATCATTGAGGTTTAAATTGCACTGAGTGATTTTTTTGCTGTGTGACTGATATGGTTTGGCTGTGTCCCTCCCCAAATCTCAACTTGAACTGTATCTCCCAGAATTCCTACGTGTTGTGGGAGGGACCCAGGGGGAGGTAATTGAATCATGGGGACTGGTCTTTCCCATACTATTCTCATGATAATGAATAATTCTCATGAGATCCCATGGGTTTATCAGGATTTCCTCTTTTGCTTCTTCCTCATTTTCTCTGCCACCACCATGTAAGAAGAGCCTTTTGCCTCCTGCCATGATTCTGAGGCCTCCCCGGCCATGTGGAACTGTAAGTCCAGTTAAACCATTTTTCACCATTTTTCATTCCCAGTTTTGGGTATGTCTTTATCAGAAGTGTGGAAAAAAAACTCATACAGTGACTTTGGGCAAGCTAATGAACCTTTCTGGGCACCAGGTCTCTCATCTCTAAAATGAAGATAATTATGGTAAATACTTAAATCAGATGTTGTGATTATTAAATGATTTAATATCTAGAAATATTTTAGCATAATTCCTAGTATGTAGTAAATGCTCAAAACACTTTTTTCCAAATACACTTTTGGTTCTCATAATGATTATTATATTGGTTTATCCATCAGCACACCTGTCACCCACTAAGTGAGCACTTGCAAGTAGTGCACTGGAAAGAATAATGAACTTGGAGTTAAGTGCTGGATAAACCAAGGGCACAGTCTCCTTCCTCACCCTTGGGCTGTGGGGTTTTAGGGGGTGTAATCATGGCTTCATGTGTTTACTATCAATATCAATAGATAGGAAAGTGTCCCATAAATTGTACTGTGTTGTCATTATTAGGACATTGCATCCATGTTTATGTCTTTGTGGCAGAGAGAGGGACCATAGAAAGCATAACATGCATCCGAGAGATTGTTCAATAATCTGAAACTTCACACTCCCTGGTTTGGGAGTTTCTCCCAGGCCATGCTCCTCTCTGCTCTGTCGTCTTCTTTCCCAGAGGTGAAATAGTGGGCACAGGCAAGCCCAGCATAGGGGAGGGGTGGTGGGCGGTGGGACAGTGAGGAATTCTCCTTTCCCAACAGGCCTGGCTCCTCCCATCCCTCACAGAACCAAGGCCAAGGTGTGCCCTATAGATCAGTTGACCCTTCAGCTACCAAGACTGGCCTCTGAGGTGATACAGAGGCTGCTTGATGGGGTCTCTATAGGCCATAAACAGGGCATCTTGGGAAAGGCCACTTTACATCTCTGGCCCCTAGTCTCGGCCTGGAATGCCCACGCCCCTTAGTCCTTGTTAAGCCATGTACACAATGTGATCTAGACGGGCAGTGCCCCAGACTCCTGTCAGTCATGGCTGGGCAGAGGGCAGGAACCTCCTAGAGACTGGATGGGCTTGGCAGGTACGGGTCAGCTGTGCTGGAGAAAAGATGGAACAGCAGCTACAGAGGGCAAGGGAACGAAGTCACAGCTGTGACCACAGTAAATCTTTCCTACCTCTCTGGGTGGGGCAACTGAGGTCAGAGAGGTTAAGGGACTCACCTGGTGAGTAAGTGGCAGAGCCTGTATTTGAACTCAAGTTGGGTTGGCTTAGCAGCCTCTGCTCTTTGCACTATGCTGCTCTTGTTCAAGGGGGACTCAGAGAAAAGTCTGGGGAGCAGGGAATGCTGAAAGCTAACTGCCTGACTTTGCATGGGGCCAGGGTGCAGTTCTCGGGATCACAAACTCACCCCACACTATGAATTTTTTTTCTGCTTGAGGAGAAAACTCCTGTTCCCCATGGCAAAATTTTGATAGGTTCTGATATCCCAATTTCTAAAAATAAATGAAAAAAAAAAAAAAAAAACCACCCCAAACCAAAAGACAAATCTAAGGTAGAGAGGCTTTCTGGGTCATGGCACATGCCCAAATCAGATTCAGAAAAGGAAGAAAAACGTCCTTTTGAAGGTTAACAATTTAAATTCAACCCAGTGTTTATGGCATGACGATTTCATGCTGGGTTGGCTTTTTTTGGGCACACTTTTTCCTGGAGTGGCACAAAATTAGAAGTTTTCAATCACTGCTAATTCCGTCTCCCTACTTCCCCACCCAAGTTTGTACCTTAAGCATTGAGAGGCATGTTTTGAATGCATGGAAAAGGCTAAACTATAATCATTGGCTGAAGTCTAATCCCTCCTGCAATCCCAATAAATGAAAACTAAATATCAGCAAATGGATGAATTTCAGAGAAACATCTGTGTTCCATTACAGAATCGCTGGCAACAATGGTGTTGACATACTCTGTGTTACCAGTTATTTCCTCTTGGATTTGCCGAGACTGGAGGATTCCTTCTCGTTTCTGAAATGGGGGTGGGGAAAGGGGTTGGGAGGAGAAGAGAAAACTATGCTTTAGAAAAATACAGAAACACTGATGAGCATTCCTGATAATGAGAAAGTTACTGGTGTTTAAGAAATGCACCCAAGATAAGATAATGCTGGAAGTGAAAGGAGGTCCTGATTTTCAGGGACTGGACTGAACCATTAGGACGCAAGTGCAATTAGTGTTTAGTCCAAACAAGTAGGCTGTTTCTTGGATGGTGAATCTTTCCTTTCTTTATTGGAAGACATGCTGCTGGAAGCAAACTGTTTGCCTCCTGGAGTAATCCACAATAAACCAAATGGAAATGAAGGCCAGGGTGTGTCTGCCCTCCAGCTGGGGCCACAGAGGGAAGCTGAGAAACACATTTAACTGGGGGGCTGGGTGGAGGAACTGAGGCCAACTAGGAATTCAGACAAGAGGCAGAGGGTTTTTTTTTTTGGTTTTTTTTTTTTTTTTTTTTTTTAACTGATAAATATGGGAGCTTTTAAATAAGTAGTAAGTCCTCACTCAGGTAACTAGCTTATTCTCTGAGAAAAGGTTAAGCATGTTAGAAACTCGTCCGTCCGTCCGTCCATCCATCCATCCATCCATCTGTCCACACTTCTCCCATCAACTTATCCTCTTTCTTGTTTATTTCATTAATCAGTGCCCTCTATGTACAAGGCCCTGTGCTGGAGTTAGAACAAATACTATGGAGTATATGATATAGTTTCTGCCCTTGAGGAGCTAAAGTCAATCGGGATAGAAGAAGTAGACACCTGAGAATGGTTTCCCCAAAACAGTCCTGGTTTATCCCTGATGTCCCAGCATATTAGTAAGATTCCCTTTCATCTCAAAAGTGTTATGAATAATAGATTACGTGGTCACCCTCGGCAGAAAGTGCTGAATGCAGGCCAGGAGCAAGCACTTTTAGCTAGAATGGTCAGAGAAACCTTCCAAGGGGAGGGGGCCCTGGAGCTGGACACTGAGAAGGGGTTATTTCAATGGGAGGAATGGCCCCAGCCAAGAGGCAGAGGCAGGACGCACAAATGTGTTCCAGAGGCCATCCAGGGGAGGGCAGCTGCCATCAGTCAGGGGGCAGCTCTGAGTGCCAGTTTGGAGGGTTTAAAAAGCACTGTGTGGGCATGGGAGCTGACGAAGGAGGTAATGTTGGGGTGCAGGAAGACTTTCTGATGGGTGTGAGGAGGGAGATTCATTCTACTACGTCCCTCCACCACCAGCACCAGACACCTGGAGGATGCTGTGACATAGCAAGCGATTGACCAAGCAAATGCATCTTCCCCAAGGCTGAGATGAGCGTGAAGAAGGAAGGAGCCTCTGAACTTGGGTGGCTCATCTGAGCCCTGCCTTCTCGAGCCTCCTGCCCAAAGTTCCACAGAACCCAGAGTCCTTGCAAAATACTTTTACAGAAGAAAGGAAGAACTGGATAAGACCAAGAGTCTATCTGGCTTAGATTAAGAATGGACTAATCAAAACAAAAAAGGAGGTAAAAGAAAAAAAAAAATCTATCATTTAAAGAGGACCAGGTGAAGATAAATCAGGACTTCTTTCCACATGCAGTTTCAACACAGGCTGTGTTTTCATGTGGGGTTAATGGAATCTGTGTCCTTGTCCTGCATGGCCATTCATAGACGTAAAACCTCATCTCCAACTTTCTGCAAAATTAAATGCTTCTGCATAGAATGGAAAAGAAATCTGGGTTCAATAACCCCTCACACAGCATCCTGATTCACCTCCACCCATTATTTGTTCCCTAAAGAGTTCTCCCTGTGGTTCAGTCTGTGACTCACCACCAATTCTGAGTCTTGCTTCTGTGCCTGTTCAACTTGATAAAGCAAAAACACCCCATAAAACCTGATGTGCATTAATGCCATTTTATGGAACATGTCCTCTTTTCTCCCTCATGCTAACAAAACAGCCTACAGGAGAAATTAAACTGACAACAGGCTTCTGATGGCCTATAATTGAGCTCAAAATAAGGCAGGAGACACAGGCTTGCAATGACCACTGTTTCAAAATAGAAGCCCCCTCTCTCCTGCTCACATTTTCAGTCATCATTCAGTCTGTAGTAATTCCAGCAGGCAGATTTTATTATTTCTGTTAGAGGGCTGTTTATTCTAGCTGATAAGAAAAGTCTTAAGATGTTCAACAAATTCATGCACAAAGAACTGGACTGGATTTGTCACAAAAGAGAAGATAAAGAAGGGCAATTTACATAAAAGTATTTATCTCCTCTAGTGATAAGAGAGCTATTATAAATGAATATAACAGCAGTATGTTTACTTATGAAAATAATTTTTAAAAATTTCAATGTTAGTGATATGTGGTCACTTTTAAAGTACTCTTTCATGAACTGTTTCAGGAACCATGATTAAAAAAAAACAGACTATATTTTCCAGAGCAGTCTGAGGTTCACAGCAAAATTGAGAGGAAGGTACAGACATTTCCAGAGATTTCCTATATATTCCCTGCCCTGACACATACTTGTCCTCACCCACTTTCAATATCCTACACCAGAATGATACACTTTTAACAACCGATGAGCTTATAATTGATACTGTCACTATCACCCAAAGTCTATAACTGACATTAGGGTTCACTCTTGGTGCTGTCCATTCTATGGATTTTGACAAATGTATAGTGACATGTACCTAAAAATCCTCTGTGCTCCCACCTATGGGGACGATGTCCACCTATTCATCTCTGCCTCCCTAATTGTAGTTTTTAAAAACATAAAGAATTGCATTCACACATCATTGATTGGTAAAAATAACATGACAGAGATGACCTGGACTCACTAGGAAGATGCTTGAACCAGAGTAGTCTGAGTTGGCCACATATCCATAGCAGACATAAAATGCTTAGTGCCATGTTTGAGACAAGTGAAGAGCTCAATAACGAGGACATTTAGGACCTTTTGGCCAGTGGCACTCGGTATCTGAGCCACACACATTCCCATTTCCTATGAGCCCTCTCTGCTTCTTACTTGTAGTCCTATCTCCTCAGCAGGCAGGGCCGAGGTGTCATATTCCTGTTATACCTTCTTAATGCTTAGTGGAGTTAAGTACCCAGAGGTGTGGAATAAATAGTTTTTCACTGGGGGACAACTGATCAGTTGATTAGGAGGACCATTTCCTTGTCTCCTCCTGTTGACAGCTGATCCTTGGAAGTTCAACTCAAAGTCCTTTTGTCTTGGAAACTGGCCTGGTCTGACAGGGCAAAGTCTACCAGCCCTCAAGGCTTTTTCTTATCAAGGGATGGCAGAGCCACTGTTATCATTCCCTATTCCAGAGCCTGGATCGCCAGGGAGCTGCTTAGATGGAGAGCTCTCCTTTGCTGCATGTTTATTTGGAAAAGAACAGGAACAAGCAAACAAAAGGATGACCTTTTGCTAAATGGGTATAAAGTTGGAAAATAAAATTGAATTTGGGTATTTAATGGGGTTAGGAGCGGAGTGAGATAGTCACAGGGAGAGAGCACACCCTCATTGTGGAAATTACACAGCCATATGTGAATGGAAATTCCATCCAACAATCTGGAAAAGATGACTTGAGATCCCAGCTGTGCTTCTGTGAGTGGGTGAACAGTGGCAGTACCTTCACTACAGACATGGCCAGTTGGGGTCTCTCTCAAACACATGCACATGTACACACACATTCCCTTATATGCACAGATATCGTTCTCCCCATACCTAAGTATCATTTGTTTAACCAAAATATTATGGTTCTCCATGGTTTGCAGGGCACCTGTACACTCCTGTACACAAACTCACACACACACACACACACCCACATACCTTTCCTCCTGACCCCATGACACACAGCTCACATACATACCGCACACCCTCATCTACACATTACACAGAAAACTCAGACAAAAACACATAAACCATAGGCACATACCCCACACAAAGCTATCTATACACAAGCACACGCTCTTCCATCTTGTGTACACTTACCAGGGGAAGCCAACATGCAACAGAAAGCTCATTCAGTGCCTCCCAATATACTGCACACCCAGGCTCACTCAACATTCATGCAGCCATCCTTCTAATGACCTACTCGACGCACCATAGGAACTCGACCTCCACGACTCTTTAAAGACACAGATGTTTGTAGTGTTACCTGTCTTACCTGGACCACAACCACTTGGATGGAAACATGGTCTGGGAGTCGAATTGGTGCGCGGAAATACTGAGACAGAGCAACGAGCAGGTGTAAGATGGCCACCAGGCTCTTGGCATGAACAGCTGAAATGAAAGAAGATTGAAAAATTACAGCATCTTCTTCCAGGTTCTAGGCAATATAAGCAGATGTTCAAAGTGTAGTAGTACCCCACTGATAGAGTTTGGATATTTGTCCCTGCCCAAATCTCATGCTGAAATGTAATCCCCGGTGTTGGAGGTGGGGCCTGGTGGGAGGTATTTGGATTGTGGGGGTGGATCCCTCATGAATGGCTTAGTGCCATTCCCTTGGTGATAAGTACACTCGAGCTCTCACATGTGATCTGGTGGTTGAAAAGTATATGGCACCTTCCTGCAGCCCACTCTCTCTCTTGCTCCTGCTTTTGTCATATGAAGTGCCTGTTCCCACTTTGCCTCCTGCCATGAGTAAAAGGTCCCTGAGGCCTCCCTGGAAGCCAGGCAGATGCCGGCCAGTTTAAACCTCTTTTATTTATAAATTACCCAGCCTCAAGCCTTTCTTAATGGCTATGCATGAACAGCCTAATATATCCACCCAATGTCCCTTTATACCATGCCTGAGGGTCAGGGGACACCTGTGGTCATCACAGGCCTCACTCTGGGCCCCCTCAAATCTTTCTTTTTTTTTGAAGCAGGGTCTTGCTCTGTTGCTCAGGCTGGAGTGCAGTGGTACAATCCTAGCTCACTGCAGCCTCGAACTCCTAGGCTCAAGCAATCCTCCCGCCTTGGCCTCTGTGGAGTAGCTGGGACTACAGGGATGTGCCACCATGCCTGGCCCCCTCAGTTCTTTGCCAGGTCCCATGGGGCTCCTTCTTGGGTCATATTATTGCCAGATTTCCAATGTGGCACCTCTCTAATCCCAGGTTCCCATGAGGATCCTGACAACTGCTGAGCTCTGAGCTCAGATCAGCTCTCTCCCGGTCCCATGTCCCTGCCCACTCCACTCCAATCACCATAAGCATGTCTGCTCTGCACTCCCTCTCCCTTCCCACTTAACCATGAACTCTGGATTATCACTACTACCCTTGTCTCAAGACTGCACATAAAGCACGCCCTTAATAAATAAACATTGAGTCAGGAACACTAGGTCTCTTCCTTGGTTCAGGGCTTTAAGATCCCTGGAAGAAGCCATGAGAGAGACATTCAAAGGGCTATGTTACTTGGCTTGAGTGTCACTATGGTCACTGTAGGCAATGCCCTTTAAGGAGCAGCTGGGACGGGATGTTACTGAGCCAGGGGGCTGCCAAAGCTGCTGAGTCATGTGCTCAAAGTCAAGCCATTTACACCAGAGAAGGCAGGGTCACACTGGGTTGTAGTTTTCTCACTAGATGAGGAGAAAAAGACTCAGTGAGGTGCACAGAGGGTCAGGCAGACTGGAGCCTGAATTCTAACTTTATAATCTACCACTTATTTACTGGCTACATGGCCTTGGGTAGGGTAGGCCACCGAAGGCCTCTGAGCCTTAATTTGCTCATCTTTACAAATGGAGGTAACAGAACCTATGTGGATGTACAGGTTGTAAAGATTCCCCAAAAGCCTTCATTAAAAAAAAAAAATGAAAATAGTTACACTAGAGTGGATAGTCTTAATTTTTTTCCTATTTCAAAATATTCTTTAGAATAAAAATCTGCCATCTTTTCAATTAAAACAAATTCTAGCCACTGTTGAACATTTGTGTGCCCCTATCATTCCTGCCTCTCGACATGTCTCCTGGGAGTTTTCTCTCTGATGCTCCTGGAACACAACAGGTGGCCAGGAATGGCTGATTTTTTTTTTTTATTATACCTTATGTGAAATTACCTGGCACCTAGGCAACTAAAACATGCCAGCTTTATTCCCTTTCTTTCTCATCAAAGGGAAGATTCATCAGATATTTTGCCTGCCTTCACAGTCCTACCAGCTTCACGGCTCTTCATTACAGGGGGCATTTAAGGGAATAACAAAAAAAAAATGCCTATTTTGTGTACTTCGCATGCACTAGGCCCATTATTAGGATGTCATTCTGTCTTCCCTGGGATCAGTGAGTCTGATTTAGCAGAAGCTTTGAGAAATCACTAAGAAAAGAGAATGATTCAGACATTCCTTTGTAACTCATTAGGGTTTCTGGTTATCACTGCTACTTCAAAGAAGGTTTTCTACTGATTATGAACAGCAGCTCACCATCACCACAAACAGAAGCTGAACTGCTCTGAACTCCTAGCCTTCCAGAAGGTTTCAATTTTGGGCTTTCGGGCCTTGTTAACTAAGTTTTACCCAGACTTACAGCCTCAAAAAAAGATCCTGATGTGGCACTGACCCACTGTGACCCACTGACATGGTGTGGTCACCATCAGAGGCAAATCCAGGTTTGCTCTTCTCATCAGAACTACCGGCCCACCACCTGGCGTCACTGAGGGTTGTAAGAACATTTGCTACCCCTCTCCCCTTTAATGGCAAAATATAATGCTAGAAAAGTTGTGATCAAGTAAGTTGTTCTTATACCCTGGTGACATTGTACACCATCTCCATTGTCTTAGTGAGCAATGCAGAGCTATACCATAAGCATCATATAGATGTCAGACTCATTCAATGAATGCTCTATCCTCCTGGGATTTTTTTTAGAAAGAAATAGTCTATAGTCTCACACACATACATACTACGCTACGTGTACAAAGATGTTACTGTGTAATATACTATGATGTTTTAAAACCCTGGAAAACACTATGTCCAATAACAAGAGGATGGTTTAGATCAGCATTTTTCAAACTTTTAAATATGAAGCACAGAAATCCTTTGTTCTAAAAGTTGATAGTTAAAACTGATGAAAAAAGTACAACTGCTCCGCTTAAAGTGAGGATTCTGGAGTCCTAACTGCAGCCTACCCATGACTTCTTGTCTTCTCCTTGGTGATGCTAGAGTTTCTCCTTGCAAATCCCTAGTTTTGGACCAACCATAGTTGAATAACCACTGCTTTAAGAAGTTATGGTATATACACATAATGAATAGTTTGCATGCATTGAAAATCATAGTTAAGATAGTATAGCTATATATATGTGTATATGTGTATATATCTATATACACATGTGTATATGTGTGTAATATACATAGCTATAAATATACATTTATGGATATATGCATACATAAAAGCATATACATATGTATGTATATCTACATATACACACACAAACATGTGCTTGTGGCCAACATTTGGAAAGGAATATATTAAAACAAATGAAAATAGTTATGCTAGAGTGGAAAGATTGTTTTTTTTTTTTTGAGATGGATTTTTGCTCGTCGCCCAGGTTGGAGTGCAATGACTAGATCTCGTCTCACTGCAAACACCTCCTCCTGGGTTCAAGTGATTCTCCTGACTCAGCCTCCCAAGTAGCTGGGATTATAGGTGCATGCCACCATACCTGGCAATTTTTGTGCTTTTAGTAAAGAGGGAGTTTCACCATGTTGGCCAGGCTGGTATCAAACTCCTGACCTCAGGTGATCCACCCACCTTGGCCTCCCAAAGTGCTGGGATTACAGGTGTGGGCCACCGTGCCCCGCCAGATAGGTTTTTTTTCCCCCTTTTTTTCTTTTTTCTGAGATGGAGTCTCACTCTGTCACCCAGGCTGGAGTGCATTGGTGCAATCTTGGCTCACTGCAAGCTCCGCCTCCTGGGTTCAAGCGAATCTCCTGCCTCAGCCTCCCGAGTAGCTGGGATTACAGGCACCTGCCACCACGCTGGGCTAATTTTTGTATTTTTTAGTAGAGACGGGGTTTTGCCATGTTGGCCAGGCTGGTCTCAAAGTCCTGACCTCAGGTGATCCACCCACCTTGGCCTTCCAAAGTGCTGGGATTACAGGTGTGAGCCACAGCGCCCAGCCTTTTTGCCTATTTTCAAATATTCTTTAGAACAAAAATATGCCATTTTTCCAATTAAAACAGATTCTACCCACTGTTGAACATTTGTGCACCCTCATCATTGCTGCCTCTCAACACGTCTCCTGGGAATTTTCTCCCTGTGCTCAACAGAAGCTGAGGCCAACATGTGCCCGCAGTCAAGTCAGGAGGGAACATATGGGATAAGAGTAAGCGCCCAGGCCTCACTGTGCAAGCCGGGAACCGCAGCTGCAAGGCTAAGAGTGTCACTCTAGGGCTGGAAAGCAGTATTTAAAACAGGGCTGCTGAGTTAGAAATAGTCTTCCAAACACGTCCTGTGGTGGAAACAGAAATTGGTGTAATTTTTCTGGAGGTAATTTAACATTATGTACTATGACCTTAAAAATGCTCTCACCCTTTGGCCCTAACATACCACTCTTAGGTATTTATCCTAAAGAAGTCATTATGGCTACAAGCAGGGAGAATGCATCCAGCTGTATTGATATCAGTGGGAAAACGGAGAACAATCTGAAAATCCATTATCAGTTAAGTAAATTATGGTAGATCCATACAATGTCACATTATATAGTATTAAAAGTGACATACAGAAGAATATTTAATGATTTGTCAATATATACATCTTCCAAACAACATAAACAGGTTGATCTCATTTTTGCTAAAAGTTTTTTATATATACATATATAAAATATTATACACTACTTATTACACACGTACAGACACACACAGAACTTGAAGAACACAGCACAATGTTCACGGTTCTTGTCTCTAGGTGGGCAGTGAAAAGACAAAAGTCCCTGCCCTCATGAAGTTTACCTTCATAGTTTCTTAACCTCTCTATGCCCTGACTTTCCCATCTGTAACATGGGAATAAAAGAATTCTTACTTCAGATGGGTGAGTGAAGATTACAAAGATTAAAATACATAAAGTGTTTAGAAGAATACAAGACATACAATAAGCATAATACATGTGTTAAACGTTAATATTTAAATTTATCTGCACTTTGTAAATTTTCAATAATGAAAATTACTGTTGTGAATTAGAAAAAAAAAAAAAGGAAGAAATCCCTAAAGCCCCAGATCAAGGACCTTGGTAACTCAGCAGCCTGTCCCTACCACCCTCATCCTGAGCGGAGAGGCGCCACAGTGTCCTCAGGTTTACATCCACGGAAGGTAACTGAGAGAGGAGACAGAGCTTTTCCCCCAGGAGCTGAGCCTGCCACATTCCTTATGGAACAAGCCACTATGACTTTGTAAATAAGCCCAGCTCTTCAAAAGCCCCAAGGCATCACAGGGAGCTAGCCACCAAGATGAGATAATTATTCCCTCTGACCTAGTAATCCATCTCAGTTCTGGAAATTTATCTAAAGGGAGTAATTCAAGCAAAAAGAGGCACAAGCTAAGACATTCAGTTTGGTGCTATCTGATATTAGAAATAGGTTGGGAAACATCCTAAAAGGATAGGCATCAACCTAGGGTTTAAGTTAACAGTGGGATATCTACCCTATGAAATAGAAACAGCTATCAAAAATTTTAACTACAAAGACCACGAGGGAATGTAGAAAATACGTGTGATGTAAGATCAAGCGAAAAATAACAAAACACAAAAATGTATATGACTTGGGCCAGGTGCAGTGGCTCACGCCTGTAATCCTGGCACTTTGGGAGGCCAAGGCGGGTGGATCACCTGAAGTCAGGACTTTGAGACCAGCCTGGCCATGGCGAATTCCTGTCTCTACTAAAAATACGAAAGTTAGGTGGGCGTGGTGGGGCATCCCTGTAATCCCAGCTACTCAGGAGGCTGAGGCAGGAGAACTGCTTGAACCCAGGAGGCGAAGGTTGCAGTGAGCCAAGATTGTGCCACTTCACTTCAGCCTGGGCAACAGAGCGAGACTCCATCTCAAAAAAAAAAAAAAAAAAAAAGTGTATATGACCTGACCAAGCAAAATGATGCAGTGATGTAACTAGTAACAAATGAAACAGTGAAATGAAACAAATGAAAACAAACAAATGAAAAGCTAGATTAGCATGGTAATACGAGTGATGATTTTTCTTGCACACATTTCCCCGTAAGAAATTAAAGTAAGCATAAACCAAACAAATCATTCAAAGCCACTGGAGACAATGTTCTTGATGTGGCTTTAAAAGACCCTGTTCTAGGCTGGGCACAGTGGCTTGTGCCTGTAATTCTAGCACTTTGGGAGGCCGAGGCGGGTGGACTGCCTGAGCTCAGGAGTTCGAGACCAGCCTGGGCAACATGGTGAAACCCTGTCTCTAGTAAAATACAAAAGAAATTAGCTGGGCTTGGTGGCACACGCCTGTAATCCCAGCTACTCGGGAGGCTGAGGCATGAGAATCGCTTGAACCTGGGAGGCGTAGGTTGCAGTGAGCTGAGATTGCACCACTGCCCTCCAGCCTGGGCAAGGGTGAGACTCTGTCTCTACAAAAAAATAATAATAGTAATAAAAGACTCTGTTCTTCTATCTCAGACTTTCCCAAATTGGGTGCCATGATAAGTTAAATATGTTTGACTTGTTTTTTTTGGAGGGGTACAGGGAGGTGGTCCCTATTCAAAGGAGCGGGAGATAGGATCAAACCAAACTAAACAGCAGTCTTCATTAGAGGACTTCTCTAATGTTTATGACTATTGTGGATTTTTAAAATGCAGATACATTTCCCAAACTAGTCATCAACCTCCCTGCCCTGCCTTGTTCTCCCCCATTGACAATACTAGCATTCCTGGAACACAGTGAAACAGAGCCCCTCTCCTTGATAGCATCTAGGGCCCAGGGCACGGCCTCCCCTCCTCCTGCCCTCAGGTGTCTCCCTCTGCGGGCAAAGAACGCCCTGTGCCCTGTTCCCAGCGTCACTGCTGTGCAAAGCAGCTGATCATGCTGTGCACAAAAACGTGTAATTATGCCGAGGAGGCACTTGGTGTCTCAGCCCCAACGTCAGATGTTAGAGACCTGCTGGAGGGATTGTGACTGGCAGTTACTGGGTTTCTAACTTTAGAGGTGAAGACTCCATTTGCTTTCCCAAGTTTGAAAAGTATTTTTTTTTGTAGGGGGCTGTTGATTTTAAGTTGTGTAAGTTAGACGCAATAAAGCATAGTACTTAACCCCTTAATAGTTAAAGGCAAAACACAGTCTAATCTAATCTTTTATTAATCTAAATTCATATTTTTATCTATTACAATAAACTTTGGAATCCAGTTGCTACTGCTAGATTCACCTAATCCCTTGATTAATTCTGATAGGGACTCATTAAGTCTGTATTAGACACCGGGCCTTTGGAGCAGTAAATGAACTAATAATTTATAAACTAATAATTATTATAAACTAATAATTTATGCTTTCTGAGGTCTCTGAGCTATGCTACCTGTAAAAAGCTGAATTTTAACATCTTGTTTCAGTGCCTATGATCTCAGCCATATCTTTGCTCTTTCTAGAAAATGAAGGGGGATTGGAAGGGCGCGGGCTTTGGAATAGACAGAACTGAATCCTTGCTCCCTGCTTCTCAGCTGTGTGAATGTGGGGACCTCAGCTTCCCAAGCCTCTCCAAGCTGCAGACAACAGCTTTCTCAAAAGGCTGTGCTGGGACTTAGAAGAAGTAGCTCAGTGAATGAGTTTCCTTCCCTTCCCCATTTCACGTGAGGTTTCTATGCAAAGCCTTTTACAGAAGAGGAACGTGAGATTTTGACATTCTGTTATTTTTCCCCAAGGGTATGGATGGAACTTCTTCCAAGTTCTGAGGAAGCGGGGCAACTTGTTCAAAGATAAATGAGTTTGACCCCCTCCCCTGAAGCCTGCCAAGCTTATGGATGGCTTCTTGGGGAAGCCCCATGGCAGGGACCACAGGCATTGTTTAATGGTGCCCCTTTCCTTTGTTCAACTCACAATCCACATTCCACTTGATGCTCCTGGGAGGAAGTTTCAGGGTTTCATTGATCTTCTCCAGGACAGTCTGCAGTTTTTGCTTCTGAGCAATCTCTGACTGGGTGACCTCAGCCACATTTAGCTTCTCACTCTCCAGTTTCTCTGAGGGTGACAAGGGAAAAGAGAACAGCTGTTATGCTGGGCCCCAGACAACCCTACTGCATGCACTTACTCAGTTATTCGGTCTCTCATGCACTCATGCATGCATGCACTCTTGCAACAATAGATACTGGATGCCTACCAGCAGAGGGACACTGCTGTCCCCTCATCACCTTATGGTGGCACCAGCAGCATCAGTACTGTGAGAGCCTCATGATCATGACTTGAATCCCCAGATCCCAGGGGCATTTAACCTAGCCTGTCATATTTGAACTCTATCATTCTGGAGTTTTCTCCTTCTTTTCAATTCTATCTTCTCCAAGGACATCTCTGTGCTCCGACTGGAAAGCCTTCTCTGTAGAGTTAGTCAAGGCATTTTGTACATTCCTGTAGTACAGTCTGGTCAGGTCCAATCATACTTATCTGTTTTAAGTACCTTCTTTCCTTTTAAACCCACCTGGAAGGTAACTTACTTAATGTGTCATATTTAATCAATTCTAAGGCACATATTTTTCACATTTTAACATCCTTAAAGTCAGGTTGTGTTTTACTGGCATCCTACAATGGCTGCCAGCTAGGTGGAAGGTCTAAGAGTTATCATTGTCTCCACGGGCATGAACTTGCTTGTAGCTCTTCACAGTATGATTACTTACATGTCTCAATAAGCCTACATGAGCACCTTCAAAAAGTATAAAATAAAAATTCTCAGCAACAAGAAAGCATTGAGTAATAGCTTAAAGTGATTTTTCTCTTTCTGAGTGGTTTTTATATAATGGTGTGTTTTAAAATCAATAGTTTTTTTTTATGCAATGACATAACACCTTAATACTTAAAAAAAAGGAAAAACTCAGTCTAATCATTTTGTTAATCTAAATTCATATTTTAATCTATTACAAAGAAAAAAACAACTTTGGACTCCTTAACAGGAAATTGGTTGCCTACCACTGGAACTCACCCAATCACTTCTAATTAATTTAAGATTGACAGAACTGCACACATTTAAAATATCTTTTCTCCTAATTTTTAAGGGCTGCTATACAAGTTAAATTTTACTATGTATCAATATTTTCCCTAATGCTTACATAATTTATTTTTAAGTAACTGTGGTTTATCTAAGCCAAATGCCCCTTGAGTCATTCTTTGAAGATAAAGTTGCCCAATGGAGAATTTATGCAGGTTCTGTGGATTTGCGAATTTTTTTAAGCACCTCAGTAGGACAATCTCAAGCTATTCTTACCTGTGATGGCCTGAAATGTTCTCTTTAGTTGTTTAAGCCATTTTTATCTCTAAAGTTCAGGGATTTAACAAGAATAAATCTAAATGTCTTCTTCTTACATCTTGAAGAGACCTTGTGTGTGCCTTATCCATTTTTAGGCTGAATTCTTATCTTGGATCCTCTCCTACTGAAAAAATGACAAGTTATTTTCTTTCACTTTTTCCCATTATTTTCAGATGATGTAATTGTCTCTATAGAAGCAAGTTATTTTAATCTTACTTTGCAACTACAAGCATTGGATAGAGGCTGCCCAAAATGCTAGGTTAAGAACCTTCTGGTCTTATCTTGGCTCAGAGGCAAAGATTGCAGGCAAAGATTACTGATGACTGTTGTGAGAGAGGGTTGGGTGGGGAGGAGAGGAGTGAGGAGGAGCCACTTATTTGCTAGCTCTGCTGTGTTGCATCATTGTCTATACATTTTCATATTTAAAATCTGGCATTGAACAGATTTTCAGCTTAGGTCTCTGAGTCTGTTTTCTAGGTCAATAACTTTTTCTTGCACAGTTGTCTAGTTCATTCTTTTTTTTTTTAAATGGTGTGACATAAGAAGAAATATACATCTTGCCTCCTTGATCTCCCTTCCTAGCACAGAGCTTCTAAAAACCTTGTAACTTTCTGAAAGATGATAGTGGCATCTATGGTTATAATATTTGGGTTTTGTCCCCAGTTCCTGAAAAAGCTCTGAAATGATTAAGGTAAAAGGAACATCTTTTGTTATTCATAACAAGCCCCTTTCACCTACATCTGAGTTTATGTTAATGAGGCAACTTTTAGAAAGCTCTGAGGATGGGGAAGCTGATTGCCAGGAGAACCAAGCATATGATTAAAGGATTGGAACATTCAGCCTCATACCCCCGACCCATGAGAAAGGGGAAGGAAGCTGGAGGTCAACTATCAATGGCCAGTGATTTAATCAGTTATGCCTACTTAATGACACTTCATAAAAACTCTGGCCGAAAATGTTCAGAGAGCTTCCTGGTTGGTAAATATATAAAGGTGCTGGAGGGTCATGCACATGAGAAAGCATGGAAGCTCTGTGCCTCTCCCACAAACCATGCCCTATGCATCTCTTCCTTTTGGCTGATTTTGAGTTTTATCCTTTATAATAGACTAGTAAACCTAAGTGCCTTCCTGAGTTCTGTGTGCCATTCTAGCAAATGATCATATCTGAGGAAAGGGTTTTGGAAACCCCTGATCTATTATAGCTAGTCGGTCAGAAGTACCAGAGGTCTGAACTTGGCGAATGCCAACTGAAGTGGGGACACTCTTGTGGCACTGAGCCCTTAACCTGTGAGGGCTGTGCTAAGTTTGGGACAGTAGTATCAAAATTAAATTGTAGGACACCCTGTTGCTGTCCATAGAGAACTGGAAAATTGCTTAGTGTGGAAAACCCACATATTTGGTGTCAGAAGTGTTAGGAGTATAGAGAAATGTGTTTTCCATTATTGGATTTCACACCTTACTTACTGAAGCATCCATTGTTTTTCTGTTTCCACTAATATATTTAACTAGTCTATGGTACTAAAATTGTAGTGCATTCTTCCTAAAATTAATTTTTTTCCTTTTTTTTTTTAGCGTCTGGTATTTCTTATTTAGGAGAAGCATTTTTGTGGCTTTGTTTTGTGTTGCAAATGTTTTATAAAATGTAATTCTGCTTTACTTCTTTCCATTTTAGTCATTATGCTTTGGGTTTATATTCTTGCTTTTAATTTTTGCTGTTCGATATTTTAGTTTAGGCATTGATATTGGTATTAAATGGATTTGCATAAAAATATATCGAAGTAATCCTTATTGTGTGTGTGTTAATATTCTCTCTTTTTTTTTTTTTTTGAGATGGAGTCTCATTATGTTGCCCAAGCTGGAGTGCAGTGGCACAATCTCAGCTTACTGCAACCTCTGCCTCCCGGGTTCAAGTGATTCTCCTGTCTCAGCCTCCTAAGTAGCTGGGATTACAGGCATGCACCACCACGCCCAGCTAATTTTTGTATTTTTAGTAGAGATGGGGTTTCATTATGTTGGTCAGGCTAGTCTCGAACTCCTGGACTCAAGAGATCCACCCACCTCAGCCTCCTAAAGTGCTGGGATTACAGGCATGAGCCACCACACTCAGCCTTCTCTTTCTCTTTTAATGAAAATGAGATTATAGTATATATATATTTTTGCTATTGGCTTTTTTCCACTCATATATATATCATAAGTCTTTTCAGGTCAATATATGAATATAACTCATTATTTTTCAAAACTGCATATTGCATTATATGACTTATAACTTGACATACAGCCAGGTTATAACCCACATTTTCTGTATTTGTAATAAAGTTGCAATAAACATCTTGTGTGTGTGTGTGTGTATGTATTACTAATTGATTACTGCTGGTAAACATGAAAGCTATTGCCTTACAGATTTTTTCCTTGTATGTTGTCATCTTACCAAATCCCTTTATTAGTCCTATTGCGGTTTGAGTCTTCAGCATTCTCTGGGTATACAAATAAAACATCATTATCTCTATTTTGCAGGCTTATGTGACATATTTTAATTTTCTAACATTTTAAATAAA
Source organism: Homo sapiens (assembly GCF_000001405.40). Classification (NCBI taxonomy): domain Eukaryota; kingdom Metazoa; phylum Chordata; class Mammalia; order Primates; family Hominidae; genus Homo; species Homo sapiens. The sequence goes on along the minus strand of NC_000011.10, from coordinate 12,492,627 downwards.
AGATTAATTTGCGAACTTCTTCTGCTATTCCTACCACCTCCTTTATCTTTAAGGTATTCAACCCTTAAAATATAAGAGGCCCCCTCAAATAATATTTCTATAGCTTAATAGTAATTTACTCAACATTACTAAGGATTTAAAGATAATGTTCTTTTGTGGGCTAATTTCAGCTAGCTCCATAAAGTTTTCTATTGCTGAAGTTTTATTCTTCCAGGAAACTGTTTCTCTCATGTTTCCATAGTTACACAAATTGTTCATAACTAGTTTAACTCTTCATAAGTATTAGGCATGATTTTGAAATTGATAGGATGTGATTTAGAAAATTTTCTCAGGTGGATTATTTTGTGAATCTTTGAGTTGTTTTTGAAGGTATTACCCAAATTTGCTTTTGGAGAGATTATATATAGAAAACAATGAAACAGTAGTCAAAAGTTCTGACGCATAAAGACAAGGCAGAATAAACTCAATTACCCTGAATGGTGGGAGAACTGAGATGTTCTAACAAACACAATTGTCATATATACCACACTATATTAACGTAACCACCCTTCAAGAACTAAAATATGTAAAATACTCTTTCCAGTATGAACAGTTCCTGAGTTGTTTAAAAAATACTTTTGTCTCCAAGTATATTAGGAGAGAAACTTGCATTGTAGTCAGAGAATTTGGTCTGTATGCTAATTTGTTGAGATTTGCTTTATGGGCATAGTCAAATTTCGTTAAGTGTTCCATGAGCAGTTGAAAAGAATACAGTTTGCAGGGTATCATATGCTATATACAGATTAGTTAGAGCTGATTAACTGTATTATTCAAATATTCTCTATGAACTTTTTTCTTAATATGTTATTAAGAGAAGTATGTTAAAAACTAGCACTGTGATAGGTTTGTCAAATTCTTGAAGTAATGATTATCATTTTAAATTTTTAAATATTTGATATACAAAAGTACATATAAGTTTAAAATTTCTATATTTTCCTAGTGACTTTAATTTCTTATTAATATGTAGTGACTCTCTGTAGTAATGCCTTTTGCCTTAAAGTCTATTTTGTATGATGTAAAATAGTTACCCCAGCTTTAAAAAAATTAGTCCTGTATACATAATTATTTCCACCCTTTTTCTTTCAACCTTCGCGTGTCCCTCATTTATTAAAACTATCTCAGCTGGGCGTGGTGGCTTTATGCCTGTAATCCCAGCACTTTGGGAAGCTGAGGCAGGAGGACTGCTTGAGGCCAGGAGTTGGAGACCAGCCTGGGCAACATAGCGAGACCCTGTCTGTACAAAAAATAAGAAGATACTTAGCTGGGCATGGTGGCACACACCTGTAGTCCTAACTACCTGGGGGGCTGAAATGGGAGGATTTCTTTTGAGCCTGGGAGGTAGAGGCTACAGTCGGCTGTGATTGTGCCACTGTACTCCAGCCTGGGTAACAGAGCAAGACCCTGTCTCAAAACAAAACAAAACTATCTCTTGTATATAGTATTTGGCAAGAATTTGTTTTGTTATTTGGTCTGATATTGAGTTTACCAGTATACTTGGATTCACTTCTACCAACTTATTCTGAACTTTCTATTTAGTGGGTTTTCCGATTCTTCTCCCACTTCCAGCCTTGTTTTTTTTTGGATTAATGTTTTCATTCTTTCTCATTCCATTTTCTCCCCATGATTAGTAGGGAGGTTATATACTCTGTTTCTATTATTTCAGTATTTATGATAGAAAATTTATCATTCATATTTAACTTAATAAAGTCTTAAGCTAATTGGTATCTTTACCCATATACTAAACAATACAAAGACCTCAGCACGCGTTGACTCCAATTACATAATTCCTGATTTATGTGCTACGGTTGTATGGGATTCTGATTCTATCTTGTTTTAATTAACAAATTAGACATTATTGTGATTATTTTATATTCATTTAATTATGGCTTTGATCTACCCACCATGATAATCTTTGTTCACTATTGCATTTTAGGTATTTTTGGGGGGTTCATTTTCCTTCCTATTTTACATTCTTGAGAAATTCCTTTGCGGGGGTCTATTGGTAATAAACCCTCTCAGTTTGTGTTTATTGAAAATGCCTTTATTTTCTCTCTCTCTCTTTTTTTTTTTTTGAGACATAGTCTTACTCTATCACCCAGGCTGGAGTGCAGTGGCTCGATCTCTGCTCACTGCAACCTCCACCTCAAGTGATTCTCCTGCCTCAGCCTCCCAAGTAGCTGAGATTACAGGTGTGCGCCACTATTGCCTGGCTAATTTTTGTATTTTTAGTAGAAATGGGGTTTCACCATGTTGATCAGGCTAGTCTTGAACTCCTGAGCTCAGGTGATCCATTCGCCTCAGCCTCCCAAAGTGCTGGGATTACAGGCGTGAGTCACTGAGCCCCGCCTCTCCTAACTTTTTTTTTTTTTTTTTGAGACTGAGTCTCACTCTGTCACCCAGGCTGGAGTGCAGTGGCACGATCTCGGCTCACGGCAAGCTCTGCTTCCCTGGTTCACGCCATTCTCCTGCCTCAGCCTCCCGAGTAGCTGGGACTACAGGTGCCCACCACCACACCCGGCTAATTTTTTGTATTTTTCATAGAGACGGGGTTTCACCATGTTAGCCAGGATGGTCTCGATCTCCTGACCTTGTGATCCATCTGCCTTGGCCTCCCAAAATGCTGGGATTATAGGCGTGAGCCACTGCACCTGGCTGCCTCTCCTAACTTTTTAAAGCCGCCTCTCCTAACAGTTTTTTTGGCTGTGTATGAACTTATAAGTTGATCATTTTTGTCAGCACTTTAAAGACATCAAAGTATTTTGATATCTTCAGTATTAATATCTTTTGGCTTTTTTTGTTCCTTGTGAAAGACAGCTTTCAGTCTGTTGTTCCTTTATAAATAATTGATTTTTTCCTCTATGCTTTTAATCATTTGTCTTCAGTGTTCTTAGGTTTCACTGTAAAATGTGTAGGTGTAGATTTGTCACTACTTATACTATTTGGGATTCACTGAGCTCCCTGAATCTGAGGATTCATGTCTTTCATCAATTCTAGAAAATTCTCATTCATTATGTTTTCTTTAAATATTTACTATACTCCATTTTCTTTTCTTCTAGAATTCCAGTTAGCTATGTATGTTGCATCTACTTAGACTAACCTCTATGTTTTCAAATTCTCTTTCTCGTTTTCTATTCTGTTGTCTTTCTATACTGGATTCTGGGTAATTTCTCTAGTGCTGTCTTCTGGTTCATTAATTCCTTCTTTAGCTGTGTCTAATCCATTGAGGTTTCTAGTTTCATTATTATTCACACTTTTTCATTTCTAGAAGTTCTATTTGGTTGTTTTTCATATCTACCTTCCAGTCTTAATAGTTTCTTGTTCTTTTATCATTTTTAAGTCTTTAAAAACATTTATTTTGACATATTAAACATACTCATTTTATATTCTATAACTGAACACTTTTTTTCTTTTTCTTTTTTTTTTTTAAATAGAGGTGGGGTCTCACCATATTGCCCATGCTAGTCTCGAACTCCTGGGCTCAAGCAATCCTCCCACCTTGGCTTCCCAAAGTGCTGGGGCTACAGGTATGAGCCACCATACCCAGTCTATAGCTCAACAGTTTCTAATATTTATAGTATTTGTGGGATGAATCTACAGATTATTGTTTCTGTTGACAGTGCTCATGGTGGCTTACGCTCATGTCTTTGGTGATTTCTAATTTTGAGGTCATATTCCTTGGAATTTTAACTCTGGGAGTTCTTTGTGGTCTGAGTTTAGAGTTCCTTCCTCTTTAAAAGAAGGACATATGTTTGCTTCTGTCTTGGGGCACTAGTGACCTGGGACAACTTGTAACTAAAATTTCAATTTAGATTTTTTAAAGTCACATAAGTACTGTGAATCCTAGCCTTAAATCTGTGTGAGTATAGACTTTTGATGAGGAGTTATCTGAAGCAGACTTCTTTTTAATTGTTCTGTTCACATCCAAGGCTAAGATAATTTATCCTTATTGCCTCTTTCTGTGGGACAAATTTTGTACTCATTGAAAGAGTTGCCCTTTCAAGACCATGGCTCTATTCAGGGGGCTCGAATCCAACCCTCTTTCTTGCTCAGACTCTACCCAAGATTTGTCTCCTGACCCTGTATGTGTGACCCTTTAAACTTCAGGCTATAGGCCATTAGGAATGATAGGTTATTAGGAATTAGCACTTATCCCACTAGATTTATACTTCCTTCTTGTTCTTGGAATCAGAAGAATTTCCTTCCTTTTCACACCAGTTTAGCCATCCCATACAAAAATATGTTCTTGAAGGCTTATCCAGATTTTTAAAGCATGAGGTACCAATAAGATTTATCTGAACATCTAGTCATCAGCCATAATGCTAAAAATGAAAATCTATTTTCTTATCATATTAATTAGGACCTCTGAAACACTTATAATAGTTGTAACAGCCATTATTTCTCATTTGTCCCTAATACCACATCTCTGATATTTCACTATTTAATATGTTCAGTTAGGTTTTATTTAGTGGTCTTTATCATATTTAAGTAGTTTCCTCTTTCTATTTTACTTGAAATGACTGTTCAAATATGTATCAAATGTTATTTGATATCTACTGATGGGTTAATTCAGTTTTGCTCCTGAAATTTACATATGCACTCAACCAATTTCAATAAGACTGATAATATACAAACAGAGAAAATTCAAGCTGTGAAAACTGTCTCCTTTCCATGGCAGTCCCAAGTTCCCTAGTCCCATTCATAGAGACAGTTTATTATGACTATTACGAGAAATATTCTATGCATACAAACATTGTATGTGTCCCTTGACACACACACACACAGTCGTTCTCTACCATGCCTTTTTCTATGTAGTAAGACATTTTAGAGAGCTTCTCTATTATTTATAAAGAATAATAATAAAAAACTTTCATCTAACTTTTGAGTTTGAGATGAGAAAATAACTCTTTCAGTTTAAGAATAGCAGCATATATCAACAATCCTAAAATCAGATTATAGGAGGAGGATCTTCAAGCAGGGCTATTCAGCAGAACTATCTGGTATGATGGCAATGTTCATTTTTTTAATTGTCCAACGTGGTAGCTACTAGCTACATTTGGCTATTGAGCACTTGATATCTAGCTGGTGTAACTGAGAAAATGAATGTTCCATTTTAATTGCTTTTAACAGCTGCATATGGCTATTGGTTGCTGAATTGAATAGCTCAGCCATAGAGGTTTTTAAAGCCACCTTCCTGACTTTACAGGAGAGTGATCGGAGTAACAGAGGTATGTTTTAGTGGTGAAACCAAGATTGGAACTGAGATCTCCTGTTTCTTCATTCCTGCTTCAATTTTAGCATAGCTGCCACTTCAGCCCAGCATTTTAGGGCATAGAAAAGTGACTCTCAAAGTAAACAAGATCAAACTCTTCAAGATGCATCTCCTCCTGGGGTTCATGGAGTCATACCTGTTCAACATCCACCACATAGAATCAGCCTGGTTTACTCTAGCTACTCTCCCTACATCTCTAGGTCCTCTTCAAGCTTTTCCCCATCCAAACTGACACTCCTCTATTTGACACTATCCTTTTCTCATGAGGAGATGCTCTGCTGGAGTTCCTTCCACTCTCTCTGAGCATCTCCCATACTGCTCCTATGTTATTTCCTAAAGCCCCATTTCTGACTGTGTTGTTTTGCTCATAAGGCACCACTAGTTGCCGCTACCAAAACAATACAGTCTAAAACTCTTAGTTCATGGTCCTCTAATGTGAGCTTCATCTTCTTCCTTTATTTTATTTATTGTTTTGAGACAGAGTCTCACTTTGTCTTCCAGGCTGGAGTGCAGTGGTACGATCTCAGCTCACTGCAACCTCTGCCTCCTGGGCTCAAGTGATCCTCCTGCCTCAGTCTCCTGAGAAGCTGGGATTACAGGCGCCCACCACCATGCCCCACTAATTTTTGTATTTTTAGTAGAAATGAGGTTTTATCATGTTGGTCAGGCTGGTCTTGAATTCCTGGCCTCAAGTGATCTGCCTGCCTCGGCCTCCTAAAGTGCTGGGATTACAGGCATGAGCCACCGCACCCAGCTTTATTTTATTTTATTTTTATTTTTATTTTTGAGACAGAGTTTCGCTCTTGTTGTGCACGCTGGAGTACAGTGATGTGATCTCGGCTCACTGCAACCTCCGCCTGCCGAGTTCAAGCGATTCTCCTGCCTCAGCCTCCCAAGTAGCTGGGATTACAGGTATGTGCCACCATGCCTGGCTAATTTTGTATTTTTAGTAGAAACAAAGTTTCTCCATGTTGGTCAGGCTGGTCTCGAACTCCCGACCTCAGGTGATCCACCCACCTCGGCCTCCCAAAGTGCTGAGATTACAGGTGTGAGCCACGGCGCCCAGCCCTTTATTTTAAATAGACTTTTCATTTTAGAATGGTTTTTAGATTTATAGAAAAGTTACAAACAGTACAGACAATTCCTATGCACTCCGAACTCAGTTTCCCCTCCTATTGTTAACAGCTCACATTACTATCGTACATATGTCACAGCTATTTATGTATGGCATTAGTACATGACTGTTAACTCTATATCTTATCTGGATTCACTAGGTTTTTTCTAATGCCCTTTTTCTGTTTCAGGAAACGGTCTAGGATACCACTTCTTTTCTTCATGTCTCCTTAGCGTCCTCTGTTCTGTGATGGTTTTTCACACTTGCATTGTTTTTACCATGACCTTGACAGTTTTGAGAAGTGATGGTCAGGACTGCTTGATTTTTCCTATATTTTTCTCATGGGTAGGCTGGGGAGGAAGACCACAGAAGTGAAGTACCCTTTCATTACACCCTCCCCCTACCCTGTCCCCACTTCCACACTCTAACCATGGGAAGCCTGTCACTAAATTCAGCCACTCAAGGATTGTGGAATTAATTGCCACCTTTTTTGAAGGGGTTATATCTACACAAAGTATTTGAAATTCTATAAGGCAGAGTTGTCTTTTTGTTCCCATTTGCTTATTTGTTCAGTTATTTATATCAGTATCAATTTAAGGGTATTTAGACTTTGGGTTATAATCCAATACTGCTATTATTAATTTTTCCCCCAAATAATTCCAGCTTTGGCCACTGGGAGCTCCCTCAGGTTGGTTTTGGACATTTTCAATGTGTGGCCCTGTATATATATTTTTTCTTAGCACTTCTTTTTGGTACTGCAAGATGCTCTAGGCTCATCTACATTCCCTGCCCCAGGTCTAAAATTAGCCATTTCTCCAAGAAGTCCTGGTTTCTCCTGTTGGAAATGGTGCTAAAAACCACGACCTGGGAGCTGGGTCTCATTTTCTTTGTTAGCCTCATATCCCAGTCACCCAACCCTGATGGTCATCTACCCACTGGCTCCTGGACTCTACAGCATTTTCCCTCCATTAGCACCAAAATTAACAGAGGCTTCCTGGAAACTCTTTTGTTGTCTTGGCTAAAGTGCCCTTTCTCCTTCCTCATATGGTTGAGAATCTTTTTCTGTAAGGCCCCATTCAAAATGCCCCCTCTGGCTGGGTGAGGTGGCTCACGCCTTTAATCCCACCACTTTGGGAGGCCAAGGTGGGTGAATCATTTGAGCCCAGTAGTTTAAGACCAGCTTGGGCAACATGGTGAAATTCCATCTCTACAAAACACACAAAAATTAGTTGGGTGTGGTGGCACACACCTGTGATCCCAGCTACCTGGGAGGCTGAGATGGGAAGATCTCCTGAGCCCAGGGAGGTCAAGGCTGCAGTGAGCTATGATTGTGCCACTGCACTCCAGCCTAGGCAATAGAGTGAGGCCCTATCTCAAAAAAAAAAAAAAAAAAAAAAGTCAACAAAAATCAAACACCAAAATACCCCCTCTTTCCTGAAACCTTTCCCAAACTCCTACTTGATCTCTTACAGACCTGTATACTACCAGGCTGTGAGTTTCCACAAGACAGCATATGACACATTTACTTTTATATTCCTGAACTCAGCAGTTAGCATATAGCACACCAAATGGTTTTTGCCTAGTGGATATTATTATCTGACTGATTAAGATCAGTGTAAAATGCACTCTTTAGGGTCTATCAGGGAAAAAGAAAACCACACACACACACACACACACACACACACACACACACACACACACCAAAACAAAACCACCCTCCTGCAGAACTTTACTGCCACAGGGAAACTTTTGGTCTCAAGCCTGAAGAATGATATCCTGTTTCAGTCACATGTTACTGTGAAAACCAGAAAGAAGAGCCCTGGAAGCTTATGACTCTCATCTCTGAAAATAGGCCTTTTCTGTTCCCAGCACATGTACATGTTCAAACATAAGGATCAGTCAAATGAAACATACCACAAGGAAATTCACATAGACATCCCAAGCCAGGAAACCTCAATAAGAAGCAGGCAGTGGGCCATGTTCAAATGAAGTGATGAATTATGTTGTATAGGCATCTTCCTGGAATCGCTTATCCCATCTCTCACTCAGTCATGCCTACTGCCTAGGTGTTGTGAATGTAAATATAACCAGGTGACCATGGACATACCTGTATAACTGAGGTATTTGGAAATGTGTCCCAACTTTGGATGATTCTGTGACTTCTTATTGATGCCATGGAGTAAGAGTATATTCTGGGAGACCTAAGGCTCTTTCTTCCATCAATCACCCTGGAAGGGGGTAATCCTGGACAAGAAATGAGGTGACTTTTTGGCTGGGGTAGGAAGGAACTTCCTCCTCATTCTGGGGTTCGGAAACCTCTGCTCTGAGGTTTGGAAAGGGCTAGGGCTGCTCCCATGAGAGGATGAAGTGTATGTCATGAAGAGGCAGGCCAGCGTTGCTGGCAGCTAATATTTTATTGGCAGCAACATCAACAGCGCAGAGAAGTGGCCAGTGTCCCCACAGCGGGGTTGCTGTCTCTGTGGTCTCTCTGGATGACAGCGATGCCCCTTCCCCCAGCTCCTTGGCCCACCTGCATTCATCTGCAGCTACAGACAGCTCCTAGCACACTGATGGCCATCTCTGGCCCCAAGGCTCTCTCCTCTGTCACCACAGGAGCACAGCCTGGAAGTTTTTATTTCCTGCACAGGTCACCCTCAACCACAGGGGGAAAGGAGCCATAGGATAAATGCCCTTGCTACCTTGCACTGGGAAGGGTGATTCTGAGATGTGTTGTTACGTGGTTTCTCAGAGGGCCCAGCTATGAGCCCTGGTTGAAACAGAGCTGCTGTTCTGATTAACATACTCGTGTTTGGCATTTCTCTCTTCCCCTCTTACGTGCCCTACTCAGTTATTTGTACGTTTTAAGGTCACCTTCTATATAAGCTTCCTCCACCCACATCCTTGTCTTGGCGTCTGCTTTTGGGAAAACCTAAACTAAGATCTGCTGCCAGGGCAAGTGGGAAGACCCAGGGAATACAGGCAGCAATGGGGCAGCTGGGTTGGGCAGCTAAGAAAGGACTAGGGAGAGGCTGTTCTGATAGAATCTACCAGAAATGCCTGGGGCCTGTGAGAAGGGTGATTTTCCTGCAAGGAAGGCAGACACTGCTGTGAGCAAGGGGCATGTGGCCACACAGAGGTGAGCCAGGCATGCTATTGCTCCCCATTGAGCTCACAATTGGAGAACACCCAGCCAGTCCTTGCCAGCCAAAGTCACATGGCATCTCAAGGACGCTCACCTGTTCAGGCTTTCACCACAGCAACGAAACATATACAACTCTCTGCCAAGAAGTCCCTGCCTAATATGGTTTGGCTGTGTCCTTGCCCAAATCTCACCTTGAATTGTAATAATCCCCATGTGTCAAGGGTGGGGCCAGGTGGACATAACTGAATCATGGGGTAGTGAATAAGTCTCACGATATCTGATGGTTTTATAAATGGGAGTTCCCCTGCACAAGCTTTTCTGCCTGCCGCCATGTAAGACATGACTTTGTTCTTCATTCGCCTTCAGCCATGATTGCAAGGCCTCACCAGCCATGTGGAACCGTGAGTCAATTAAACCTCTTTCCTTTTTTTTTTTTTTGAGATGGAGACTTGCTCTGTCACCCAGGCTGGAGTGCAATGGTATGATCTTGGCTCACTGCAACCTCTGCCTCCTGGGTTCAAGCGATTCTCCTGCCTCAGCCTCCCAAGTAGCTGGGATTGCAGGTGCCCACCACCACGCCTGGCTAATTTTTGTATTTTTAGTAGAGATGGGGGTTTCACCATGTTGGTCAGGCTGGTCTCGAACTCCTGACCTCATGATCCACCTGCCTCGGCCTCCCAAAGTGTTGGGATTACAGGCGTGAGCCACCACACCCGGCCAGCTTTCCTTTTTAAATTACCCAGCCTTGGGTATATCTTTATGAGCAGTGTGAGAACAGACTAATACACTGCCACACCTTCTCACACACTTCTGCCTCTAGGTTCTGGGTCTTTGCTCCACAATGTAATCAACATGGCTTCCTGGATTCCATGTCCTTTTTTTTTCTTTTTCTTTTTTTTTTTTTTTTGAGACAGGGTTTCGTTCTTGCTGCCCAGGCTGGAGTGCAATGGCACGATCTCGGCTTGCTGCAACCTCTGCCTCCTGGGTTCAAGTGATTCTCCTGTCTTAGCCTCGCAAGTAGCATGCACCACCATGCCCGGCTAATTTTTTGTATTTAGAAGAGATGGAGTTTCACCATGTTGGTCAGGCTGGTCTCGAACTCCTGACCTCAGATGATCCACCTGCCTGAGTCTCCCAAAGTGCTGGGATTACAGGTGTGAGCCACCACGCCTGGCCCTGTATCCTTTTCTTGATGTCAGATGTGTATGCTCCTGGGCTACGAGAGGCCCCTATGCCATTTCCATCATCTTCTAAGTGCTAGTGTTTCATAGTTACTTTACTAATCTCAAACTCAGACCCCTCCAGCTCGCTGCCCAAACAACTCAGTATTAAGGAAGCTCAACCCCCAGTACGATTAGAAGCTGGATTTCTGGGAACAGTCATGCCTAGTTAATACCACCACGTAAGGGCACTGTACCTAGGTACAGATGTTTGGTTATTTATGCTGCAGACAACAAGTTAAAAACATCCACTAATATACCCACATCTTGATATCTAAATTCCATTCTCTAATAAAATAAATCAGGGCTCGTTGGAGAAGTGATTGATTTCAGGACTGGAGTAAGAAAAATATAAGATGGTCTTGGAGTATCTTATGATGTGAGAAACAAAGGAAATGCTCAGAAAAAAAAAAAATATGGGCAGCTTGTTGAACGTGTCCAGGAGGCAACCTGAAAGAGCTCCCAATGGCCGAAGCTGGAGGCCAATGAGCAAAAAAGTGAACGATAAAGTAGTACTGGATTAAACCCAAAGTATAAAATAAATATGTCCATAGTGATATAAATAAATAGAAATGACAACTCTTCCTTTTAGAATTCCAGTTAATAAATGCAGAAGGAATACAGAGAAGAGACCATCTCTGCTAGAACACTACCATAAGAATTGCGGCAGATGCATTCTAAATGGATGCAAAAACTAGAGGGAGAAGTTTAAGGAGAAACAGGATATTTACGTGGTCTCAAAGTATCTCTCCCCACTTAAAAAAAATTAATTAAAAAGAGAAAAACAGTCACTTTATAATGAAGAAATCTGGCAGATACCACCCTGACAATGTGATTGAGGTTAACATGACCAGTGACACGAAAAATAGCCAGAGGGGAACGTAAGGTCAGAGTGCTCACTCAAAACTCTGCCTCCTTTATACTCACAGGGTCGTTAAAAAAAGAAAACAAACCAAAACATTCCCCAAAATCTCTGCTTCCAGACTGATCCCTCCCAGGAGCTCCTGATGCATTTTTTTTTTTTTTTTTTTTTTACCGCAAACTGGTTCCCTCCACCTGAGTATCCTACCCATTATGGGCTTTGAATGTGTATGCCCTGCCTCAGACCTTTGAGATTAGGGTCTAAACTTAAGTTCACAAAAGAAGCATCACCTCCATAGTGAATCACCTTTTCAGCATGAAGGGTGAAATGTGAAATGATCTAATCTGCTTGTACGCAATGCCTAACGTGGGGTTGCATAGATGTGATGCTGGATGGTTTTGTAACCATTCCTGGAGGCAAGATTCCTCCACAACCATGTTCCATTACTCTGTGGCCATGTTCTACCTTGCTTTGACAGCCTAGCATAGAACATTTTGGCAGTTTCAGATCCTGACTAGATGTCTGCTGGAGGAGTTAAAAGCTGTAGTCACTGGGACAGATGCGTGGTGAGGCTCCCGGCTTAGCCATGTCTTCATGTGCCGAAGCTTTTTCATTTCCTCTCTGTATTCAGTTGGAGTTTACAAGCCTTTAAATATTAACACTCATTAATACTGATGTCTGAGAACCAAATCAGTTTAACTTCCTAGAAATTACATTAGCCATTCATTCATTCAATACACTTTTTTTTTTTTTTTTTTGAGAGGGAGTCTTACTCTGTCCCCCATGCTAGAGTGCAACGGCGTGATCTCCGCTCTCTGCAACCTCTGCCTCCCAGGTTCAAGTGATTCTCCTGCCTCAGCGTCCCGAGTAGCTGGGATTATAGGCACCCGCCACCATGCCCGGCTAATTTTTGTATTTTTAGTAGAGACAGGGTTTCACCATGTTGACCAGGCTGCTCTTAAACTCTTGACCTCAGGTGATCTGCCTGCCTCGGCCTCCCAAAATGCTGGGATTACAGGCATGAGCCACCGCGCCCAGCCTCAATATACATTGATTAAGTGCTAGGCAACATATGCTAGACAACCTGATGGTGCTGGAGAAGCCTGGATAAATATATAGGACATGGCTCGTGCCCTTGGGAAGCCTATACACATTTACCTAAACAGCTACAGATGACATGGAAAGTCTTATAATAAGGCATGTATATATACTTACATGTATGTATACAGATATGTGTGTACACGTTTATATCTACACACCTATACATATATGCACATATGTGCAAGTGTATATATAGTCCCTCAGAGAGAGAAACATTTGTGTGTGTGTGGGGAGGAACACAAAAAAAAGTATATGACTATCTTTTCTAAATGTGACTATAGGGCCAGGCGCAGTGGCTCACTGCTGTAATCACAGTACTTTGGGAGGCTGAGGCGGGTTGCTTGAGCCCAGGAGTTTGAGACCAGCCTGGGCAACATGGCAAAACCCCGTCTCCAGAAAAAATACAAAAATTAGCTGGGCATGATGGTACATGCCCTGTAGTCCCAGCTACTCAGGAGGCTAAGGCAGGAGGGTCACTTGAACCCTGGAGGTCGAGACTGCAATAAGCCAAGATCATGCCACTGCACTCCAGCCTGGGTGACAGCGAGAATCTGTCTCAAGAAAAAAAAAAAAGTGACAGTACTGTAAAGGCTATAATAGGGAGGCACATTTGATTAATTTGATTAATTCTAGAGATCAGAAGGATGAGCAATAATGGTCTCCCCTGGTGGGTAAAGGAGGAAGGCAGGCCTTAGAGGCAGAAGGACTAGCATGATCAAAGGTACAGGCATGTTAATATGTGTGGCATATATAAAAATGCAGCAATGGTATGTAAAAAAAATAGTAAAACCAATGATGACAGACATTTATCGAGCATCTACTATGTGTCAGGCACTATCCTAAGCACTTTACACGTATTACTACACGGATGAGCCACATGTGTGGGTGAGACCAAGGAGACAGCTGGGGGTCATCGGATGATGGAATGCTTTGAATGTTGTGCCAAGGGGTTTGGACTTTGTCCAGCAGGAGAGAGGCACTAAGAGTTATAAATAAGTACAGGCAAGACTGGACTTGTGATTTTAAAAGTTTCCTCTGCTAGCTGTGTAGGGAATAGGTTGGAGGAGGTGAGATGGGAAGCAAAGAAGTGAGTTTGGAAGTTTTTTCAATAGTTCAGAGAAGTCAAAATGGCAGAGGATGTATTCAGGAGAGGTAGAAATGGGTCTTGCTGATCCCTGTATACATGGGGGCAGAGGAGGAAGGGAGAGGATTCTATGAACTCAGAGGGGATGAAACAGCTTTAGAAAAGTGGATGAATTCAGTCTAAAGCAGATTCAGGTAGAGGTGCCCAGAGGGCAGCTAAGGATTGAAGTCGAGAATCTGAGGGGACGGTTTGGGCCACAGTTAGATTAGGAGCAGTGGGGGACACCTTAACTCCATTCAAGCTAAAATTTGTCCTTTCAACACTAAGATTACCCCTGAATTCTCCTTTCTCTCCCCATTGTCCTTACATTTTCACATGAACAGCTGCAAAGTGACCCAGGGAGGAATACACACACACACAAGTCCACAGATGACAGAGGAACACACACACATGCATCTGAAGGTGACAGAGGTCTAAAAATGCATACTCAGGCCCATGCATGTAAATATACCGACAGAGGCCACACAGGCATGCTTTTCTGGAGAGGCGGAGGCGTGCTTTCTAGTTATTAATATACAGTGGGGTCTTTTCATCTAGCTGATGATTCTTGGCTGCTAGAAGGAGCAGGCCCACCTAGTCATGGAGACTCCCTCTACAATTCATTCATATGAAACATTCCAAGAGGACATCTAAAGCCTTCACTGAGCTGTTATTCCATGCTCCACACATTTGTAATCCATTTCCAGGTAAGCCACTGTAAACTGAGAATAACTCCTTCTAGCTACAAGTAGGTGATCCAACCACCTGCAATTAAACACACATCCATTGCAGCACTCAACTCTCCTACCGAAAAGCTTCTGCAGGACTTGTCCATCATACAAATCTTCAGCTAGGTCTTTCACAATGATTCTTTCTCCAACCAACACATCATTAATCCAGTCAATTAATACCTACAGAGAGAGAGAAAGGGAATGTGCAATAGTAAGAAAAGAGTTATGGGGTATTTTCTTACAGACCAGCTTTCTTATCCTAAACAATTAAAATCCAAATTAACTTTAGATTTTAAGTTTCATTTTATTTGAGATGGGGTCTCACTATGTTGCCTAGGCTGGACTTAAACTCCTGGGCTCAAGTGATCTTCCTGCCTCAACCTCCTGCATAGCTGAGACTATGGGAGTGTTCCATTGTGCCCTGCTTTGAACTTCAGATTTTAAAAGCAGGAGAACTATCCACATAACCCAGTGTGTGCACAGGTAGCTGTAAGTGTGAGCCCTACTGGCCTTCTTAATTTTCAGATGTATATCCTGCTAGTGCCATGTCCCTGTTAATATCTATGTCCCCTATTATTCCTTACTCTAATGGCAAGCAACACTCACAGTGTACGGCCATAAAAAAAATTTTAGGCTGGGCGTGGTGGTTCACACCTGTAATCCCAACACTTTGGGAGGTCGAGGCGGGCAGATCACTTGAGGTCAGGAGTTTGAGACCAGCCTGGCCAACATGGTGAAACCCCGTCTCTACTAAAACTACAAAGATTAGTCAGGCGTGGTGATAGGTGCCTGTAATCCCAGCTACTTGGGTGGCTGAGGTAGGAGAATTGCTTGAACCGGGAGGTCAAGGCTGCAGTAAGCCGAGATCGTGCCACTGCACTCCAGCCTGGGCAACAGAGTGAGACTCTATCTAAAAAAAAAAAAAAAGTTAAGTATACAGTGATATGTCTTGGTCATTGTGCACAGTAGTTTAATCCCCACCACAATCGAGATACAGAACAGTTCCCTCCCCAGTAGGATGCTTCCGTAGGTCCCTTTGTACTCAATCCTCATCCCTGACCACAGGCCTGGGGGAACCACTACAGTTTTGACATTTCTCCAATTTCTTATAAGTGGACATCGTCCTTTGTGTTGGACGTCTTTGCCTTAGCATAAGTATGCTGCCTTTATAACACAGCAATAGCCAGACAGCGTTGCCATCCCTGGGTGGGCTGATGTTGGAGTCTGGAGGCTTTTGTTCTGCTGTCCCAAGGCAAGAGGATGGCAACTGTAATACCTACTGTATACCAGGCACTGCACTGTATCCAGTAGAGTAAGACCCAGCCTCTGTCCTGGAGAGGCTTATGGGGGCAGAAAACCGGTCAACCAAAGGATTATAACATAAAGAGTTCAAATCCTGGGGTGGGGAGGACATGGTGCTATGAGAGAGTAGAGAAGAGGCCCCAACAGGCTGGGAGTGGGCAGGAGAGATCAGGAATGAGGGGAGGCTTCCAGAAAGCCTTGTGTTTGAGGAGACTTTTTTTTTTTTCCTTTTGAGGCAGGGTCTTGCTATGTTGCCCAGGCTGGAATGCAGTGGCTATTCACAGGTGCAATCATAGTGCACTATAGCCTCGAACTTCTGGCCTCAAACCTTCATCTGAAAGTAGCTGGCATTACAGGTACATGCCACTGTGCCCAGCTCCTAAGAAGACTCTTAAACTAGGAGTTGACCAGAAAGAGTAGGATTTCAAGGTGGTCAAAGCAGCCTAGATCTAGAAAATCGAACCTCCCTCTGGAAGTACGGAGGTAGCTGTGCCTTTGGTCAGCACCCCAGGGCTCAGGCCTATGTGCATCTCCAATCCTTCACTCTCTCAAACAGGGCCCGAGTGCAGGTCTAGGTCTGGGAGATCAACATTGAAGCCTAAACCATTTGGAGCCCATTCTGACCGTCCTTACCCTTAGAGGTCTCCTGAGCAAGTAGTAGCATACCCATTCTAGCATGGTGAGCGCCCTCTGATAGGAGCAAGCCCAGGGCTAGCCCCTTTCCCCCTACCCTTGCCCACACAGGCCCAGCACCCCGGAGAGTGTGCAGCGGCAGGCACAGCCTGCACCTCAACTGTTCCATCTTCTTCCTGCACAGAAAGGTGAGGGCTCAGGGTCTCACTGGGCAGGGGCAGTCATCTATGGATGCAGCACAGACTGCATCAGGAAAGGCCAGATACCCAACATGCACAGCCCAGCTGCCTGTGAGGCTCCGGTTGTGATCCAGGGGAGCAAGGGGCTGCATGGCGGCCTAGCCAAGGCTGCCTCCTTTCTCTTAAACTCTGGGGTCAGGGCACAGACTCCCTTCAGCAGACAGAAGGGACATTTACACATCTCCTCTGAGATGACTGCCCTCAGTCCT
Source organism: Homo sapiens (assembly GCF_000001405.40). Lineage (NCBI taxonomy): Eukaryota > Metazoa > Chordata > Mammalia > Primates > Hominidae > Homo > Homo sapiens. Next base: position 12,475,643 of record NC_000011.10, on the reverse strand, counting down.
CCAGTCCCTAGTGAGATGGCCCAACCCTCACATGGGTTTGATTTTACTTCTGAATACTCCTGGCTGACTTTGAAATTCCTACCCATTCATCCACCCACCCTTCCTTTCCTCCTTCCATCCTCTAATGTTTATTAAATACCTGCTATATGTGACATTCTGTGCTAGGTCCTTGGGGTACAATGATAGAAAAAAAAGACAGTCTCTAACCCCAAGAAGCTCACCATTTAGTAAAGGAGACAGAGAAGTGCATGAGAAGCTATAATATTACGTGGAGACGACAACAGAACTAAGGATAGGGTTATAGCAGCCGTGGAGTGGTTGAGCCATGGCACTAGAGTTTAGAGCAAGCTTCCTGGAGCAAGCAGCCGTGCTGAGACTTTCAGATGAGGGGCATGAGAGGCATTCTACTCAGAGTGGACTGCATTAGCCAGGCTTTGGCGGTGGGGAGCGCTGGGAGCACGCATCGGCTGCTGGGAGCAGCAGTTCTGGCATCCTTGTGTTGCTGGGTAGTGGCTGATCTCAGGTTGAAGAGGCAGCTAGAGCAAGGAGTCTAAACACCACCTCTTAGGAGTCGACTGCAACCTGTGGTGGATGAGAAACTCTGAGAGGTCTTGCACAGGGGAACCGTGTATTCAGATTTGCATGGGGGAATGAATCACTCTGACATCCAGTGCTATTTTTTTTTTTTTTTTGAGACAGGGTCAGGCTGGAGTGCAGTGGCGTGGTCATGGCTCACTGCAACCTCTGCCTCCCAAGTTCAAGCCATCCTCCCACCTCAGCCTCCCGAGTAGCTGGGATTACAGTCATGCGCCACCACACTTGGCTACTTTTTGTATTTTTAGTAGAGATGGTCTGGGATTACAGTCATGCGCCACCACACTTGGCTACTTTTTGTATTTTTAGTAGAGATGGTGTTTCACCCTGTTGCCCAGGCTTCAAGTGATCCACCCACCAGCTAATTTTTTGTACTTTCAGTAGAGATGATGTTTCATCGCATTGCCCAGGCTGGTCTCGAACTCCTGAGCTCAAGTGATCCGCCCGCCTTGGCCTCCGCAGAGTGCTGGGATGACACTCATGAGTGCCTTTTGTCTTAAGTGCAGCTTGGTTAAGCTGAAGAGGAGGAACATAGGACAGGGAATAAGACGCAGGGGAGAAATGAACAGTTTTGAAAGGACAAGCGCACGCCAGCCACTGCGCAGGTACGTAATGCACAGTATGTCACTTCATCTCCTTTATTTCTGCTTGAGTTCCAGCTCCTTGTTTATGACCATAAACAAAGCATCTGGCTTTTCTGAAACTTGATTTTGTCATCTGGAAAATGGGGATGAGACTAATTACTGCTCCACTGCCTGCTTTTGAGGGTCCTTGAGAAAATAAGCATTTTGTGCACTCTGGAATCCTGGCCATCGTGAGCTTACCTGTACTGAACTGTCTGGTGCTGTGACCAGCACCACTCACTGGGCATTTGTCACATCCCACACTTAAACAATCGGTTACGTTTTCGATGGCCATCTGCTAGACAACTCACTGCCTGAGGCAGGGGCTGCCATGACTTTTTACCTTCTCTCAGGGGCTCGTGGGGTACCTGCACAGAGCAGGTGGCATATGGACACATGGTGGGTCAGTGAGGCACCTGAAGCCGCTCCTGATTTCTTCTTACCTTCATCAGTTCTTGAAGCTTGGGGTCACTGCGTGAGTTTGGATCCACCATTGTTCGCACCTCATTCTCCTCTTTAAAAAGAAAAGGAATTCAGTGGGGGTGCTGGCATGGGAAAGCTTAAGCGAATTCAGAGACAAGAGCACAGTTACCCAGCATCGTGTCCTCGGGGTCCAGCTCAAAGGGAATTGGGCTGAGGGGCAGGTTGATGGCGTTCATTCCCTCCTCCTGCAGCTCGGACACTGGAAGAAAAGGAAGAGCAGGGTCACATTTCAGCTGACGGACGGCAGGGGGTTGGAGCTCTGTAACAAGGGTGTTCGATATTGACATTGAGAAAAAAACCCACTAAGGGTAGATTACAGCTGTTACTCAGCCTACGATCAATTCATGGCCTCGCCTGGCTGAAAGGACCTAATTGTCCCCTTAATCTCACCTCTGCCAGCTGTCACTTCACTTGCTTTCCTCAGGGAAGCAGGGAGGTCTCAAAAGCACAGAAATCTCCCTCCTCTCAGAAAAGATTTCGGAATGAATGGAAGCGAGGTGGGCACTGACTTCTTTCTGAGTCTCTACCTCCTGCCTGTCCCATCTTCCAGGACTTCCTGTCTGGTGCCCGGCGACTGTGTGCTGACAGGATGAATGGGGTCATGGGTTTGAGGCTATATGTACGCTGTAAGGCATTTCCATCCTCCGTTCAACCGTCCTCTGACTTCTCACCTCTCCTGGCTTCCCTGAGGTACTCTCCTGATTATCTGCCTTCCCACCTCCACCCAACCCCAGCCACTGCTCAAAAATACCTCAGTTCTGGCCCTTCCCTGAGCTCTGGTCCTATCCCTTGAGATGGAACCAGCTGTGGGACCTGGGGCCAGGCACTTCATCTCTCTTGGCCCATTTCCTCAGCTGAAAATAGAGTTTGACTGGATGAACAGTAAGCTCTTTTACAGTCTTCAAATCCTAGAAATCTGTAATTCCACCTTCCTCAGAAAGAAAAACAAAAACAGGTAAAAACTACCAAAGATTACCAGCCCACGCTCCTCCAAGTGACCAGCCCCCACATGGAGCCTTAGTACAAAAGAATTCCTCCCACAAAACCAGTTGTGTGACAGACGTTTGGTGAGTGCTGACCTTGGATTACCCCTCCTAAAAGCAGTGACTTAAATCCCCTTGCTTTTTGCCAATTAAGCACAGAAAGGCCATTTTCTCAGAAGGCGTTGGTCACCAAGAGGTTCTTAAAGAGCTAATACAGCAGCTGCAATCAACCTTAATAAAAGCAGCGTCCCATCTTTCCATTTTATTTTTTTTATTGACTCTGGCCTCACCAATTGCCAGCATAGACTTGCAAGAAATCCTAAGCACAAGGCAGCCACTTACAAAGAGTTCTTTCACCTCAATACACTCACTGATAGCTGCAGTTGGACTGGAAGGAGACTGAGAAACAAAGGGAGTGAAACACTCTCTACGCCCTAAGAGACACAACTTGCATGGCGAGGCTGGTATTTAGTACCTTTGCAGCAGGTCTTTGACATTCACATAGGGTACCAGCCAGTCACCACCTTGATCTCCACATTCACAGACACCGACTATTTCATAGAATTCTCCATAAAACATGACAGAAACACAGAAGGGGTACCTTCAAAGCTTAAATCAAGCTTGTCCAACCCACAGCTCACGGGCTGCAATGTGGTCCAGGATGGCTTTGAATGCAGCCCAACACAAATTCATAAACTTTCTTAAAACATTATGACATTATCTGGAGATTTTTAATAGCTCATCAGCTATCATTAGTGTTTAGTGTATTTTATGTGTGGCCTAAGACAATCCTCCTCCTTCCAATGTGGCCCAGGGAAGCCAAAAGATTGGACATCCCTGGCTTAAATGATTCTGTAGGTACAGATTGTGTTTGTTTTCCAGCTAAGCACAACTGTTTCCTTAAAATTCTATAGTTTCTTCTAATATCTCCCCTAGAACTACCAGTTTTCTTTCTTTCTCAGGCTATTTCTCACAAAGAAGCACAATTTTCATTACTTTGTTAACAAGCATTGCTACGCAAGGAGTGAGCAGTGGAAATAAAGTCATGTTTAAATGTGGCTGCAAGGCTAGGCTTACTGGCCAATGAAGGAACTTGCTCCTGCCTGGGACTTTCTCTCCTGTAGCTACACTGATCGGCACTGTCCAATACAGTAGCTACTAGCCACTTGAGCTATTTAAATTTCAGTGAATTAAAAATTCCGCTCCGTAGCTGCACCAACCACATTTCAAGTACTCAATGGCCACAGGTGGCTGGTACCTACAACACCAGACAGCATGGATGTAGAAAGGTTCCATCACAAGATCATCAAGTATGTTCTCATGATTTAAGTGAGGACATGCCATATTTGGTTTTCTGCTCCTGTTAGTTTGCTAAGGATAATGGCCTCCAGCTCCATCCACGTCGCTGCAAATTACATGATCCTTTCTTTATTCATGGCTGCATAGTGTTCCATGGTGTATATGTACCACATTTTCTTTATCCAGTCTATAGTTGATGGGAAAATAATCCATACAACAAGCCCCCAGGACACAAGTTTGCCTATGTAACAAACATGTACCCCTGAACTTAAAGTTAAAAAATAAAATTTTTAAAAGAGTAAGTGGATAATGTCCTAGGTCATCCCATTCAACTAATGTCCATGTCCACATTTAAATCTCCAGCCTGGAGCTCCAAGCTTATGAATCTAATCACTTATTCAATGTCTCCTCTTAGGTCTACTAATAGAGATCTCAAATGTACACATCCAAACAGAACTTGTGATTCTCAACACCCTCATACCCACCATACCAGCACTAAAATGAACCTGTTCTTTATTCTTATCCTCTTCAGTAGATGGCACCACTGTTTACACCATGGTTCACGCCAAGCTCCGAGGAATCACTCTTAAGTTCTCATTTTCCTCACCTTTTGCATCTGTCCAAAACACTGGCAAGTATTGTGGGCTCCGCCTCCAAACCAGGACCCAATTCCAAACACTTCTCACCATCTCCCTGCTCTATCATCCTGACTTGAGCCACCGTTATCTTTTGCCTGGCCTATCAGAACCACCTTCTAACTGGTCTACTGCTTTGCTTGCATTTCCCCCACTCTCACCTACTTCCCACAGTGCAGCGAGAATGTTCTACAAAAATGTAAATAGGATCATACATTCTCCCACTTCAAGCTTTCTTGTGACTTCCCATCATACTCAGGTCATAGGTAGGAGCTGAGGTTTTATTCTATGAGACTCTGATTAGCGCCCTCCCACCTCCCTCTCATGTTTTATTTTCTCATCATGATCTATTTTCTCATCATGATCTGAAATAAAAACTTATATGGCTGTTAACTCTCTCCCTCACCAGAATGTAAGTTTTGTAAGGACTGGCACTATTTCTCTTTTGTTCACTATTAGATCCCCCATGAGGCCAGAGGGCACAGTGGTTAGAAGCCAAGCTGCCTACGTTCATATCCAGACTCTACCACTCACCAGCTCTGTGGCCTTGGGCAAGTTCATCAACCTCTCATGCCTTAGATTCCTCACCTGCAAAATGGGAGTGACAGCAATATTGCCGACCTCCAAGGGTTGCTGAGAAGACTAAATGAGTTAATATATGCAAAGTACCCAGAAGCATGCCTGGCAGCTGGTAAGAGCTAGGTAAATACATGCAACTATTATTATTACTTAAAACAACACCTCAAGCATTGTAAGCACTCAAGAAATATTTGCTGAATACATAATCCAAACTGTCAAGACCACCCTTCAACTGCACAGGTTATGAGTTGAGGCAGAATTTGCCAAAGCAGAGAATGGGATGCAAAGGATTTTACCTTTTTCCCAGAAAAACAAAATACATTTCCATTTTAGCCTGACTGTGTGTGCGCACATGTGCGTACGCATGCACGCACATTTCTGGGGCAGCATTTCCAGCTTACATTTTATAAGGTAAGTAAAGTCACACCTGTCCCAAGACTTGTTGTATAGCCAAAGTGAGCCAATTTGTAAATGGAGAGGTATTGAAACATCTCTAAAGTGTGACTAGAAACGCAATATTTGAAGCCAGGACTCCTAAAGGTGGGTCTGAACAGGATCTCTTTTTCTGTGTAGATCATTGTTAAAAATGTTTTCAGATGAAGAATCCCCAGTCAGAAACATTCCCCTCTGCCCTGCCTCTTTAATTCACTCACAGAGACATAACAAATCCAAGAAGAAAGGCCAAGATATGTTTGCAATTGGAAATGTTTTTTTCAGGAAACGATTTGGTACAGGAACATCATTCCCATTCCATTAACTGCTGACTCTGAGCCAACTGTTTGTAAAAGTGAATATGCAAACTGCCCAGTGCAGGCCTGGCCCTTGCCCCATGGGGCCCCATTAGTGGCCACTTTCCCAAAACAGCCCTCCTGCTTTGGAGGTTTCATTTCTATTAAACCAAAGCAGGACCCAGCAGAAGCCCCTTGCCAATCCTCACGCACTGAAAGAGAAAGAGCTACAACTGAATTTTCTCGGCACAGAATGGGAATCTGATGTTTATCCACTGAACCTCCTCTAACAATCTAAAACTGGGTCCGAATGTCTCGCAGCGCCATTAAGTCATAACTTAATAAACAGATCAAATGCCCAGCTGAAGGTCGGGGTAGGGAAAGCAGGGAGATTGCCTGAACCCCTGAAGTGCTCACCGTGAGAAAAGGGGCTTTTGTTTCCAGGGATATGTGGTCTGACTCTGAGGCCACATGAGCAGAAGAAAGTACCTGGATGGGCTTTGGCGTGTGGATTTGTACCCTACTTCTATTTTTATCAGCTGTGGAACCTTATGTAAGTAGGTTAACCTCCTTGAACTTCGGTATAAAACAATTCTGTACATAACAAGGGTATAGCTGACATTGGTGGTTTGCTCCCCAACATTTATCCGTTTTCCCTGCTGAAAGAACCCTCATTTTGTTCCAGTATACACCCCTCCCTCCTATGCCTCCAGGTAAAGCCGCTATTGGTTTAAACGAATCATGATGATCTTGATCCCTGTAGCAGTGGTTGGCTCAAGCATCATCATGTCAATTCTGGTCAATGAACTGTGACAGAAAATTTCTAGAAGCTTCTGGAATCACTTTCCTTCATTCTAAAGAAAGGCCCAAGGAAGAAAAGGCAACCTTCTCCTTCTAATCATTATTGTGTCAGGATATTATACCTGGATTTGTTGCAGCCATTTTGTAGCCATGCAGTGAGTAAGCTCAAGGAAGAAGCTAGTGTGTTGAGGTTGGCAGAGAAAAAATATAGAAAGATGGGGTTCTTGTTGATACTATTAAGCCACAACCCCTGGAACCACTCAAGCTCATATGTCTTGTTATAGGAGATACAATAAATTCCCTTACTGTTTGAGCCAATTAGAAGAGGTATTTTTCTAGGCCTCAGAGCCCAAACTCCCTAACTGATAACATGGGGATACCAGGATTCTAAAGTCAATGGGTGAATAGAGTAGGTCTGCAATGAATGGTAATTTCCCCCTGATTTTTGTTCATGAAGAAAAGAAATGCTATGGCATCTCTTTTACTCCGGAATACATCTAGGGACTCAAAGAATACCAGGGGAAAAGCAAACATGGAGAGAATAGACAGAGGTCTCTAAATATGCAAGGCCAGTAATTTCATTCATTCAACCAATAAGCATTACTGGGTGCCTCCCCTGAAGCAGTCCCCATGCCAGCACTGGTGATACAGGTTTGGGGATTTGACGTAGGCCTGCCTCAGTCTGCTCAAGGTGGTGGGAAAGGTAGGCCCGCAGATGCAATGCACACGGTGCTACACTCAGAGGTGACAGAGATGTAAGGAGAGAGCCACAGGGCTCATGTAGAACAAGGCTAACTTTGGATGGAGAAGACTGGGAAGGAGTCCTAAAAAGGGAACATTTGAACTGGACCTTGAAAATGTAAATTTTCAACCAACACAGGTGCACTACAAAAGGCACATCTTGTGTAAAAATAGCAAGATGTGGAAAAACAGGGCAGGTGTTGAGGGAGTAGTGATTATGTCTGAGCACAGGGAATATAAATGTGCACAGGGGAAGGGGGTGAGGAATGGAATAGCAGATAAGTAGGGCGGGGTTCCAGAGTGTTAGGGTCTTGAATTCATCTATTCTCCACATTCCCTGAACCACGCCCACTGTATCTGTACTTGCAAAAAACCATTCTGAGAGAGGGCAAGAAAAGAACCAGGATGTTCTTTCTCCTTCAGGGCCAGTGGGCCCCAGTGAGATGTTTAGGCTGCTCTAGATCCTTATCAGAACTCTGATTATTAATTTCTAGTCCCCTTGAAAGTTATTAAAGCTCCCTTAATTTCTAAATAGTTCCAGGGCCTATACAGAAGCTCTTGGCAGCTAAAGACAACTATATTGTCTGGTCAGCAAGTCCCAGCAATGTTTCTCTATGTGAAAAATCAATCTGAAAGAACATCTACAACAACAACAACAAAAAAATTAAACCCTACAGCCTAACATCATACATTATGTTGAGAAATTGGATGCTTTGCCCCTAAAAATGGGAACAAGTCAAGGATGTCTCCTCTCACCATGCCTATTCAAAATTATACTAGAAATCTTAGTACAATAACACAAGAGAAGAAAATAAAAGGTATACAGATTGGGAAGGAAGAAATTGTCTTTGTTTGCCGGTGATATTTCTAAAGAATCAACCATAAAACAAACAAACAAAACACCAATGCTCCTCACCCCTAAAATTCCTAGAATAAGCAATTCTGGCAAGGTTGCAGGATACAAGGCTAATTTACAAAAATCAATTGCTTCCTATATACTAGCACTGAATGGTTGAAATTTAAAATTAAAAACACAGTATCATTTATAGTAGCACAAAAAATGCAATACTTGGGTATAAATCTAAAATAATGGGCACACTATATCTTCTGATATGCAGAAGATTATAAAACCCAGATGATCTAAATAAAGGAAGAGATATTCAGTGTTCATGGACTGGAAAACTTAAGATTTCAATTCTTTCCAACTTCATCTATAGATTCAATGTTAATCTCAGTCAAAATCACAGAAAGCTATTTTGTGGATATTGACAAACTGATTCTAAAGTTTACACAAAAAGGCGAGAGACCTAGAGTAGCCAACAAAATATGGAAGAATAACGAAGTTGGAGGACGAACACTACCATACTTCAAGACTACTAAAAACATACAATCATCAATTGTTAAAATGATCACAGACCTAAGTTAAAACACAATACTATAAAACTTCTAGAAAAAAAAAACAGAAAATCTGTGTGACCTACGGTTGGATAATGAGTTTTTAGATACAACACCAAAAGGATAATCAATGAAAGAAAACTTGGTGAGTTGGGCTTTATTAATACTTCTACTCTACAGGCCGGGCGTGGTGGCTTATGCCTGTAATCTCAGCACTCTGGGTGGCCGAGGCGGGCGGATCACAAGGTCAGGAGTTTGAGACCAGCCTGGCCAACATAGTGAAACCCCGTCTCACTAAAAATACAAAAATTAGCCAGGCATGGTGGCGCATGCCTGTAGTCCCAGCTACTTGGGAGGCTGAGACAGAAGAATTGCTTGAACTCAAGAGGCAGAGGTTGCAGTGAGCTGAGATCAGGCCACTGCACTCCAGCCTGGGCAACAGAGCAAGACTCCGTCTCAAAAAAAAAAAAACAACTAAATAAATAAATATTTCTACTCTACAAAAGATACTGTTAAGAGAATGAAAAGACAAGGCATAGACTGAGAGAAAATATTTGCAAAATACCTATCTGATAAGACTTGTATGCAAGTCTGACTCAACTACAAAATGGGCAAAAGATCTGAATAAGCATATCACCAGAGAAGATGTACATATAGCAAAGAGGCATATGAGAGGGTGTTCATTATCCTTTGTGATTAGGGAATGACAAAACACCAATGAGATATCACTAGACATCAACTAGAATGGCTATAATCCAAAAAAAACTGACAACACTAAACACTGGCAAGGGGTGTGGAGCAACAGGAACTTTCATTTATTGCTGGTAGGAATGCAAAATAGTAAGAGCCACTTTGGTGTTTTCTTACAAAACTATAATTTTACCATATAATCCAGCAGTCAAGCTCCTAGGTATTTACCCAACTGATTTGAAAACATGTTCACACAAAACCCTGAATGTGAATATTTATAGCAGCTTTATTCATAATCACCCAAAACTGCAAGCAACCAAGATATCCTCTAATAGGTGAGTAGATAAACTGTAGTACATCTATATGAAAATTATTATTTAGTGATAAAAGGAAATGAGCTATAAAGCCATGAAGAGACATGAAAGAACCTTAAATGCATATTCCTAGACAAGTTGGTCTAAAAAGGCTACATGCTATACAATTCTAATTATACGACATTCTGGAAAAGGCGAAACTAGAGAGAGTAAAAAGATAAATGGGGGAAAATGCTGAATAGGCAAAGTACAGAAGATTTTTAAGGCAGTGAAAGTGTTCTGTATGATACTGTAATGGCAGACACATGATATTTATAGTATAAGAAATGTCTTAGTCCATTTTCTGTTGCTTATAACAGAATGTCTGAAACTGGGTAACTTATAAAGAAAAAAAATATTTCTTACAGTTATGGAGGCTAAGATGTCCCAGGTTGCAGGGCCACATCTAGTGAGGGCCTTTGTGCTGGTGGGGACTCTCTGCAGGGTCCTGAGGCAGCACATGGCAAAGGGGCTGAGTGTGCCAGCTCACATCTCTCTTCCTCTTCTTATAAAGCCACCAGTCCTATTCCATAACTCATTAATCCATTAATGGATTAATCCAGGCATCCCCAACCCCCAGGATATGAACTAGAACGTGGACCAGTACTGGTCCATGGCCTGTTAGGAACTAGGCTGTACAGCAGGAGCTGAGCAGTAGGTGAGTATTACTACCTGAGCTCTGCCTCCTGTCAGATCAGTGGCTTAGATTCTCATAGGAGCGCAAACCCTATTGTGAATTGTGCATGCAAGTGATCTAGGTTGTGTGCTCCTTATGAGAATTTAATGCCTAATGATCTGAGGTGGAACAGTTTCATCCCGAAACTAACCCCGACCCAACCCCATGTCCATGGAAAAAACTGTCTTCCATGAAATTGGTCCGTGATGCCAAAAAGGTTGGGGACTACTGGATTAATCCAGGTAGAGTGCTCATGAGTCAATCACCTCTTAAAGGCCCCACCTTTCAATACTGCCACATTGGGGATTAAGTTTGAACATGAGTTTCAGAGGCGACAAATATTCAAACCCTAACAAGGAGTAAACCTTAATGTAAGCAAATTAAAAAATCATTTAGAAGGTTAGAGGACCCAAGGATGGAATGCAGATTGTGACAATAGAATCTAACTGTATTACAAATGTATGAGATGACCTCAATGAAAGGGGTGATGGGAATGGTACGAACTTAAGTATCTCTGGAAATGAGATGACTCTATAAGACCAAAGGCAAAAGGAACTGCATTTAGGCACGGCACTCTAGTTGATAAAGTTGTTTCCCATAGGGTATGGGTTAACAGTGCTGATACTGCTATATGTGTATGCTGGAATTGAACAATTAAGTAAATGCATGGTGGATGGTAGGAGCCAGTTTTCTCACTGGAGTGGGAGGTTATAGATAAACAAGGGGAGAAAGCTAGAATGGTCCATGTGGTAATGCATTGGAGTTAGAGACATCAGTAAAAACTTATGTTTAACTTAATATAGATACAGATGGTTACAAGATATGTGTATATCTCTCTAAGTATTTCTATAAATTAGTGCACACACATATATTTCCTTACTGTGTTAACTGAGAGGGCCTAGATGCATCAGTACTCCAGTAGCAATGAATGTACATAGAGCCCAGATGTTCGTTTCTAGTCCTGTTCTCCAATAAAAGTAACCAGGGCTCCTTGGAAAAATGGCTGATTCTAGGACTGCAGAGAAAATATATGAGATAAGCTTGGAGCCAGAAAGGAAGGAAGTACTCAGGAAAAAAAAAAAAAAAAGGAGGGATGTCAGAGGCTCACAGGAGCTGATTGAAAGAGCTGGCCAAAGTTGCAACCATTTGAATAACAAAATAAAGTAGTATTGGATTATAATAAAGTGGATTATCATATAAATTGTATTATAACAATCTGAAGCCCACAGATAAAATAAATGTCTGTGAATCCATAGTGATATAAATAATTGAATAAATTAACACATGGAAGAGAAGAAACTAATCTGTGCAGAATTTCAAATTTTCATAGATCCTCTGTTCTGAAAGAATGGAGCATAACTCCCCACTCTTTATGTGTGGGCTGCGTCTAGTGACTTCCTTTGAAAGAGTACTGTATAGGAAGGAGGAAAAAAGTTAGGCTTTACAGTGGAGAAATGTGACAAACACCACCTCAGCCAGGAAAACAAGACCAATATCCACAGTCATAAACCATGTTGATGTTATGTACCCTTGATATGATGTGATGAAAATGGCACTTTACCTCTGTGACCTTCCTTCCAGAAACCCATAACTATAGCCTAAGAATGAAAAAATGTCAATTCTAACAGGAGGGCATCCTAAAAAATACTTGACCAGTACTCCTCAAAACTGTCAAAGTCATAAAAAAACCAAGTCTGAGAAACTGTCACAGCCAAGAGAAGCCTAAGGAGACATGAAGACAAAACGTAATGTGGAACAGATAGAGTATGTTAAGTACAAGCTAAAGAAATCTGAATAAACTATGGCTTTAGACAAAATATAGTAATATCAATAATATAACAAAAGTAATATATCACTAACTGTAAGTTAGTAATAATATATCACTACTGTCCATTAATTTTAAGAATTGTACCATACTAATTTAAGATGTTAATAAGAAAAAAAAGTGGGCGTGGGATATACGAAAACTCTGTACTCCCTTTGCAATTTTTTTTTTTGGTAGATCTAAAACTATCCTAAAAATATATAGTGTTCATGAAGGGTTGGGGGTGGAAATCCAAGATTTTATGAGACACGAATGTTTCCTCCCATCACCAAGAAGATAGTAGTAACTTATCTGACTAAGCTCTGTAGAAGCATTTGGACAGGAGGCAAAGCCCAAAGATGACTACAGCACCTGAGAACTCAAAGTTGTTGGTTGTTTCCAGGGCTGAGATGAGAAAATTTAGGAGAAGACAGAGCTTCCTCCTAACTTAGGGATGCCTGGCAGGGTCATTTCTACTTTATTAAAAAGGGGTCTGTCTCACTAGTACAAGTGTCACTGAAAGTTCGGTGGTCTTTTCAATGACTTTTCTCTGGAATTGCATCTATCCATGGTCACCTACGGAGGTCTTTATACCATGGGCTTTTGTATTAGTTCTCTATTGCTGTAGTAGCAAATCACAAACTTTGCGGCATAACACAATACAAATGTATTATCCTTGCAGACCTGTAAGTTAGAAGACCAACATGGGTCTCACTGGGCTAAAGTCAAAGTGTCAGCAGGGCTGTGTTCCTTTCTACTGGCTTAGCGGGTAATCCATTTTCTTTCCTTTTCTAGCATCTGGAGGCTGCCCTCATTCCTTGGTCTGTGGTCCCTTTCCTCCATCTCAAAGCCAGCAGTGGGGGCAAGGCTCAAATCCCTCTCACTGCATACTCTAAATCTCCTCTTCTACTTTTAAGTTTCCTGTGATTTTATTAAGCCCACCTGAATAATCCAGGCCAATCTCCCTATTTTAGGATCAGCTGATTAGCAACTGAAATTCCCCTTTGCCACATAAAGTAACATATTTACAGATCCTAGGGATTAGGGCATGGATGGCTTTGGGAGAGTGATTATTCTGCCTACAATAGCTTTTTCTGTTAAGGGAACAAGTTCTGTTCTTAATACCCTTCTCTACAACATATGGGTTCACTTTTTTCCCATGTGAGATTGCCAGAAGAAAATGCAAAATCTGCACCCCCCAACCCAGTCCCTTAAACAAGAGAAGTTTTACTACATTTAACTAAAAGGATACTTGTTTCAGTGGTTATAATATGTGGCTTCAGGTAAACATGGGAACCAGCTCTTGGTGGCCTCAGCAGAATGTTGGGGTCTCACCACACTCTCTTGTACTTGACACAGCTAGTCTAGTCACCGAGGTTGACATATGGCCCTTGGAGCACAGCCAAAAAAGAGAACTTAGAGGCGGTGTTGTGATGGGAGCTGACAGCAGGATCTATAGTCCCAAGTCCTACAGTTTCCACCCATCTTTGTTTTGGTCTGTTTCATAGGCTCTGCAGAGTTGGAAGTCTGCCAAGCAAATGGCCCCTAGGCACTTATTCACTGTTTAGCCAACCATGTGATGCGGCTGTCCTCCAATTGCTCGTAGGCATGGAAGGAGATGGAAGCACCATTGGATGGCTTCAGGCAGTCGAAACAATTTGAGTTGAAACATTATTTGAGGTCTCATGTAAGCCATGGGAGTTAAATTTAAACACAAAACAGGCATACAGGGCCCAGGGAACAATATTCATCACTGTTCTTTGTCCTTTGCCATGCCATACCCTGTTATCTTTTTAGATTGAGAATGAGAACCATTTCCTTGGTTTAAAAGTCTGCTCCTACTTAGAGAAGAAGTGCCATGCCTTTGTGCGTGGGTGTGCATCTGTGTGTGTCCACATGCCCTGAGCATTTGTAACGGCCTTGGGGAGAACATAGAACTTGACCTGGTAAGCTGGCTAATTACATAGGAAATGTAGATACAATAAGCCACCTAAACCAAGGACAGCCAGGGTGGAGCTGGCATTACTTATCTCACAGATTCATAAGCATGTATGGGCATCTCTGGTGCTAGGAGATGGGTCAGGAGCTATGAATACAAAGACAAGGACCTGCCTTCCAGAGCTAGTTGGTTCCTAAAGGGCAGCCACCTTGTTGGCCCTCGGAGCCCAGCACAGTGCCAGGTACCTGATAAGCACTTATTAAGTACCTGGAGGATGTTTTAATGTGAGAGGGGGGGACGCTGCATCCCGCAAACTGCAATGCAATATGAGGGCCCTCACACAGTCCTGAACCAAGTCCTGAGAGCAGCGTACTCTTCCAGGGTTGAGGCAGCAATAGATGAGCGTTTTGGAGCCACAGGCTGTCAGCAGAACCCTAAGCAAAGGCACCTGGTGAAGCCTTGTCATCTCACTGGCCTTCGTCTTCATGCATCACCTGAGTTAAGTTTCCTCTCTTCATCTCATTCTCTGTGGCTCTTTGACCTTCATGTCTATATCCTTCTTATTTATGAATCCTGAACAGCCAGTCATTTATTTTTGCAGTGGCTCAGTGCTGCTTAAAAAGTGCCACATCAACTACTAGTCCACTGAATTCCTAAGAGGTAACCTTGGAAACAGCTCTCAGTGGGGCTAGTAAGCAAACAGACATGCTGTGTTCTGGTTGGATCGATTTGCTGGTGAGTTAATTCTGGGTTTGTCTGAAGAGTCGGTGGTTTACCCTGAAGAGCACTGTTTGTGGAAACTCTCTCCTGTCATCGATGATGATGATGGTGAGGGCACACACATTGTATGTCCCTTGTATCAGGTGCATCGATATAACACTTGGTTTTTTACATGTATTAACTCATATAATCTTTGCAACAATCCAATGAGTAGGTACTATTATTATCCTCATTTTACAGATGAGGAAAATGAGGCCCAGAGAGGTTATATAATCTGAACAAGGCCACACAGCTAGAAAGTGGAGCCAAGGTTTGATCCTGAGCCAGCTGGCTGCAGAGCTCTCACATCCTTAACACTATGCTATATGTTGTCCCAGTTTTATGTAGCAACATTTGCTTTCTATACGAAAATGTTTCGTCCATTAGGTTAGGCAGAGGAAGTGCTCCCCAAACACAATGCATATCTCTAAAAAAGGCCTGAAAATACATATCACACCATTTTTGCAAACCACATTTGTTGTGAAGGCATGGGAACACAGTCACTTCTGCATTCCCACGTAAAGCCAGGAGAAAATTTAATGGAGAATAATCTTGCATAAGCTAAGCCCTAGGGGTTGCCTGGTCATTCTATGGAGGCTCAGCCCCTGCAAGGACAGATTAAAAAGGAGGTGATATTTGAGCAGTGTTTTTGTTTGTTTTAAATAATGGTTGATTTTTTTTCTGACTATAAAAGAAAAACATGCTCTTTAAGATAACTTGGAAAATATTTTTAAAAAGAGAAAATAATCCTACTGCTTAAACTCTGTTACATGTTATATTTTCTCACAAGTGTGTCTATGTTTTATATATAGTTTCAAAACATACTGGGTTCTATAGCCTGCTTTTTTCATGTCATATAATCTTGTTATATTTCTATATGCCATAAAAATATCACTTTAAGTGGCTTCTCAATCTGTATTGAAGGTACACACCGTACATAACCATTCCGTAACTGTTGAACGTTTAGGTAGTTTCCAGTTTTTGGAAGGGGACAGTTGGGTCATTTCCCAGCTATGAAGGGTGAGTGGGTGCTCACAGGCAGACCAGCAAGGAATGTGGGGCCTCTGGGAACTCGTGCACAGTTCTATATGAGAGTTAGGGCACACGCTATTTTCTTTCTTCTTCTTTTTTCTTTCTTCTCTTTTTCTTTTTTTTTTGAGACAGGGTCTCTCTCTGTTACCCAAGCTGGCGTGCAGTAATATGATCACAGCTCACTGCAGCCTTGACCTCCTGGGCTTAAGTGATCTTCCCACCTTAACCTCCTGAGTAGCTGGGACTATAGGCATATTCCACCATGCCCAGCTAATTTTTGTATTTTTTGTTGTGGAGACAGGGTTTCACCATGTTGCCCAGGCTGGTCTCGAACCCCTGGGCCCAAAAATGCTGGGATTACAGGCTCAAGCCACCATGCCCAGCTGGCACAGGCTATATCCTTTCTCTTTCATGGGTAAGGAAGCCAACATCCGGAAAACTTCAGGGACTTCCCTGAAAAGATCCCTAACAGGATGATCCTAACAGTGAGTTGTCTCCTTTCTCCAATGTCTTAGTTTGGAGTTGCTTGAAAGCAGGAAAGAAATCCCAGGAAAGGAAAGAAGAACAAAGAAAGTATGACAGACCCAAGAAGAGACAATAAAGGTGAGTTTCTGAGCTGGTCATGTGGGGGTAACTGGGGCTTAATCCCTACTGGGGCTCTCTGAGAAACTGCAGAAAGTGTCTCAAGGCGACTTTCCCACTAGTTGAGGTTACCCCCAGGGAGTTCTCTCTCTCCACACTTCCAGGCTGTGCAGAGTGCAGGCTGAGGGGGCTTCAGAAGCCAAAGCCTTGAGACAGAAAAGGGGAGGTGTGAGAAGCTGCCACCCTGGGCTGCCACAGAGGGGGTAGGATGTGGGGTGCACAAGCATCTGCTGTGCCCACCCAGAGAACTGGGGGCCAGAGTCTTTCTCCCCTTTCCCCAGGAGAGAAATCACAGGAAACTGGTGGGGAGTTAGTATATTTTTAGGAGCAAATCCGGGAACAGAACATGCTCTTTTCCTCCAAGGAAGAAGCAACCAAGAATGAGCAGGTTGCAGAATCCTGTTCCTCATATATGACACTAGGCCAATGCCATGCAAAAACAGCATTTCCTCAGTCCCAACTCTATGGCAAGCCCATGCTGCTGAGATGATCAGGATGTCAGTCCTGTCCCTAGCCTGGCTCAGGTCTGGTCTGAGAAAATGCAGGCCATGCTGGCTGGGCAGCTCACTCTCAGTAGGGTATGACACTGTCCTGAGAAAACTCCTGGGGCCAGGCCCTGCGCCGAGGACTGTCCATTCATTATTTCATGCTTTACGACTCTTCTGGGAAGAGACACCTTCCTGGGAACGGGGCTGAAGTTTTGGAGCTTGTGCGTCATGTTAATACAATCGTGATCACAGCACTGGGGAAAGCCAGTGACCCCTTCATCTGATGGAATGGGGACTTGGAAAATGTACTCATTCCTTTCCTCCCAGTCTTACAGAATGATTGAGTACCTACTGTATGCCACACACTATTCTAGGAAAGAATGAACCCTGGCCCCAGGAGCTCACAGTCACACATGACCCCAGTCTCAGTGGGCTGAGGGCCGACTCTGGTCTAGCTCCAGTGGTGAAGGAGCACCCCTAGGTGAGCCTCACACTGCCAGGGGGGACCAGGGAGGGCTTCATGGCAAAGGCAGTGCCAGACCCTTTTGTGGACAGATCTCTACTCTTCTATCTCACTCACCACAGTTTGCAATTGTGCATATCTGAAGGACAACCTGTCTCCCCCCACTATTTTGAGTGGTCCAAGAGGACTGAGGCTTTGTGCACCACTGTCCTGCCAGGACCTGACACACAACACATGCTAAATACATATTTACTGAATGGATGAGTGGTCTGTTGATGCTGGCCCTGAGCAGTCTTCCCCTTCCAGCCCAAATACACAGCTCTCCCTTCTACACCAGAGCCAGGACGTTAATCATCAGAGGGTCTGGGCTTTAAGAAAAGAAGCTGGAATGGGGAAGGCTGAGGAACTGAGGCAGCAATGGAGGAAGCAGAGAGGGTGAGCAAGTGCTGGTTCTGAGAGGAGGGGTTCAGGACACTGACTGTGAAGCATTTTTGCTTATAACTTAGGCCTCTTTAGCATGAATGACTAAGCCCTGTCAGCAACTGGAAATCCATGGACTACTGCATTGGAAACAGCAAAACATTGCCAGTCACTGTGCAGCACAGACCCATTGCAGCACCCTGATTTTTTTTTCCTAAACCAACAATTCATGTTGACAGCAAATCTGTACAGAGAACCTATTAAAAGAAATTGTAGTAAATCGAAGATGCTTTAACTGCCTGTCTGACGTTCTGCTGATTGCATGCCTGACACTTCCACTATAGCTTCCTTTTGTACAACCTTCCATTTGATTCGATTCAATGGATAATTATTCAGTCTTGACTGTGGGCAAGGCAATGTGATGAGAGCCTCATTCCAGTTGCATCTTCTAGGCATAATTTAGCTCGTACACAAAAATAAACACGCACAATATAAGCATAGAGTGGCAAAGGCCATAAGAAACTATAAAAACCATTTCAAAGAAGATAACATTTTACCCATGTGAGCAAGTGTGGGGTAGCTGGTACAGACTCATTCATTTAAATGTGCATTTGACAGCATTGCTGACCAATGTTCCCAGGTCAGGCCCTGTGCTGTGTCCTGGGGTAAAAGGGATGAGTAAGAACCAGCCCCAGAGTACAGCATAGTACTCTATGGGAGCCTGGGGATATCACTTAAGTCATCTGAAAGTGGAAATCAGGGAGGGCCTCAAGAGGGAGGACATGCTTCAGTTGCTTCTTAAAGGGGATTAGGAGTTCACCAGGTGAAGAGGGAACAAGACATACAAAAGGGCTGGAGACATGAGAACAGGGAACATTTTTGGGAAGGTTTGCTGGAGGGTAATGGAACTGTGGAGTGCCCTTAGAGAGTTAAGTCAGGGCCATACAAGCCAGAACATACCAAGTATGAGTTTAATCCTGAAAGCAATGGGGAGCCACAAGATACAAGCAGAGTTTTGCAAGTCTGTAGGATGGCTGGGAACAGGTTCCCTAATGGATCCATTCAAGCAGAAGTCTTCATAGGATGTACACTACCCTGATGATACAGTTTGAATTAGCCTGGGCTCTGTAGAAAGGTAGATCTTGGATTAATCCCAGCTCTGACTATTACTTAACTTGTTCCCCCTCTAAAGTGGGAATCATGATACTTAGCTCACAGGTTTATAATGAAGCGTAGATGACATGGCACATACGAAATGCCCAGCACAGTAGTGCATGCCTTCGTAAGCATCCTCTAACTCTTGGTTTACCCTTTCCCTGCCTTTTCTCAGTACATGCCAACAACGCATACATACTGGGAGGGAGGGAAGGACTGCCCAGTGATGACCTAGTGGAATAAGAATGACTTGGCAAGCCAGCAGAGCTCAAAAACAAAACTGGAGGAGACTTTAAGAAATTATCATCTATCTCCTTGTCTTGGGTTTCAAACAGATGCAAAGAGACAGCAAGGTGAAAAAGGGACTAGAAAAGCCCCACACAATGCTTCATGACATTGAAGGACATTTTGGAACAGGTGGCATGGTGAAAGTACCCAGGCAGACTGGAGAAGGAATATTTTACAGGTGTTAATGGAGTCTGGAAGCTGGACACTTGAGGAAAGATGAAGATGGTATGGTGATGGCCTGGGGGCTGTAATGGGTGGTGGTGCTGATAGTGGAAACTGTGTTGAGATGAAGTTTCAGAGGTGGCAAGAAGCAGAAAAAAAATGGTGCTCAATTCTCACAGCACCTGGACTGTGGTCTCTAAATAAATATGAATGCTATTACCCACTAAAAGCAATCAGAGCTCCTTGGAGAAATGGCTGATTTTAGATCTAAAAATATATAGAACAAAAAATAGATGAGAAGAGCCTGGAACTAGAAACCAGTAAGCAATAGATTTCTACTAGATAGGGTTGTATCAAAGAGGCTTCCAATGGCCAAGGACAGAAAAATTTGAGCATCAATAAGGATATCAGCAATGGACCAAAACACATCAAAAATATTTAAATCCATGAGTTAATAATGACACTAGAAAAACAATATATAACACATTGCTACTCACCTCTGGAGGATGCTAGGAAACCCACTCATTTTGAAAACTGGTAAATAAAGGGAAATAATCTAACATTTATCCTGTTTTTCTAAATCGAAATGTATCTCTGGCTGGTCAAATACTTAATGAGGAAATGTTTAATGAATGAGAGTATTACCACTTGGAAATCCCTAATGGATTAATTATCTAGGCAATGATCATCAATAGCTCCTAACATCACAAAAAGAGAGACAACCAGAAGTAATGCTTCCCCATCTTCCCTGAAGAGACACACCACCATCAGTCCTATATCTACCCATCAGTTTTTGGGAAATGCAGGGGTCAGGGGAACATGACACCATCAAGATACAAGTAGCAAAGTCTAGACTGTGGAAAACTCTACAGGTTTCTTTAATAAATATATTTTATGACAGGATGTCCACCAGCTGCAGTGCATGGGCCTTATTTCAATCTTGATTCTAACAAACCAGAAAAACAATAAATAATAAGTTGGGCATGTGACTCATGCCTGATGAAACAATCAAAACTATGAGACTGAATAGCTGAACATGTTAAGGAATTATTAATTTTTTTACATGAATATAGTTGTGTTTTTTAAAAAGGATCCTTATTTTTAAGAGCTATAAATATATATGCTAAAATGATATATCTGGTAACCACTTCAAAATAATAAAATAATCTTCCAGCAGGGGCAGAGGGTCAGATGGGAAGTGTGAATGAAGCCAAGATTGGCCATGGATTGATCATTGTTGGCTGCTGGGTGCATTGGTAGTGTATTACACTATCTACCTTTGTAATTGTTAGAAGTTTTCCACAGTCAGAAGTTCTTCTTCTTTTTTTTTTTTTTAAATGATACTTTAGAACTGGATTGCGGGGGTAAAGCAGAAGTGACACACAGGCTTGTTTTGTAACATAAGGAGGCAGATCAAAGCAAGAAGCTTTTCAGACTCAGAATAATGTCCATCTGAAAAAAATATTCAACTAATGTAGCAAGCACAGATTACTATATTTAATATATAATGACTTTACTGTCAAAATCCATAATGAAAGTCTATCAAAGCCCCTAAGGAAAGTCAACAAATTACATTAAGTGGCAATTTGTGTAAAGAAAAAAATTATACTATTTAGTCAATATTGGAGAAAATATCCATCTTCACTGGTCTCCACTGAAATGTAGGTGAAACAGTGAAAGGGCTCTTTTCTATGAGTAGCAGCCCAGGGTCCTCTCACCACCTTCTTCCCTTCATATCTGCTCCGCCCACTTCCTGGATCCAAGGGCAAACACCAGCTCTGCTGAGGAGCCTCCAGGGGTTGCTTGTGACCTCTGGATCCCTCAAAGTCTCCTGTTTTCCCCCCAAGTTACTGTCTTCTCTGGCTGTGACCTTCAATACAAATGCCTTCCTGGAAGGGGCAAAGGAGTGGATTTGTGGTTTATACATTCATCCGTTAGGAAGGGGCTGCTAATCTGTGATGACAGCACAAAGGACCCCAGGGAGATGCTGTGTCCCCCACAATACGTCTTCAGGGGAACCAAGAGGGCTCGCTCACCATGGCCATCCCTTGGGCTCCACTGTGGCTGAAGGTTGCTTAGAGCCACCCTTTTTATTCCTTTATTAGTTATGTGTGTTTTCAGAACCCAATCAATGAGCCCAAACCAATGTAACCTTTAACCTGTCAAAATCTACAGGGAGGCATTTCAGCTCAGCCATCAACCCAAACATATGAATTTTCAAAACCATGTTTAACCTATGGGTGGAAGCCGAATGGAAAATCTTGCCAAAAACTTATGTGCACATCAATAAAACCCACCTCAGTTTCTGTTTTAATCTATTTATTCCAAACTATGTGGGAGAATTGGAAAGGCCTATTAGCCTTCACTGATTAGGAGCTCTTACAGTAAGATACTTGTACTTTTCCTATTACCGTCACTAATCAGAATGACAACACCCTCTCTACTCCAGCTATGGAGTGGAGCTCACTGTCAGGTCTTAGGAAAAGCAAGTAGCAGGCTCACAGCTCACAAAGGCCCAAAGCTTCTTTGTATTGTTTCAGAATCCTACCATTATGTAGGAGCACAGAACAGCAAGCAGTAAACTTAGGTAGAGCTTTTCTTCCGCAAGTCCTTTACTCCTTCATTTCTTTGTTCATCTTCACCCCTTCCCTCCTATCTCTAAATATCAGACACCCCCACCTACCCCCCATAGCTACCTCTAACAACAGAGCCACAATAAGGCAGGTCAGGATGATATAAAAACCCTTCAAATGCAAGAGGAGGAGCACTCACCATCTCAACTCAAACCCCAGAGACGAGCTGGGAGGTGGCCAGGGCGCCCCCCCAACAAAGAATCGCTCCCACCACAGCACGTTCAACTTTGTCCAGGCTCTGACCTACCTTGAGGGCAAAGTGCCCCGCAGCCCATGGTCTAGGATTTCATGGCAATCATGGCATCTTCTGCCCAGAGCTGACCCCCTCCCTGTGGTTTCTACCCTTCTGCTTTCAGACCAACTGGAGGTCTGTGAAGCTATAGGATCTTCTCAAATGCTTCCCGAAGAGAATGCCTCCTGCTCGGCACAACTCTCAGCTCAGTGCGTCAGTTGCAAACAAGTGGCTGCCTATATAATTTAATACGATGCCACTGGAGACTCACAGACCTGCTGCAAAGCAAGCGGGATTCTGCCTCTCGCCTCTTGGCAACCTGAAATCTGAAGTGCCTGCTTGTTTCTGCTCATTCGGGGTATAAGTTACCTGTAGAGCAGGGTAGGGGTGAAGGCTGGGCTGGGTACTCAAATGCTGGGGGCTACTGAGAAAAGAGTCTCACCTGGGGGATCTGAAATTTCTTAGCTGACTCACAGACTCAAGGTCATGGGGATCTGACAAAGGCAGAGGTAAATTGTGGGTATAGCTGGGTGACCCCAAGGCCACACTGGACACAGAGTGGCTATGCTGTGCTCTCAAAGCTTTTTCTCAGTTGTTGTGGGGAGAGCCTGTCCTATCAGGTGAGATAACTTAAACTAGATCACGAAGATCTAACTACTAGTTTAGGTTGTCTCTTATGATAGGACAGGCTCTCCCCACAGGAGAGGAGGGCATTTACATCCACTTTTCTAAGCACAAGTGTGTAATCTTAGGCATGCATTAAGGAAAAGAAGAAAACTTTCTCATTTTTGAATAACTGTCATTCTGGCCCTTTGGGTTTGCTGCTTGGTTGGCTTAATGCTAAGCCCTGCCTGGAGGCAGGCCCTGGAACCGTATACCTGTTTCCGCTTGCATATAAGGCAGGGAGATGAGCAGCACTGGCCCTGGGCTAAATGGATTGCTCAGGTGCCGGGACCAGTTCATCTGCACCCTGCTGGAGTAGCCCTGCAGGGTGGTGGTGGCAGGAGACTATCTGGGGTACTTCACCCTTTTGGAAAAGGACAAAACTCTAAGTCTCCACAGATCCCCTAAAAGCCCTAGAAGGAGGAATCCCGAGATGTAATTACTATGCTACCCATGATCATTTGAGAAAGGGGCTCTTTCCATAACCATCGGCTTTATGATGATCAGCTAAGAAGCGCGATATTCTTCAAGGAGCCAATGGCTAAAAGGTACAGAGTATGCAAATTTAGCTAACATTCTTGGATTAATAACTATTATGTAACTGTTAGGCTGAGCCTCTTGCACACATTATCTCATTTAATCTATAGGATGCAGACTTTGTAAATGAATTTATCATACCTACTGCCTAATGCATTAGAGTATGTAAAAGAGAAATCTAGAAATAGCACTGTAGGACTGAACTAAAAGGTTTTGATTCATGGCAAAGGAAATTTAATTAAAGCATGTAATGTCAATTACTGTCATTCATAATCATATTATACCTCCCCAGAAATAATACAGATATAAAAGTCTAGAGTTACCTGCATGTTTGATATAAATAGGATAAAATTATCTAGGTTCTGAAAATATCCAGATATCAGACAGAAAAAAAAAAAAGCATCTCTACCTAGCCTCATGTGTCATCAAATTTCATTAGGTAGGGACGTGAGTATCCAGCAGCAGGAAAACCCTTCCCTCCTCTGAGAGCAAGTCATAAGGCTTTCGAAGGTGCCTGAAAATCTGGGGTTTAACATACTCATGAGCTTTTAGCTGCTAGAGATGAGATGCTCTCCTTGTTTTGACAAGCCCCAGGAGAAACCAGAGAACTCTCAATAAACTTCCACTAGTTTGGGGACCCTGTATAGTGATAAGGACCAGATCCTCTCATGGGGCAGTTTTGAGGTCTAGTGGAAAGAAAGAGCCACAGGAAAGCATCAGGGCAAGAAAAACACAGCACACTGACCAAGCCACAGCTAGGCCTCAACTGGTCCTTCCAGGGTGTGATGGTTAACATAGAGTATCAACTTGATTGGACTGAAGGATGCCTAGATAGCTGGTAACATATTGTTTCTGGGTGTGTCTGTGAGGGTGTTGCCAGAGGAGATTAACATTTTGAGTTAGTGGACTAGGAGAGGCAGACCTGCCCTCAGTCTGGGTGGGCACCATCTAAATGAGCTGCCAGCACAGCTAGAATAAAGCAGGTAGGAGAAGATGGAAGAGCAGACTTGCTGAGTCTTCCGGCCTTCATCTTTCTCCTGTGCTGGATGCTTCCTGCCCTCAAACATCAGACTCCAGTTCTTCAGTTTTTGGACTCTTGGACTTCCACGAGTGGTTTGCCAGGGGCTCTCAGGCCTTTGGCCACAGACTGAATGCCGTGGGTCTCAGACTGACCCACCACTGGCTTCCTTGCTCCTCAACTTGCAGACAGCCTATTGTGAGACTTTACCTTGTGAGAGTGTGAGTCAATTCTCCTTAATAAACTCCCTTTCATGTATGCTTATATCCTATTAGTTCTGTCCCTCTAGAGAACCCTGACTAATACACATGGGCATCCAACACCCTGAGGCTTCATTCTCTTTTCCCTTAATCACTTAGCATATGTAGTATTGGCAGACCCAGAGCTCAATAGTGGGGTTAACACAAGATCCACCAGATCAGCAAGGTCCTTGCATTCTTTGGATTACAGTGCAGTGGGGAAAACAGACATTAATCTAAGAAATACACAAATTAATAAATACAAGCAAAGTTCTACTGTGTCCTAGTTTCTGCATATCTGAAATAGATTTAGAGAATATCTATTCCATGGGGTGGCGGCAAAGATGAAATGAGTCAATATGTACAAAGATCTTGACTTAATAAAAATTCTACTGGTACTACTATTATTCTTAGTACTAATGTGTAGCTTCAGCTGTTACCAGATGTGTGACCTTGGGCAAGTTACTTAACTCTCTCATGTCTCAGTTTTCTCATGTTACAATTTTCCCATAATGATCAGTTTGAGTAAAATGGGATAACAACAATTCTTCGTGAAAAAGATTAAATGAGTAAATATGCAGGAAGGGTTTGGAACAATACCTGGCACATGGTAAGAATCTATCTGATCAATGTTAGTCGCTAGTGGTGATTATTATTTTGCAAGAATCTGGGGAGTAGAATCCTAAGACAATACATCAGCTCATAATATGCTTACAATCTAGCTCAGAGTTTCTCAACAGAGGCACTATTGATCTTTGGACAGGATAATCCCTTGTTGTGGGGGGCTGTTCTGCACACTGTAGAATGTCTAATAGCATCCCTGGCCCCTACCCACTAAATGCCAGTAGCAATCCCCCACTCCCACAGTTGTGACAACCAAAAATATCTCCAGACATTGCTTAGTGTTCCCCGGAGGAGAGGCTGGTGGGAGCAAAGTCACCCCCATGGAGAACTACTGATCTAGCTGGGAAGTACCACATACAGAGAGGAAGAAAGAAGAATGCGGAGCTAGAACCTGTGGTAAAAGAGCAGCAGTAAGTCCATGAAGGGAACTCATTGACAGAAACAGGGAAGGTTCCTTAGAAGACAGAGCCTTAAATGGTGCTTCATGACCATTTTAAATGTATGTCCCGCCAGGTGCTGTGGCTCACACACATGTAATCCCAGCACTTAGGGAGGGTGAGGCAGGCGGATCACTTGAGGCCAGGAGTTTGAAACCAGCCTATCCAACATGGCAAAACCCTGTCTTTACAAAAATACAAAAATTAGCCAGGCATGGTGGTGCACACCTGTAATCCCAGCTACCGTGGAGGGAGGCTGAGGCGGGAGAATCACTTGAGCCGGAGAGGCAGAGGTTGCAGTGAGCCGAGATTGCGCCACTGCCCTCCAGCCTGGGCGACGGGGAGACTGTCTCCAAAAAATATAAAATAAAATAAAAATAAATAAATAAATAAATAAATAAATGCCCCTTTTGGTAAACATAAAAATCTTTTTATTGAGATTGAAATTTCAAAACAAACATCATGCCTAAACCCAAATTAAAGCAACTATAATATAGTGAATATTATTTTCCATTACAAACAGTTCCTTCCTCTCACTAAAATTCTGATAAAGCTTCTTAGCTAAATGTCAACTCACAGTGGTTTAAATAAGCTGGGAAGAGATAACAGACAGAGAGAAGGGAGAGAGTACAGAGAACCTAGGTCATCCCTGAAGAACTTGGAGAACATTGGAGCAACGTCTGCTGATATCTCTGGAAATGAGTCTAAATGTTACCCAAGTAGTAGTGAGTCTGCTTTCAAGATAGACAATGATCCCTGGCTTCCAGCTGTTGTATCCCATTCCATCCCCTCCCCATGACAGGGACCAGCTGACCTTCAGCTGTAACTCAGTTCTGCCTCATTTTCTAAGACACATCTTGACCTGAGGCTGACTCGGGCTCAACAGCATCACTGTCTGATCCCAGGGCACTGCTTCATTCCAATAAACGACAGTTCTAATCCATTACTCACGTTCTTATAACTGAAGTTCTGCCTTGGTCCCTGTTGATGAATCCCTGTCCAAGAATCTGCTGAGCACCTCATCCCAGAGAATTGCCAAGCACCCTTACCCAATGTCTGGAGCTACAACTCCTGGGTGTCCTAAGCCTGCCTTTCTGGACATCTGAGCATCATCCCATCCAACTGCTGCCGCACTCATCTGCCCTTGGAAACATCCTACTACTTTGTCTTGGATCCTTCTGTGTTGCTGTTGAATCTCAGAAGGATCACGGCTGCACCCATGCTGGCCAGGCTGCATCTTCCCCATTAGCGTGCAGGCCAGCAATCCTAGTGCAATCCTAGCCTGGCAGAAGGGTCAGATCTCTATGACCCCCCGCCTTCCTCATTCCATTGTAGGTAACTGGCCATGCTGCAACACGACCAAAATCTCTGAGTTTTGGTTATCTCTACTGTAAGGTAGGTTAATCAGATGTCAGCCCTGCACGTGATTCAATTGTAATTTATACACATTATAAATTGAGCACCTCCTATATGAAAGATACCTTGACAGGTGAGGGAAAGAGAGGAGAACTAATGCTGAAGGTTTATTTTGTACCAGACATTGATTTCTTGCTTTAAACAATTATTTTAACTCATAACAAACCCAAGAGGTAGATATATCATCATTAACATTTTCTGTATGAGAAGATTAAGTTCAAAGAGCCAGCAAAGCATCAGGCAGGGCCCTCAACAGGGGTCCTACTGACTTCAAACCTCATGTTCATTCCCCAACACTGGGAGTGGTCTTTTTGATGGGTGCCTGGAACCCTACGAGGTTTTTATCTTTTTCTTTCTTCCTTTTATAAATTTTGATAATATATTGGGCATCTACCTTCAGGGTTAGTGACTGTACTCAGAGTATTCATACAAACTGCTCTCAGCATCCTCTCCCAGTTTTTTTCTACTATTAAAATTCAGGTCACACAGAAGATGAAATGTGTTCTCCAAACTCTCTCAAGGGAGCTGAGTACAAATAAGTATTATAACTTTATGGGAGCTGCTGTCCCAGCAAGCAAGGCATGAGTGAGACTTGGATTTCCCAGAAGGAAGTCAATGCACCCATACTGACTGGGACCATATCTACCGGGCTCGGGGCTCGGCAAGGCGCTCTGGTCCCTCTCTCTCTCTGCTGAAGACATGAGGTATGCCAGGGATTGCCCATGGTGAGTTACACACCAGCCCTGATGGGGTGCTGTTTATGAAAGGGACACAGGGCAAGGTATTTGAAAACATCACATTTGCATAATGAATTATCTCCTCTCCTGACCCCACCCTCACTTTTAAGATTAGCATTTAAGGCTTTAAAAATACCACCAAAAAAAATACACTAGAGATTATACTGGCTTTTCCCTACAGTGAGACATGGCAGGGTTGTGTCATGAGATTGACCTTTACATGGGTTGACCTGAGCAATTTTACAGTCAAGTATAAACTGCTACATTACAGGGTTTGAGTAACACATAGATGGAACCTCATCACCTGTTACAGCCAGGTGCCTGGGCATGCTCATCAGTCACATTTAGGACATAGAGAGGAGACAGAGAGCCAAGCATATAACACAGGCCTGGAAGAAGTTACTCATCCTGTATGGGAATTTTTCTAAAGACACAACCAACATTTACCCTGAGACTTAACCTATAGACTTATAGGAGTCATAGCCATGTTCTTAATTTTCTCTATTTTTATGGAAAACCTGGCTACATTGAGAATGTACGAAACCAACAATCATGAAACAACGGGCCAGAAACCACAGAATACACTTTTACCACAGGAAAGCAATGAACTGCAAAATTTAGACTCATCTGATCCTTATAATTGGACAAGGCTAGCTTTCACATGATGACAATCATTACTGCTATATTATTGTATTTCTGTCAATATTTAAAGTGTATCTCTCCACATACTTACAAAGTGAACCTATTTGATATTTTAATAATATTCATTGATCCTAGCCTGTTTTAATATATTTAAGTCATCACACAATTGTTGGCCATTGGGTTGTTGCAGTCTAGGTAAAACTCTCCATGTAAGTTTTTATTACTTTAGGATATATTTCTAAAAGTAGAATTGCTGGGTCAGAGTGGAGGACTGATTTGGTGATCTTTTTTGCATATCATCACACTGTTCTCTAGGAAGGAAAAAAAATTATAATGCCTTCTTGAGTGTATGGGTGTATCTCTGCCCATGTTAGATTTTGTAGGTCTTTTTATTTTTGATATTGTAGTAGGTGGGAGTGGTAACTCACAGTTGTTTTAACTTGAATTTATTAACTTACCTCCCTAGGATTTGTGTACAGCTGTGTGAATTGTCTACTCATAACCTTTGACCATCTGTCCAATGAAGTCTTGATTGGGACCTCTCAGATTTTTCTAAAACTCCCTCGAAGTGTTTGGATATTATGTTTTTAGATGTCATGTTTATTACAATTATTTCCCCAATCTGTTGCTTCTCTTTTCACCTTTTTGTTTTGTTGATTTTCTTTGTACAAAAAAAGGTGTGTATTTTTTTTTAAAGTAAATGAACCCGTCAAACTTGTCACTGATAATTTCTTCAATTGCTTCAATAGTCAGAAAATTGTCTTTCCTCAACAATTGGGATAAGAATACTATTTAAAAAATTAGCTCTTTAAACCATCTGGCATTTGTTGCGGTATAGGGATACACTGACCATATTTTCTGAGTCAAAAATTGGAACATGTGATCTGACAAATGCCAGTGTTCTCATGGGTAAAATGGGACAGAATATTTGAAATTGAGACTTTCCTGGAAAATTAAGGACATATGGCCCCCATATGTATGGAGCCGGCTGTTATTTTAAACGTCCCGCTTTTTTCAGCCCCTATCAACTCTAAGCAATAGAGCTTTTTAGCCTAAGGTTCAATGTCACCCAAGTCCTGAGCCCAACCTTACGAGGGCAGGCAGAATGGCAATACAGCCATTCCTACCAGAAGGAAGGATCCAGAATTAGTTATGTTACAAAGAGCCTGGTATTTGCCCCTCTAGATCCAGGCCTTCCCACCTTGTTCCCCTCTCCATGTTTCAGTGGGCACACTTGCTGTCTGTCCTCAGCTCCCATTAGATCAATGGGAAGTACCCCAAGAAATCTGGGAGAGAGGGGAGAGACAATCAGGGTATTTATGTCCTGATTCCCCTGCTGTAAGGTCACCATGATCAAAGGTCATTGGCCTTGTCTGTTGGGTGGCCCTCCCCACACCACTTTCTCTATCCTGGAATTTAGTAACCATTCACATCCCTCCCGTTTCAGGCTTAGGAGCAATAACAGCTCCCCACAGTTCCCAGCCCCAGGATAGAGTATACTTAGCCCATTCCTATGTGAACAAACCCTTTATTAAACTGTAGTTATGTTAATCAATTGGAGTGTGCCATGGTGTCCAGCGGGGACCCTTCCTCATATACCCAGTACCCAGGCTGCCTCAGTGAACAAGTACATATACAATCAGAGTTAGTTTTCCCCAGACCCCATTACAGTTGGCTCTGTGCACTCAAGGGTTAAAAATCTAGTTCCTCCTAGAAGTACAGCCCTCCCCTAGACCACTGCCTACTTGGCTACTTTGCCAGCCCCTTCTTTATACGACAAGCCCTCTCAACTCCACCTATGGACAGCAGAATTGCTACACTCCAGATAGACCACCAGGCACAGCAATCCAGCTGCTCATGCTGACCTGAAATCCTGAATTCCAGTCTTGGTTCTACCCTGTCCTAGCTGCTTTCTTTTCCCCTAGGGCCAACGCTGAGGTCTCAGCATGCCTCTGGGTTCATCTATGTAGTAATAACCAGTGGCTTCTTCCTTCAGGGGCAACCAGAATACCAGAGATTATATAATGCATTTAAGATAAACTGGTTGGGAGGCTGAGGTGGGAGGATCACTTGAGGCCAGGAGTTTGAGACCAGACTGGGCAACAACAAAAAAATTTAAAAAATAGCTGGGTGAGGTGATGCATGCCTGTAGTCCCAGCTACTCAGGAGGCTGAGGTGAGCAGATCACTTGAACCCAGGAGTTCCAGGCTGCAGCGAGTTTTGATCTTGTCACTGCACTCCAGCCTGGGCAACAGAGTGAGACCCTATATCTCTATAAAAAAAAAAGAAAAGCAAAGAAAGATATACTGGGCTGAGTATTATACATAAGGATTGGTTCAGTCATCACCATGAATTAGTGAGTATTAATTGTCTAAGCTGCCTGTTCTGGCCCTCAACACCCATCTTTATGGGCTATCCATTTCTTCTGGGTCCTTGAATTTTGCTTTTGGTGCTCTTTGGAAGATTTTGCAATGCCTCCACTGACCCACCTCTTACCAACAGCACTGCCTGATGTCCTCCTGTGTGTTCCCATTAACAATCTGGATTCCGCTTCTGCCAAATCCTTACCATTTGGGGCCAACCTCAACATGCCCCTCTCTGTGAGGAAACCATGAGCAAAGGGATGCTGGGGGGTTAGGGGGTGGGTAGGAAGCTGCAAACCTGCCTCCCTGAAGCCACCACATGGTGTCTGAAGTGAGGACCTCAAGATTCAGCTCAACAAGCATTCATGGAGCCAGGTTCAGTACTACAAAGGCACGCTGAAAATGACATGAGGCAAACAGGAATGAGATAGTAAGGCAGTAAAATGGGAGCACAGACAACAAGCAAGTGGTGACAGGACTGGTAAGGCTTTGGAGAAGAAGCAGGGCTCAACCTAGAACTTGAAGGTAGAGGAGAAGAAGCAAGCCCAGAAGCAAAGTCTTCAGAGCAGGAATCAGCAATGGTGGCCATATTGCCTAAGGGTACAGGCAAGGGAAAACAAAAATTATGCTACACCTGTTTCCATCCAAGCACCTCATGTTCCCATCTGATATCCACTAGGCTGCATCTCTGAATCCCCAGAGCCTAGAAACATGGTTGAGAAAGTATCAGTAAAATAAAAGCATGAATGAATATACTTAAAAAGCATGAATGAATATACTTAACTCTGTTATTGCCAAAAGCCAAGAGTTCAGTAGTTCCTTTGAATCCTACACCTGCAGGGGAAACAGGTCACCCAAGAGAAGAAGTGGTGTGTGACAGATGCTTTTAAGAAGTCAAGTTGGCCAGGTGTGGTGCCTCACGCCTGTAATCCCAGCACTTTGGGAGGCCAAGGTGGGCGGATCATGAGGTCAGGAGATTGAGACCATCCTGGCCAACATGGTGAAACCCCGTCTCTACTGAAATACAAAAAATTAGCTGGGCTTGGTGGCACGCACTTGTAGTCCCAGCTACTCAGGAGGCTGAGGCAAGGGAATCGCTTCAACCCGGGATGCGAAGGTTGCAGTGAGCTGAGATTGCACCACTGCACTCCAACCTGACGACAGAGCGAGACTCCATCTCAAAAAAAAAAAAAAAAAAAAAGAAGGGGGGCGCCGGGCATGGTGGCTCACGCCTGTAATCCCAGCACTTTGGGAGGCCCAGGCGGGCGGATCACAAGATCAGGAGATCAAGACCATCCTGGCTAACACGGTGAAACCCCATCTGTACTAAAAATATAAAAAATTAGCTGGGCGTAGTGGCAGGTGCCTGTAGTCCCAGCTACTCGGGAGACTGAGGCAGGAGAATGGCGTGAACCCGGGAGGCGGAACTTGCAGTGAGCCAAAATCGCACCCTGCACTCCAGCCTGGGGGACAGAGCGAGACTCCATCTCAAAAAAAAAAAAAGGAAGTCAAGTCAGCAAACATTACAAAACACCTTGATATATAGCATCCCACGTTGTCCCATGGCTTTTGGAAACTGCCCTTATGTCATTTATTTTATGTGTAGCAGCCTCTGCCTTCTACCCTCCTGAAGCTTCGTGGGGAGGCTCTTTTCCCCTCGGTTCTCATGGTGCCTGGATTCTCAGTGGGCCTGGTGAATAGATCATAGGGGCTCTGCTCTTAGGCTGCACCCCTAAGAGCTTAGTCAATGTACCTGTGGACAGCCAAGCAATGAGGGCTTTTTGTCTTGTACCTGAGACTTCTGCCCTACATCTCCTCCACATCTCCCTCTTTAAAGCAGCCTCAAGCTCCTAGTGTCACAGCTATTGACCTTGAAAATGCAGTCTTTTGCTGCACTCTCAATACCTGTCTTGGGCTCCACATACCTTTTCTTCAGGCACTGGCCATCCACCATCCTAAGTTAGAGTCTCACTTTCTTCCTGTTAATAGTATGAATACCATACCTTACATTTGCTTAATGCTTCCCAAAGCTTACATATGCATCTTATTTAACTCTATAGCAATCCTGCTAAGTAGGTATTGTGATCTCCATTTGATGCTGAGGCTCAAAAGAGGTAAGAAGTTTGTTCAGCTGGACAGCAGCATCGGGCACTGCCCAAAGGTCCTCCCTGTCCAGGACTCCTTATCCTCAGTCATAGTTGCTGCCTCGCTACTTCTCACTTGCTCTGAAGAGTATGATTAAGTAGAGCTGATGGCTTCCTGCCTCCATGCTGCTGAACTGGTCCACGCATCAAGTAAAGTTTGGATTGGTAGGCTACAAGGGGCAAGGCCCCTTCCAACTCTGAGTCTCTCTGACTCTCTAACCCCACAATCCTTCGACCTGTCGGCAATTTTCCACAAAGCAAGCTTCTCCCTTCAACTCCCCCCAACTTACCACATGCTATTTTTTGACACTCAACTATTACTATACATTTTGTGGAGCTAGGCAGTCAACTGGATAGCAATTCCCTATCTCCAATTTCCTGCAGCGTTGTGGAAAATTGTGTTACATTGGGCAAATGAAAGAGCTAACAGCAGCAGGGGGAAAAATCATTAAAATATAGTCGTTTTTGTTTAATCCTGCCTCCCTCAGCAGATTTGGTTGGTGACCTCTCTCTGAGTCATAAAAAGGCTTTAAAACTTGCTCTGATTTACATCTGTAGGAAATAGAGTTTATGTCTTGCGTTTTAATTTTTTTTTCATTCTCAAACCATACTTTATTCCCGTCTATGTGGAATTTCTTGATAATACCTCAGGACAAAAATATACATACATAATAGCTTTTCGGCTTTATGGTGTGGATTAACCAAAACCACTCATTTTAACAAGATCCTGGAGGCTTTAAGCCAATTACCCCCGAATGTATTCTGTGAGATTTAGCTGGGCGGTCTTCTCTTGGTCAATTAAGTCATGGGAAAAGGCTCAGGATCACCAATGATCTCACTTGGAGAGTGATCTGCAAGGAAAAGCAATTAAAAAAAAAAAAGTTTTCTACCAGAGTATAGAGGCAAAAATTTTCATTATTTTTGGCATCTGAAGCATGGCAGATGGTCTAATCTTTTGCATCTCTATAGTCTGAACTCAATTCTAGAGGAAAAATAAAGAACCACAATTTAGCAGAGGTCAGGAACGCAAAGTTTGTAACTTCAGCCCCACCTCCACCCCCAAGGCTGGGGCCTCTGTGGATTATGGGCCATTACTCTTTAGTTGTAAGAAACAGAATCCCCCTCCCCTAAGCTAATTAATTAAAGGAGATTGTTTAAAAATACAGTGGTAGGCAAAATCCTGTGCCTTAAGATTTCCTGCTCCAATCCTGGGACTGTGAATGTGATGAGATATCATGCGCTATGTTAGGTTACCTGATAGAGGGATTATGTAGATGTAATCATGGGTACTAGTTTTGATTTGAGTTACCCTAAAGGAGATGATCTGCGTAAACCTAACCTAATCATTCTTACCCTTTAAAAGCAGGTAGCAGAAGAGGAAGTCGGAGAGACTTAGTATGAGAGGGATTCGTTTTGTAGGTGATTCTCTGTTGCTGACATGGAGGGGCCCTATGGCAAGGAGCTGAGAGTGGCCCCTTGGAGGTAAGAACAGTCCCTGGCCAAGGCCAGCAAGGGAATAGGGACTCCAGTCCTACAATGCAAGGAAACAAATTTTGCCAAGAACCTGAATGAGCTTAGAAGCAGATTCTTTTCCAGGGCCACCAGATAAAAACCCTGCCCAGCCAACAACTTGACGTCAGCTTTGTGAGATTCTAAACAGAGAACCCAGTTGAACCCGCTGGACTTCTGACCTATAGAACTGGGATATAATACATGGATTGTTTTAAGCTGCTAAGTTTGTGATAATTTGTTACGCAGCATTAGAAAACTAATACAGAGCCCCAGTTCACGGGCACAGGAACCCAAATGTGGCCAGGCCCCAGTGGGAAGGAGAGAAGTCCCAAGGAAGCAAAACCTCTCCACCGGCCACCTGGACTCTCCCCCTTAGCTTCTCTTTTGATCTTGACCGGCTTCCTACACTTATCTGTGATGACATATGACTGCTGGCCCCAACCCTAACTGAACTCACGGGGCCAGCACCAATCACTGACCAAAAAAGCCACTGTGTCCTTACTTCAAATTCTGAGAATTTGGAATGAATGGCCAGTTGGTCGTTGGCCATTTATTCATCCAACAAATGTTAACTGAGCATATACAATGGTCAAGAATTGTTCCAGGTGCTGGGGATACAGCAATAAACAAGATGCCATCCTGCTCACAGGGAGTTTATATTCTAGTGAAGGAGAGAAACAATGGAAAGGCAAACAAGGAAACATGCATGCTACGCCAGCAGTGACAGGTTGTAAGAGAAAGCAGAATAGGGCGATGGGAATAAAGAGAACCAGGAAGTGCTATATTTAAACAGGTGGTCATAGGCCTCTCTAAGAAGGGTTGTGCATAAGGAGGATTTGAACAGAGGCTGGAGTGAAGGAGCCAGTTATGCAAATACATAGGGAACATTCAGGAAGAAGAAACAGGAAGTGCAGAGGCTTTGAAATGTAAATGTACTTTGCTCCTGTAGGGAACAAGAAGGCCAGGGCAGCTGGGGCAGAGAAAGCAGAGGGAGGAGGATAGGAAGTGGGGTGGGAGGAGCAGCATGGGCCAACACAGGTAGGGCCAATATGGGAAAACCATCAAGGAGTTTACTGCGAGGTAGTGACACGGATTGCTGGTCTTCAGTCAGAGATCCAAACAAGGTCTCAAACATGGCAACCCAGGCCTGTCCCTTCAGCTGGGCCTCTGGGTGCCATCATTCCCAAAGAATGGGGGTGATGAGTGAGTCAGGCTAGACATCTACTTCATGCTCCCATTATCACTAAGAACAACTTTGGTTAATTCAATAATGTCTCAACCATCTTTGATTCAAGCTGGAGGACTGAATCAAACGGGCAGAGTCCACAGGAGGTAATGGAAGGTCAGTGGCAAATGAAGGGACAGTGTCTATACCAAAGTCTATAGAGATAGCTGGGCCTTCTTTTCATCTCTCCTGCAGTGTCGTTTGGGGGAAGAATTAGTAGAACCACTGGCCAAGGAGTTGTCCCCTTCCCCATTCACCCTCATATTCCTAGTGAGATGCATCCAATCAAAAGAACACAGCTCAGAAACCATGAGAGGGACTCCAAAAGAATTACTGTTCCTAAAGTGCCCCTGGGATCAGAACTAGTGGTCTCCTCTGTCACTTTCCCAAACCAGTCTACTGTCCATCCCAAACACAGTCTTATTCATGCATCCTCTCTTTCCCATATCATTAGGCCCTTCTGAAGACATGAGCCATCCCAGGCACTACAGTACCTACCCTAACACCATTTTGCCTCAATCTTCCTCTGAACTGCTGGGCCAATTTTTAATCCCAAAGAGCCTCTTTCTTCCCATCCTGGTTTCCAAATTTTCCTGGAATTGATCCAGCAAATGTTTACTGAGTGCCAACCTTGTGGCACTGTACAAGGCAGGAGGGATTTAAGCCCTGGGTTCAAAACCTAATGCTGCCACTGACTATCTTAATTTGGGCAAATAACTAAACCTCCCTGAGTCTCAACTATGAATGGGAACAATAATACCTACTTTAAGGAGGTGTTTAGGGGTTAGGAACAATAAAAGTCAAGTCTCTAGCATGAAGCTGGAGACAAAGTAGGCCCTTAGTGGATATTTATTGAATAAATGAATAAATTAATGAATGCTATGTTTGAATGTCCCCTTCAAAACTCATGTTGAAATTTAAATGCCATTGTAACAGTATTAAAAGGTGGGGACTTTAAGAGGTGAGTAGGCCATGAAGGCTCAGCCCTCATGATGAAATAAATGCCATTATTGCAGGAGTGGATTAGTTATCCTGGGAGTGGACTCCTGATAAAAAGGATGAGTTTGGGCTGATTTCCTGTCTCTGGTGTGCTTGCTTGCTCTCTCATCATAGGATAAAGTAACAAGAAGCTCCTCACCAGATGAAGCCCCTCAATCTTGTACTTCCTAGCCTCCACAACCATGAGCCAAAAACCAGTCTATGTATGGTATTCTTTTTTTTTTTTTTTTTGAGATGCAGTCTCGCTCTGTCACCCAGGCTGGGGTGTAGTGGCGCGATCTCTGCTCACTGTAAGCTCCGCCTCCCAGGTTCACACCATTCTCCTGCCTCAGCCTCCCAAGTAGCTGGGACTACAGGCGCCCGCCACCATGCCCGGCTAATTTTTTGTATTTTTAGTAGAGACAGGGTTGCACCGTGTTAGCCAGGATGGTCTCGATCTCCTGACATCGTGATCCACCCGCCTCGGCCTCCCAAAGTGCTGGGATTACAGACGTAAGCCACTGCGCCCGGCCTATGTATGGTATTCTTTTATAGAACCAGAAGACAGACTAAGACAATGAATGACAAGGTTGGAAGTACATCTGATGATTGGATATTGATGCAACTCCATGATGAATGCTTCAGCAGAGGTACAAAGTCACGGGGTGAATGGGAAGCACCGACCAAGCTGCCACCTTTCCTTTTTACTCTCTCTCTGCCTCCCCTGCACATTCCCCACATGGGCTGCTCAACCTGATTCTGTCTTCAGCTTCAGCGTATTCCCCACACCATCTGATTCCTTCCCAAAGGAGACCTGGACACTAAGCACAGCCTTGATGCTCTTTTATTCCCACCCCCAACCCCAACATAGCATCATCCCTATATCCACTCTCTAAGTCTGCTCTCTTAATTCAATTCATGTGAACAAACCTTCACTGAGCACCTAAGATGTGCAAGACAAAGTGGATATAGAGATGAAGAGGCCATAGTCTTTACTCACAGAGCTCATATTCTAGTGAGAAGACTGCCAAGATGGCCAGTTCATACACTGTGATGATGCTGGCAATAGAAATACGTCCAGGGCACAATAGCACCACAAAGGCTAATTAACTTGTGATAGGAGGCTTAGGAGGCTGGGGAGGATGTAGGGAAGAGAAGGCTTCCTGGAAGGAGGGACCCAGGAGTTGGGCTTCACAGAATGAATAGGCACATGCCTGGCAAAGGCAGGGAGAGGATATCCTTCTTGTACCTCACCTCTTCTTTCTGCAGTCCTTTCTTGTTCTTCTAGGAGAGGGTTCCTTAAGTTCTCTGAAGTAAAGGACCAGTTTCTTTTCTTTTTATTTCCAAATAATTGCAGACTGATACTTTGCAAAAATATAATAAAATAAACTACTATAAAATATTGGATTATAACACAAAATACTAGCATGCCAATCCCATGCTCAGATGTTGCAACAATGTCAAATTGCTGTAAAAGTTTCTCCCTTGGTGGTGATGATACCACATTGAACT
The DNA here is from genome assembly GCF_000001405.40 of Homo sapiens. Taxonomy (NCBI): domain Eukaryota; kingdom Metazoa; phylum Chordata; class Mammalia; order Primates; family Hominidae; genus Homo; species Homo sapiens. The sequence goes on along the minus strand of NC_000011.10, from coordinate 12,436,999 downwards.
GGGCACTTAAAGATGGTGAAAACAGCAAAATTTATGTAATGTATACTTCAACACACAAAAAAGTTTCCCTTTCATTTTCATAGTATCCCCATATTTCAAGTTTCATTGAAACTCTGGAGTTGTTCTTAAGCCACTTTTGCTCTCATCTCCAATACCAAATTTATCATCAGTACCTTTAATCATTTTTTCTTTTGAAATAGTTTGCATTTCCATCCTTTCCTTCCCAATCTAACCCCACACTTCTTCAGATCAGGGTCTGGTTCCAGCAACAACCTGCTGAATACCCTTCCTGCCCCCATCCTCCCAAGCAAAAATGCCTTATATATAAAAGGAAGCTAAACTGATCTTCCCAAAACACTGTTTCTTGGTGTTCTCCCTCAGTAATACTCAATGTCTCCCTGTGGCCTCTGACATCAATTTTAGTTCCCCTAACTTTCATAGAAGCCTTTATCACTCATTACTCACTTTATACAGGCAGCCAAAAGTCCTCCTAGGCCACTTGTCACATGTCCCTCTGCTCTGGCCCACACAGATCTCTCTCCATCTCCAGGACTCTTACTTCCCAAGGCCACTGAGACCTTGATGGGAGACTGTTACTGAATGGGCTCTAATTGTGTTGTGTGTAGTTTCCGTAGTCTGAGACCAGCAACCAGTTCTGCTAATTCTCTCCCTTCAACTCTGATACCAGTGTATGAGACAGGTTAATAAAAAATTTTTGGTGAGTTGTCAGGTTTATAATTAGTCTAAGAGAATTTCACTATATGGGCTCAATCATCCTACCGAATTAAGTCTAGCAAATAGTATGTTCCTAATATGCACATTATCCCTAATCCTCAGAAGAGGGAGATATTGCTATCTATTTTACAAATAAAAACAGAGGCTGGGTGAGGTGGCTCATACCTGTAATCCCAGCACTTTGGGAGACTGAGGCAGGTGGATCACAAGGTCAGGAGATCGAGACCATCCTGGCTAACACAGTGAAACCCCATCTCTACTAAAAATACAAAAAATTAGCTGTGTGTGGTGGTACGCGCCTGTAGTCCCAGCTACTCAGGAGGCTGAGGCAGGTGAATCCGGAAACTTGAACCCGGGAAGCAGAGGTTGCAGTGAGCCGAGATCACGCCACTGCACTCCAGCCTGGGCGACAAAGCAAGACTTCATCTCAAAAAACAAAACAAAGCAAAACAGAACAAAACAACAACAACAACAAAAAAACAGAGATATAGCCAGGAGAAGTCACTTGCCCCAAAATCAGACAACTGTTGAGAGGAGAGAGGGATTCTAAATTTAATGTGTAACTCCAAACCCTACACTGTTTCCACTGCACAGCCCAGCTTTTGAAATGGAAGCTCTTCTCCAGAGTTTAGGAACCACCCACTCATCATTCCTTATGACCTATGAGAGTTTGTACACTCAACATGCAGCTCAAACCCCCCTGTAATTCCACGGGTTTGGCTATTTGGAGCATCAAACACAAGCACTTGCTATCATGACAAAAACAAGAACTCTTCGGTCCTGGGACTTAGAAATAGACCGGAAGCTCTGTCACCCATCTGTGTGTTTCACATCTCATCTGTGTTGAATGACAGGGATATTTTCAGAAGCAGCTTTGGAATGGTCAACCCTCTGTACTTTTCCCCATGTTCTGGAATCAGGATCTTGGCTGGAGTGACAGGAGAAGGGGAAAAGGATGGGAACTAAGGGAGGAATAATTTTTAAGAAGAAAAGGGAGAGTCAGTGGGGAAAATGGAACAAGTGATCAGAGAGAGGGGGGAGCCTTGAGCAACACCTGTCACAGCTGAGGAAGAGGAGAGCTTCAAGAAGCAGGCAGCTGAAGAGAGAGATCAAGTAAGATTAGGAAAGAAAGTCTGGAAATTGGGAAGTCCCAGGTAAACTTTGCCAGAACAGTTTCAATGGGTGTACAAGTCAGACGGCAGTTTGGTGTATGAATAGAAGCAAAAAAGCAGCACCTTATCTATACGTGAGTTTTCAAGACATTTGGTGAATACGGGCAGGAAAGAAGCTGATTGAGAAGGGACTGGTGTGTGGGGTGGCGGACTGAGGACTGGGGTTATGTTAGAAGCTGGGGGTTTGTAACCAAGTCACTTAGGCAGACTAAGTGATTATCTTCAGACCTGGAGCAGGCTCGGTAAAAATGCCTTCTGGGTTGATTCAAGTTGGGGACTGCTCAGTTTGAGCAGTAAGAACAAAAGGGGTTGGGGATTGGCAGTGGGGGCCACTGAGGATGCTGTGAGTGTGGCTAGAATAATCAACAGATAACCAGGCTGGGTTGGGAGGGTCTGGAAGGATAGAGGCCCAGAAGCTAGAGGCTGAGAGCAAGTCTTCATGGGAGTTACAGAGTAGAAGAGACCAGGAGGTGGAGGACTGTGGTCAAGAAGGGGAAGCCCAGAGGGCACTATGTGTTCAGACATAGAATGATCCAAGCCATGAACCATGGGAGCAAAGTCACATGGTTGGGGGCTGTGACAGCCAGAAAAGCTGAGGAGGAACTCCAAGGCTGGGAGACAGGTCAGGAGGGAGGCTGTTAAACTCACCCGGGAAAGAGAAGGCCTGTTTGATAGGGACCAAGCGCCAGAGTCCCTGGTAAGTACGAAAAGTACTGGGGGTCCCAGCAGGCGGGACCTGCAGCTGAGATAGCCATCAAAGCAGTGGGAATGCAGAATTTATCCACACTTCTCAGGCTGCAAAATGCCACTCACTGCTCTCCCTCAGGGAGCGCAGGGCTGCAAAACTCCTCGGTGTCAGTATGTGGGCCTTGCCCCCCACTGCCTTTCAAAACAGGATGGAAAAACTGCTTACGTGGTATGATATTTTAACCAGAGGGCACTTGGAAAATCAGAATTTGAAGGTAGCCTGCACACAAGTCCTAAGGCCAACCTTGGATTTATGAACACGTAGAACATAGTGCTCGCGGTGCTCAGACCTGAGCCATCGAGGTAAGGCAAGCTCATTCTCGGCCAGCCTCACATTTTTCTCCTTATTTTTATCTGTGGGATCAGGCGTGTTGGAGAGAAACAGAGAGGCCTGGTAACAACAGCTTCCCCGTCATTCTTGGTTACTTACATCTGTGGTCAATTTTCCACACTTTATTCCATAAAAGGTAAAGGAGGCACGGTACTTGCAACAGGATAATCTAAACAATATGAACCATGTTACTGTTAAAGACCATCTGGCTGATCACGCCCAGGCCCAGACTTTTAACTCCTTGAGGTAAGAAAGATGCCAAACCCAGAGAGGCCGGGGCCTTTTTCGGGGCTCTTACTCCAAGTCTTTTCCTCCCTCTTCAAGTCAGTTAAAACAACAACCTCTAAGGTCTCTGCCAATCCTAATATTCTCTCTGATTCTAGGCCGGCTGCCGGTGAAACTGCAAGCTTTGTGAATGAGCAACTTGCAAAGTGCTTCTATGAAATGCCTCTTTTATTTCTCTTTAAAAGGAAACATTAGAAGCTTAAAAAAACAAAAAACAAAAAACAAAACAAAACAGAACAAACCTTCCACACAACCCAAACTGAAATACTCTCAAGTGCTGGGGTTGCTTCCTTCATTGCTGATTCTCTCACTTAAAACTAAGGTATCATTTACATAATTTTAATTTTAAGAAGCAGCTGATACCAGTGAAGAACCAGTGAAGCCCATGCTTTGCTTTTATTTGGGCTTACACATTTTGTGGCCATCTGTTATCCAAGAAAGTTGCAAACTCAAATAAGAGATGGGAAAACTGTAAATCAGATGGTGTTTTTCATCCTTTGGGTGGGGAGCTAATGATAAAAGATTCCGGGAAAGTTTCAGCTGGGTAAGGTCGTCGCAAAAATGAAACTTGGCCTCCCTTGTGAGGTGCAGCCTTTCCACCTGCAGAAGGAATTTAGCATTTGACCTAGAGGTTCGGGTGTATTTTATTCTTCAAATAGGTCATTAAGAACTCTAGCTTTTCCTAGCTTCTTCTATGGGTATTAAAACGATTCAAAACAATTCAATTTAATATACCTTTTAATTTTTTAAATCGTGTCTGGCAACATTCCATCAAGGAAGCATCTTTCAGTACCACGGCTACGACAGAGCCCTCATTTCTAGCCACCATCTCCTTTGGGTGTAACCACAGGACCTAAGCAATCAGTTTTCTGGGAATGGATTTTCAGAGGTCATGATAGAAAACAGGTTCAAATACAATGGCTATGCCTGGCTTCAACAATGCAGCACCAACTGTGCTAGAACAGCTCTCCACTTTTTAAAATATTCTCGAAAATCTTGATACAGAAAAAAATGACGCAAGAGCCTAAATAACGTACACATGACAGAACGTGGTTCTTTGTCAAATTACTTTAACTTGCACAGGCCCAGATAAGCAGTTATTTTTTGGTTTGGTTTGGTTCTGTTGACTTGCCAAACAAACTTCAACATCCTTGTTTCTTGCCCCATCCACCTTGCAAGTTACCTCTTTGGATTCACAAAGACAAGAGGTGAACGGTTAACGGCAGAGCCATTGGGAGACAAAGCATCATATCCCATGATCATAAATCTCTTTCAAGGCAAGTTAAACTAAATTCTACAGCTCCCAAATTCAGCATTCATCTTCAATTAGATAAAATGACATTCACATCTATTTGTACTCTCTCCATTTCCCAACACATTTATCTCATGAAATAAAAACTGAAAGATACTACTGTCCTAAACATGCACATTATTTTCAAAAAGAGTTAATGAATCAGGCTAATTTAATAGGCCTTTTATTGGAATTCACTTTTAATATAAATTCTTTAACATGTGTGAGCAATATTTTTCAAGAGACAGGTGAGAAAGAAAATGAGGAAAAAAGAGTCACTACTCAACTATAGTAGTAATTTCCCAACCCAAAGCAAAGTAGGAAAAATTTTACGTTAATTGTAAAAAGAATTTTATTTTGATTTTATAATCAGATATTGGGCATATTATAGCTCCTTTGCAGAGCTCTTCCCTTTTGGAGAAAGGAGTTTCATTTCGTTTATGATTCTGATTCAATGGACAAGCAACCCCAGTGTAAACTAGTATCCTCACCTCTGTGAGGACCAAGGCTGCAGCCAGAGTAAGAAAGTTGGGAATTTCCAACAACTGCTAGATTCAAATGGTTGCTTAGATTTAGAAGCCACAGAACGAGATGAGAAAAAAGTCCCAAAGGGCAAGCAAGGCAGTGTGGCTAAGTGTTGATGGTGGCAAAAAGAGTAACATGAGTGAAGGAAGTTGGCAGGGAGTGGGGGGCCCATGGTGGCACTGGCCTCAGGGCCATGCAGATACAGGCATAAGGCCCAGCTGAGCACAGGGTCTGCATTTAGATGGTCCAATAGATGGTTAGGCCCTAGCATGGGACAGGTGGCCTTTCAGGTCAGGTGAGAGCACACAGGTCCTTTAACCCATTTAAAAGACCTAGGGTGTGGGAATGAATGAGTGAAGCCATCTGGGAACATGTCAGGACTGAAAATGTGGGGCAAGAACTTCAGAGAAGGGGCCTTGGGTTCTGCAGACTCTTGCCTCATTCTAAGCTGCTAAGTTCTTCTCTATTGAAAAACCAAAAATCAGATGGGTCCCACAGCCACGTGGTGGGCCTGAGCCTCCTGGTTTGGATTGCAGGCAGGGGCTGAATGCACAGGGTGTTAAGTGGCTCAAGGCCAAGATTGAAAGAATGGACGCAGGGGTGACAGATATGTAACAATGCGTAACATCCAGGCACTATCCAGTCTGATACCACAGCAGGGTCTGGAAGCACTTGCTGTTGCTAGATTATGGGAGGGTCTGGCAGGCCCCAGTGGGGACAAGGCTGCCTACACAGGATGGGAAACACTGGCAGGGGTATTGGGGGATCAGCTATTTATCAACCACTGCTAAAATAAACTGCTGTGAGTCAGCCCTGGGAGCAGGGGCAGACAGGTTATTCCCGCCTTCCAGTTGGCACTCTGTCCACATCTGTGTGAAAGGGATATTGCTTAAGAAAGGAAAATAAGGCTGAGGGTGGAGCCAGGAGGAGCTTGTTTTTGTCAAATTTCTCGAACATTTGCTTTGCTGGTTAGCACAAACAAAAGCTTGTGCTTTTGCGATTAGGAATCGTGTCTCTTTGTTGTTGTGGCATGGTTGAGGGAAAAGAAAGTCCTAGACTTCTCCGCCCTGTCAAGCACGTTTGGATTTCTTTTAGGAGGTGAGATCAGGAGGGAACTTTTGAACACTTTAGAGTAACTAATTTGACAGCTGCCCAAGTGATATGTCTATAACTATCCTCTATTATAGCCAGGCATGGGCCCTCTTTCTTATTCCTTTTTTTAAGATATAAGGGAAAATAAGGGTGAGATGGAAAGGTCTTAGTAAATGCATTAAACGTCATGATTCATGTGAGTAATAAGGCTTAGGCAAGATCCATGTCAAACCCCCCACAGCATCTTGGTATGAGATTCAGGAAAGAAAGGAGCCTCTGTGTGTGGGTTTTCTGCTGGAGGCAGTGTGAGCAACAAAGACCTGTGTGTCCAGGAGGGGCAAGGTGACGAAAGGTACTCACTCACCCAAAGAGGAGACTTTTACCCTCGTTAGGAAAGAGGGCAATGGGTGTGTTGGAACTGGCTCCTACCAGCTCTCAAATGTTAAATTTTCAGGGATTCAGGGAGCCAGTTGTTAAATACAGTTATTATTAAAATTTAAAATACAAAGTTGCAATTAAGTAAATTATACTGAGAAAGGTAATACTCACAACTCATCACTTATATTGATGATCTACGTTCTTGAGATGATGTTCTGCATCTATATGGCAGAAGTACTACTACACAATGGTGTGCTGCTCTTCCCAATTCCATGTTCAGGGATACCACAAAATTGGCCCTAGTGGGGGTATTTACTTCTTGGAAATCAACCAACATTGCAAATCAGGGTTTGATTTCTCATTCTGTTGATTATCTAGACTTAAGAAAATGATGAAGGAATGTCAATGATGCAGATTAAACTTAAAGGGAGTCTGTAAAATTTAAAAGTGTCTGTAGTCATTATATCATGAATAACATTAAAAAAAGGAAAATATTCTTCCAGTATTTAAAACTGTTATACGATCAGCAAAGAAGGTGCTCATGCCATTGGTGAATGAAGTTATACTCAGTACTGAAGCTGAAAGAGGTTTCAGTTTATCCCAGTTATGCCTAGTGTTCCATTATTGGAACGCTAAGCTTGTGGGAGTTATTTATATCCTACTGCTCAAGGTCATCGCCAAGGTCTGATTTTTCACAAAAAAATTTGCAACCACCGGCATAAATGGGTTAATAGATACAAAGATGAAAAATAGTTTAGTGATCACATGTCAGATTTAATGACAATAAATTTATTGGGAAAAGGTTAGTGGACTGATGAAATTCCACGCATCAAATCATGGCTAACCATAGGTTAGCTATGGCTACAAGAGCTCAAAGTATCAAAAGTATTCTGTGAGAATGGATTGGCTATATGGAATTTACAATAAACAGTGTTGATATTTTATTATTATTTGTAAACTGTGTGCTATACATCCTTTATATCAGTGAAGTTTATAATTAACTTATATATGCATTTGTACACACACTTTTTACTGGAAAGCTGGTTGTTAAACATTTACCAACGTGCAACTTATTGAGGGTGCTGCAAATGCAGGCCTCGGGGAGGGGTTTGTTCTCCCTATTTCTCACTGCTAAAGGGCTAAAGGGTTAGTACTTCTTTTAAAACTTTGAGCCAGGCATGGTGGCTCATGCCTATAATCCCAGGGAGGCAGAGGTGGGAGGACTGTTTGAGGCGAGGAGTTCAAGACCAGTCTGGGCAATGAAGTGAGACCCTGTCTCTACCAAAAATTAAAAAATTAACTGGGCATGGTGATGTGCACCTGTGGTCCCAGCTACTTGGGAAGAAGCTGGGGCAGGAGGATCACGTGAGCCCAGGAGGTCGAGGCTGCAGTGAGCTATGATCGCACTGCTGCACTCCAGCCTAGGCAACAGAGAGAGACTGTGTCTCAAACAAAACAAACAAAAACTCTGAACCTGATTTGATTCTAGATTAATAATACACATCATGCTTTTACCAACCCACACAATTTACCCTTCCCCCAAATTCCTGAAGCTCCTTCTGTTTTTATTCACTTAGCAAATGATACCCCTGTATTGGCTTTTCAATTTATAACATTTTAAATTTATGTTCCTTCTCGTTTTAGACAAAGGTCAGTCTCAGAAGCTTTCTCCGAGCCTTTGAAAGGTGCCTGCGTGGGGTGAGCACCAAAAAATTGTATTTGCTCCGCTAGTCAATTGGCCAACTTACCATCTCGACCTCTGCACCCGACACTGAGCCAAATCAGGGATTCAGACACGCATGAATATCTCATCATGATGGAGATGATGGTAATGCCATGATGGCCAGAGTTTACTGAGGACCAAATAGGTGCCAGATACTATGCCAGGGACTCTGCATATACTATCTAGATACAGCGGTATCTGTGAACATGTGGCTAACTGGTCAAAGATAGTGACTTGAGACTGGGTCTTGGTCATCTCAGTCCTCAGGCCCCAGCCCTGTCCTGGCTTAGTAATGTTGAAGCATACATGTCTGCATGAATGATTGAGTGCCCTACTGTTAGCATTTAGTTATAGATCTGCTGTGTCTTCTCTTCTTTCCTCTTACTTTCCTTCCTTCCCTCCTTTCATATGAGAGACTCTATATGGAAAAGGAAGCTGAAGTGGCCTGCACACGATATAGAAAAACCATATTACTTTCCTAAGACTGGTAATCCGGCAATACCTAATGCAGCACATGGCTAGAGACTCCACATTTGCCCAACTTCTCTGCTCATCATTTGCCACTGTTCTGTAAATTTCCCAGTCCCCTCACAGAAAGCACATGGCACCATTTAAAATGGCTGCTCACTCTCTAAGGGAGGTCTCACAGGCTGGTAGTGAGCCCTGTCCCAATAGTGAAGTTCTCCACAAATGGGGAGACTTCTCCCAGGAGGAGGGGAGGCCTGGAGATGGGCATGCAGTGGGCAATGTCAGCTGCCCTCCAGGTTCTGCTGCCCTTTTCCGCCCTGGTCAGTATACAAGCTTCGGGGACACACGCCTGGACCAGAAGCAGTTGTGTTACCTAGAAATCGGGAACAGGCTTCCTCATCTCTCAGTTTGAGAACCTGAGGGCAACTGACTTCTAACCACTGTCATTCACCTTTTCTCAAGAGAGTAAAAGTTAGGAACATAGCAGCTGTATTTGATGTTTTTACCTAAAGCTTACAACTTCAATTTGCCAACAGATAACTTCATTCTGACCTTATTCAACCCTGCTGATGACCCATAAGACAAAAGTTTCAAGATAATTGTTTTTTTGTATGCCTTTAAAAGTGTCAAAACTTGCTTTAAAAAAAAATGTCTGTTGTAGATGAAAACATTTCTAAAGAAGATTAAGCCCACACTTGCTTCCATCAACAGAGAAGGCTGTCCATAATTTAACCTCTGCCTCCACTAATTCAAGGCCATCCTTAACGCTGATAACTGTTGATTTGGGCTAAAATAGCCATGTATTCATGTCAATGATTTTCATTTTTCTGTGCTAGGAAGGGATTTGAACAGGGTCATGAAGACTGGTCAGACTTCAACAGGCAGGGAAGGGAGAGGGGAGCAAGTGAAAGGGTAGGCCACATGCAGGGCAGGAGACTGCATATCAGATTTTACGACAATAAATTGTTGACCAATTTCATTATCTCATGCTATCTAAGTATCTGTTTCAGCTGGGTTAGCTAATTCAGCAAGAGTTATAAATAATATGCCATACATATGACAGATTTCTTTTATAATAATTATATTTCCTTTCTCATTCAGTAGCTCTACTATATTAATTAAAATTTAAAACCCTGTCTTATTAGCCTGATTTTTACTTCATTTCTGTTCATATTTTTATTTTCTTTCTCATGCTGTTTGCTTTAGCTTACTACTTTGTTTCTTTTCTAGATTCTAAATTCTTTAAAATGAGACTTCAAAGCCTTTTTTTGGTCCAAATAAATCATGTCTATTTATTTCAACACATATTTCCCTTTCTCTGCCCCATCCTCATTCTGCCCCCAGAATATCCATTCCTCTCCAGTCACACTGCAACCCCTGGTCCAAGCTATGGCCTCTTACCTGGACTGCTGAAAGAGCCTCCTAATTTCGCCTGCTCCTATACTTGACCAATTCCTCCAGCCACACAGTGGCCAAGTAATCTTGTGGTGGTCAGGCAGCGGGCAGAGCTTAGGCTCTGGAGGCACAAGACAACCTGGTGATACCCTGGCCCCTTTCACAAACATACGATGTGACCCTGGGCTAGTTGCTTAACATCTCTGGGCCTTGGTTTCCTCCACTGAAAATGAGCATATTAAAATCCCATAATTAAAAGCACATACGTCATCTGGATGCTCTCAGTATTAAATGAGAGAATATATTTATTGCTTGGAGCAATAAACTGGCTTTAGGCACTTTGAAACATCTCTGAAAATATATATCAAACTGCTTAAAACCCACTTCAACCCAAATACTCTGCCCTGGATCATAAGGGTCTTCAAGATCAGGGCCTGCCTCACCCCATGCCACTCCCCCTCCTTACTCACCATGCTCCAGCCACACACTGGCTCCTGGTTGCCTTTCAGGCCTACTAAGCTCTTTCACACCTCAGTGCCTTTGCATATGCTGTTCCCTCAGACAGGCTTCTTCACCCAGCTTCACATGGTTAGTGACCCATCCTTCAGCTCTCAGCTTAAATGTCACTTCCTAATCTGACAGAGGCCCTGCTCAACCACCCAGGCTAACTTTAATGGTCCATGTCATTGTCATTCCTTTATAGTACTTAACAAAATTTGAAGTTATACACTTATTTGTCGGTTGACTTGTTTAATACGTCTCCCCCGGTACTGTGAACACCATGAACCATGTTTGCTTTGCTTGACCCTGTCTCCCCAACACCTGGCACATGGGAGGTACTCAATCATCTGTTGAATGAATGGGAGTGGATGGCTGATTAATGAACTTGGAAGATGAGTTTGGTTCTTTGTAGAAACTTTTGCCTTTATCTCCAAATAGGTTATAATAGTTTACTAAAGCGAATAAAACGTGTCCTTGGCCACAGATTTTACTGGCTCTGCCTGGTAACGAAGTAAGAATTGTTAACGCCTCAACACACTTATTCAATAAGTATTTCTTAACGTCTGCCATATATTTAGCACTGTATAGTGGACTCTGTTTGCTAAACAAAAGAAATAGAAGACTTCAGATCTCCCTCCGCCCCATCCCTACAGGGATATTAGACATATGAGATGTACATAATAACACAGGAGGTAACTAGATAATATGACAAGGCTATGAATAATTATTTGCCAAGATGAAGGCACACTTAAGGGAAACATTAAGATGAGAGCAGAGAGAAATCACTCAGGGAGAATCACAAAGACAGGAACTTTGGGATGAGTGAGAGGTGAAAAGAAAAAGGGCATTCTCTGCAAGAGAACTTTTGTGTTGGGAAGAGGCAATGAGGAGATCAAGGTATTTTGGGGTTAGGGGTGCAACTAGAAGACTGACCTGGTAAGATTCATGTTGGGGAAACTGCGGGGTGAGGGAAGGCCTTGAGGAATCCAATGAAGAGGTGATATGACCATTCTCATTTCTTTCTGATGGCCAAAACTGTGTTCGTCTTATCCTCCAGCATGTTGCCTAGTGTTTCACAGGTGGTTTACATTCAGCAGTGCTTGCTGAACTAATTATGTTGAATAAAAAATTTAAAACACAGACAAATGACAGAGAAACTGTTAGGGAAAGTTCTGTCCTCTCTACACACTTCTAAAGGAAGCCCCTAATGGATTCTCAGAACATCTCGAACTGTTCAAATACCAGTTACATAAATGATTTCAAAATACAGACAAGATTATATGTTATATAAATAAGATCTTGATCTGAAACACCTGAGGACAACACCAATTGAAAGAGGGGGAGACAGAGCATGTGGATTACAGGCCATTTAATTCATAAATATAGTTTAATCACAAATAATATCCTACACACAGAAAAGGGAAATGTTTCAAAAACAAACAAGTATGAGCTATCCTACAAAGACAGAGCTAGCACATAGGGAAATGATTAGGGTAGTTCAAAACTTTGATAGAAAAAAAGGGTTTTACTGTAAGAATTCTTTGGTGGATGCTGAGGCCATCAATAACATTCAACATTAAATCTTCAAAAGAACTCAAAATCAGAAGAGGAGATTTATTCCTTAGGATAAAACAATGATTATAGACGTAAATCTGGGCTTGAGTGTTATTCTTTATGTGGAAATTCTAGAGCAATGCTATCTATTAAGACTTTCTGCAATGATGGAAATATTTATTTCCGCACTGTCCAGTACAACTGGACAACTAGTATTGGTAGCAACTAGTTATGGATGACTATTGAGACTTCAATGTGGCTAATGTGACTGAAGGACTGAATTTTTTATTTTATTTTTAAATTTATTTAAATTTGAATAGCCAGAAGTGGCTATTAGCTACTGTAATGATGGCACAGTCTTAGAGACTTCACTTTGCAAACACAGGTAGAAGCATAAGATGTTCCTCTCAGTACTCATGTTGGAGGTAATAGGAAATGCTGCAGGACACGATGAAAAATAAATAGAGAATAAATACAGGAAAGATGGAAATGGACATATCACTTGTTTTGCAGATGATATAAAAGTGTAAATAGAAAAAGCAAGATTAACCAAATGCATACCACTGCTATGAAGTTAGAAAAGGCAATGAAAAATGGTGCTATTCACAACATTAAAGAACATCTGAGAATTTATATATCTAGATAAATATCTAGTGAGATAAAAATAATACAATTATAATGGGAAAAATAAAGGAATACCTAAAGAAACAAAGTTATATCCATTGCTCTTGATTTAGAAAATTTAGAGTAATACCAGTAACATTAATCCATAAAACAAAAAATAGATTAACATAATAACAATTATATTCCTGCAAGAATACTCTAGAATGTGATAAATGACTGGCAAAATTAATAAAGAAAAATAAATACACAATAATTCCAAAGAAGATTGCAGGAGGATGTAATAATCAAATTTTAAGACATATTATAAAGTGATCTTCATCAAAACTGAATTTTGCTGAATCAAAGCCAGGACAAAGACTCTACTAAAATAGTGATTCCAGAGATGGATTCAAGCACTTATAAGTCCTGAGGACATGGCAAACAAAACAAAACTAAGAATCACGACAATAGATGTCGGAATCACCATTTAATAAATGCTGGTGGAACAACCTGATATCAATATGAAGAAAAGTATATTATATCCATAACTCACCATATACAATAGTACTTTCTAAATTGGTTAATGAACTAATTAAACATGGAAAGCATTTAAAAGAAAAAAAGGAGAGCATATTTATCCCAGCTATAGCAGAGAGAGAAATTCATGATTAAAAAACTAAATAGTATTATAAGACTGAGGTAGGTGAACTCGAATATCATAAAGTCTATTTAAAGTCTCTTTGCACTTTGGAAGGCCAAGGAAGGCAGACTGCTTGAGCCCAGGAGTTCAAGGTCAGCCCGGCCAACATGGCAAAACCCTGTCTCTACCAAAAAAAAAAAAAAAAAAACAAAAATTAGCCACGCATGGTGGCGCACGCCTGTGGTCCTAGCTACTCAGGAGACTGGGGTGGAAGAATGGCTTGAGCCCTGGAGGTCAAGGCTATAATGAGCTGTGTTCACGCCACTGCAGTCCAGCATGGGTAAGCAAGACCCCGTCTCAAAAAAAAAAAAAAAAAATCTCCTTAATGAAAAGTAACAAAACATCTGGCTAGGCGAGGTGGCTCACGCCTGTAATCCCAGCACTTTGAGAGGCCAAGGTGGACAGATCACCTGAGGTCAGGAGTTCGAGACCAGCCTGGCCAACATGGTGAAAGCCCGTCTCTACTAGAAATACAAAACTTAGTTGGGCATGGTGGCAGGAGCCTGTAATCCCAGCTACTCAGAGGCTGAGGCGCGAGAATTGCTTGAACCGGGAGGTGGAGGTTGCAGTGAGCTGAGATTGTGCCACTACACTCCAGCCTGGGCAACAGAGCAAGACTCAGTATCAAATAAATAAATAAGAAAAGTAACAAAACAAATACAAAGGGAGCCCCCCAAAATTTTAAATTATGATAAATATAATGGATAAATATTTATAATCCAAAATAATAATAAAATCTTATAGTGTGAGATAAACATATATTGTCATCAGTAATGAGACTTCATTTGACAAATGGCTAAAGAGTAAAGGGGGAAAGCAGGAAAGAGAAGGACACTAGCAGGTGGCAGCCCTGTGCCAGGCACTTTATAGTTGCATTACACACACTGGGAAATGACCCTATAAGCTAACACAGGGAAGGTGTTCAGTCTCACAATTAAAGAAACATGAATGAAAATAACTGTTTACCTACTTGAACACAATAAGAAACACAATGGTAAAATACTGGGCAGAGCTGTTGGACGACAAGCCCACTCAACTACTGCCAGGGGCATTGTACATTACTCTAGTGTTTCTCTCAGTTGTCTAACAATATGGAACTAGAGCTATAAAACCATCCATATTTTTTATCCTTAATTCTTCTTTAGGGACTATATCTTGAAGAAATGCTCAAAAAAGAGACCCACAGAAAGAAATGTAACCAATGTAAGCAATGTTTCTAACAGCATATTATTAAGAAGTAAAATGGAATCTGTCTAAATATCCAACCACAGAGAAATGGGTTAAGTAAATTCAATATAGCAATTCAGTAGGATTTCTATGACATTATTTAAAACTTTAAGTGATCATGTGAATTGACCTATGGATAGAAATGTAAATACAAAACAATTTTAAGTTAGGAAAAAAGCATAAGAACCCTAAATGCAAAACATTTCAAATTGTACATAGAAGATGATGACTATGAATCAAAGTCCTTTCTTGGCTGGAATATCCTCCAAATGTGGGGAGAAGTCAAGTTAAAGCAGCAATAACTGGCTTAGCCACCATGGAGGCTCTGAATTCTATCAAAAGATCTTGAACTACTCAATCAAGAATGTTCTGGGCCTGACCTGTTCCATATTTCTAGAACTTAGTTTAACTCCAAAAGAACATAATCAGATAAAGATCTGATCAGCCCCAATATTTGTTGAATGCATCCTTTTGGCTTTTCCTTTTATTATGTGGATTAAGGAATGGAGTGTACAAACTATATTTGCACAATTGCAATTCAAGAATTAAGGCCATTCTTGGCCCCTGAAACACATCAATAACTAAAAACACTACAACTAGAGCATTGCTGGTGAGAGCCTGGTTTGTGACAGCCCATGGTATCATCACTGATCTGTCCACAGAGCACGGCCTGGACAGCTGTGATACCACCATGTGGGCAGCTGACAGAGGCCCCTCTGGCTATCTTAAGACCATGTGAAGTCCACTTCAGCAAAACTGTACTCTGCAATCACTTCAAAGGTATAAGATTTTAAAAGGCAGATTAAAGAAAAAAAATCTGTTGCTGGGATTTTTCTGGAATTTAGACTTTCAGAGGAAGAATCTGATAAATGGTGTTGAGGTTACCATCCTGCACACTCTCTCTAGGAAAGTCCATCCATTCTCATGGCTTACTGGCCACCACCAGAGCCCCACAACCTAAAGTCTAGTCTCATGTCTTTACTTGGACTTCCTAAGTATATAATGTAAACACTTCAGTTTTGGGCAGAGATATTTCTAATCCCTCTTGGGTACCATGCTTGGATAGCCTCATCTGTGCAACTTTTTGTAGCTGGGTCAGATCCTTAGTTGCCCCTCTTACCAGCCCACCACCTTGTCCATCTCATGCCTAGCAATCCATAATGGCAAGCTCCGACCACCAAGACACCCCAAGTAGTAAATCATGGTAGTATCACCTTTAGAGCCGGTACTGATTGAGAAGTACAAAAAAAAAAAAAGTCCTAACATGCTGATATAAACAGATGGTTGACCACCGTTTGAGTGATCATTGAAGGATCCAGGAATTTAAGACCTCTGGCAGCTAACTCCTTCCATTCTCGCTGGGTGGGGTGGTGTGAAGAGGACAGGCTCTGGACTCTACCGCCTGGACTTGAATGCTAGTTATGCCATTTACTAGCTGTGTGAACATGGGCAAACAGCTTCACTGGGCCTCATCTTTTTCATCTATAAATTGAGAATAATGACGGTTCTTGCCCCACAAGATTGGTAAGAAGATTAAGTGATTTAAGACCTGTAAAGTGCTTAGAACAGTGTTTGGCATGTAGTAAGCAATCAATAAATGTTAGCTATTATTATCATTCTCATCATCCACTAAAAACAGGTGTTGGGCTCTGGATCTGAGCCTAAAGGACAATCCTTACTTCCAGGAGCTTACAGAACCATACTCCTTATTATTAGGTGGAAACATCCTCAGTGCTTTTAGGTATAGGTATTTTCCATGTGTCTGCTCCAATCTCTCAAGACACATTAGCTTCACTGTCCCTCTGTTCTAGATCTTTTCTCTATATTTAAGAATTTGAATACACTGTTTACACTTCCAAACAGAACAAAAGGTTTAAACCTACGTTTCCTCACTCTTGCTTGGTGCACTTGGGAGACATCTCATTCATGAAGTTCCCGTTCAAATTAAACACACAATAATTTGATCTAGTGTTTTTCAAAAAACCACAAACCTACATTCTTTGCTGAAATTAGTGCCTCCAAAAGGAATAACAGATGTGTACAATAAATGCCTATTAGGAATTTTTAATGGGTCCACATTAGAAGCTGAGTCTCCCAGAACTAACCCTTTTTTTCTCCTAAAGTCTTCATTCCTGTCTAGAGCCATGAATGCCTGATTTCCTTAGTTTTCTTTATTAGTGGAAACTCAAAGACTTCAAGGAATGCATTTTGAGAACTAGCTACGTATGTATTCGGAACATTACTGAACAGAACTTATAATTAATATAGTTGATTTAACATCTGCTAAAAATAATATATTTTCCTCATAATGATGGGAGACATTCTGAACAGCAGTATATATGAATCTTAAAAGTGTTTCCGCCAGCATTTACCTAGGTTTTGCCACCACACCTTCAGCAACAACGTAAGAAGAATTCAGTTTGACATTAACCACGGTAGGGCTAGACTCTGCTTCATATCCATTAGGATGGTTACTATTAATAACAAAAATAACAATAAGTATTGGTGAGGATGTTGGGAAACTGGAACCCTTGTGCCCTGCTGTGGAATGTAAAATGGTGCAGCTACTGTGGAAAACAGTATGGCCGTTCCTCAAAAAATTAAACATAGAATTACCTGTAAGATCCAGCAATTTAACTTCTGCATACACTCAAAAGAATTGAAAACAGTCTTGAAGATATAGTTGTACACCCATGTCCAGAGCAGCA
Source organism: Homo sapiens (assembly GCF_000001405.40). Classification (NCBI taxonomy): domain Eukaryota; kingdom Metazoa; phylum Chordata; class Mammalia; order Primates; family Hominidae; genus Homo; species Homo sapiens. The sequence goes on along the minus strand of NC_000011.10, from coordinate 12,419,564 downwards.
TTACTCACAATAGTCAAAAGATGGAAGCAACTCAAGTGTCCGACAATGGATGAATGGATAAACAAAATGTGGTATACACATACAATGGAATATCATTCAGCCTCAAACAGAAAGAATATTCTGACACATGCTACAACACAGATATAGCTCTGGACATTATACTGAGTGAAGTAAGTCAGTCATAAAAAGGCAAATATCATACGATTCCACTCATAGGAGGTACCAAGAGTACTCAGATTCATCGAGACATAAAACAGGATATTGGCTGCTGGGGCCTGGGGGGTGGGGAGAATGGGGAGTTGTTTAATGGGTATAGGGTTTCAGTTTTGCAAGATGAAAAGGGTTTAGGAGGTTGGTTACAAAACAGTGTGAATGCACTTTATACTACTGAACTGTACACTTAAAATGGTTAAGAATTTAAGTTATATGTATTTTACTACAATTTTTTTAAGATGGCTGGAAAGACTTTTTTAAAACCAAAAAATTTTAAAAAAGCAGCTCCTTGGTCAGAGCCTGGTTACTTCATAAATTCAACCACTTAATAACTTCGGCAAGTTATTCAATCTCTTCATGGTTCAATTTACTCATCTGCAAATGGGATTGATTAGTACCTACCTCATAAACCATTGTGAGGATTAAGTAAATTACTACATGTAAAGGGTTTCTAAGAGTTCCTGGTGCAAAGTATTGTTCAATACACATCAGTTATCACAGCAATAATGGTTATTATTGTTACAGGGTGCAAGGCAGCATTCAAAGTGCTTTCCTATGTTGTGGCATTTAGTCTTCAACTCCCCACTTCCACTTTCAACACAGCTAAATTTTACAGATGAGGACATAGAGGCTCAGAGGCATTCAGTGATCAGTCTAGGTCACAAAGCCGGTGGCGGGGTGGTAATGGGGAGCAGAATAAAGATGGAATTTGGCTCCAGTGAGGTGCAGTTGCCTGATAGAGAATCAAGCAGTCATCACGCTGGCCCAGACCATGAACTGGGTGGGGGAGGCTGTGGCAGGCACGCTGAGAAGCTGGGCTCTGCTCCAAGCCAACAACCCACCCGCTAAAGAATCCCAACTGTCTTCGTCCTCCTCCCACACCCATCCTGCCCCAGGGATGAGACCAGCTGGATCCAACAAAGAGAACGCAAGCCCAAAGTGGGAAGCTGGATCCAGAGGTCACCACTACGGCCCTCAAGCAGATGGAAGGGCAAGACCCAAACAGGAAGCCACAGAGGCCTGTGGGCGGGGCCTGCTGGGCACCATCACCCAGCCCAAACTAAGGGAACAAAACTCACATCACCCACCCAGGGACTGGGAGTGTCTGTCACAGAGTATTAGGCCCAGGTAGGCGGCCTGGGCTCCAATGACCCACTTCCACCTCAGACTCTCATTGGGCCCCTTGGCCCATGCTGATTTCCTCAGAAAATTTCTGAAATGTGGCAGGAATTCGGTTCCTGATTCTTATCTGAGCCCAGTGGGGGTGCCAGCAGGAACCTTCCAATGACTTGCAGTTTCAGATGTTTTTTGTTTTTTTCTCTCAAGTGACTTCTCTTCCCCACCCCACTCCAAGCCAGCCTTAGGTGGCCTACAGGCACTCTGCATCAGCATCTGGCACTGCTGGGGTCTCTAATCTGGAGGAAAGGGTGCCTTGTAGGAGGTGCTCCCTGGCCAGAGATGCCTCGCCCCTGGGAGCTGCCCAGCTAGAAGGGGCTGTTGGCTCCAGAAGAAAACTCAGGTCAGGCCATAAGCAAGAAGGAAGGCTTGGCACCCGGGGGGCCCTGAGGACAAAAAAGATCCAGAAACAGGATTTTGACATTTGGGAAAGTTTTTTCCCTTCCCAACATTGGGAGGGACTCTGTAAATACAAACTTAACTTGGGCCCTTCTCTGTGGAAAAACACTTAAATAAATCCTCTTGCATTTTTCAGTCTTGCAGAGTGAAAAATCCTCCTCTCCTACTGATTGTTTTTTATATTAGGCAAGTAATACATATTCATGGTAGAAATTAGAAAATGCAGACAGAAAAATTAAAATCACTCCAAATCCTACCTTCCAGATGTAGTCACTGTTAATACTGTAGGTACACATTTCCAGACTTTATTCAATGCAAGTATAAACATATATATTTTTACATATATACCCTTACAAATATATAAATACTGTTTTTAAAAAGTTTCAGTTAATATAGCATAAAAATTATTCCAGAAAATAATATAGAACTGCGGTATATTTTTAATGTTACAGTATTTTACTATGATACACCATAATTTATTTAACCAATCTTTTCATATTAGACTTATAGTTTATTTCAAGTTTTTCACAAGTGTGAACAATGCTGTTATCTACACAGGATTTACAACCTCGTCCAACTATTTATTAAGAATAAATTCCTAAAGGTGGAATTGCTGGATCAAAATGTTTTTGTAATATGCATAAATCTCCCTAATCAGTCGATTTCACTGATATACAAGTTTCCTTATAGTGACAGACCTTGGAATTGTGCTTATAGTCTGAACCAGCCCTTGGCCTTCTCAAACACAGTTCTCCATTATAAGTAGTTCCAACAAAGTGACTCAGGGGCATTTAAAAGATACACAATTTTATTTTGACTTTAGTAATCTAAAGATTACTAGAGACCCACAAGACAGATGTCCCAAGATACTGGCCATACAAAACCCATTTGTGCAAAATTAGACTTAACGACCCACCTTGTGATCAGCCCTCATGCTCTCACCTTCCATCTCTCTGCCCTCGTGCCCTCCCCTCCTTTCTCCCTCCCTCCCTCCTCTTCCCTTCTTTCTCCCTCCATTGCTTTCTTCCTTCCTTCTCTGCCTCCTCCCTATCTTTCCTCTCTCCTCCTCTCCCTTTCTTTGTAAAATTGTTCTCCTTCTTTCTCTCCACTCGCTTCTTTCTCTTTCTCCCCTGATTTCCTTCCTTCTTTCCTTTTCTTCCTTCCTTCCTGAAGCAGCAGGGACCCTTCATCAGGGCAGATGGCGCTGGAGTCGGCGAAGGTTCCAGCTGTACAGAGAGCCATATAAGCTGTCTGTGAAATCTTCAGGTTTTGGTATTCATTATTTAGGTTCTGTGGAAATGAGTTTGCTTTGAAGTCTACTAACTCATCCTTCTCTTCAACTTCTTATTTCCTGTAAATGATCCATTAGTTTTTGGCAAGATTCATGTCACACAGCATTTCCACCAGAGGGGCTGTTCTACCGCTAGGGACAGTTTGAATGCTGTCTCTTGAGGTGGAACTGGATGAAAGATGGGGATGTGTAGACTCTGCTTTCTTAAAAGCTGCCTCAACCAGCCCTAACGTTGCCTCGAATTAATAATGTGAAACACATGCTCTATCTGCCTGCTAACGGGTGACAAAGCCATTTATGTTCATAATGGCCAAAATTATTCTACGGATGAAAATTTTTCTAAAACTGTGCTAGTCCATCAGTTTCACCAAGGGGGAAAATTCCCCCTCAATCATTCCACTTTCAACCTCTTTCCCAAAACAGCCAGTTCACCACAGCATTATGATGTTGAAAGGGAAAACAAATGGAGGTTATAAACAGTTCTAAGTTTTCAAACTTTCTGCCCCCAATAAGGCAAGCATAGATTAGTGCCAACAGCTAAGTAGAGAAGGCGCTACGCCTTTTCACCAAGATCCAGGGGGCTATGCGGGACTCTTGTGGGTTTCAGAGACCAAACAAATCAATTACAAGGCTTCATCTTTAAATAAAATTGGGCTGAAAAAGTACTCAGCAAAATGCCTAATCTCTCTCTCTCTCTTTTTCCTGGCTGGTGGGAGCAGAAAGATATCCCTTTGATATCAGAGCAAATAAAATTTGAATTACTGACTGCTCATGTTAATGCTGAATTTTACTACCACCATATTTCAAAATGAAATTATTCTAACATGTATGTCTCAAATTAAGATCTGTGATAATATATATTGTAGTCCAGAAAACATCTTAGGCTCAGATGATGTAAAGGCTGATTCCCCTTGAGAGTAAAGTCTGGCCATTGTTTCTCATAGACTAAAGCTCTCCTGGTCCCTCCCAATAAATCTAAGTATTGATGACATCAGGGAGTGCTGCCTGGTTATTGAAGCACATGTTGGGGTGGGGGAGGGGATGGGGAGGGCAAGGCCACACCACTTCATTGTCAAAGTGGTTGGTATGTCTTAAATGCAGGGTTGTCAACATACGGCTTTCTCCTCTGATTTACAAAAATGAAAGGCCTAGGAGAAAGCTTAGCATATGACACACGAAACTTTGTGTACTCTTATTCTGCCATGCTGGAATCCTAGTTTCAAGTTTCTCATGCCATCTTTGCTCCCATGAGCCTCATAATGTCTTTTGGGGGTATTCACAGATTTCCAGTCCCAAAACGCCCATCTGTGTAAGCACAGCCTGCAGCTGACATGTCAAATAAACTCTCTCCCTAAGTCATGACATTCTCAATATTGCCTTTCCTGTTGTTAACACATCACTTCATCAAGGTGTTGGGATGGGATGGAAAACAAGGGGTTAAGCCAGCCCACCAGTGCCCAGGCTGGTTCCTGACAGCCGACGCTAGGTCCACCCTTACATTCTGTGAAGAACACTGCCCTTGAGACTGTGGGATGATTCCTCCTTAGGGAGGAAAGATGTCTTCACCTCCCCAAAGCCTTCTTGTCCAAAGGCTTGCCAACTTCCACCAGGCCCACTAATTAGATGTTAGTTCACATCGATCCAGGGCTGGCCATAACCCACAGAACTCCTGGCCTAGCCCTGCAGATGGCTCCACGCAACTAACGCTGTAAGAATCTAATTCCATGTTTTGAATTACTTTTCACAATTCTTTTCACTTCATATGAAAACAAGATCAAATGTTTATAAGGACTCGTTTGAATATATTTTCACTTTCCAAGCACAAACTTAGAGACAAAAAAAAAAAAATGAAATTTTCAGCAGCCATAAGACAAGAATGCATTTCTCCGGCTACCAAGTCAGATCATGGTGCAATAAAAACATCTCCAAACGCTTTCTGATACATTCTCTCATTTAACCTTATAACTCCTTAATGTTCACATTTTAATTGCAGTTTTAGAGCGTTAAGATCCTCCAGCAGCGCTGAAAGATGAAAGAATTTAAAAATTATTTAATACTAACTCGAAGCAAAAGCGAAGGCATTTCAGGCGGCTAACACAAAAGTTTCGCATTTAAACCACTCAAACTTCTCAGAATCTGCATAAAACTCAGCAAACTAAGTCTGTTGGATCTTTGACTAAGGAAGTGGGCTGTTGTAAAATGTAAACTCCTAACGGGCATCTCTAGCTCTTTTTGTTTTAATTTAAAAACTGGAGTGTAATTATCTCTTATTTACAAGAGTCACAAACACTGCCGAAGGGAAAATAAACCTCCTCTTTTGGGATGAAGTTGCTGACAAAGGTTTGACAGAGAAAAATAATTAATAGTTCTGTGCTGGCACGGGGAGAGTCCCAGAGCTTGGAGAAGTGAACTTGAAGATGTGCCACGCACGGCTGCCGTGTGGCCCTGGAATCCCAGGGGCCCAGCCAAAGGCAGGGTACACGTCTGGTCCTGAGAATGTGGGCAGCTTTGAGAGGGACTTAGGCTATGGCATGAGACAAAAGTCCAAGAGGTTTTTGAATATCCTCCTTAAGTTACTGTTTTGTGCAGAAACTGCTTTGTTCTCTGGTTACAAACTTTCTCCTGTTCAAGAAACCTGTCCATGGGTGATTAATGTCTTTCAGCTGGGGGCTCGAGTGTTCTCCAAGTTTGGTTCTGGGCTCTGCTGTTTAGAATCCCCACCTTGGGAAATAGAGGCAAGAGAGCCTTCAGGACAAGGAGCCGCCTGTGCCAGCTCCCTGGAGCCTACGGGGCACCTCACCTGACTACTGAGGTTAAAGCAGAGGAGAGGTGCACGTAAGATCATGTGCAGCTGGGTCAAAACCCTTGGAAGGAGGAGTCTGCTTCTTAAAAATGTGTGAGTGTACAGGTTCCATCATAACACTGCTTTTAAAGTAAACTACAAGAATCTTTTGAATACAAACCATATCGCATTCTAGCAGACATCCCTCTGTATTTTCATTTGCCTACATGAATGCTAGGAAGCCCATGGCCCAAAACAGTAAGATATTCTCATCCTTTTGTCATTATTATTAATGATGGATGTACTTGTAATGCCTATACATTTCTGCCTCGTGTGATAATCCCTTCCCTTCCCCTGGAGCACAGTCATGTTTTAAGATTGGCAACTATTTTATATCCTTTTGAGGCATGTTTGGGTGATTGGAAAGGGTTCAGATCTTGAAGCTGGACAGAATCTGATTTCTAGCCTTAACAAATCATGCAATGTTCCCGGGCCTCAATTTCCTCATCTATGAAATGGAGATAATATCTTTGTGGCAGAATGGGCAGAGATTATCCTGGCCTAATTCCCCTTGTATGCCCAAAGACAAATGCCTGGCACAGGCAGACGCCTGCATCCCAATGCCTGGCACAGAGTTGGCACCCAATGCACAAGAGCTATTGTTATTATTACTCTTAATAACACAACAAAAAAACAAAACAGTGGATGTTACTGACCAGAGCAATTTCTAATTCCAGCTTCATTATTTCAGATTAACTCAGCTGTTTTCCCCTCTTCTTATAGAATTCAAAAGAAAAGCCCTGAGATTTTGGCTCCAACTTCTCAGTGATACTTTTGGCCTTAGGAATATCTATTAAGAGTTTGCGATCCAAGGAGAACTATTAACACTGGCGTGGAAAGGGAAATTAGGAAGTCTGAATGAAGTAAAGGTCTGCTTGCGCATATAACAAGACCATTTTTCCTGCAAATATTATTTTCTTGGCTCTCAGGATCTTTTGTCCCTTTCTCTGTAGGCTGGGACCTCTGGGGCAAAGGACAGTGAGGGGCCCACACATGTTTAAAGAACAGGCTGGTACATCCTGTCCTTGCTACAGAGCCTGGCACATCAGTAGCAAAACAGACCTCTCTTTTGACACACTTTCTTTGAGGATTCTGCCAGACCCAGGCTTGCTGCTGAAGCCACCACTGAGCCTTCCTCTCGGCCTGGGCTGGTGAACTGCATCCCGGAGCCCCCTGGTGGTCCTTTCCATACTCACACCTCATTCCCACACCCTCTGGGGCAGGGAGAAAACGGCCTTAAAAGACCCACCCAAGGGTTAATCTCTGGTATCCATCATCCACTGGGGCACCCCATTTTCTTAGGATGAAGGCAACATGCTCTGTGTTAAAGATGGTATAGAAATGGCACCTTTCTCTAACATCAAGAGTCATTCATTAAGCATCTCTTAAGCACCTACTGTGTGCCAGGCTCACGCTGGACATGAGGAATAGAGGATTATGACTCAGCTCCTGCTCTTAAGAAGCTTCCAGTGTACAGGAAGAGGCAGACATGAGAGCTGAGAAAGACAATAGAGAGATGTGCCCAGGGAACCCTAGGGACAGTGTCAGTCTCTGTAAGGAAAGTGGGAATTGCATCAGGGAGGAAGGATAAGTTAAACTGGATCTTAGAGTCTTTGCATAGAGATTAGAAAGAAACTAGGCAGGCAGAGAAAGGAGGGAAGGCATTCCTGGGGGATGAGTCGATATGCCTCAATGCCCGGACCTATTAGGGGAATGCTGAGAAGCTGGGGGTGCCTGCAGCAGGAAGGAGTGATAAAGCAGGCTGGTGATGTGGGCAGGGCTTGGAGTGAGAAGACCTCGTAGGTCACACCAGGGAGTGTAGACTTGATCTTCTCCAGTGATTTTTCAAACCATGTTTTTAGACTCCCCATAAACATCTGATTCTAATTTCATGGATGCTGAGACCAAGGGAAAACTGGAGTGGTCATCCATAATCTGCTAACTTTACATTTCTGTGTTCAATTCCGTCTAACCATGAGAAGAATATCAGATAAATTCTAGTAGAGGGGCATCCTACAAAACACCTGACCAGTACTCCTAAAAAGTGCCGAGGCCATCAAAAACAAGGAAAGTAAAAAAGCTATTATAGCCAAGAGGAACCTAGGGAGGCGTGACAACCTAATGTACTATGGTACCTTCCCTGGTGGAACCCTGGAACAGAAAAAGAAATCTATTAGGGAAAAACTAAGGAGTTTTGAATAAAGTATGAACTTTAGTTGATGATTATGTATTAACATTGGTTCATTAATTATAATAAATGTACCATACCAATGTACAATGTTGGCAATAGGGGAACTGGGTACAGGGCCTATGGGAACTCTCTGCACTATCCCACAATTTCTTGTAAATCTAAAACTGTTCTATTAGGTTGGTGCAAAGGTAATTGTGGTTTTTACCATTAAGATGGCAAAGATCGCAATTACCTTTGCAGCAACCTAATAAAAAGTGAAATCTGTTTTTAAAAATCCTTTGTTCATCCAAACAGCCAAATTATTGTCACTGATAAGCTTTATAACTGTTATAAGTTAGAACTTAGAAAATTAACTTGTGCTCTAGTAACATTAGCTAACATTTATTTGGTAGCTATACCAGGCCAGGTACTCTGCTAAGTACCATACTTGATCTCCACAACAGCCTCATGAACTAGGGATCGTCAGTATCACACCCCCATTTTACAGCTGAGAAAAGTGAGGTACGGCGAGGTTAGACAGCTTGCCTGAGGTTATACAGGTAAGTGGCAGAGCCTGCATTTGGACCCAGGTCTGTCTGATGCCAGAGTCCAGATGCTTAATGATGAACATTCCATGCGATACTTTATTGAAAAAGAAGGGTCCACATAACTTTCATTTATTTCTTTCTTTTTAACACTGAAAGCCATAGCTATAGATGGGGTGGGGAGAAGAAGGGATCCTCAGTAGTTTTCCACTGGAGGAGGAACTAGGTCAGAGTTTGGTTTGGGAATGAACATTCTGGCAGCTACAGTGTGAAAGATGGGCTGGCGTAGGCACTGGGCTCCTGCTGCTGAGATTTTCTAGTGATGTCTCCAAAAGGAGGAGGAGAAGCAACGAGAGAGAATGAACTTCCCTAAAAGGATAAAGCAAAAGCCCTCGTATAGCAATCCTTCGGATCTAGACCCAACCAATCAAACCACAGGCATTGCTGAGCCCCTGAATGTATGCCTGGCACAGGCCTGTCTCCACAGACAGGAGCCGACAGTAAAGAGAAAATAACCGCAGCCCAAGAGATGGAGCAGCTGGCCCGGAGTCCCTGCCGGGGGGAAAGGCAGACCTTGGAGGGAATGCTTCCTGTGGCCTGGGGTAGGCAGGGGTGTTCCTGGAGGAGGCCTGTGGGCTGAGCCCTGAAGATGAGGAAAGGGCAGATAGGACTTCAAGCAGAGCCCAGGCCAGCACAAGGCAAACCTGATCCCTGCCCTGCAGTCCCGGGGGCCTGGGTGGCCCAGCCCGGAGATGCCTAGGGCTGAGAGCCTAATCCCTTACCATGAGCTCTGTAGTCTCTCCTGCCCTCCTGGATCAATTAAAAGTGGGAGTCACTTCACCAGTGTACTTGAGAGGCTACTATGTGCCACCTAGAGGCACATTTGGAATTTGGTACTCCTAGAGTTTACAGAAAACAATAGCAAGTCCCCTAGATAGTCAACTCTGCAAAAGCAAAGATGCTGTCTCAGACAGCCTGGCATGTAGCAGGTACCAATTAATAGGCAGTGAACTCAAGAAAGAATTAAAATTGCATGGGTCAAGGGTAATACTGGAATGTACTAAACTGCAGTTGACAATGTTTGGTGCAAAAACTTCGTACTTGCTTCCAACTGTGGCTCTAACAAATTAGTAAATGCTTAGTGGCTTACAACACTAATTTATTATTTCACAATTCTGGAGGTTAGAAGTCGAGCTAAAATCAACATGCTGGCAGGGCTGCATTCCGTTCTGAGGGCTCTAGGGGAGAATCCATTTCCTTGCCTTTCCCATCTTCTAGCAGCCACCCCTATTTTTTGGTTTGTGGCCCCTTACTCCATCTTAAAAGCCAGTGATGTCACATCTTCATGGCCATTCTTCCATAGTCACACTTCCTTCTGACTCTTTCTTCTGTCCTCTCTTCCACTTTTAAGGACACTTGTGATCACATTCGGTGCACCTGGATAACTCAGGAAACTCTCCCTATGTTAAGGCCAGCTGATTAGCAACCTTAACTCCATCTGCAACTTTAATTCTCCTTTACCATAGAAGATAACATACCTACAATTCCAGGGATTAGGACATAGACACTTTCGGGCTGCCACTATTCAGCCTACCACAACCCCAGATTTTAAGGTCAAACTGTAGGAGATAACCATTCTGTCTCCAAAATGTGAAAACAATAATTACCTCTTCTGAAGCATCTCTGTGTACCAGGCACACCACTACATATTATATATATATAACCTTACTTAATTGTATTTGATGTTTAATGAAGCAGGCACTGTTAAGAAACCAGAACTGGTCACTCACTTGCTAAAATCCTCTAATGACTTTCCATATGTCCTTAGGAAAATTCATAGGCTTCCAGTGGCCCTGCAAGGCCCTGTGGGACCTACCTTTGGCCCAACATCTAGCACCATCCCCCTCGGCCTCTCCCAGGTCCTCCGTGCTTCAGCCATGGGGGCCTCCTTTTGGTTCCTTGAACTCTCGTGGCTGTACCTACTGACCCCTCTTTCTGGAACATTCATTCCCAAGATCATAGTTAGTCCCACTTCACTATTCCAATCCCCACTGAAATATCTGTCCTCAGGGAGGCCTTCCTTAGCCATCTGCTCTGAAGTGACCACCCCGCTTCCCACCAAGCCACTATTATCTAAAATTATCATTATTTGTTTTATATTGCCTGTCTGGTCCATGGGGTCAGAAACCTAGTCTACCCTATTCACTGCTATATCCTCCAACCCCTAACATAGGGCTTAGTAAATAGTAGGGTCTTAAGAAATATTTGTTAAGTGAGCAGTTCTGAACTGGATAAATGAAAAAAACTAAGTGATATGGCCAACTTCCCAGAACTAGTTAGCTGGGATTCCAACAAAGCATGTACTCTACACCCCAGCCTCCGAAGGAACCATCCCTGACCTCTTCATCACAGGGTCTGGCTGAGAGGCACAGGGATGAAAACATTGGGTCCAGCTCCCAAGCAGTCCCCAGCTTTGTGAAGTGCAGTGAAACCAAGACAGAGGCCTCCTGAGAGGCTGCTGTGGCCCAAGTAATCAGTGCATCACTAGGTATGGTCTGCAGCTCAGCCAACCGAGAGGGCTGAGAACAGGAGAGGATGTGCTCACCACAAACCAGGAATGCACAATCAATTTGGGAAAACCAACCCCAAACATGAAACGGTCAGTGGCACAGGAGGCATATGAGCCTGGGTTCACTGCTGCGACAGGAAAGGCTGCAGGGCCAGACATGTGAGAGACAATGGGGTCTCAGTGGCTGGATTTAATAAGTAGGGCCAGGTCGGGGTGGGGGCATGTGGTGACAACAGGGGAATGCCCAAGCAAAGGTGCAGACCTTAGAACTGGCAGGACACACGTGAAAAACAGTCAGTAGAAATTGCTATTATAAAGCAAAGGAAAACAAAGCCAAGTAAGAGCCAGACTCTAGAGTCCTTAAACCTGGACTAAAGAATTTATACTTCCTCTTTAAAAGGATGGGGACTCATCGCAGGTTCCTGAACAACAGAGAAGCCTGTGTTTTAGGAAGATTTATTTTAGCAATGGAAGGCAGGATGGATCAGATGGCAGGGAGACCTACTCCTTATGAGGTGCAAAAAGGCCTCCAATCACAAAACACTTCTGCACCTCAAAGCCACCTGTCAGGGCTCTGTCCTCATGCTGAGGTCCTTCAAGAGGGCTGAGCCATGTACACTCTGAGAGTGATGCAGGGAGAACCTAATACTTCCAGGCCTTAGAGCATCAAACTGCTTTCCTCTGTGCTGGTGATCATTTGAGCAGCTGGGGACATTTAGGAGGGTGTGAGAAGAGACCAAGAGGAGAAAAAATTGGACACTGTAACATGTAACTGGAGCCTAAGAAATCCCTTCTCCCATGTCCCCATAGTGAATATTTACAATTTCCTGATTTCAAAAAACACCTTTAAAAGCTGGCTGGAAAGAACTGTTTACTGGGCATCTTTTAAATGAAACATTAAAAAACATCCTTTCATGGTTTATCTCCTCTATGCTTCAACTCCAAAGAATAGCAGTGTACATGTCTATGGGCTTTCCCTAGCATCAGTTCTATCTATGATGCCTACAGTAGAAAACTAAATTTATCCACTATTTTTCCTGAAGGCACGCAAGGTAGAACTGAAACATCAGAAATAAGCCTTAAAAAAGATGGTTCCAGCCTCCCAAGGAATTGATATTTCCAGATGCTAATATATCACAGATATACACATTTTAAACATCAAAACAGTGAATCTGCTTTGATACTAATGATATTGGCCCAAGGATCACACTTTGAGAAGCAACATCCCAGGGAAATGTTAGCAATGTACATCAAAAGCTTAAAATCTTCATACCTTTTGACCCAGTAATTCCAGGCTAATGAATATATTCTAGGGTCTAATAAGACATACATAAGAAGAAAATGCACAAAAAGATGTCAATAAGAATGTTTATAATAAAAACCAGATACAGGCCAGGCACGGTGGCTCACGCCTGTAATCCCAGCACTTTGGGAAGCCGAGGCAGGTGGATCATGAGGTCAGGAGATCGAGACGATCCTGGCTAACATGGTGAAACCCCATCTCTACTAAAAACACAAACAATTAGCCGGGCATGGTGGCGGGTGCCTGTAGTCCCAGCTACTTGGGAGGCCGAGGCAGGAGAATGGTATGAACCTGGGAGGCGGAGCTTGCAGTGAGCCGAGATTGCGCCACTGCATTCCAGCCTGGGCAACAGAGCAAGACTCCGTCTCAAAAAAAAAAAAAAAAAAAAAAAAAAACAGATACAACCTAAATAGCTAACAATGTGGAAATTTTAAATAAATCATGAGAAAGCCATTTGATGAAAAGTCAATATAGTCATTAAATATCAAATTCTTGTAGAACGTTTGGTGTTACGGGAAAATGTTCATGACATGTAAAGTAAAAAAAAAAATCAAAATACAAAAGTGGGATATGCAGCATGTTATACTTTAGTTTTATATGTCACCTTGGCTAGGATACAGTATCCTGTTATTTAATCAACCACTAATCTAGATGTTGCTCTGAAGGTATTTTGCAGATGTGGGTAACATCCACAATCAGTTGACTTTAAGTAAATGAGGTTATCCTCCATAACGTGGCTGGACCTCATCCAATCAGTCAAAAGCCTTAAGAATAAAAACTGAGATTTCTCAGAGAAAATGGAATTCTATCGTAAAACAATAGAATTAATTAATTCCTGCCTGAATTTCCAGCCTGCTGGGTTGCTTATGGATTTTGGACTTCCCAGCCTCCACAATCACCTGAGCCAACTCCTTAAAATCAATGTGTGTTTGTGTGTGTGTATATCTTCCCTACTGGTTCTGTTTCTCTGGATAACCCTAATACACAGTATGATTTCATTTTTGTAAAAACAAAGCTAAAAACATATACATGTATAAATAACACTGAAAAAGCTTGGGTCTCATAATTGAACATATAGTATGATTCCAATTCTTTTTTCTTTTGAGACAGACTCTCTGTCACCCAGGCTGGAGTGCAGTGGCAGGATCTCAGCTCATGGCAACCTCCGCCTCCCAGGTTCAAGCAATTCTCCTGCCTCAGCCTCCCAAGTAGCTGTGATTACAGGCACCTGCCACTGCGCCCAGCTAATTTTTGTATTTTTTAGTAGAGATGGGGTTTCACCATGTTGGCCAGGCTGGTCTCAAATTCCTGACCTTAAGTGATCCACCCACCTCAACCTCCCAAATTGCTGGGATTACAGGGGTGAGCCACTGTGTCCAGCTCTAATTCTATTATTGCAATATTAGATATATGAACAATGAAAGAGAAAACATATCCAAATATTAATAGCAAAAACACTATGGTTTATTTTTTGTCTTTATTATTATTTTCTTGAGACAGGGTCTCACTCTGTCATGCAGGCTGGAGTTCAGTGGTGGACTCACGGCTCACTGCAGCCTTGACCTCCAGGGCCCAAGTGATCCTCCCGCTCAGCCTCCCAAAGTGCTGGGATTATAGGCATGAGGCAACACTCCTGGCTTTTCTTTATACTTAATATATTTTTCTAAACTTTTTCCTATACGCATGTGTTAAATTTGTAATCAGGGAAAGCATAATTACAATGTAATTTGAATTCAGTGAAGCAATTTCAATGCCCACTCAAAGGTATATGGTGCAATTTTAGGCAATCTGAAGAAGACAGCATGCTTCTTTACCATCTCACATCAAAAATCTGATTCCTGGCCTTTCCTCTGGACCTGTCCCAGCCCCACCTTTTTGTTGTTCTTGTTCCTTTCTCTTTGGACTCTTTTTTCTTGCCCAGAAGGAAAAAGCCTATTCTCTCAAATGAAAAACCTGTTAGATGGGTCAGGCAGAGACTTTTATTATCTGTTTTATAAATGAGGAAACTGAGGCTAAAAGGGTTTAAATGAGTTGCACCTAGATACCCAGACGGTAGCTGACCCAGCCCAGATTCCCACCTTTGTAAACTGTAAAACTAGACACATGTGAATGACTTTCACTACTGCTCCCATATGGACCTTGGGAGAACCATGTCAATTACATTACAGGGTTTTCTCCTTGGCCTTCCACAGCTTTCTTCAGTGACTTCAGACAATGGGTCATTAAGCTCCAGAAAAGATGAGGATGTAACGATGGCCAGGGTCAGGTGCCAGGACCAAAAGTGCTTTGGGCTATGCCACATGTCCAAAGCATCTGGCCAGGACCCCTAATGACTCAAGCTCCACAGCTGTAAGCAAACAGGGCCACCCGCGCTACCCTAAATGGGGCCAAATTCAGCACTTTCTTTCAGTCTCAGCAGCCTCTCCAGTCCCCATCTAATTATTGGCACATGGCCCTGGCCACCTGCCATCCCATGCCCATGAAGGGATAGCCCAACTGCAGAAGATTTAGGATACAAAAGGAACTCCTTCTGCCAGCAACTTCAAATTCTGCTTCTGTGGAGGCTCTGATTGGGTCCTAGCACCAAGGGCTTTCCCTCTTCCCTCCTGGGCCCACCCAGACTGAGCGCACTCTTGAATCCCTTTAGGACTGGACCCTTTTTTGGGGCCCTCATGCTCTCCTTTGCATCCCCAAGGAACTGGACCTTGCTCTATCAGCATCCCTGCAACAAATGGACTCATCTCCCCAAATCATAAGCCTTTCATTCCTAAGCACTGGTACCCTGGAATATCCTGCTATAATCTGCAACCCTAAGACCTGATGGTAATGCAGGCTGGGATAACTTCTAGTATTTGCTGAAAAAATGAATAAATAGACTACACATAGGCCATACTACTGAGGTCCTGGCAAGCCTCCTATCCAAGCATTTCTCAGTGATTAAAAAAAAAAAAAGAGCTATATTAAACGGTGAGCCAACTGGGCAGCTGCCTGGGGTGCGAGTTTATAAGAAATGCTGAAATATCCCTAGAATAAATTGGAAATATGGTACCAGTTAACTCAGGTTTCTACATGCTGCTTCTTCCATAACTGGTAAAGTGTAAATTGTTTCCATTTCTGTCAAAGAAGATAGTGCATTTGGTGAGAGAGGGTTAAAAATCACAGTTCTCTCTGAGAGCTACTTTGGATGAACATGTTTACACTGCCAAAAGTGCAAGGTGCAAGGTGTAACTAGAGGTGCCAACCCCAAAACCAGCTGGCTGACAGAACCTGATGTTGGGAGGTGCAGGTCAGCTGAAAGTTTGAAACTAAACTAACCCTAGACATTAGAGTTGTTTGGTGGGAATGAGCAATGTATCTGAGTAGCTAAATTTTAACTCCTTTCCTATATTTTCTAAGACATTGCCTAGTGCAGAAAATGACATGAAATAAACAAATCTAATCTCTTATTTTGAATATAAAGAAACCGGCTTACTGGCTTTGTTAATGTAATGTCAGTTTCTCCTCATAACTAAACATTGAGCACATACCTCAAGTATTTGACCTGCTACCTTCTGAGTCCCACCGCATCAGAACCTCCCACGCACACAGTGGAAATGCTCAGAGCACTGGCTGGGCACAGAGAAGGCTGGGGGCCTCCTATCATCACCATGCAAAAGCCTTCAGCTTCCCTAAAGGTTGTGTAGGCTTCCATCACCTGCTAGGGGACTAATCAGGGTACCTGTTGCTCCCCACCCTAGTGACCTCAAAACTAAGGACTCAGGCTGCTCCTGGCAAAACTGGAAAAACAAGAAGATTCCTTCTCCCCCTCCTCCTATTATGATAAATAGGAATGGAAGAGGGAGGGGGACAGGAGTGGGTTAAATACAAGGCAGAGTACAGTAGGGGTTTCACAATGAAGCCTTGGGAAAAAGGGAGAGAGAAGGGAGACTGAGAAGAGGGGACAGGCCCTTCGAGCTGCCCTGTGCTGGCCCCTGTGGGGAAGGAGGCAGCGAGGCATGTGCCAGCAGGGCTGATAATATGTGCTTTAGTACCAAGATTTAATGGGCAGGGCTAACCACAGGCTATAGAGAGGGAATGAGAACAACATATTCTCAGCCGTGCCAAGTACGTTACAGAAAAGTTACCATCAGCATCAGAAAAATGTATTTGGATTTCTGAGACTCGGTTGAGGCCCAGAATGGAGACTCAACCACTCCGAGTACGAAAATGAGAAAGGCATTCAACTTTCTGACAGAGGGCCAGACCCAGGAGGAAAATAAGCTCCTTCTTACGTATGTGTGTGTAGTCTCTGAAACAAAGCAGAATGTACATGTCAACATCTCTTTGAAATTGTGAAGAAGGAAAACAGCTCACTGCTTCACATTTATTGAGAGCCTACTATGGGTCAGACATTATTTGTTCTATGCACTTGATGTGTATTAACTCATTATCTTACTTACATCATGGGAATATACTAGTAGTATCTCCTTTACCAAGACAGAAAAAGCTTAGGCACCATGTGGTTAAGTAATTTTCAATTTTCCAAAAGTTACACATATAGTAATAGCAATCCTATAGAACTTCTTGTGACCAAGGGGGAAAAAGGAAATTAACTGCATAGTACCCATCAACCTTAGTTAACATTTACTATGCTAAATATCCACTTGCCCCTCCAGATCCACTCTGTACTGTGGTTGAGTTTGGCCAATGGATGACGTCAGGAATAATGGATGTTTATTCCCCTGGTTCCCTCCCTGCTGGGCCACACATTGGCAGTTATGGTTTTGCTCTTCTGAGGGCCACAGTTTCTGCTGAGGCCCTCTTCTGTGCCTATGGCTTTCTCCCCAGCTGCTGGTCAATATCCTGTCCCCTTACTTCTTATCTAAGGGTAGTCACTGCTCCCTGCTGTTGCCTTGGGGCACTTCGCCCTCATTGGTTCCCTTCAAACCCACTCTTTGTAAATGGTCCCTCCACTACTCTCTTCAATCACTCCATAGAGTATGCAAAGCGTTCCCTCCCAGGGCCTTGACTCATACACGAGGTTATAACACTTTACATGAATTTTTAATCCCTCTATCAACCCTATAAATGGGTGAAATTATTATCTACATTCTCTAGTTGGGGAACTTGAAAATTCTGATGGGTTGACTAACTGCTTAAAGGTAATTAAGTGGCAAAGTCTAGATTTGACACAAGCAATCACACTCCCATGCCTATATTACACCTTAGCTACTGTGCAGTAAGTATTGCACTGGTATTGTAAATTGTATAAAATATCCTAACATATTAGGCTGTCTTGATTATTTTAAAAACATTTTTTCATGCCCTGCGATCATGGTTTCCCAATCCTATTGTTCCCTAAATGTTACTGTTCTGTCACTGGATGCAAAGGAAAGTTGGGGGACGTGAATGCATTTCAAATCCAGCCCTTTCTAAAGTAGGGACCATCATTCCCACTTCACAGATAATTCTATACTTCAGTACGATGTCTTCAACTTCGTAAGATTCATGACCAAGGTAAACATCAATGCCACAGACACTGGGCTGGCACCAGCATGCTCCATTGTCTGTGTGTGCTGCAGAATGGTACTGTGCAAGAGGTTAGTAGGTGCTTTTTGAAAAACAGGATCCCATTGGCAAAAAAAGTTCTGAAAAAACTGCATA
The DNA here is from genome assembly GCF_000001405.40 of Homo sapiens. Classification (NCBI taxonomy): domain Eukaryota; kingdom Metazoa; phylum Chordata; class Mammalia; order Primates; family Hominidae; genus Homo; species Homo sapiens. The sequence continues at coordinate 12,401,413 of NC_000011.10, read as the reverse complement.
TTAAATCCCACCTTTGCCTCTTCTTTGGAAATTGAAATAGTGTGTTAAGCCTTAGCAGGAAAAGAAGCCCCTTTAACCTTGCTTTTTCCAAAAAGTTGAGCATAATACATTTTTTCTGTAGATATTTATTAACATAGCTTTCCTAAATGTAAAACAGATATCCACATATTTTAGCCACTTATAATTATTTGCCTGTGAGGTCGCTGCAGATTCCAAGTATGCTCTTTTGTCTTGCTTAAAAATAACTACCAGCCCAGGGAAAGGACCTAAGGCTTGTTAAGGTGGGAATCGACCGTGATGGAATACCCTGGTCCCACTACATGCCGCAGTGGCACACACTTTGAAAGTGTGCACTTTGGTGCACACTGAGAAATCACTGTCTTATTGATAAACATCTCCTCATGTTATTAAACAACAAATGAGCCCTCAAAAAGTCTTCAAGGGAAATACAGGTCAACATTTATTGCCAGACTCCAGCCCCAACTGCCTATGTTGCTCCTCAGGCCTCCCTTTGCCCACACTGCTAGTATAGCACAGATCACATGGGAATACAGTTAAATATTTGTGTTCAGGCATCTAGAAGTTCCCAAAATAACCCAGATTTCAAATATTCTTCTTGCTTTCCCTATAATTAACAAAAATATGTCAGAAATTCCACTGGATGCAAAACAGTTGCAAAAATTAATTAATTCAAACTGGTATGTAATACTTACAAAATAGGCCCAACTCACAAAAAAGAGACGGAAGGAAAGAAAAATTTTTAATAAGGCTGAAGAAATAATTGGAAATACTCAAGAAAAGTCCCATACACTTGCTACATTATCAATACATAGTATTTGGTTGGAATTCAAGTGCATTTTTCTAAAGACAAGGACCATCAAGGTCATATAAAAGTACTCCCCAATTCCAAGAGCAGAGAAAAAGAGAAGGATCTAGACAGTGGAGATAAGGTATGTCCATATGCACAGACTTTCTACACACATTGACTTGCCCTCCAATCTGAAGTAGTTTGAAATCTACTCAAAGTAATATATTTTTATTCTAGTGCTCAACTAATTATAAAGCAAAAGGAGAAATATAAATGGGTTTATGCACGAAAAACATTCAACCTCACTGGTAATCATGGAAATTCAAATAAAAACAATTAAAGTTGTTCCCACAAAGCAAATGTAATAAATTAAAACAATAAATGCTAAAAATAATATAGTTAAATAGGCACTCTCATAGACTACGGCTGGGAACATATGTTGGCACATCCCTTTTAAAAAGTAATTTGAATTTGATCAGGCATATATATCAAGTAATTTTTATTTATTTATGTTTTAATTTTTATTTTTTAATAGAGATTGGGTCTCACTATGTTGCCCAGGCTGGTCTCAAACTCCTGGGCTCAAGTGATCCTTCTGCCATCTATCAAGAAATTTAAAAGCCTTCATAATGTTTGACCCAGTAATTCCATTCTAGGAAATTTACCCTAAAGAAGTAACACTAAATATGGAAAAAATATTTATATAAAACTTAATCAATGTATTTTTATGACAGCAAATAACTGAAAACATACCTAAGCTCCAACAATGAGGGAAAAGGTTGGTAATCTATGGTACATCTTCCAAATGGCTATATTATTTACATTATAGTCACTAAAGAAGATATACAAGAATTATTTACTGTAACATTGTAATGGGTAATGTAATGAGAAAAAAATCAAAAAGTATATACAAGCTAAAAACAACAAAATACACACACACAAGAAACTTGGAAATAAATATGATAAAATGCAAACAGTGTTTATCTAGGTCAGTGCTACACAGAGTGTGATCTGCAGACCAGCATCAGCCTGGGAACTGTTTGCTCCCTGTCCATGATAAGACAAGAACTTATAATAAACATTTAGAAATATTTAGCAATTTGATATTGCTATGACATTCAGGAGGGTGTACCATGGCACTGTCTAGTTGAACAGGGTATAGACCAGCTTGACTGCTGTCCAACTCCAGTGGAGAATTACAGGTTACACAAGCTGCATAGTAGTCACACACAGTAGGACATCACAGTCCACAAAGGATTGGAAATAAAAAAGAACTGCCCCTCTGCTGTAGGTAGTAGCACTGTGGGAAAATATTGTTATATTTCCATATGTTCAAAATTTTTTATAATGCTTTATAGCTATTACAAGAAAAAACTTTTTTAATGAAAGAAAACAGAGAAAAGTAAATGTCAGTGGACTGCTATGTTTGGAAAACTTTTCTATAGAAATGTAATATATACTGAGCGGCAGAATGACATCATGGTTAGGAAAATAGATTTTGGAACCGACAATCTTGGTTTGAATCCTGGCTCCACCATTTACTAACTATGGGCTAGTTGCTCAACCTCTCTGTGCCTCAGTTTATTCATGCATAAAATGGGGATAAAAACAGAACCTATCTCATAGTTACGTATAGGGTTCGGCAGGATTAAATAATTCAATAAATACAAAGTGATGGAACACAATAAGGTCTATGTAAGTGCCCACTATTATTATCACAAGTCATGGGCATGGGTGACAGCCACAGTCAGACCATATCTTCCAATGTCTTATTTGCAACATGGGTTAAGAGGAGTGGTATATGTGGTAATAACAGCAAGGAATATTAAGTGCTTTATATGAGCCTGGTTCCATGCCAAGCACTTAACATGAATTAGCTCCTTAATTATTAACACTAGAGATCTGGTATTGAGTTCTTATGCCCATTTTGTAGAAGGAAAAACCAAGATTCAGAGAAATGAACTGACATGTCCAGGGTCACCAAGCTATTAGGTCTGTCTCCCTCCAGGACACTGGGCTAGGCACAGGAGGACGGGGGTCCCTAGAGGCTAGACTGTGAACCCCTTATAAAAGTAGAAATGCCCTGTGTCTCATTTCTGCTCTTATAAGGGGTTCACGGTCTAGCCTCTAGGGACCCCTGTCCTCCTGTGCCTACCCCAGTCAGGGCTCTTACAATAGCCAGGGTCACCAGCCTATTCAAAAGACCAGGCCAAAATAAAAATCCAGAACTTGTTTCCAGCCAGGGCCCTCACCTGGTCCCTGTCATGCAGGCCAGCAAACAGCAGCTGGTCTTCCTCCGCAGCCTGGTTGGGGTGTTGTTCTCAGGGAGTGATCTAAGTCCCAAGGAGGGCAGCTCTTGGAATGTAACGGGAGGATGCAGGGGCTCGTGAGTCACTCAACACTCCCTCCTCACCATGGCTTTGGATGTCATTTATTATCTTCATCATTTGGGTGTCTGCTCCTAGTTGGCTGGGGGTTGGTGGAGCAGTCATCCCTAAAAGGAAATCAGCCTGTTAACAACTCCCATCTCTCCCTGCCAAATGGACTGGAAGCAGAGGGAAGGACACTGGCAGGGCCCAGCTGTTCTGGGCCTGGAGGAATTCAAGGGGGCAGAGAGGCCCGTGCTGGGCTAGTGGAACACTTAGCAACCACTGGCTTCAGACCTCTGCGTGTGGATGCTCTTCCATGACTTCCTCCTCTCGTCAGAAATCTGGCCCCTCTGCATCCAGAGGAGTGTGAAATCTCTAAATGTTTATCCTCAAAGTTGAAGAAAAAAAAAAAAAAAAGACCTTCCCCCAGAAAATGGGGGCAGGGGACTTGGGAGTGGAGAGATGGTTAAGAACACACAGGATTTCGCCTTGAGATCCAAAACATCCTGTCTGAACCAACATGCTGAAGCTAGGAGCCTGAGAATTTGTTGCCTAAAAATGTGTGGCTAAAGAGAAGTATTTCCAATAAGATTAGAGATCCGGATAACTTTTAGTTTCCACCCTCTCTTTTCAAGACTGAATTCTTAACAAGAATAAGAGTTTTACTAAAATGTGTGTAGGTGTTTTTCTTCTCTATCATTTCCTTTTTGGAGAGCAATATGGTAAAATCCAGCAAAATCCAAACTTAAAAACGTTTTGCCTCAGCAATTCCACCTCTAAGAATTTATTGTGCAGACAAACTGGCATAGAATGTTGTTTGCAAGCATGTTTAATGCAGCATTGTTCAGAGTAGCAAAACACTAAAATAAATTTAAGCTGGGTGCAGTGGCTCATGCCTGTAGCCCCAGCTACTGGAGAGGCTGAGGCAGAGGGATTGCTTGAGCCCAAGAATTCAAGTCCAGCATAGGCAATATAGCAAGACGCCATCTCTAAAAATAAGAATAAATAAATGAAAGATATGATTAAATAAATTATCTTTCAGCCTATAAAAAAACTTAAATGTTCATCAATAGGGAACCTATTAAACACCTTTATGCATTGAGTGGCACATCCAAGCAATGCATAAAGCTGTTTATAAAAATGAGGTCAATCCCCCATGTGAAACATACCCAGGACAAATAGGTACGTGAAAAAGAATAAACCGCTGAACACTCTTAACAATAATATTGCAGCTGTATATAAACAAAACAAGTACATGAAAGGAAAGGAAAGGAAAGAAAACAAGTACATGAAAGGAAAGGAAAGAAAACAAGTACATGAAAGGAAAGGAGAAAGGAAGAAAGGAAGAAAGAACAAAACAAGCATTTCTCACAGGCTACACTACTACAGTCAAAGCCTGGAAGTAAGAAAGAGGGGGCCCTTACTTTTCATTTTATATTTCTACCCTTTAAAAATTCTGTTTTACCATAAACCTAAACAGTTTTAGCTAGGTTAATACACATAGAAGTCATAATACCAACTGGTTAAACGTACTGTGAACAAGAGGAAGTTCCATGCGAGCAAAGACATAGAGCTTGGGCAATGCCTGGCAGGGGATCCTATTTCTGGAATGCCCACTGAGGGCCAGGCCCTGTTTTAAACACTTCACAAGTATCAATTCCTTTCATCTTCAAGACAACCTTATGAGACAGTGCTAGTCATGCCATTTTGCAGATGAGGAGACTGGAGCTCAGAGAGAATGATGAACCTGTCCCAGGTGACACAGCCAGTGTGTGCTAGGACCAGGCACTTTGCTTCCAGGGCCCAGACACCTCCTTCCCAGGCTTGCCTCACAATCAACATTTGTTGAACAAATGGACAAACTAGACAAATTGCCAGCACCTTTAAAGACTAGAAAAATGGTAAATTATTAAACAGTTTCTATTGTCACTGTTGATTTATCTTATTAATAATTATTATTGATGAATGAAAAATAAATACTTCAGAAAAGCCAGCTGTGTTATAGTGGGCAAAGAGTTAGACTTTGGTATGAAGAAACCAGTTGAAATCCCTGTTCTACCAATTAATAGCTGAGAGATCTTAGACAAGTCAGTTCACTTCTCTGGGCCTCAGTTTCCTCATCTGTAAAATTGGGACCTCCCAGGGTTCCTGTAAGGATTAAATGTGATATAATATATGGAGGTCCCTAGGTGCTTGACATATGTTGGATACGTATACAAATAAAAGGAAAAGATGCTGAAGATGGAATCAACTATGCTCAGAGCATTGCCAAGGATAATCTTTCTTTTTCAACCTTCTGAGTTTTAAAAGTGAACTGAAAATCTTATATCCACTCATATTCCAATGGTCTGAATAGGAAAGCAGGGTTTTAATTGTTCTGATTCTGCCTCCAAAATATTGATTTAGGACGTTTAATACCATCTCCAAATGCCAGGCTTAATTTGCATTGGGTCAGAAGCTGGGCTGCCAAGTGTTGGCTGTTGATTTTAGGTGGAGAATTGGGAGGTCCTCCTGGCCAGCCATGAGCAAGCTTCACCTGGGACTCAGGAGAACTAGCCAGTGGAAGAGGCCGAGTCTTTGATGGATTTTCACTGTTTAATTAACATGCAGCTGGGATCTGGGCCGCACCGTACCTTTCAAGCAAGATATGTGTCATGGGTTGAACAACTAACCCAGGCTGAGCCAATCTGGCCAGGGCAGAGCCCAGACTTTGGCCTGGCTTCCCCGTTACCCAGGAAGCCTGTGCTTCTAACTTTTAGAGGCTCCGGCGCTCATCTTCAGCAGCCCGATTCTCCCGGCACTGACCACTACCTCCAGGAGTATCTCAGAATCAGAGTTCAAAAGCTGACCAATGGCTCCCAAACAGAGCCCCTGAAGACCTGTGTAAAGCTGTTCTTCGGTAAACACATTCGGTGCTCTTAGTTTACTATCCGGGGACTACAGAAAGTCTACACTCATGATTCATTAAAGTCTTTTTTTTTAAATTATACAGTTGACCTTTGAACAACAGCAGTTTGAGTTGTAAGACCCACTTATATGTGGACTTTTTTCAACCAAACGTGAATCAAAAATAAAGTATCTGCAAGATGCAAAACCCATGTAAAAACTTCCATAGGGCCTCTTCTTTCTTTTTTTTTTTTTTTTTGAGATGGAGTTTCGCTCCAGTTGCCCAGGCTGGAGTGCAATGGCCTGACCTTGGTTCACTGCAACCTCCACCTCCCGGGTTCAAGCGATTCTCCTGCCTCCACCTCCCAAGTAGCTGGGATTAAAGGCATGAGCCACCACGCCCAGGTAATTTTGTATTTTTAGTAGAGATGGGGTTTCACCATGTTGGTCAGGCTGGTCTAGAATTCGTGACCACAGGTGATCTGCCCACCTCGGCCTCCCCAAGTGCTGGAATTACAGGCTTGAGCCACCACGCCCAGCCTGTAGGGCCTTTTCATATAGGTGGATTCCGTAGAGCTGACTGCAGGACTTGAGTGTGCTCGGATCTGGGTATACACAGGGGTCCTGGGACCAATCTCTTGTGTATACAGGAGGATGATTGTAATCATAATGGAAAATTTCAGATATACCCAGAGTAGACAGAATACTACAGCAACTCTCCACATACCCACCACCATTCTACAACAAGGAACAACTTGTGCCTACTCTTGATTCCATCTTTACCTTGACCCCTACACTGCATTATTTGATGCAAATCCTAGACATTTCATTGTGTCATCCACAAACATTTCAGTATGTACCTTGAAAAGATAAGGACATTTTTGGTAAGATAACCAAAACATCATTCTCACACCCAGTAAGCTAACAATGATTCCTTAATATCATCAGATCTCCCATGAGTGTTTACATTTTCTTGATAGTCTCATAAGTGACTTGTAGAAGTTGATTTGTTTGAAGCAGGATTCAAAACAACTAGCTGGGTTTTGACTTTGAATTGTGTCTCTGGTGGCTTTGGATCTCTCATCTTCTTTCTTCTTCCCTTCAATCCCTTCCTAGCACAGTAGTTGTGTGGGGGCATTCCAAGCCCAGTGATACCTCTTACTAATAATATGGCCTTGGACGTGGAACCAAGCTCTCTGCTTCAGCTTCCTCATCTGAAAAATGAAAATAATAATAATTCCCTATCCCATAGGGTTTTGTAAAAATTCAATAAAATAGTAAGTGTGAAATGCTTAGAACAGTGCCTGGCATAGGGCAAATACTTGATTAATATTGGTTTTTATTGTTTCTCTTTTTCTAAAAGGCAATGACTTCAACAGCATCCAGGCAACCACATAATAGTTATATGTGGGAAGAAAACTGAGTAAAAACTTGTGCAACCACACATTTTTCCCAGACCTCTGAGCTACTATTCAGAGGAAGGTAGAGGAGCGTGCCACTCAAGAGCAAGCTTCTGGAGCCAGACTGTCTGGGTTCAAATCCATGTCTTCCACTTGCTACCAGTGCCAAAATGAAACATGTGTTTGCTCAAACCCATTTCCTTTCCCCTGGGGCCAAGAACAAAATTATATTTCTCTTGCACTTAGGTGTGGCCACATAGCTGAGTTCTGGCCAGTGGGAAGTGGCAGATGTGACATACGCCACATTCAGGCTGGTCCCCCAAGACCTCCCACTGAGTCCTTGCTTTCTTTCTCACCCACCAGCTGAGTGATGAGGATTTGAAAAACCTTCAGGAAGGTAGAGCCATAAGATGAAAGGGGCCTGGATCCCTGAATGACCATGTGGAAGACAACTCAATCAAAAACAATGCCACCAGGTTGTGCTGTAAGCAAGAAATAAGCTTATTATGTTAAGCTTCCAAGAACTTGGGGCTTATCTGTTACAGCAGCTAATGTTATCTTAACTAGTACACTAGTCTTGACTTTGGGCAAGTTACCTGGTCTCTCTGTGCCTCAGTTTCCTCATCTGTAAAGGGGCAAAGATGCTAATATTAATATGTATTTTGTGAGGTTGTTAGGAAGACCAAATATGTTAACAAATGTAAAGCTACCACATTACCTGGCCCATAATCGCACTTTGTAAGTGCTTGTCCCTGATGCACTTACATTATTATTGTTGTTATTAACAGTAGTATTATTTGAAAAATAATGGTACATCATCAAGAATGTCTACATTTCACTTACGTGTAAATCTTTGCTACTTTTCTGGTATTTTTTTTCTTTCTTTTTTTTTTTTTTTTTTTTTTTCACAATTTGGGGTTAAAATTGTTTCCAGCCAACAATTTCCAATTTAATAATAAAAGCCAGTGATGTAATGGGATTGTAACAATTTTCTTCACAGGAAATATTTCAGGAGCACAGCCATTCTGCAAGATGAAACACCTAATACAAGATGCAGCATGTCTCTGGTGTCCCAGTCAGGGTTAAAAAATGAGTGAAGGAGATCCAGTGTGTACCTTTCGGGGTTAACAGTCAGATAACTCATAAGGCTCAGGACTGAGGAGATGTGCACTGAACTCTGTAAAATGTTTAAATACACTTGAGTGTATACTCCTAGGTATATACCTAAGACAAAGAAAAATATGTGTCTATACCAAAACTTGTACATGCAAATTCATAGTCACATTATTCATAATTGCCAAAAAGTATGAATATCCAAGTGTCCATCAACTGATAAACAAAATGTGGCATATTCAAATAATATTTTTAGTCATAAAAAGGAATGAAGGGTATGGTGGCTCATGCCTGTAATCCCAGCACTTTGGGAAGCAGAGGTGGGCAGATCACTTGAGGTCAAGAGTTCGAGACGAGCCTGGCCAACATGGTGAAACCCCGTCTCTACTAAAAATACAAAAATTAGCTGGGCGTGGTGGCAGGTGCCTGTAATCCCAGCCAGTTGGGAGGCTGAGGCAAGAGAATCGCTTGAACCCAAGAGGCGGAGGTTGCAGTGAGCTGACATCGCGCCACTGCACTCCAGCCTGAGTGACAGAGCAAGACTCCGTCTCAGGAAAAAAAAAAAAAAAAAGGAATGAAGTACAGATACATGCTACAACATAGATGAAACCTTGAAAATATTATGCTAAGTGTAAAAGGCCAGTCACAAAACACCATATATTATTCTATTCCATATATTATATTATTCCATTATTCCACATATATTATTCCATTATTATAATAATATATATTATTCCATTTACATGGAATGTCCACAGTAGGCAAATTCAGAGAAACAGAAAGTAGATTAGTGACAACTTGGGGTTAGGAAATGGGGAGGGGAGGAGGAGTGACTGCTAATGGGTACAGGGTTGCTTTTCAGGATGATGAAAATGCTCTAAAATTGATTGTGGCAATGGTTGCACAACTATGAATATACTAAAGACCACTGAATTATGCCATTTAAATGGGTGAATTGTATCTCAATAAAGCTGCTATATTAAAAAAGTGCCCACTCCTCCCAATGGATCAGACCACCTCTCCTCTGGACTTGAGCTTCCATCAGAAGGCAGAGCACGTTCCCAGCTCATAAGAAGTCTTTGGGAATTCCATGCTGTGTGTTAAAATCCGGTCCATTTCTGTGTGCAAGTGACAATGACATGACACACACATGCTAATGAGTCTGAAGTGAAGATGAGAGGTCATGGCTGGAAGTGTAGCTTGGGGAGTTAGCAGCATATGCAGGTAGGAGATGAAATTGTCGTCCACACTCACGTGAAAACTGATAACCCATTGATACCAACCTGCACAAACACAACCTTCCAACCCCAGAGATACAAGCAGGGGTGTTGTTTTTCTTTTTCACACAAGAGCATAAGCTAGACCATGAATCACACTTCCCAGAACCAGTAATACTGAAAGGGCTAGGTAGCTGGGAGCCCAAATTACTTAAATTGATGCCATATCATCTGAAGAGGCGACACTGGGATCTCACAAACTGAACGACAATTGCCATCTAGCCAATTCATGGCCCTGGACTCCTGTTTCCCACCTGCTCCAACACCAATTTAAGCAATTCCGAACTTTGATCTCCACAGCAGAATGTCTCAGATTTATTGAAGCGTCAGGTCCCAATTGTGCTAACATCCACCCTGGCAGGGCCATTACAAGGTGTGAAATCTGGGTGCCCATCACTCCGGCCACGTTCAGCACAGTGACAATCAGAAGGAACAAATCAATCTGCCTCTCTATAGTCATCATGAGAGCCTTGCAATTTACTGTAATGATGGCCATGGAGGAAATGCAGGCAAAGGGATCATTCTGTTCTCTGGGAACTTGGGCATGTGCTGAAGGAGCTGCTGAGCCCACCAAGAGAGGCCTTGTAACACTCAGCCAAGAGGCAGCTGCTACTCCTTACATGGGGCTATTTCAGGACTTGCCTGTATCCTGAGAGCTGCTTTAAAATGGAATTGTGTTACCCTCCTCCTGTGTTTTGCAAACAGCATCAAAACTGTTGGTTCCTGCTGCCCCTGCTTCTCCCAGCTGTCATTATTAATTACCTGTCATCTGCAGGTCTGCCTCACCAGGGCTGAGAGCCAGGGAGAGCTCAGCCTCATGGTAAATAGGAAAACCCCTCCCAACAGAGAGGAAAGTTTATTTTCAAGTCTCAAGTGTGGGAGAATGGAGTGAGGGAGGCAAGAACCAGGGTCCCTTTGTGAGCCTCCCCACCGACCTCTACTTTGCAGGGCCAGGAGTTCTAATTCCACATAGAGACTACAGCAGCCTCTGCCCCTTACTTACTCAGCTAGGGTCGTAACCTGCCTGCTACATTCTGCCAGGTTCTGTCCCCAGGACTCTGAATCTGAGACCTCACCCTGGACTCTGAGGAGTCTCCTTGATTCAGGACTCAGGCACTCAAGAGATGCCAAGAATTCTCTGCTCAGAATCTCTGCACCCTGCCATCTCACTGCCCACCTCAACAGACCTGGTGTGCCCTGCTTCCTAAACATGGTGATTAGAACTACAGACCCCTCCTGAATTCCTCTCTCCTTCCCCATCCCCACCAGGGGCTCTCAACACATCGCACGGCCAAAACCATGCTAGCCAAGACAGAAAATGCTTTCAGAATAATCGTTTTGAATTGGAAAGTCAATGTAATACTGCAATTGGCAGATTAACGATTCTGCCTATGAATGTTTCCTGGAAAGAAACGAGCACAGAGTCTGCTCCACCTGGGTTTATGTCACCAAGAGAGAAGAAACAGGCCCCCAGCCAAGCCCCTTGGTAGTTCATCATCATCCCCAAGAGATGGGCTGCATTTTCATGAAGAGCCTCATTCACAGCTCCCCAGAGCCAGGCTGCTTTTCAGAGTAGAAGAGGAGCATTGCCTCTGGATTTTAAAAGAGGTAAGGGAATGAGTGAACGGAAAAGAGTATGATTCAATGATGAAATAAATGCCCTGACACATCCCTCCCAGGGAGAGCATCCACGTCCTCCAGTGACTCCCCAGAAACACTCCCTGAGGTGTCAGGTGTGATAATGACGTGCTCTAACTGGCTCAGATCCATTCTTCAGAGATGCAATGAGATACCTGCCTACTGACTTCTAATGCAGGTACAGGAAACTGAGCCCCTGAGGCATCAGCCCAACCCACTCTGTCAAAACCAGCTGAAACTCAGGTTCCCAAAGCCCATCCCTTCTCTTGTTGCCCTGGAGGGGAAATGGGTGGGAGGGGATCCCTTTGCTGGCTTCAAGACCCAGCTTGAAATCACCATGTCTCCTAAGAGTTCCACCTAAATGCTTCTACTGCAGCACTCAGCCCACTGTCTTGCAATTACCTCCCATGTGTCTGTAATTGCCAAGTTTGGGGTAAGTCCAAGAACTCAGAAGCTGGGAGGTGGGGAGAAAAGTGTGCAAGAGAAAGAGACTTCTTGACCAGACCTCCACTGGGTCTCACACAGGAGTGGCGAGGGCTCAGAGGGGAAGAGGGGATGGTGGCCATGCTTCTCAGACAGCTTCAAGGATGGCAGTCCCCAGGGCAGCCACGCTCTGGGCTCTGACAGAAGGGAGCAGACACTGGGGTGATATACAGGGCCATCTATGGATGGAAAGATGGCCATAGAGAACATTCTCAAATAAAGGCCTGCTTCTGAGCACATTACTGGCCAGGCTGGAAATCTCCTCTCCCTGACCCATCATCCTCCCATCCTACCCCTTAGGTAATCTGGTCCTGCCAGCCCAGAGCAAATAGAAACTTTCAGCCTCACAATGTTGGTTTTAATTCCAAGCAACCTATCAGAGGGATCACTCAGATCCCTCTGATAATGATTAATGGCAATCATTTCTTCTTGGCTATCAGTTCTAACCTATTGATGATAAGCTAATTATCACACTCTGGCCCTGTAATTGCACTTTTAGGACTCTACCCAAAGTAAAGTACCCTGAATTTTTTTAAAAAAGCTTTAGGTTGCATTATTTACAGAAGAAAAAAAATGAGACCAAAGTAAACAACAAGATAATCACTCAATGGAGTATTATGTGCCTATAAAATTGTGTTTAATAAGATTTATAACACAAAAATATTTACATTATAATAAATGAAAAAGATAAAAAAACTTATCTTTACAACATACATAGTATACTCACAATACTAAAAAAGAAAAAAATTATAATAAAGAAGAATAGAAAGAAATGAAGCAAAACGCTAATAGCAATTGCCTTTGGGAGCTGGAACTTTGCACAACGGTTTTATCTATTTTTCCATAAATCCCGTAAGCATGGGCTAATTTTATAATGGGGAAGGAAAAACTTTTATTAAAAAAAATCAGATGGTAAGTGATTTGGTTCATTCTTCTTTCCCCCAAGAGAGTGTGCAGTCATTAAGAATGTTTCTGTTTAAGCTGATAAAAGTTCACTGCCTCTTCCATCCACGGCCTCTCATTGCCCTAAAGCTGGTTTGAAGCAAAGACAGTGACACTGGTCACGTGTCGGTTTACTAAGGCTTTGGCAGGCTGGCCTGTTCCAAGCAAACAGAATTATCACTTATTAAATGCTAGTAGAACCAGATTTTAGGTAAGTCCTATAGTGATCCACACATTCAGCTAACATTTGTCCCAGGCCTGAACAAAAATTAAGCAGCTGCAATTAACTGAGGCTAGGCAAAGCTCACCAAAGGTGTGCCCTCCAGCCATCTTCTCCTCTTGGTGAGTTCTGTCTTTTGGGGGAGGGCTGAAGTGAGGAGACTCTTGTTGAGGAGGAATGATAGTGGCTCTGCATCTGGCTGATTTTCAGCTGCCTTCACTTTGCACTTTAGTGAGGAAATGAAGCTGAGATGGGCAAGAGGGGATGGAATAGGCAGGGGAGGGAGAATGAGACAGACTTTGGGGAATTAAGGGAACTCTGAATCTCTCCTATAGAGTTTTGGTCTGTAAGTCTCTTATCTCTCCTAAATCTTGCTATTGGGCTCTTTTACCTTAGTCCTCCTTCATATAAATACGTACCATGCCATTTCAGAAAAGCAAGCTTTTCTGGATGAAAACAAAGAAGTCAACCGGCCTTCACATTCCATCTGGTCACCCCCTGCACCCCCACCCCCACCCCAAACCCCCCAACCGATGGGCCTCCTCCGGGCTCACTGCTGCCACTGGGAAATCAGTGCCCATGGACTCTAGGACCCTCTGGTCTCACAGGCCTTTGTCAAATAACAGGATTAACTGACAATGTCTTCCCGCAAAAGGAAAAGAGATTCCTAGGGGTAGGGATGAGGCATTTTCATAAGCTACATACACACACACACACACACACGCTCAAAAATAGAGACCTGGATAGAATCTGGGGACTGGAAGAGTCATCCAAGGTTAAAGCAGAGTTTGGGGTAACCTGGGGACTCCCTCTATGGGAATAAGATGCCCAGTGATGATTCAGACAGTTAGTTAAGAAGCATTTTAGGGAGCACTGGTTAAGTACTAGGTAGTATGCTAGGCACCAAAGATACCACACAACGGCTACCCTCATGGCATCTGCAGAAAAAACAGAAAAGAAAGGATGCTGCCTAGGGCCTGTGCAGGAGGAGGTCTCCTTGTGCTGGTGCTCTGGTCCTCAGGCAAAGCCCTCATTGGATTTCCTACTGATTTCAGGCTGCACAACCTATTGAAAACCTAACAGAATGTGTTTACACATACTTTTTAAAAGTATTTTATTTTTGAAATGATTGTAGGGCTTTCCTCAAATGTTGTTCTTTGTTCCATGACAGTGAGTGGAGATTTTAGATGCTTACAAATGTTTACATGAGGATTTCATCTCTTCTCCTGGACTCATGGCTGGAACATAATTATGAACTGTGCTTGTTAACCAAATAGAGATATTCCATGAGACAAGAAGGCTGATTCCTAATATGGAGGTGTCCTTGGGCCGGGGCCCACTTATCCTGGTATCCATCTCCTCCTCCCGACACAGAGGTGCCTTCATTAGTAGAGGAAAGAAAGAGGTCTTTGTGATGATGTAATTCCCAGACCACCCTACACAGACAATAAAACTGAATTTGAGAGAAGCTGGGTGAAATAAGAGCTCAGAAATCATAGAATACCAGTGCAGCAGGGACCTAAGAGGTTATTTAGTCTAATCTTTTAATGTTAGAAATGGGCAAATAACACCAAAAGGGGAAGAGATCTGTCTAAGATTACATGGCCAGTTAATGGTGGGCTATTTTCATCAAGGTAAATATGGGGAAATTCATTCCACAGAAATTCTAATAACTGTGTGTTTGATGATATTATGGTAGGCAAGAGGGCTGTCACCATAGTGTGTGACAAGCAGCTGCAATGCAACATGACCAGTGCTAGCACAGAGTATAGACAAGGCACTGTGGGATCACAGAGGAGGAAGCATCTCACTCTTCCTGTGGGCACTGTGGAAGGCTTCATGCAGAAGAGGACTTCTGAGTTGGGTCTTTATGAATGAACAGAAGTTGGTTGTATAGGAAACGGAAAAGGTATTTCCAGAATATGGAACAGCATGTAAAGGCATAAACATGTGAAAGAAAATGACATGTTTGGGGGATTAAGAGTGGTTTCCTATGGTAAAAATGGAGATTTATTGGAAGGGAAATAGAGGAGACAGCAAAAAGGTAAGGGAAGGAGTAGCTGTGAAGGCCTTGGATGGCATGTTAAGAAGTTTGTCCTGGAGAGAAGTTATCTTTGTGCTTTAAAAAACAATGTAGTGGCAAAAGGATGAAGAATGGGCTGAACAAAAATGGACCCATGATAGGAAGCCTAGCTGGGTGGATAACACAGTATTTCAGGTGGAAAATAAGAGTAAAAATTTTGAAAATGAACGAACAATCCAGAGCACTTGTGAAGGCTGAATTAAAGCAGTGATATTTAGATATTTAGTGATGGTAGACTCAGCAGGATTTCATAAAAGATGATTAGACATGGGGAATAAAATGGAGGATGGGGCAGCAAACTACTGCCCTTGGGTCATGTGCAGGCTGCCATCTATTTTGTACAGCCCAAGTGCTAAGAATGGTTTTTACATTCTCATGTACACGTACATGCTTCCTTCAATAGCTGAGAAGAAACAAAAGAAGCATCTTTTGTAACACATGAAAATAATGGGAAATTCAAATTTCAGTGACCATAACTAAAATTATATGGGAACATAGCCACACTTGTTAATTGACCTATTGTCTCTGGCAGCAAAGGCAGAGCTGAATAGTGCAAACCAGGTCATAGGTCTCATAAAGCCTTAGATAGTTACTATTTGGCCCTTTCAGAAAAAGTTGCTGACCTCCTCCAGGATTCTCCAACTCAGTTAAAATCAGTTCATCTTTTTAGTTGCCCAGACCAAAACCTTTGGGGTCATCTTAATTCTACTCTTAGCTGCCAACCGATCTTTCATCAAGATCTGCTGTATTTTAAAAATATATCCAGAATTTGACCCTCACTCCTTCCCTTGCTACCACTCTGTTCCTCAGCACTACCATCTCTCAGCTGGGTCATTCTGGTAGCCTTTATTTATTTATTATTTATTGAGACAGGGTCTTGCTCTGTCACACAGACTGGAGTGCAGTGGTGTGATCATGGCTCACTGCAGTCCCAAACTCCTGGGCTAAAGCGTTCCTTCCATGTCAGCCTCCTGAGTAGCTGGGGCTACAGGTGTGCACCACCACCCATGGCTAATTTTTTTGTAGAGATGGGGTTTCGCCATGTTGCCCAGGCTGGTCTTGAACTCCTGAGCTCAAGCAAACCACCCACTTCGCCTCCCAAAGTGCTGGGATTACAGGCGTGAGCCACCATGCCCAGCCTCATTCTAGAAACCTTTTGCCTCATCTCCCTGCTTCATCTCTGCCTGCTTCAGTCACTTAACACCATCTGAGTGATGGTGTTTTAGCACCATCAGTTAAAACAGAAGTGAGATCACGCCATTCCTCTGCACAAAGTCTTCCCGAGCCTTCCCATCTAACTCTGAGTAAAGGCCCAAGTTTTACAATGGCTTCCAGGGCCCTACAAAACCTGCCTCTGCCCTTCCTCTTGTTACACCCGGGACCAACCCCCGTTCCACAATCATGCTCACTCTCTTCTCCAGTCACATCAACCTCCTTCTTGGTCCTCAATAATGTACCAGGTCCACACCTGCCCCAAGGTCTTTGCATCTGTCATTCCTTCCACCTGTAATGTTATTTTCCAAGATATACATATGGTTCTCTTCCTCACTTCCTTCAGATTGGGACTCAAATCTACCCTTCTTAGTGAGGCCTTCTCTAGCCATCCTACTTAATACTGACAACCATCCTCAGACCACAACCCTCTATTTCTCTTTTTCTTGCTTTATTCTGCTCTCTAGCACTTACTACCACTCAAACAAAATACAAACATTACCAATTTATCTTGTTTATTACCTGTCTCCCCTGTTAGAATGTAAGCTCCAGGAAGGCAAGAGTTTTTGTTTTGTTTTCCTTTCTAGAACCTAGTACAGTGCATGGTACGTGTTAGGCACTCAATAAATAGTTGCTGAAAGAATGGAAATAATGGATCAGAAAGTGACTGGGAGATAAGAAAAGACAAGCAGGTAGAGATAACTCTTTCAAGGCATCTGGTGAGTAGCTAAAGAGGAAACCAGTATCAGGAGACTTTCTCCAAATAGGAAAGACTCAAGCATATTTACAGAACGTCAGGGCGACAGAGTGGCAAAAAAAGATGGGATATGAGAAATAGCATATCTGGCTATGCCAAGTCTGGGAGGAAGCTGAAAGAAATGGCCTTATGAGCAAGGAGAGAAGGGACCTCCTTGGAAGGGACTAGGGCAGGTGGGGAGCACAAAGACAGTTGCACATATGGGTGGGACTGGCCAGATATGGTAGAAAGGGAACTTGAAGGAGCTCATAGCTGGTCTCAATTTTCTATCTGAAAATCCAGGGAAGGGTTTTAGGGGCTATGGACAACAACATGGGTGCCATTGTTCAAGGCGTGCCCCTTGAACAATGCAGGTTTGAATTTCAAGAGTCCACTTATATGCAAATTTTTAAAATAAATGTATTAGAAACTTTTTTGAGAATTGCAACAATTTGAAAAAATTGCAGATGAATTTTGTGATCTAGAAATATCAAAAAAAATTAAGAAAAAGTTAGATATGCCCAGGAGTTTGAGACCGACCAGGGCAACATAGCAAGACTGTGTCTCTACAGAAAAAGATGTACTTTGGAAAAATGAGAATGCACCGGCTGATTAGAAGAAAAGGGTAGCTCTGCAGTGCTAAGGGTTCTACTCACTCTAGAAACCATAAATTTGTTGCAAGGTTTGTGGATTTTTCTCCAGCAACACTGGGCAGCCAATGAGAATCAAGTGGTAAGAACTAGTATTATTAGAAGAATTATGAAATTAAAGCCTTCATTGGATACCTCAGGTCCTGATCAAAATGTAAAACTCTGGGGGATAAAAACTTAAATGAATGGGTAAACGACAGGAATGACCAGTGCTGCTGGCCTAATTCGGGTGCCTTCAGCAGAGAGGTACAATTCAAGTTAGTGTTGCTTGAAAGAGCACGTCTTGAGGACAGTTTCAGAGAAAGAAAGTTGAAAAGTGGCCCTCTGGCAAGTAGACTCTGAAAGGGCAGTGAAAGAATCCACACAGGAGGGCCATGTCCAACAGAAATGGAATTGAAAACCCAAAAGAAGAAGAAAAAGATCAACAGAGAAAAACAAAAGCCACTTAAGCTACAACTCATAAGAAGGGGCCCAGATAAAGTGCTGAAATGTGTCATCTTGGGAAAAGGGAGGATCTCACTTGCAAAGAAAGATCCCTTAACTCCTAAAGGGACAAAATAGTGTCCCACAGGCATATAGTCATGGGCTACTAGGCTATTTACAGAACCTGAAAAAGCCAGTGCAGTCCATAATAAAAAGACTATTTCAAATTTCAAAGACCAATGAAAATTGAGTTGTCAATTTTAATAGCTACCATTACTTGTGCCATGCAATGCATTTTACATTCTCGATCTCATTTAAACCTCACAACTTCCATGTAAAGAAGGAATTCTTATTCTCATTTTATAGATGAAGACACAGAGGCTTACAGGGGTTAAGTAACTTGTCTTAAGTCATAGAATGAATAAGGGGTTGAACCAGAAATCCAATTGAAATGTGTCTAATCCTAAAGACCATGCTTTTAACCCTTGTTCTCTCTTGGACTCTAACACTGTTTTTTCTTATGAAAACACAGGAGTGATGACTAGTTGAGTGCATTCTTATGAGACTCATAGTCATTCTATGATGTAGTTTTCCTTAGGAGGACATTTTTTACATGAAATTATTAACCTAAATAGAGTTGATCCTTGAACAACACAGGTTTGAACTGCGAGGGTCCACTTATATGCAAATTTTTTCAATAACTATATGGGAAAATATTTTTGGAGATCTGTGACAATTAGAAAAACCTTGAGATGAACCATGTAGCCTAGAAATATTAAAAAAAAAAAAAAAGAAAAAGTTACTCATGTCACAAATGCATAAAATATACATCAATACTTGTCTGCCTTCTCATTTACTACCATAAAATATAAACAAATCTATTACAAACAGTTAGAACTTATCGAAATGTCAAAATGTACACATACACACAAGAACTGTGCGTGATGCCATCTGCAGATGAGAGAAATGTAAACGTAAAGATTAAATCCTCACTGCACGAAATGAACTGTAGTACATACTGTACCACTGTAATAATTTCACAGCTACCTCCTGTTGCTATTGTGGTGAGCTCAAGCGCTGCAAGTATCTGCTTAAAACACCTTGTGACGCTAATCATCTCCACGTGAACAGTTCATCTCTCCAGTAAATTGTGTACCGCAGTTAAAAGTGATCTCTTGAGGTTCTCGCATATTTTTCATGCTTAGTGAAATACCATAAACCTTGACTAACACCATGGGACTCTAACAAAGTGCCACTAGAGATGCTGGAAGTACTCCCAAGTATCAGAGAAAAGTCATGACATTATAAGAAAAGTTGAATTGCTTGATGTGTACCATAGGTTGAGGTGTGCAGCTGTGGTTACCTACCATTTCAGTCAGACAATGTAAACTTACAGTATCAGTAATGCAGCACAGTTTTGCAAACGTATTTTCTCTTCCTTATGATTTTCTTTATAACATTTTCTTTTCTCCAGTTTGTTTATTGTTAAGTATACAGTATACAATACAAAATATGTGTTGATTGACCATTATCAGTAAGGCTTCTGGTCAACGGTAGGCTATTAGCAGTTAAGTTTGTGGGGAGTTAAAAACTATACACAGATTTTTGACTGTACAGGGGGTCAATGTCCATAACCCCCACATAGTTCAAGGGTCAACTATATTCTAACAAGTATTATATCTTTCCATTTGTTGTGTCCTACAGTGGGACATAGCAGGTACCAAATGAATGAATGGGAGTCCTTGGGCCTCGGAGAATGCTACACCAAAGCACTGAGATAATCTGTGGACAGACTGATGGCAGTGATCTTGAGGAATGAAGAATGAGAGGTTCAAGAACACCAAAGAGAAAGTTGAAGAAGGCAGATTCTACAGAGCACAAAGCTGTGAGCTTATCCAGGATGCAGAGCAAGATCCGGCCTTATTATTACTGAAGTGATGGTTAATGGGGCCCCACACCTACTAACCATCACTTCAGCACTGATCATTGAGATCCAGCACATACTCACTAAGGACAGTCATTTCAAACCAACCCACTGCCTTCTTTGCCTGGGCTTGCAGAAATACCATATGCCGCAGCAAGCAGCTGGAGCTGGGTGGTGGCTGGCCCTTCAGAAGACGTTCTGTGTTCTTCCATTCATCCATTTACAGCCCCTGGATTAGTTGACAGACTGAATGAAGGAATCAGGACTTTACAGTGAAATATAACAGGGATGAAAATAAGATCTTACACTTGGTTTCAAAAACCCAACTGAGTAAATCCAAGATAGGGAAGGCTGTGATTTAGGAGCAACAAATATAAAAATGTCTTTGAGTAAGCTGATAGCAAGCTCAATGAGAGATCACAGTGCGACGTGGCTGGCAGAATAGTTAGAGGCAACCTTAGCTGCATTAAAAGAACATTGTGTCTGTGCTAGAATAAGGGAGATGACAGTCCTAATCTGGGGTGGCTGGCTTGCACTACAACTGTACTATGGTGACTTCTGGAGAGCTCACTTCGAGCGGGTCTGGTAACAGGTTGATCTGCTAGGTATTCTCCATTTCCACCGTCCCCACTGTGATCTATTCTCTGCACTGCTCTGTGCCCTATGGACGCTGCCCCTATCTATTGCAGATCCCTTGCTCTGATGGCTTCCCACTGGGTTCAGCACCAGTAGGTGATGCACGGGCAAGAAGACAGAGAACATGCAGAATGTGCATTTATTGTGCCACTCTCTCCTTGCTCTGTCTGCATATTTCGGACAGTAGCTGCATCCCTCTATGACTATAGTTCCAGTCCAGCAGCCCCTCGTCCATAACCCCAGCTTGTAATAGGTTCCAATTTGCTTCCCTTGTCCCTCAGGCCTCGGAGTGATTAAGAGCTTCCTCCTGTTGCTAGCCCCTAGGGACCTCAGCATCCCTTCTTAGTTCCCTTAACCCTGCCCACAGCTCTGTCAATAGCCCTTTCACTAAATTATTTTCAAAATCTCAACTAAATTGGCCTTCTTTTTCCTGCAGGGACCCTGTCTGAAACTAAAGAGACAGGATGCAAAAGTCCTTAAAATTATGTCTGTGAGGAATAGAGGATGTTGGGCCTGGTGGAGAGAAGACTCTAGAAAGCAGGATAGCCTACTTCAGCAAGGTAGTAATAAAAGGCCACCCCAGACTCATTCTCTGGCTCTACCAACAGTGATAGGTACAGAGAGATAAATTTCTACAGAGTAGGTAAAGATGGTTATCCTGGTAGGTCATGAGCTTCAATATTTCTCAGTTGCCCCATCTTAAACTGGATGAGACTATGTCAGGAATGCTGCAAGGAAGAAGTTAGAAACATGGTCTAGAAAAGAGCTTCCCAAGCCAGGGTTTCATGATTTGCCACCAACTGTACACTACTCGATGGGTTACCAAAATAACCAATGTGGGGAAACTTTTGTATGTTTTTGCTGCTTCTCGTTTCAATCTAGGGAATAGAAGTCTAGTTCTTCATCAAGTCTGATAATCCTCAGCGCTGAAGATGTTTTTATACTTTAAGATGACTTACAAACATGAAAATTTCACACAGCATCACAGCTTTCAAAAGGTTATTTCTAATTCATGGAGCAATCTATTAAAAACATTTTTTAGGGGGGAAGAGAAGTTGATTAATGGTTACAAATATACCATTTGATATAAGAAGACCTAGTGTTAGATTGGTAAACTAACTATATTTTACAATAACCTCTTGTATATTTCAAAATATCTAGAATTCCAGTGGTCTAGCATAGAGAAAAGACAAATCTTTAACGTGATGGATATCCCAAGTACAGTGATTTTGTCCGAGGCATGTGAACCAGAGCAACTCCATCTTGAATGGGGCCAGGTAAAACAAGGCTGAGTGAGACCTACTGGGCTGCATTCCCAGAAGGTTAAGGCATTCTAACTTACAGGATGAGATAGGATGTGGGCACAAGATACAGGTCATAAAGACCTTGCTGATAAAACAGGTCGCAGTAAAGAAGTCGGCTAAAACCCACCAAAACCAAAATGGCGACAAGAGTGACCTCTGGTCGTCCTCACTGATACACTCCCAGCAGCGCCAGGACAGTTTACACATGCCACGGCAACGTCCGGAAGTTACCCTATATGGTCTAAAAAGAGGAGACATGAATAATCCACCCCTTGTTTAGCATACCATCAAGAAATAACCATAAAAATGGGCAACCAGCAGCCCCAGGCTGCTCTGTCTATGGAGTGGCCATTCTTTTATTCCTCTACTTTCTTAATAAACTTGCTTTCACTTTACTGTGTGGACTCACCCTGAATTCTTTCTTGCGTGAGATCCAAGAACCCTCTCTTGGGGTCTGGACTGGGACCCCTTTCCTGTGCAATTTGATCTTTACAAATTATATGAATGTATTACATTATCACATGTGCCCCAGAACTATGTACATCATGCATCAACTAAAAAATGTTTAAAACAAAAATGTTTAACTCAGCAACTTCTATCTACACACCAGTCACCACAGTGCTTCTTGAGAACTGCCACCTCGTTTTCAAACCAAAAACCAGGACGCAAAATCTGTGCATGGGAAAAAAAAATATTTTACATGCAAACTACCCTGAAAAAAAAAAAAAAAAAAAAGAATAAGGTCGCCTCAATTCACTCTGGTGGGGAAAAAACAAAGGTTTTTACGAAAGCCCTGAATGCCTGAGTTCACAGCAGGCCCATGACGAAGTTTGTGTCTCACGCAGGTTTTCTCCTTTGGTGGGAGTTTATTGTGTATTACACCGAGGGCACGCTAGGTTTGCCAGTTTTTCGCTCATTCATTCAACAAACACTCGATGTCCACCTACTCCATTAACAGAGCCCTTCTCAGCCCTCGGGATGGACAAAAGATCCCGAAGAGGCCAAAGCCACGACGCCGCTGCCAGAGGACGTCAGCAGGTCCAGGAAACGACCTGATTTTAAGGACCAATGAAGGCAACGAGTAAGAGCGACGGCGCCCAGGAAAGCTGCAGCGGAAACTTGGGAAATGCCAGCCTTCGGGCGCAGAGGGCGGGGCAGGGCCTACTGGATCGCACTGTCTGCGGGCTGGGGCCCCGCCTGGGCTCCGGTCCCGCCGCCTCCGGCCGCCAAGCGGCGCCCGCCCACGGCCCGGCGGGGGCGTTGGCCTGGTCCCCGGCCCAGGAGGGCAGCGCCCGGGCGACCGCGAGCGGGCGGGGTGGCCTCGATGGCCCGCGAGCCCCGGGCTCAGTGTGGGGTGCGCGTCGCTCCTGCCCGACGTACCCGGGAAGCGCGCGCACGCATCGCCGCGCGCCCCACCGCGCCGGGCACCCGCGGCGCGCTCCCGCCCGGTCCCAGTGCCCCGGCCCCTCGGCCCCTACGGCACCCCCGGCTCCTACCGCCCGCCCGGCCGGCCTGGCCGCACTCACCCTCCTTGGCTTTCTTCCTCCGGGCCAGGGTCCCTCCGAGTTTCCCCAAGAAGGAATCATCTTTCTTGCGGGACGGGGGCGACTTGGGAGTGGGAGACTTGGGGACAGAAGGCGACTTCTGCGGGGAGGTGGCCATGGCGCGGCGCAGGCTGCCGCGGGCCGGTCGGGACGCGGAGCTGGCGCTGGGCGGACGCAGCGGGCGGCGGCGGGACTGAGGCTGCGGCTTTCCAAACGGAAGCGGAATTATTCCAAGCATTTGAGGCAGCTCACGCTCGCCTTTCCCTTCCCTCGCTCCCTCCCTCGCTCCCTCCCTCGCGCCGCCCTCTGCCCTGGAAGGAGCTGCGCTCCCGGGGCCGCGCCTTGCGCCCCTGGGTTGCCCCAAGCAGGGAGGATGCCCCAAAACTGCCCCTTGCAGGACAGGAGGACGTGTGTGCCCAGGTTGGGAGCGGTCGAGCCGGAAAGCTTCATTTACCCAGGCTCTGTCCCCACCACACAGCCTGGCGCAAAACACATCTGAGAACCAACCCAACCCTGCTACTCTCCCGGGGTCTTCCAGCCGGCGGCTGGTGAGCTCGCTCTGCCCCAGCACTACTGCCTGTGGGGTTATCAGGCCCACGTCTTGCGCCCACAAGACTGCAGCTCCTGGAAGAAATTATTGCAGTGAACCAAAATGTGTCCAGGCCCCACCAAAGTGGGCAGAACCAATCACTCCTGAACCTATCCATGACCGTCAACCTCCTCGTCTCTACTCCCATCCAAGACTGAGAAGCTTGGAGTGCACAAGGGTAAAGCCGAGGCTTCTTATTCTTGTAAGACATCCGTGTTTCCAGCAGCTTATACAAAGGAAGATCCCACGTGGTGGTGGAAACATGAATGGGAAAAGCACAACCATGAGCTCCTACAGGACTTCCCGCAAAATTTATCCTGCCTAAATAAAAGCAAGAGAGTGACAACCAGACTCATTTGAGATAACAGGGGAGTCATACAAAGCACAGTGTTTGAAGGACTCATACTGGAAATGATTAAAAGGCACGTGTTATTGAGCTTACCCATCTCAAGTTCTCACTCTGGCTCTTTGTCCTTCTGTCTGTCTCTCACACACAGACTCACAGCACCTTGGCAACTGTGTTTCCTCCTTGTGGCCCCTTCTAGGCCACAGCTGATTGAACCTGGGTGAACACCTAATCCAAAGGGCGCTACTGCTTTACTGAAGAGCAGACGATCAGCTGGCCCCAGTTAAGACTGCACTAAGCTGGAGAGACTGTTGTCAGAAGTTGTGCTCGTGACTGATGATCATTCGCAATCAAAACTAGGGTGGCTGTTTCTAGCCACGTGCATGCTGAGGAGTAGGGAAACCAAAGAATGGAGCAAAGAAGTGTGCTCAAGAAGCCACGTGGTCTGAGTAATGGAAACCGTGGGGAGTAGCTGCTTGGACCTTGAATCTTTTCCCAGACCCCACTTGCACTTCCTGCCAGGGCCAGCTGTGCTTCTTCCCAGGAGATGTTACTCAGCCTTTTATTAACCCATCCACAGTTCCTTAAACTAAATAAAGTGACAAGCAACAGTTTCTGAGTAGAACTAAAATTTAACAAAAAGATAGTCAACAGATTCTCAACACCGTATAGGTTCATTTTATCTTAAGAGTCTTAATTTTACCTTTTTTAAAAAAAAAAAAAATCTGCTTTAGTTGGTGCCTCTTACTTAACAGCAGAAAAGTCATGATGTCTGCTAGCCTGGGAAGATTACTACAACTCCTCCTAGACAATAAATCTTAAAGGGATGGTGAGAAGCCAAAATATAAGTGTGTTTTGATTACATCATTAATCATTTTTGTTCAGGATATCAGATATAGGACATCTCCAAAAGCGTATCTCCAGCCCCGAGAGCTCTTGTCAGGGAATTAAGAGACACGTAGCTCAATAGCGGTGTGATCTTGGAAAGGTTTACTCCCTTTTCTGAGTCTCCATTTCCTCATCTACAAAATGAAATGGTTGGCACAGAACAGTGGTTTTCAAACTCGATCGTGCATCACAGTCGCTTAGAAGTTTGTTGCATTCACAGGCCCCATCTCCAGAAATTCTGATTCAGTCGATCTCAGGTGAAACCAAGGGATAGGTGTTTTTTAAACAGACTACATCAGGTGATTTCGATGTATTAATAGCTGATTCACACCCTGATGTCTTGCCATTTAGGGCTACTTTCAGCTCTTAACAGTCTGTGGTTCTTTATTCTTTCAAAAATTGCTAATATCTGTATGCAAGGCTTAGTCCTAAATGTGCCATAATCAAAATTACCCATGGAGATTCCTTCAGTTGCCCATGCATGCTTTTGCATATATAATACTCCTCAGTAATTGTTATGTTCGTTAAACTTGGAAAACCACTGAGCAAGGCTAAAAGGAGGAGTAAAGTCTTGATTGTTGAATGCTAGCTCCCAGAAAATATCAGCAAAATAAGCTGTGGAAGAAGGCAAAGCTGAATTTTTTGTACACCATGATAAGGAGAGCCCTGCCTTGGCAGAGTCTCAGTAGCATCTTGGAGTAGGGGAAGGGATATTTATAAGGTTTTGGAATCTTGATGAAGACAGGCCTTCCAGTGGGATGGTGCTTGATTAAGTTTGACTAAGGATCATGATATAATAGATAAGGACTGGTAGACCCTAGGCAAAGCTTTCCAAGAGTCTTGGAGAGTAAATAGTCTTTTTAATGCTATCTATTGAAAAGTCTAATGGGTTTATGTTCATTTCAATGAGATTTGGTGGGGAGTTCTTGAAAAGAACAAGAAAGTTATTCATAGCTTTTTATCTTCCTGGGCAAGAAATTTTTGGAAGACAGGGGAACGATAAAGTCCTGTTAATGTATGCAGTAACCTGCATTGGTGGGAATGGTTGCCAGGGTCTCAATATTATGCTGATACCTTGTTATTCAAGCATTTCTACTGGTAAGATCATTATCAATCTTTCTGGAAAGGCCAGTGGGAATGGGTGGTGAATTATAAATCAGTGCTACTCACAGTGTAGTCTGCAAACCAGTATTGATCTGGATACCATTATTAGCTGCCAAGACCAGCTTGGTCGGGGAGACCCTAACCCAGCGGCGCTAGAGGAATTAAAGACACACACACAGAAATATAGAGGTGTGAAGTGGGAAATCAGGGGTCTCACAGTCTTCAGAGCTGAAAGCCTCGAAAAGAGATTTACCTACGTATTTATTAACAGCAAGCCAGCCAGTCATTAGCATTGTTTCTATAGATATTAGATTAACTAAAAGTATCCCTTATGGGAAACAAAGGGATAGGCCGAAATAAAGGGATGGGTTGGGCTAGTTATCTGCAGCAGAAGCATGTCCTTAAGGCACAGATCGCTCATGCTATTGTTTGTGGTTTAAGAACGCCTTTAAGTGGTTTTCCACCCTGGGCGGGCCAAGTGTTCCTTGCCCTCATTCCGGTAAACCCACAACCTTCCAGCGTGGGCGTTATGGCCATCATGAACATGTCACAGTGCTGCAGAGATTTTGTTTATGGCCAGTTCTGGGGCCAGTTTATGGCCAGATTTTGGGGGGCCTGTTCCCAACAATTAGCCAATGACATAAATGTAGAAATTGAGAGTTTTTAGAAACTTTTATAGCAATTTAACAACACTTTATGTCTGTTTAATCTAACAATAATCAGAAGCTTATATTTTGAATATCTTTTCATTCTATTTTTCTAGTAATTTTTTATTTTTATTTACAAAAATATTGCTCTATGATGAATTGGTCCTTTAGCAGATTAAGAAGCACTGTTCTACATTGCTCGTGTTTACTTAGAGAGTTCATCTACTCTCATTTGATATAATGCTTTTAGAATCCTTAAGAATGTGAATTGATCTGGTTTTTGTTTAGAAGAGTAAATGAGATAATCTGTGGGAAAGCACCATCTACAGGGCCTGGCACTGAAGTAGGCTGAATCTAAATCTTACTTAGAGACATGCTGCATGCTATTCTTTGATAGGATGGGAAGACCTTGTACCAGCTCCCTCCACTCTAAATTGGTATTTACAATTATGTCCCCACTGAACAGCACCTCCTCTCATGCTCGGTCATTGTTTTCATCTTACCCAAGGGATTTGATTCTAAGGACAGATCATCAATTAAATGTGTGATACGTAAGACTCTGCTGAATCTCTAGGCTGCCTCTTCTTGAAATTGGGGCCTAGACAAATGCACTGGAAGAGAATAAACTCAGGTTCCAATCTTAGCTTAGCAGCCAGGTGATCTTGGGTAAATCTCTTCCCTTTCTGCATTTATTTTTCCCATCATCTATAAAATGAAGCCAAGGCAGTACCTACTAAAGCCAACCATCATACATACCTTATGATCAACAATTTCAATTATAGGTTATACCCAACAAAAATGAGTACATGTGTACACACAGAGATAGGCTCTAGAAAGTTCACAGCAGCACCATTCAGCTGCCTGTTAACAGTTGAATTGATTGTGATAACCACAGCAATGAGAGTGAACAATTTGCAACTACAAGCAGCAACAGGAATGGATCTTACAATATAATGTTGAGCGAAGGAAATCAGACACAAAAGAGCACATACTGTATAATTGTATTCAAGTAAAGTTCACAAACAGGCAAAACTACTCTATAATGTTAGAAGTCAGGATATTGATTAGCCTTGGAAGGTGTAGTGACTAGAATGGAGTGGGTGGCATGAGGAAAACCACTGAAGCTGCTAATGTTCTGTTTCCTGATCTGGATACTGGTTACGTGGATATATTCACTTTTAAAAATCAATGAGACATACACATAGTACTTTCAGCAGATTTTCTGTATGTATTTTATACTTCAATAAAAATCTACAGCTGGGCATGGTGGCTCATGCCTGTAATCCCAGCACTTTGGGAGGCTGAGCCGGGTGGATTGCTTGAGTTTGGAATTCAAGGCCAGCCTGGACAACATGGCAAAAACCTAGCCTGGACAACATGGCAAAAACCTGTCTCTACAAAAAATACAAAAATTAGCCAGGTATGATGGCATGTGCCTGTAGTCCCGGCTATTCAGGAGGCTGAGGTGTAAGGATGGCTTGAGCCAAGGAGGCAAAGGCTGCAGTGAGCCGAGATTGTGCCATTGCACTCCAGTCTGGGCAACAGAGCCAGACCCTGTCTCAAAAAAATATTATGAATTTATCGCAAACATGATTAATTTTTAAAAATGAAGCCATGGGACTATATGCCCTGCAGGGTTTCTTTTATGTCTAGTCTCCTCCAAATCCCTGGGTGGCCCATGTCACTCAAAACTTCACAGTTCCTAAATGAGGCCAGTTCTGTCCCCAGCCTTTTCTTAGGCAATTACATTTCTAGATAAACTTGTGGCTACTCTCAGCCACCCAGCAGCTTTCCTATCCGGGTCCTGTCATCTTCCTTCAAGAATGCCAACAGGCAGGCTGTGTGTTGTACAAGAAAGGGTCATGTAGTGGTGAAGCATATGGGTTCAAATCACCATTCTGCAGCCAAAGCTGTATAATCCTGTGCAAGTTACTTAACCTTGCTGTTGCCTCACTTTTATCATAAAATGAGTAATTCCTCATGAGGTTGTTGAGAGGACCAAGAGAGTGAGAATAAATAAGCAACTCAGCTCAGTGCCTAGCAGATGATAAGACCTTAGTTTAATAAATACTGGCTATTAGTATCTCTCTTTTTTTTTCTTTTTTTTATTATACTTTAAGTTCTAGAGTACATGTGCACAATGTGCAGGTTTGTTACACAGGTATATATGTGCCACGTTGGTTTGCTGCACCCATCAACTCATCATTTACATTAGGTATTTCTCCTAATCCTATCCCTCCCCTAGCCCCCCACCCCCCAAAAGGCCCCAGTGTGTGATGCTCCTCGCCCTGTGTCCATGTGTCTCATTGTTCAACTCCCACTTATGAGTGAGAACATGCAGTGTTTGGTTTTCTGTCCTTGTGATAGTTTCCTTAGAATGATGGTTTCCAGCTTCATCGATGTCCCTTTGAAGGACAGGAACTCATCCTTTTTTATGGCTGCATAGTATTCCATGGTGTATATGTGCATTTTCTTAATCCAGTCTATCATTGATGGGCATTTGGGTTGGTTCCAAGTCTTGGCTATTGTGAATAGTGCCGCAATAAACATACGTGTGCATGTGTCTTTATAGTAGCATGATTTATAACCCTTTGGGTATATACCCAGTAATGGGATAGCTGGGTCAAATGATATTTCTAGCTCTAGATCCTTAGGGAATCACCACACTGTCCTCCACAGTGGTTGAACTAATTTATACTCCCACCAACAGTGTAAAAGCATTCCTATTTCTCTACATCCTCTCCAGCATCTGTTGATTCCTGACTTTTTAATGATGGCCATTCTAACTGGCGTGATATGGTATCTCATTGTGGTTTTGATTTGCATTTCTCTGATGACCAGTGATGATGAGCATTTTTTCATATGTTTGTTGGCTGCATAAATGTCTTCTTTTGAGAAGTGTCTGTTCATATCCTTTGCCCACTTTTTGATGGGATTGTTTTTTTCTTGTAAATTTGTTTAAGTTCTTTGTACATTCTGTATATCAGCCCTTTGTCAGATGGGTAGATTGCAAAGGTTCTCTCCCATTCTGTAGGTTGCCTGTTCACCCTGATGATAGTTTATTTTGCTGTGCAGAAGCTCTTTAGTTTAATTAGATCCTGTATGTCTATTTTGGCTTTTGTTGCCATTGCTTTTGGTGTTTTAGTCATGAAGTCTTTGCCCATGCCTATGTCCTGAATGGTACTGCCTAGGTTTTATTCTAGGGTTTTTATGCTGTTAGGTCTTACATTTAAGTCTTTAATCCATCTTGAGTTAATTTTTGTATAAGGTATAAGGAAGGGATCCAGTTTCAGCTTTCTACATATGGCTAGTGGGTTATCCCAGCACCATTTATTAAATAGGGAATCCTTTCCCCATTGTTTGGTTTTGTCAGGTTTGTCAAAGATCAGATGGTTGCAGATGTGTGGTGTTATTTCTAAGGCCTCTTTTCTGTTCCATTGGTCTATATATCTGTTTTGGTATCAGTACCATGTTGTTTTGGTTACTGTAGCCTTGTAGTATAGTTTGAAGTCAAGTGGTGTGATGCCTCCAGCTTTGTTCTTTTTGCTTAGGATTGTCTTGGCTATGCAGGCTCTTTTTTGGTCCCATATGAACTTTAAAGTAGTTTTTTCCAATTCTGTGAAGAAAGTCAGTGGTAGCTTGATGGGGATAGCATTGAATCTATAAATTACTTTGGGCAGTGTGGGCATTTTCACAATATTGATTCTTCCTATCCATGAGCATGGAAAATGTTTTTCCATTTGCTTGTGTTCTCTTTTATTTCATTGAGCAGTGGTTTGTAGTTCTCCTTGAAGAGATCCTTCACATCCCTTGTAAGTTGAATTCCTAGGTATTTTATTCTCTTTGTAGTAATTGTGAATGGGAGTTCACTCATGATTTGGATCTCTGTTTGTCTATTATTGGTGTATAGGAATGCTTGTGATTTTTGCACATTGATTTTGTATCCTGAGACTTTGCTAAAGTTGCTTATCACCTTAAGGAGATTTGGGGCTGAGACGATGGGGTTTTCTAAATATACAATTATGTCATCTGCAAACAGAGACAATTTGACTTCCTCTTTTCCTAATTGAACACCCTTTATTTCTTTTTCTTGCCTGATTGCCCTGACCAGAACTTCCAACACTATGTTGAATAGGAGTGGTGAGAGAGGGCATCCTTGTCTTGTGCCAGTTTTCAAAGGGAATGCTTCCAGTTTTTGCCATCGAGTATGATATTGGCTGTGGGTTTGTCATAAGTAGCTCTTATTTTTTTGAGATATGTTCCATTAATACCTAGTTTATTGAGAGATTTTAGCATGAAAGGCTGTTGAATTTTGTCAAAGGCCTTTTCTGCATCTATTGAGATAATCATGTGGTTTTTGTCATTGGTTCTGTTTATGTGATGGATTATGTTTATTGATTTGCATATGTTGAACCAGCCTTGCATCCCAGGGATGAAGCTGACTTGATCATGGTGGATAAGCTTTTTGATGTGCTGCTGGATTCTGTTTGCCAGCATTTTACTGAGGATTATCACATCGATGTTTATCAGGGATATTGGCCTAAAATTCTCTTTTTTTGTTGTGTCTCTACCGGGCTAGCCTCATAAAATGAGTTAGAGAGGATTCCCTCTTTTTCTATTGATTGAAATAGTTTCAGAAGGAATGGCACCAGCTCCTCTTTGTACCTCTGACAGAATTCGGCTGTGAATCCGTCTGGTCCTGGACTTTTTTTCGTTGGTAGGCTATTAATTATTGCCTCAATTTCAGAACCGGTTATTGGTGTATTCAGAGATTCAACTTCTTCCTGGTTTAGTCTTGGGAGGTTGTATGTGTCCAGGAATTTATCCATTTTTTCTAGATTTTCTAGTTTATTTGCATAGAGGTGTTTATAGTATTCTCTGATGGTAGTTTGTATTTCTGTGGGATTGGTGGTGACATCCCCTTTATCAGTTTTTATTGTGTCTATTTGATTCTTCTCTCTTTTCTTCTTTATTAGTCTTGCTAGTGGTCTATTTTGTTGATCTTTTCAAAAAACCAGCTCCAGGATTCATTGATTTTTTGAAAGTTTTTTTGTGTCTCTATCTCCTTTAGTTCTGCTCTGATCTTAGTTATTTCTTGCCTTCTGCTAGCTTTTGAATTTGTTTGCTCTTGCTTCTCTAGTTCTTTTAATTGTGTTGTTAGGGTGTCAATTTTAGATCTTTCCTGCTTTCTTTGTGGGCACTTAGTGGTATAAATTTCCCTCTACAGACTGCTTTAAATGTGTCCCAGAGATTCTGGTATGTTGTATCTTTGTTCTCGTTGGTTTCAAAGAACATCTTTATTTCTGCCTTCATTTTGTTATTTACGCAGTAGTCATTCAGGAGCAGGTTGCTCAGTTTCCACGTAGTTGTGCAGTTTTGAGTGAATTTCTTAATCCAGAGTTCTAATTTGATTGTGCTGTGGTCTGAGAGACAGTTTGTTGTGATTTCTGTTCTTTTACATTTGCTGAGGAGTGTTTTACTACCAATTATGTGGTCAATTTTAGAATAAGTGTGATGTGGTGCTGAGAAGACTGTATATTCTGTTGACTTGGGGTGGAGAGCTCTGTAGATGTCTATTAGGTCTGCTTGGTCCAGAGCTGAGTTCAAGTCCTGTATATCCTTGTTAACCTTCTGTCTCGTTGATCTCTCTAATATTGACAGTGGGGTGTTAAAGTCTCCCATTGTGATTCCGTGGGAGTCTACGTCTATTTGTAGGTCTCTAAGGACTTGCTTTATGAATCTGGGTGCTCCTGTATTGGGCGCATATATATTTAGGATAGTTAGCTCTTCTTGGTGAATTGATCCCTTTACCATTATGTAATGGCCTTCTTTGTCTCTTTTGATCTTTGTTGGTTTAAAGTCTGTTTTATCAGAGACTAGGATTGCAACCCCTGCTTTTTGTTTTGTTTTGTTTTGTTTTTTTGCTTTCCATTTGCTTGGTAGATCTTCCTCCATCCCTTTATTTTGAGTCTATGTGAGTCTTTGCACACGAGATGGGTCTCCTGAATACAGCACATTGATGGGTCTTGACTCTTTATCCAATTTGCCAGTCTGTCTTTTAATTGAGGCAGTTAGCCCACTTACATGTAAGATTAATATTGTTATATTTGAATTTGATCTTGTAATTATGATGTTAGCTGGTTATTTTGCCCATTAATTGATGCAGTTTCTTTGTAGTGTCAATGGTCTTTACCATTTGGGATGTTTTTGCAGTGGCTGGTACCGATTGTTTCTTTGCATGTTTAGTGCTTCCTTCAGGAGCTCTTATAAGGCAGGCTTGGTGGTGACAAAAATCTCTCAGCATTTGCTTGTCTGTAAAGGGTTTTATTTCTCCTTCACTTATGAAGCTTAGTTTGGCTGGATATGAGATTCTGGGTTGAAAATTCTTTTCTTTAAGAATGTTGAATATTGGCCCCTACTCTCTTCTGGCTTGTAGTGTTCCTGCCGAGAGATCTGCTGTTAGTCTGATTGGCCTCCCTTTGTGGGTAACCTGACCTTTCTCTCTGGCTGCCCTTAACATTTTTTCCTTCAATTCAACCTTGGTGAATCTGACAATTATGTGTCTTGGGGTTGCTCTTCTCGAGGAGTATCTTTGTGGTATTCTCTGCATTTCCTGAATTTGAATGTTGGCCTGCCTTGCTAGGTTAGGGAAGTTCTCCTGGATAATATCCTGAAGAATGTTTTCTAACTTGGTTCCATTCTCCCCATCACTTTCTGGTACACCAATCAAACGTATATTTGGTCTATTCAAATATTCCCATATTTCTTGGAGGCTTTGTTTGTTTCTTTTCACTCTTTTCTCTCTAATCTTGTCTTTTTGCTTTATTTCATTAATTTGATCTTCAATCACCGATATCCTTTCTTCCACTTAATCGAATTGGCTATCGAAGCTTGTGCAGGCATCATGAAGTTCTTGTGCCATGGTTTTCAGCTCCATCAGGTCATTTAAGGTCTTCTCTACACTGTTTACTCTAGTTAGTCATTTGTCTAACCTTTTTTCAAGGTTTTTAGCTTCCTTGCGATGGTTTGGAATATGCTCCTTTAGCTCGGAGAAGTTTGTTATTACCGACCTTCTGAGGCCTACTTCTGTCAACTCATCAAACTCATTCTCTGTCCAGTTTTGTTCTGCTGCTGGCGAGGAGCTGTGATCATTTGGAGGAGAAGAGGCACTCTGTTTTTTGGAATTCTCAGCTTTTCTGCTCTGGCTTCTCCCCATCTTTGTGGTTTTTGATCTTTGATGTTGGTGACCTACAGATGGGGTTTTGGTGTGGATGTCCTTTTTGTTGATATTGATGCTATTCCTTTCTGTTTGTTAGTTTTCTAACAGTCAGACCCCTCAGCTGCAGGTCTGTTGGAGTTTGCTGGAGGTCCACTCCAGATGCTGTTCGCCTGGGTATCACCAGCGGAAGCTGCAGAACAGCAAGTATTGCTACCTGATCCTTCCTCTGGAAGCTTCATCCCAGAGGGGCACCCGCCTGATTGAGGTGTCTGTTGGCCCCTACTGGGAGATGTTTCCCAGTCAGGCTACACGGGGGTCAGGAACCCACTTGAGGAGGCAGTCTGTCCGTTCTCGAAACTCGAACACCATGCTGAGAGAACCACTGCCCTCTTCAGAACTGTCAGACTGGGATGTTTAAGTCTGCAGAAGCTGTCTGCTGCCTTTTGTTCTATTATGCCCTGCCCCAGAGGTGGAATCTACAGAGGCAGTAGGCCTTGCTGAGCCGCAGTGGGCTCCACCCAATTCGTGCTTCCTGGCCTCTTTGTTTACACTGTGAGCTACTCAAGCCTCAGCAGTGGCAGTCGCCCCTCCCCCCGCCAATCTGCAGCATCGCAGGTCGATCTCAGACTGCTGTGCTAGCAGTGAGCAAGGCTCCGTGGGCGTGGGACCCACTAAGCCAGGCATGGGAGGGTATCTCCTGGTCTGCCAGTTGCTAAGACTGTGGAGAAAGCGCAGTATTTGGTCAGGAGTGTACAGTTTCTCCAGGTACAGTCTGCCATGGCTTCCCTTGGCTAGGAAAGGGAAGTCCCCTGACCCCTTGCACTTCCTGGGTGAGGCGATGCCCTGCCCTGCTTCAGCTCGCCCTCCATGGGCTGCATCCACTGTCCAACCAGTCCCAATGAGAGGAACCAGATACCTCAGTTTGAAATGCAAGAATCACCTGTCTTCTGTATCGATCTCGCTAGGAGCTGCAAACCGGAGCTGTTCTTATTTGGCCATCTTAAAAGCGCCCTTTTTTCTTTTTTTTTTTTTAGACTGAGTCTCACTCTGTTGCCCAGGCTGGAGTGCAGTGGCATGATCTTGGCTCACTGCAAACTCTGCCTCCTGGGTTCAAGCAATTCTCCTGCTTCAGCCTCCTGAGTAGCTGGGATTACAGGCGCATGCCACCAAGTCTGGCTAATTTTTGTATTTTTAGTAGAGACAGGGTTTCACCATGTTGGTCAGGCTGGTCTCAAACTCCTGACTTCGTTATCTGCCTGCCTTGGCCTCCCAAAATGCTGGGATTACCAGCATGAGCCACTGGGCCCGGCCAAGCTATTAGTATGTCATTTGAGACTCATACATGATATTATCATCACCACCATTTTATGGACAAGTAATTCAAAACCCAGAATTTAAATTATGGGCTAGAGATCACATGTAGCCAATAATTGAGAGACTAATATTAGCAAACCGAATCCAGCAGCACATCAAAAAGCTTATCCACCATGAGAAAAATTATTAATAGTTGATCCAAACAAGAGGAAATACTGAAGTGAATGGCAGAAGGAAAATCATCCCAAGTGAGGGTAAGTATATGGGTAAGCATAAAAGCCTATTCGCTATACACAACAACATAAATAATACAGGATTTAAAAACTAAATCAAAATAAAATACACAAAAGCAGAAGCATTCAAATCGGGAAGTGAATAAATGGAGTTAAGTGTTTTAAGATCCAGGCATTGTCTGGGAAGAAGTAAAAGTAGCAAGTTCTATTGGACTCTGATAAATCAAGGATCATGTTGTAATCTCTAGGGTAACCATTAAAGGAATAATAAAATAGTAACTATAAGTACCAAGATAATGGAACGAAAATTGGAGTCTAGGTGCTCCATTCAGATTTCATAAATTACATGTGATCTGTATCTGTCATATAGAAGGAAGCTTTTCTTTTGTATTCTGTTATCTATTTATTTTACTGGGTTGCTTTTTATTGAATAGCTTAAAAACCCAGGATAGAGGTAAACCAATCATATCAAAGCAAATTAAGGCAAAATTCAAGCCCAAAGTGGCTTTCACTAGGAAAAGATATTCTTCCTAAATGTGAAGGCCATCTGTTATGGGTTGAATTTTGTCCCCTAAAAAAGATACGTTGAAGGTGTAACACCCAGTACTTCAGAATGGGATCCTGGAAGTAGGGTCATTGCCAATGTAATTAGTTGCTAAAAATTGTATTTAGGTCATACTGGAATATGGTGGGCACCTAATCCAATGAGACTTGTATCTTTATGGGAAGAAGAAAATTTGGACACAGATATGCACAGAGGGAATGTGATGCAAAGATACAGGAAGAAGATGGCCATTGGAGTGATGCAGCCACATGCCAAGGGATGCCTGGGACTTCCAGAAGGTGGAGGAGGCGACAAAGAATCCTCCCCTAGAGTCTCAGAGGGAACATGGCTCAGCAGACACCTTAACTTTGGATTTCTAGCCTCCAGGACTGGGAGATAATAAATTTCTGCTGTTTTAAACCTGCTGTACTTTGTAACAGCAGCCCTAGGAGACTCTCACTCTTCCAGATCACACTGACCTCGGAAAGCATTGGGGAGAGGAAAATCAAGAACTTGGTGTCATCTCAGTGGCCTGGGACATGAACCACATACCATCTAAGGGACAAAATGGCATCCCCTGCAGATCAAGATGAGGGTTTTACAAAAGCTCTGGATCCCAACCAATAGTCAGAGTTATTTGACTGCAGCAAAGCAGGAGGGGGAAGAGAGAAGCCAGCCAGAGCCTCTTGAGGATCTCTTTGATCACTGCAAGCAAGATGTGCTCTTAGGATGAAAGGAATGCGTGAGAAATGAAATGTCTGTGGAGTGGGGGTCTTAAGGGACAAGCCTCATTGCATGTCCCCCTTGGGAACTCTGGAATATTAGTGGTGGCCTTTGAAGGTCAGCCTGCCGGTGAGCATGTCCTCCAGGAATTCTACCTGTCTGGGTGAAGGCTGTCCAGGTGGCAGGGATGGAGTGGGAGAATAGGAATTCTCTTGGTGGGCAGGGAAGTCACAGGACAGGAGGAAGTTGGACAACCTCAGCCTTAGTTGGTAACATGGTAGACTGAGGGCAGGGCTGTTTTTGAGGACCACACAGGATGATGCCACTCAAATCGCCTCTG
This sequence comes from Homo sapiens, assembly GCF_000001405.40. Classification (NCBI taxonomy): domain Eukaryota; kingdom Metazoa; phylum Chordata; class Mammalia; order Primates; family Hominidae; genus Homo; species Homo sapiens. The sequence continues at coordinate 12,363,818 of NC_000011.10, read as the reverse complement.
ATTCAGCCATGGGGGAATGAGTCCAAAGTTCTTTGAGACAGATGACCTGCTCACCTACCCTTCAGGGGTAATAATGAACTACAGACAGTGGTGGAGAGATTTTCTCACCTCAGCATGATAGCTGAGGGCCAGCTGCAGAAGTGAAGCCCTAAAATCAGTAGTTCCTCCTTGGGTAATCAAACAGAGGAATGAATAACACACAGGTAAACAAGAGCACAGCAATGCTTTTAAGGGCAGAAAGCAGCAGGTGTGAGCCAATGCAGACTCAGCCAGGCAAGGGGGAATACCTGGGGCCCCAGTGATTGTACTGGTGTGTGGTCCATGTCCCAGGCCACTGAGATTATACCCATGGTCTTGATTTTCCTCTCCCCAATTCTTTCCTAGGTCAGTGTGATCTGGAGGAGTGAGAGACCCCGCTTCCATCTTTCTTGGGGGGAGATATTATAGCTATTCATACGTTGGATGTTTCCTCTTAGGGAGGAAGGTTAGAAGTATTATGTCTAACAATGAAATGGAACCAAATCACCAAGGCCAGATGTTGTCTGCTGGAAACACTAAAGGGTATACTTGAAGGAGTATTGGCCAAAGAGCTGTGCAAGGGGCTGGACATCTGGTCAGCAGAGGGCAGTCCAAAGAGATGGTCCCCAAAGAGATTCCACGAGCACTCTAGTGAGTCAGATGAAATCAGAGAGGTGACAGAGTTCTGGGGAGTGAGTTTCCTGGCCTAGTTCACCTGGTAGGTGAGAAGAGCTGAGTTCACAGTAGCTGTTACCATTATCAGGGTCAGAGGGGCTGGGGGAAGGGTGCTGTGATGTTTGGTTTTGCTTTCTTTTATTTCTAAGTGAACTGGGAGAGGGAGTGAGCATGAAATTAGAAAGTGTGCCCTGAAGGCTCAGAGACGGTGAGTTGCAGCAATGGCTGAGAGTCTGCAGCTCTGTGAGTATGAGGATGTCAGCTGAGCCCCAAGGAAAAACTTGCAAAGTGCCATCAGAGGTGGCTGTTGCTTGGAGCTCTTCACTCCCCACATTAGTGCTGGTAAAACAGGAGCTCTCATCTGCAGTTATGTATATTTGTTGTTGATGCTCAATGGAAAAATAAATCCTTTCAAATATTTGATCAGCAGACAAAAGCTTTCAAACAAATGGGGCACCTTCGTGTGGAATGATGGGAGCTCCTGGGACTCATGGGTTGATTACTGTGATGTGGCAATTCTGGTGTACCCTGCACTCATAGTTTAAGAATATGCATGTGCTGGGGTTAAGAAAAGAGGTAATAAGAACAAACTAAAAGAATGTGACTTGAAGGAAGAGGCTAGATCTGCGCAGAAGGAAACGTTCCTGTTGAGCGAATTAAATACAAAACCAGGTGAGAGAAAGGTGAGAGAAAGGGAGGGGCTGGGACTACCATAAGCCTCATCCCTCCCCTTCCCCAGCCTTGAAAACAGCTTTCTTTGTTGAAGGAATACACCTGAGGTGAGCCTTCTTCGCTTCTCCTCCCATTCAAATCCAATTTGCTGGTCAGGTAAGTCCTTCTAGATGCCCCATGGTAATAAAATCTCCCAGGTTAATTAACAGACTCCCACACAAAATCAAAGCCTTGCCCAGGCTCTTTCACTGAGAACAAATAAATGAAATGGATGCTGCCCTCAGAGGTGCCAGACCAAGCCCACATGAAAATGTTTTGATTCCTGAGACACAAAACCATTTATTTTTGGTTCATTTCAGTATCTATAGCAGTGCACAAATAACACATTTCCATCCACATGAATAGTTCCCAATTGTTGGAGCAAATTAATCTTTTACAAGCTACTCAGCAGTGAGGTTAGAAGATAAACAGTAGATGAAATCGTACACTTTCCCCTGTATGTGAACTTTCTTATTACAATAAACTCCTACATTTGAGCTCACCACATCCAATGACTGCCCCTCTCTGTTCATGTGGCGGCCCCGGCTGCCCCCTGCCACCTCTGCCCTGCTGAGGTAGTTCTCTGATCAGCCACCTGGGTGGGGCATGCTGCCATTTTCAGTTTGGAAGGAAAAGCCTGTAAATCTGCTTCCTGGGAAGAGAGACACTGCTGAATTGTCATTTGCCTCCAGAATGCAGAAAACATCAATTTCATTGCAGCTCATCAGGGTTGGAAACACCTGCCACTTCCTTTCTCGGTTGCAATTAACATGGTGCATCTTGGCATTGATTGATTCCAAGCAGCCTAACACTGCCAAAGTCAAGGTTTAAATGAACAGTACAACCTGAGATGATTTTTCACAGTTTTAGAAATACAAACTTATTTTTACTGCCCAAGAAGCCCTGTGATAGTGGGGGATATTCTTTATGCTTGAGATAAACGTGAGTAGAATAGGTTGATGCTTATAATAAAAATAGCTTTTCATCTTTGTATTTGGGGATGGTACCTATTTCTTGATCTTTGTATTTATTTGGAGGTGGAGTTAAGGACTAATATTCTTTCTGTATCTCAGCATCTGGCACAGGGCTGCAGAACCCCATGGGCATTCAGAGGATGTTAAATAAATAGACCAATAAATCAATGGTTTGGGAGAGCAAGCTTAAGAAATGTCCTCTTGGCCCAACTTAGGTACAATTCTGACCTTATAACTATCATAAACACTTTGATTTAACTTAGAAGCTGTGTGAGACTGACTGTGAAATATGACCTGAGGCTGGGCTTTCTGTCCCATTCAGAGTCCTATATAGTTTGGCCTTGATCACATTCACTAGTGCCCTTTTATGGGGCACTGCAGACTCTGTGTGTTTTCATCATAATCCTACTCATATTGCATACAAAGAAACTGTCTTCAAAATGTATAGTATTTTACATTTTGAGAGTCTTAGAATGCTCTCTCTTGTAAATAAGGAATGGAATCATTTTAGATAGTTCAACAGACACAATATTTGTGTCCATTGGAAATGTTGAAATGGTTTTTATGTACTAGTGAAACAGAAAGGCCAGTGTATATAGAAAACTGTTAAGGATGAAGTTTACGTTTTAACTTGGCCAGATAAAACTGAGCCATAAACCACAGAGCACAGCCTGTGAAAGCAAGTGAACAAATTGCTTCTCTCATCTATTAACAGAATACTAGGGGCCAAACCACCTTCTCTCTTGGCCCTCTTGGGAGATTCATCCTTTAGGATGGAAATATAACAAATTAAAATAAGTGGCAATTAATTCTTTTGCACAATAACAACTCAAACATGACACGCTTGAACATCATCTGTTAAGTGTATGCAGGCATCAAAGGATGCACTTTTATGCAACTGACAGAAAAGACTGGGGCCTGAATATTGCTGCATATTCTAGAATGAAAACTGAAGTTATAAATCTTTTTCTTATAATGAGTTGATATTCTTGTGCATCCATAATCTTACCTCTAAATGCCTGATAGCTGAAATCTTTAATACTATACAACTCACTGCCCCAAACATCTGGGTTATTTGTATATTAAATAGCTTATGTACCAATTTCTTAGTGCTAATAGGTCTTCTCCAAATTATAACACCTGAAAACCTGAATTATGAGGAAATGATATTATCAATTCTCACCAATACACAAATAAATAAAAATAGATAAATATCCAGAAGTGGTACAGTTTTCATAGGTAGGCAGGTAGGTAGGTGCCTCCTCATATTGCCTAATAATAGAATTCAGGCCCTGGAAGACCTGATTCTTATTTTTTTTTTAAAAAAAAAAAGGAAGGAAGGAAAGAAAAGGAAAAAGAACTGCAACCTTTGGAACTTGCTATAACATAGAAAGATTGTGCTTAAATGTAACCCAAAGCATTGGCTGACTCAGAGGAAATCCAGTTATACATCTAATTTCTGGCTTGTGAGCTGGCCAGATTGGTGCGTGCAGAGAGCGTCTCTGACAGAAGTGGTTTATGGATTGATTTGAGAGAAATTTGGTCTCCAGTCAGAGCCAACTGTTGCAGAGCACCTTTTGTCTAATGACACATTTAAACACTTGCCGAAATGAGAGCGGCCAAATACACAACCAAGAGTTCTTTAGTGTTTCTCTTATCGATAATAGACTAAATCTTCAAAGAATCCGAGCAAAAACAATCAAATGTTTTATGACAACACATCACCATATTAAATCTTCTCTTCTTTGGCCCCCATGGGAACCCTCATAATGCCCCAGGAATTCCAACATGTCAGCACACAAACTCCATCTTCCAGCTTTCTTTTCAAACTGAAATGTCATTAAAAAAATTCATGACCCAGTTTGGGATTTGGTAAATAGGGTCACTGCATTCAGCCCTCCCTCTAAGTCAGAAGTGGTTTTGTCCTTGCTCTGTAGAGTTCCTGGGGAGAGGGAGAGATACTTCTCTCTTTGAGTCTAAGAAGACCACCAGCGAGAAGCATTCCTTCTCTTGTACCCTAGTGTGTTCAGTTTCAGTAGCGGCACCAACCTCACCAATATTTTATCAACAAATAAAAGAAGTTCCCCTCTTTTTTTTTTTTTTTTTGCCATCATCAACACTTATTTAAAAAGTACTTTAAAATCATTCATTTTCTGAAAATGCTTTTCATTATTTTCCAGGGTCCATAAAAAGCATAGCACGGGGACGAAAAGCTTTTCTAAGCCAGCAGTGTTTGGTGAACACTAACAATCCCACTGGCATAAAGTTAAAGTTTTATTTCCTTTTTTCTTTTCTTCTTAAAATAAAATTAAGGCTCAAATGTTCTATTAAGCTCTCATTGCTTATGTATATTATATTAAGGCTTATAAATGCACCTGGTAAATTAAATTCACCCTGGATTGAATTAACACCTGCTATATGAGTTATTTGCTTTATGTAATCAGTAATCTCAAGGTTTCTCCTCTTTCTCTGGAAACACAATTTAAATATTAACCTAATCTTTAAACTGCGGCTGCTTCTTTCTGACATTTGGAAACTGGTCATCCATACAAAAAAGGCAAATATGGATATATTAATGAAAAGGCAGCTTCTCAAAAATCTTAAAGTATGTAACTCAATGAATTGGGAAGGAAAATGATAAAAGTAGCAGGAAAGTCAAGTCTTTGTGTCACTTTCTAGGGAAAACAATGCTGGTCATCTGCCAACAACACCTCCAGTCTGAGAGCCTGGCTGAAGTTGACTGCCAATTGCCAAAGAGTCTTTGGGTTTTCTTCATTTGAATCTCTGGAAGAACCTTGGGAAGCTGCCATGCGTGCAAGAGAATTTTAATTTTAAAAAATGCAGTAAGGTATAACAAGTTCCAGGGATGATAAATCCTGCAGAAAGACCCATGAGGGTGTGTGGTGCACTTGGCCTGATCCGGTCCCAACGTGCAGCCAGGGAGAGGGACTACGGGCCTCCTCAAGTCCTGCTCAGCTGACAGCCTCTGGAGAATACGAAGCTTTCAAAGTGCTGGTCCTCGGCTTTTTCTCTGATGCGTTGTTCCTCTAAGGAATCGACGAGTTTGTCCCTTTGCTCAATCACTTGCATCAGCTCGGTGAATACTTCTTGCTCTTCGTTTAGATCCTTCTCATCTTTCTGGCTCTCTAAAGAAAAAAAAGAAAACCACTGGGCTCAGAGAAGATTGGGCCCCGGCAGAGTTCTTGGCATGGACATTCTCGATTGTTATGGACTTGTTCTGCCTTTAATTTTAATGGAGAAAACAAGGAAATGAATTTAACACCAAGGAACCGCCCTTAGAGTGAGAGATGAGAAAGGTGTGTGCGGTGAAACAGTTCACTCAGTTTTCATCTTGAAGATATGTACAAAGCGACAGGGAAAACCCCTTTGTAAGAAAAGGAATTTAATACCAGCCAAACCCTATCAAATCCCCCAACCTTCCCTCTGCCCCAAAGAGAAGCTAACAAAACAACAAAAAAGGCGGTTTCCATAAACATAGCTGAGCCACAGCAAAGAAATCTGTGAGAAGTTTCTAAGTAAACCACCTGCACCAGTGGCTACTGTTTCAATGACCACAATCTTTTTTTTCTTTTTTCTTTTTTTGAGATGGAGTCTCACTCTGTTGCCCAGGCTGGAGTGCAGTGGCATGATCTTGGCTCTCTGCAACCTCCACCTCCTGGGTTCATGTGATTCTCCTGCCTCAGCCTCCTGAGTAGCTGGGATTACAGGTGTCTCCCACCACGCCTGGCCAATTTTTTGTGTTTTTAGTAGAGACGGGGTTTCACCATGTTGGCCAGGGTGGTCTCAAACTCCTGACCTAGTGATCAGCCCACCTAAGCCTCCCAAAGTGCTGGGATTACAGGCATGAACCACAGCGCCCAGCCAGAATCTTTTTCATGTGTAGTTAATGACAAACTAGCCTTTTGTTTAGGGACCACAGGGAAGCAAAGTGAGGCTACAACTGTCTGATAGGAAGGTGTTTCCACACTGACTTTGCTTTTCCCTTTGTCTTCTCGAGTACCTGACCTTCTTGATAATTGGCCTGAGGCATTTGGTTGCCTGGGGGAGATAGGATTGTTAGAAAATGAAAGGACAGAGTAGGAAACAAGTAGTAATGAGCTTTGGACACAGAAAACAGGATTCTGAAGCCAGATTTAAGTCTTGTCAAGCAGACAATTGCCTTGGGAGAAGACTTTCTAAATTCCTAGAGCCCCTGTGTCTAACACACGGAGGACTGGGTGGGGAGCCTCCTCCCAGAGTAGAGAGGGTGCCACTTCCTTCATCAGGCTTAGCTCTGAGGTCTGGGCCAGGAAGCAGGTAGGTCTGATGAAAGGGAGACAAAGAAACACCATCCCACTGCACCTCAAGTTTTAAGAAGAAAGAAGAGAGGCAGGAGGGGCAGAGGGTTAGAGCCCCATGCTCGGTCTCTCCATTCTGGGCCTTAGAAGCCCCAAAGGGGACAGGTAATGTCATATCTCATTGGTGGATGGGCAAAGGACTCTTGCCCTGCCCTTGTTCAGAATTCTGGAAAGAAGCCAGCTTAAAGGGCATCCCTATGTATAAACATAAGACAGTACTTCATGGTTGGGCAGAGAAGAAGGGTCTGAGTGTGGCCCCCCAGATCTTGGTGTGCTGTATGCGGCATGGGCGGAGCCTAGAAGGGTCCACTTGCCCCACTGTTACCAGAGACAGCTGGCTAGTGGACCTGCCACAGGGTTCCCCCATGGGGCAGAGTGACCCCACAGGAGAGACTGTCTAGCCATGCTGAATGAAGGATGTGCTGAGGTGAGGCTGGGTGAGCCAGGAATGCCCGCAGGCTCTCAGGCACCCCGAGAGAGTGGGCAGGCTACGGATGAGACCAGCACACACCTCAGTTGCAGATGCCACCAGAGAGAGTTGCAGCCCAATGATGGGGGATGCCATGAGGGGACTCAATAAGCACAGCACCCCACACAGAGTCCTAATGCCACCACAAGGTCACACAGACCTGCCTTTTCCCATTACTTGCCAGTCACCCTGGGGAGAGACAGAGAAGGGAGGGGTGGCATCTTCAAGACTGCACATTTTCATCCCAAAGAGACCGAGCATCTCCTACACGGATTGTTTAAGTTATTGCATCAGATTAAGTTTACCATGGAGGGGTAAAGAGTTCCTATTTTTTTTCCTTGCTAATCAGTGGGAGGATGCATAGGCAGAAGATGAGCTCAGGTACAGACAGAATAAAGAAACTACATTTTTTGGATACATCTGACAGGGTTGAGAAAAACCTATGACCTTCACTTCTTAGTAAGAATTTTTTTAAAAAGAATCAAAGGTGGCAAATAGTCTTTGGTGGTATTTATTTAGTATCCTGAAACAGAACAAATTAAACTTTTCAAATCTGATATATAAATCAGATATCAGTTAGAACCTATGGTTTATTAAGTTAGGTATATTCCAGGATTACTATTCATTTAATAAACAGCACAGAAAAATAAAAAAAAAATCCTCTCTCAGTTTAGGCTTGTCGTGGATGGACCCATCTGAGCCCCTCTGACATATAAAAAATGATTTATACCACTTTAGTCTGTACAGTGCTGCTGCATAAGGATTTTGTTAGAATTCTGTTGCTATAAAGAAACAGTCTGCAAATTACTGCCATATGGGAAAGAACAGGAGACCCTGATCTGTGATCTGTTCCTAAATCTTAGCCCTACCATTCACCTTGAGCATGGGATTTAAATTCTCTGAGACTCAGTTTTCTAATTTGTAAATTGGGCGCGAAAATACCTAAATACAAATCAGTGATAATAATGCCTAACATTTGCTCAGTACTTGCCCTATACTGGGCAACCTCATAAGGTAGGTGCAGTATTAGATCCCTGAGGTATAGACATTCTTTAAGTTGTTCTTTTAGATCTAGGTCTGAATATGGGAAGGTCATGCATCGATCTGGCACTGCAAACACACAGGTGCAAAACGGAGTGAATATGCCTTTCTGGCAGGAACTAATAAATGCATACAGCAGTATACTGTGTCAGTTGAGTTTATCTCTACTCTCCTTGCTTCCTGGTGGAATCGTTTTCTCATGTGTGATGCCCTGGCCCTGCCCACGCTGGGAGGGAACGTTTCCTTTACTAGCTCTAGTGCCTGGCAGCACTAGGCCCGCCTTTCTCTGGGATCCCAAAGCCCTTCTGATGTGGCCTTCATCTCACTGAACTAGCATTACGGAACTGGGGGTGTTAGTCTCCCCAGTGAGACCACAAACTCCTAGAGGGCAGGACTTGCTCTTCATCATAAACCAGGACCATAGTTCCCAGTAAATGTGTGTTAAATGAATGGGTGGATACATGAATGAATAAGTGAACATAGGACTTTGTTCCTACTGCCACTTGGGATGGGGGAAAGCACTGCCCTCACAGCCCAAGTGAATGAGGCTAAATGGGGCTTGTGGTGCTGCTGGTGGGAGGCAGGCTGGCTTTGTACTTTCCTCTAACTTGCAGGCTGGCAGGCAGGAAGAGCGCCCCACTCTGGGATTTGTGGCACACGCTGCTCAGGAGCCTTTCTAGGGGGAAGTTCTCAACAAAGGCCCAAGCATACTCACCCTCCTTGAGCATTTTCTCTCTCAGTTTCTGCTCCAGTCTGCTTTGATGATCTTCTAATTCCAGTTCCTGGGCCCTGGGTGAGAAAATGTTCAAATTTTATGAATACTATAGATTTGTGAGGAAACATTGATGAATAAGCCCATTGAGAGTAGCTACAGCATTCTTTTTTCCTAATTAAGACTGGAGTTTTAGCCTATCTTTATTTTTTATTGTAATTATTATTTTTCTGAGACCGAGTCTTTGTCGTCTGGACTGGAGTGCAGTGGCACCAGCTCACTGCAACCTTCGCCCCCCAGGTCCAAGTGATTCTTCTGCCTCAGCCTCCCAAGTAGCTGGGATTACAGGCGTGCACCACCACGCCTGGCTAATTTTTTTTTTTTTTTTGGAGACAGAGTTTGCTCTTGTCACCCAGGCTGGACTGCAGTGGCACGGTATTGGCTCACTGCAACCTCCACCTCCCAGGTTCAAGCGATTTTCCTGCCTCAGCCTCCTGAGTAGCTGGGATTACAGGCATCTGCCACTGGGCTAATTTTTGTCTTTTTAGTAGAGACAGGGTTTCACCCTGTTGGCCAGGCTGGTCTCGAACTCCTGACCTCAGGTGACCCGCCCTCCTTGGCCTCCCAAAGTGCTGGCATTACAGGCATGAGCCACTGCACCCAGCCTTAGCCTGTCTTTAAACTGAAGGTTCTGCTACTGCTGGGATCTCTGAAGGTACATGGAAAGATTGCTGAGATACACTGAACTCAAGAGACCAGGGGGAGCAGCTGAAGGCTGCAATGTGCTCTCAGTAGGCTTTGGAAGGCCATCCAGACCACCCTTTAGGGATGGGGTGGGGGTGAGGAGAACAGTGAAGAAATGACTAGCATAGGCCCGGGAGAAGCAATGACAATCAAAAGCTTTTCTCTCTTTTAGGAGTAACTTGACTTAGAGCATTAACTCCAATGATGCCCAAGTCTCTGACTGTGGTACATGAGAAAACAAAATAGAGCAAACAAAAGTGAGATATTTTGTGTGGGTGGGGTGGGGGACTTAAAACTCAGGCAACTCTCCAGCTGGCTGTAGGAGAGGTGGAAAGAGTCAGTGATGCTTTGGGGTGGTCAGGCTTGAGTGCTGGGGGCTCAGCATTTCCACTGAGAGGAGCAGCAAAGTCAAGAAATGAGGTGAGTCCTCAGGGAAGGTTAGATGGAACTTAAGTTTTCCATGCCAGGGGATGCCCCATTGAGATCACCGTGGGTGTGTGAGCTCCCCACAGGCTAGCCCATGTGGTAATGTGGAGGCTCCCAAATGCCACTCTGGAGTTCTCAGAAGAAAGGAGGACCACACACAGATGTGGCAGTGGTCAGAGGTGAGAGCTGAAGTTGTGTGATCCCTAAAGGAAGGCTATAGATAAAGAAACAGTTTGAAGACAGAAGCCTGGAAATACCTACATTTAGAAGCCAAACAAAAAAGGTAGCCAGGGAAGAAGCCATCCAAAGGTTGGAAGAACAAAACAAGAAGTGCACCAGCACAGAGACAAGCAAGGGATGTTTTGAGAGAAAAGAGAAAGGTCAAAGGTGTTCACTGCAACAGAGACTTGAAGAGGGTGAGGGCCGAGACTAGGTTCCTGGGTTTGACCTGGTGGGGCCTCCTCTTCCAGCCTCCACCTGCCATCTGCATGTGTATCACACATCACCCCTATAGGTGCTGGGGTCGCTTTGTTATACCCGGTTACTGGCGTTATTTTTACTACATCTGCTACTACATGGGCCAAGGTCCCTGCTTCTTGTTATCAACCCTGAACTTCTTGTGGCCCACTGTGGTAGCCAATGGAGATGGACCGGTCAGATCTTCCTTTAAGAGAACTTTCTGGGAGAAGCATAATGAGCTCACTGCTGCTGCAAAATCCACTTCCATGTCATGCAGACTGGGCAGAGAGGAGGTGCTGCAGTTGCCCCGTTCCTGCCTGCATGGAATTCCTCGATGGGCAGTCTTTGCACTGATGTTCCCATTGGCCTGGCCAAGACTTTCTCAGAGCTGCGCTGCATCTGGGGCTCCTCCTGCCCAATTCTTCTCCCTCCCCACTCTCCTTTTACAGGCATCAGAACTGCAGTGGAGTCTGAAGACTTCTCACTTCCTCCTGCTCCTTCTCCCTTCATAGGCATTTTCCCCAATAGACCTCTTGTTCTTTGAAGTGTCTTGGCATCCGGTTCCCAAAAGCCTTGAATCAAGATACCAATAAGACATTTCTCCATGCTCATTCAGGGCTTTCTCCAAACTAAAACCCATGCTTTAGCAGAGCTCCTACTAGCCTTTGTCTAGTTCACATGTCAAAGTTTTCCTATTCACCCTCCTTTGGAGAGGAAAGTCCTTCCTACAGTGCGTTGACCGGGGAAGCTGCAGTTATGGGACACAGGCAGCAGCCGTGCCTCCCTGACTCTCAGGCAGACCCTTCTGTCGCCATGGAGCTCTTCTAAGTTTTCTTATCACTACTGTGCTATGCACGTGCCTATGTGTTTCCCTTAAAACTACAAGATCCTAGAAAATAGAGTCTATGACCTTATCCATCTTTATTTTCACAGAACCCAGCATAGTCCCTGGTGCACAGAATGTGCTTGATAAATTTTTTACACTTTTAAAATAATTTTTACGTTTTTACAATTTATCATTCATACCTGGCCTCAATGCAGACACAGTAGCTATATAAAAAGGGCTTTGTAGTCAGGTAGAGTGGACAAATTACTTAGTTGCCCTGAATCTCAGTATATGCATCAACTTAAAAAGTTGTAATAAGGCTGAGCATGGTGGCTCAGGCCTGTAATTCCAGCACTTTGGGAGGCCGAGGTGGGTGGATCACTTGAAGTCAGGAGTTCGAGACCAGCCTGGTCAACACGGTGAAACCCTGTCTCTATTAAAAATACAAAAATTAGCTGGGTGTGGTGTGCACCTGTAGTCCCAGCTTCTTGGGAGGCTGAGGCAGAAGAATCACTTGAACCCAGGAGGTGGAGGCTGCAGTGAGCCGAGATCACACCACTGCACTCCAGCCAGGGTGAAAGAGCGAGACTCTGTCTCAAAGAAAAAAAAAAAAAAGTTATAATACAACAAATCATCACTAGAGATGACCCCCCTTCTTCCCAATTCCTGGCATTACCTTCCATGTCAATGGAACTCAATGAATGTAACTCCGGGCCACCTCTCCCAACCCTACCCTTCCTCACTCTCACCCCAGGGGAGGTAAATTTGGGAAAAATAGACTACGTGAGCTCAACTCACTCCTCTCTTTCTCTCCCAGGCTCAGCCAGTCTTCAGCAAACATGTGTTCTCAATAAGCCTTGCCATAGTTCTAGGGCAAGGTTTCTTAACCCTGACACTTTTGACATTTTAGGCCAAATAATTATTTTTTGGTGGGAGGAAGGGACTGTCTTGTACTTTGTAGGATGTTTAGTAGCATCCTTGGCCTCTGCTCACTGGATATCAGTAGCACCCCTGCCCCTAGATGTGACAACAAAAATGTCTTCAGACATTGCCAAATATCCTCTGAGGTTATTGCCCCTGGCTGAACCCCACTGGTCTAGGATAACAGCCTTGCCCCTAAGGAGCAGGTGAGTCTACTACCTTTTGTGATTAGGTAGGTATATGTCTAATTCTGGGGTTGGTTAGTGTAGTGGGTTGAATGGTGACTCCCTAAAAGATATGTCCACGTCCTAACCCATGGAAACTGAATGTGACCTTATTTGTAAAGGGTCTTTGCAGATGCAATTAAGTTAAGGATCTTAAGATAAGAACATTCTGGATTATCTCAGTGGGTCCTAAACCCAATGACCCAAGTGTCTTTATAAGAGCAGAAGAGAAGACACAGACACACAGGGAAGGCTGTGTGAAGACAGAGGCAGAGACTAGAGTGATGCAGCCACAAACTCAGGAAAGCCTGGAGCCAGAAAAAGTGGAAAGGGCAAGGACAGGTCCTTCCTTGTGTTTCTGCAGGAAACACAGCTCCCCCAACACCTTGATTTTGAACTTCTGGCTTCCAGACAGTGAGAGAATAAATTTCTGTTGTAAGCCATCCAGTCTGTGGCAATTTGTTATTGCAGCCTAGGAAACGAATAAAGGTAGCAAGCTAATCTGGGCTGTCATACTTAGCCAGGTACAAGCCATTATCATATAAGCCATTATCGGTAATAAAGATAATATTTTGATGTTCCCTCTATTGACTTGGTTGTCTTATTTCTCACCTGGCTCAGAACCCAGGCAGGGAAGAGTGATAGTATTTATTACACCCCTTCAAAAGCCCTTAAAATTACTTCCTGGGGTTGGGGCAAAAATGAAACGAGACAGCATAAATGGAAGCACCCAGCACAACTTATGGCACTTCAATTGATACTAAATGTTACTTTTTTCCCTCTAGAATGATGACAGGTATAGTGACCTTCAGCTTTTTCAGAGTGTGGTGACATCCATCTCCACTTTTTGGTCTCCCAACGAGGCTGCAACTGCATTCAGAGAGGACAGCCAGACAGAACTCAGTCCTTCATTCTCTTAAAGCCACAGGAAGTGGTCAGGGGTATGTCACTGAGTCCTTCCCAAGATTTACACTCAGAGGCCAGACACAGCCTTCCCATTGCAGGTGTGTGATCCCTCTTTTAAGATGGACCCAGGGAACAGGGATGGATTGAAAATGCCTTATCCAAATGACCTTCAGCTCCAGACCCATTACCCAAAACCTATTTTAGCCACAGGACTCTGCAGAGAGAAAGAACAGACAGCTAAAGATTCTTTGCACTAATGCCAGCATGATATGCAAGACATAAAATATCAATTTGCCTCAATCACTATTCTGTATGCACAAGGAGAAAAAGTCCCGAGACTTCGGCCTAGGAGGGTAAGCCACCCCCCTTTGCCCCTTTGCTTTTAGGACTCGCTGGTATCTGTGTTGCCTTACTTACATGATTAGGAGCTCCGACTCATATCGCATTAATTTATTCTTCTCCAGAACCAGCTTAAACCATTCCTGCAAAAGCTGTGCTTCATCCTGTGTGCCTGAATCTGCTTAAGAAATCAACAGCAAATGGGTTAGATTGGCATTTCTCTCCCCATGATCAAACTGCTTTGAGCCACTTTAGCAGGTTATGTTTGTAGTGACAAGGGCTCTGCAGGCAGCAGCTCCCTGACACCCTGTAGGTGCCTCCAGGTTATGGGTATGACAAATAAAACCCACCTGTGCATGCTGTGGGTACGTGTGTGAGGGGGTCTTCTTGGACACTTAGGGCATGACTACTCCAGTTCCAATGGTCACATAACCACGATAACATCCCACCACAAACGACCCTCCCCCTGCCTACTCGTATATTCTTTGTAAAACTTACATATGTGTATGCATCACATCCTTCACCAAGGACAACCCTAGCTGCTGCTCATCATTTCCTTCTTCTTTTTCTCCCCCAGATCAAATGCCTACTGAGTACCCAGGTGGTGTGTGGCTCCTTCCATGGGGCAGGGAAGCTCATGCCACATTTGGTCACAGAGGAGTGCTGACTGGCATTTTGATTTTTTGAACAAAGAAAAGCCAAATAATAATAATACAAAAGTTATTAGCTTTGTGTCTCATGGGGGAAAAGTTATATCCATATATTCTTATTACTTAGATTATGACCTTTATTAAACAGAAGAAGAATCACGAGAAAACTGGCACTGCTTCTTAGATATTTAATGTTAGATACTAAATATCTAGGTACTAAAATGTTAAAAGGTGGCTTTCGAATATTTCACCCTGAAAGGAGAACACAAGCTGTATGGCAAAGCTCATGGTCATCCTAGAAGGATTTATCCTGGAGGGTCCCATACGCAGAGGGGAAAACAAGGCAGACAGAAGCTTTGTGTGACCTTGTGCAAGTTGCTTAACTTCTCCGAACCTCTGCTTCTTCACTGGTTAAAGTGGAATAATAAGACACACAGGCAATACAATAATAATGAGCTGCTGTTTATTTTGTAGTGATTACATGCCAGTTGATGGGCTATGTGCCTTATATGCAGCACCTAATTTAATCCTCATAACAAACTTTTCTGTAGATACACTTATCATCACCACTTGATAGCTGAAGAAATGGAGGTTTAAAAGATTAAACTTGCCCAAGTTCACAGTAAGCAGCAGAGCTAGAGCCTGAACTTAACTGTGTCTGATCCTAAACCCACAATCTTCACTGCTATGTATATTTCTCCCTCCCTCCTGCTAAAATAGTCTAAGATAAATAATATGCCTAGTTCATTGCCTTGCACATAGCAAGAAATCCATAAAAATTAGTTCCCTTTTCTCTGTGTCTCCTGGACCACCTTGTTATTGATAATAAAACCAGGGCCCAGAAAGATTTACAGTCATCTCTCAGTATTTATGGAGGACTAGTTCTAGGACCCCCTCTTGGATATCAAAATCCATGAGTGCTCAAGTCCCTTATATATAATGACACAGTATGGTCAGCTCTTCAAATCTGTGGGTTCCTCAACTGTGGATTCAACCCACTGTGGATCAAAAATATTCAGAAAAAAATATTTCACAAAGTTCCAAAAAACACAAATTTGCTGCACTTCAAGTACTATGTTGAATCCATACAAATGAAGTAATTTGTAGGCATTGTGTTTGGTATGGTGAGTAATCTAGAGATGATTTTAAAATATGGGAAGATGTACACAGGTTATATGCAAATACTATGCCTTTTTTTTTTTTTTTTTTTTTGAGACAGAGTCTTTCTCTGTTGCCCAATCTGGAGTGCAGTGGCACGATCTTGGCTCACTGCAACCTCCGCCTCTCAGGTTCAAGTGATTCTCCTGCCTCAGCCTCCTGAGTAGCTAGGACTACAGGTGTGTGCCACCACACCTAGCTAAGTTTTGTATTTTTAGTAGAGATGGGGTTTCACCACGTTGGCCAGGATGGTCTCGAACTCCTGGCCTCAGATGGTCCTCTCGCCTTGGCCTCCCGAAGTGTTGGGATTACAGGTGTGAGCCACCGTGCCTGGCCTGCTATGTCATTTTATATCAGGGTCTTGTGCATTCATACATTTTAGTATCTGCACAGGAGTTCTGACCCAGTCCCACATAGACACCAAGAGGTGACTGTATTTGCATATAACCTATACACATCCTGTAGTATACGTTATATAATTTCTAGATTATTTATAATACTGAATATGATATAAATGCTATGTCAGTATTTGCCATATTGTATTGGTTTTTCTATCTGTATTATTTTTTATTGTATTATTTTAATTTTTCTCTAAATATTTTCAATTTACAGATGCAGAAGGGTGGACTGTATATGCAATATCCCAAATTATTTACTTTATGGGCAAACTGGTGCTAGAATGCAGAGCTTGGCTTCTGTTTCATTCATTCACTTAATAACATCTATCTATCAGACACCTCCTATGTGTTGGTATTGCCTTAGGTACTGGAGATACAGTGATATATAATGTTACATTGCATGAGAAATTTGCAGATAGTGAGGCATTGTGCCTACCAAAAAGGATATCATTAGATACTCTTTGGATCACAGGGACTCAAAGAGCTAGAATAAAATAGAATATTAGAAAACAATCACAATAAAGCAACAAAAAGCACTGTGGGCACACAGGGGAGGGAGGATTCTCCTGATCAGGGTGTGAGGCTGGACTTTCTGAGGGACTGGGGTGGAAGAACAGGTAACACTTTTGAGAGGAAATAATGAGGGTGGAAGAGGGCATTTTTCAAGAAGAGGGAACAACTTGAGGAAACACAAGGCAATGGGGAAGAAGACGGTGGAGACAGAGATTGGGAGGGGCTGAGGGGCATGGAGGGGTGGGCAAGGAGGCCTGGCATTTTTTGATGATCTCATCACAGAGAGTAGTGCTAAGGCATTTGCACTTCATGCTGTAGAACACAAAGGGACATTAAAGGATGTGGAGTAGGAGAATGATGTGTGAAGTGTCGTGTGTAAAGGACTAAAGTGAGAAAGGGAGGAGGGAGGGAAATAAGGTGTTAATCTTTCTTAGGTTTCTTGAGTGAATGAATGTATGAGCAACCAAATTTATAAACATTGAGGGCCAACATCTTCTATGCATTGTTAGTGGTGCCGGACAGGGGCGAGTAAACACTGGTTCCAGCTCTTTAGGTAACTGGGAGCTCATGGTCCATTGGGGAAAACCAACGTAGCCAAATAGAATACAACATGCCTCTTGTGAGAACACAGGAGGCAGGCAATTAATTGTGTGTGGAGAAAGCGAGGGAAAGCCTCAGAGAGGAGACAGCAGGTGCACTCAGTCTAAATGGATGACAGAGTTTGCCAGGGAGAGGAGGGGAAGAACAAGGCATTCACGGACATTTGTTATTGGATGAAAGAATGAAGTATGTACGCCAGAGATCATATAGAACATAGAAGTTAAGAATGTACACTTTAAACTCAGACTTGGGATCAAAATGCCACTCCTCTACTTCCCATTGTGTGGGCTTGAGCAATTATCATAGACTTCCTAAGCCTCAGTTTCTATCTGCCATGCAGCTGCAGTGGGATTATGCACACAAAGCCCTTATCCCAGTCCTGGCACACAGTATAAGCTCAATAAATGGGAACTGTCACTATTGAAATCATACAATACACATGGTAGAAGAACCCTCCGGGGTCATCTGGTCCAGCCATGAGCCAGTGCAGGAATTCCCTCCGCTCCTCCCTCACAGGTGGCTGCTCTATAATTATCCATGGGACGAAGGAGCTCTCTCCTGTCCAGGAAGCCCACTGCAGGGCTGTGTACTTTAAGTCCTGAAAACTTCTTTCTATCGGCCTTCAATGGGTTGGCCGCTAACCACTGATTCCAGTTTTTCTTCCTGGAGGAAGATGGAAAACAGTAAGTATATTTTACATGACAGACCTTTAGATATTTGAGGACACGTCTCACAATTCACTAAGTTTGCTCTTTTCACAGCGCCTCCAGATCGTCTGTCATTTTGTCCTAGGAAGGATGCCCATTCTGCTTACCCTCTAATTTTCCAAGATATATCTTAAAGAGAGTCTATAATTAAACACTATATAAACAACCCAAAATGGAGAGACCCTCTCTCTCACACCTTCATCCTATGCCCAGAGATTGCAGAAGTCTTTTTAGCAGCATCTTCACTGGGGCTCTTATTTACCAGTAAATGAACTCTGGCCTTTCCACAATGGTGGTAGTTAAGTCTGATACCTTCATCTTTTACTTGTGCAACTGATCTTTTTCATAACCCAATTCAAGACTTTGTATGCATCTTGTTAAATATCACCTTACTTATTTGGCACGTTATGGAGACATCTTTTGAATATTTTATCCAGCTGACACATTTCTCCTGAGATTTCTGCAGAACTGATAAATGGGCATCCTGTACATTTATGTGATATTAGAAAGCAAAATGTCAGATGGAACTGGACATGGAAGACAGCCATCTGGCACATCATTAGGGACCTTTCTCAGCCTTTGGATGAAGCCGACTCTATATGCACCAAACTGGTGTCATCCAGCCCACATTGCTATATCTTGTCTATGAGGCTGTTAGAGAAATGACCAAGGTCAAAATAGTTTCCTGAACTGAAGCTCCACAATGTCTGTCATGTTCATTGGCACTACAAACCTTGCAACTCCATCCAGAAAAAGAAATGACATTTGTTTTTCACAGCTTCTCACGAAACACGAGTGGTTTCTAGTAATCTCAAAATTCTTTCTAAATACTCACAATCTTTCTTTCTTTCTTTCTTTTTTCTTTTTTTTTTTGAGATGGATTCTCGTCTCGCTCTGTCGCCCAGGCTGGAGTGCAGTGGCGCAATCTCGGCTCACTGCAAGCTCCGCCTCCCGGGTTCACACCATTCTCCTGCCTCAGCCTCCCGAGTAGCTGGGACTACAGGCGCCCACCACAACACCAGCTAATTTTTTGTACTTTTTTTTTTAGTACAGACGGGGTTTCACCGTGTTAGCCATGATGGTCTCCATATCCTGCCTTGTGATCTGCCCGCCTTGGCCTCCCAAAATGCTGGGATTACAGGCGTGAGCCACCGCACCTGGTCCACAATTTCTTTGATAATTATTTCTAGGCCGGGCGCGGTGGCTCACGCCTGTAATCCCAGCACTTTGGGAGGCCGAGGTGAGTGGATCATCTGGGGTCAGGAGTTCAAGACCAGCTGAGCCAATATGGTGAAACCCCGTCTCTACTGAAAATACCAAAAGTTAGCTTGGCATAGTGGTAGGCACCTGTAATCCCAACTACTCAGAGGCTGAGACAGGAGAATCGCTTGAACCTGGGAGGCGGAGGTTGCAGTGAACCCCGATTGCACCATTGCACTCCAGCCTGGGCAACAGGAGCAAAACTCCATCTCAAAATAATAATAATAATAATAATAATAATAATAATAATAATAATAGTTTCTAGAATTTTGACAAGGATCATAATTCATGCTTCTTTTCCATATGAAAAACGGAAAATGTGCTCCAAGACCTCTAGCCTTTTGGTTCCAAAATTCTCCATGAGTTTTCAAAGACTGAGGTCATATGTATAAGCTATTTCTTTTCTTTTGTTTTTTGTTTTGTTTTGTTTTTTTGAGACCGAATCTCACCCTGTCACCCAGGCTGGAGTGCAGTAGCATGATCTCAGCTCACTGCAACCTCTGCCTCCCCGGTTCAAGAGATTCTCCTGCCTCAGCCTCCTGAGTAGCTGGGATTAGAGGTATGTGCCACCATGCCCGACTAATTTTTGTGTTTTTAGTAGAGATGGGGTTTCGCTATGTTGCCCAGGCTGGTCTTGAACTCCTGGGCTCAAGCGATCCACCTGCCTCAGCCTCCCAAAGGGCTGGGATTGCAGGTGTCACCAATCGTGCCCGGTCAATATGCAAGACATTTCAAAAGCAGGGGCTTAATTCAGCAAGTTCTGATTGAGTAATGCTACATCCAAGACACTGTTCTATGTTCCATCTTTCACCTGGCCTTACAGCTCTCTCATTTTTTCCACGTATCTAGATTCAGTCCCTTCTAGATATTTGTTTAATGTTTCTAGATTAAGGATCGTTTTTCCTTGATAGAGAAAACAGAAAAGCTGAGAGCTGAGAATTCTGCCTTTCCTCGTATCTAACATTATACCATCTGCCACATGCACTGGGCCTATCCTTCCTTGTTCTCGATCCAAAAGAAGCAGCTTTCAAGACACTATTTTGCTGTCTTTAGAGCATTTTTTGTTGTTGTTTTTCAGATTCAGCCTCTTTCCTGCATTATACCCACACGTTCTAGCTAGACTTTTATCCGGGATTACATGTCATTTTTTCAGTCTTATGTGTCCTAAAATCTGGCCTGTTAGAGAGTTCCCTGTGCTGCCACACTGATTCCCCTTGACACTGTACTTGACAAACACAGGTTGAACAGAATCACTCAATTTAATTATTTTTTCAGTGGAATAACTTCTAATTTTATTGGCTACAGTTTTTTTTTTTTTTTTTTAATGAGATGAAGCTCTTGTCGCCCAGGCTGGAGTGCAATGGCATGATCTCAGCTTACTGCAACCTCTGCCTCCTGGGTTCAAGCAATTCTCCTGCCTCAGCCTCCTGAGTAGCTGAGATTACAAGCACCT
Organism: Homo sapiens; assembly: GCF_000001405.40. NCBI lineage: Eukaryota > Metazoa > Chordata > Mammalia > Primates > Hominidae > Homo > Homo sapiens. Next base: position 12,343,276 of record NC_000011.10, on the reverse strand, counting down.
GCCACCATGCCTGGCTAATTTTTGTATTTTTAGTAGAGATAGGGTTTCATCATGTTGGCCAGGCTGGTCTCGAACTCCTGACCTCAGGTGATCCGCCCACCTCAGCCTCCCAAAGTGCTGGGATTACAGGTGTGAGCCACGGCGCCCAGCCTATTTTTCAGTCTCCCTTTCTTCAGTAGTCAAAAGCACTTTGGGGGATCTTCGGGTGTGGAATCAAGTGCAGGTTTCCAGGGAATCTGCCTTCCCAAAGTATTGGGTTCAGGACGACTGTGCCCAGTTCAACCTTGCCTTGCTCTCCACTCCAACCACGCCCCAAGAGGCTCCTCTACGATTTCCATCAGCTCCCTGCCCCCTCCCGGTAAGATTCCTTCCTGTGGGTCCTGACGAAGGCAGCATTGCCCCTCACTATAAATGCAATAGAGCAAAGTGAAAGAAGCATGGGCTTTGAAGTCAATCAGACCTTGCTCTGCCACTTACAAACATGTGACTTTGGGCACGTAACCTCACGTCTGTCTGCCTGAGTCTCCTCCTGTGGAAAATGGGGATGGTGATGATAGTACCTACCTTATAAATTGGATTAAATGAGCTGACGCATGTCAAATGCTTAGCATTGTGCTTGGCTAAGCATTGTGCTTGGCACATAGTAAACACTCAGTAAACTATACCATGCCATTTCTATAGTAAACTATACCATACCACACCTACCTTGCCATTTCTTCCAACGTCTAGTTCTATAGTTCAATATGGATTATTTTCTGTTCACCTTTAGAATTCAGCTAGAGTATAACCCCTGCCTTGACTATACATGGCTAAACTTTATTTTGTAACTTAAAATGAAGTTAACAAAAACTCATAAATAATAATTTTTTTTTGGCCTCATGTAAATGAAAAGGTCATGTGGCTGCGTAGATCATCCGCACTTCTTGGGAAGACACAAGCACCTGGTACCTATGCGATGGTTTGCTTATCCACATCTCCATCTGGTCCCATAGCTGCTGGTGCATGGAAAGCCCTTTCAGGGCATGGCTGGGACTCTTATGACTAGCTAGGAACCAGGACGCAGCTGCAATGGTGCAGCCAAAAGGCAAGCAGCCTCTGCCTGTGAATAGAATGGCCCAGTTCTCCAGCCCTTTCTTCCGCTCACCCTCTGCCTGGGTCCACTGTCAACTGGCTCTTCAATTGCTCCTGTGTCCTCATCTCATGCCTTTTCCTGTGCGAAATGTAAGTATCCCACTTGCTGAGGTGAAATGATCAAAACCCAACACAAAGTGACTTTTTATTAATAGAGTCATTTATATTGACTCAGTTTTGCCCAAGAGTACTCTCAAAATTGCAAAGCACACTATGTTACTTCCAACCACCAAGGCTGGTAAATCTTAGTCCCTACTTACCCTACGATGATTGGCATGTAAAGGTCAATAACTTTTTTCTTTTCTTTTCTTTTCTTTTTGAGAAAGAGTCTTGCTCTGATGCCCAGGCTAGAGTGCAGTGGTGCAATTTTGGCCCACCACAAACTCCACCTCCCGGGTTCAAGCTATTCTTTTGCCTCAGCCTCCCAAGTAGCTGGGACTACAGGCATGCGCCACCATGCTCGGCTAATTTTTATATTTTTCGTAGAGATGGGGTTTCACCATGTTGGCCAGGCTGGTCTTGAACTCCTGACCTTAGGTAATCTGCCTGTCTTGGCCTCCCAAAGTGCTGGGATTAGAGGCATAAGCCACCGCGCCGGGCCAATAACATTTTTTGGAATAGATAGTAGTAGAGAAAAAAAACGATCTATTTATTCTTTAAACTTATGTCTTTTTTTTTGTTTGTTTTTAACCTTTTTTTTTGTAGGTAATGCTGAAGGCTTCTCTGATTATGTATTGGTGTGTGTTTTTTATCCAAGTTGGGTCTTGTTTTGCTGCGTGGTTCATAACTATCTATCTCTTTTGATGTGATTTTGCACCTCCTTAGAATCTGTGAGAAGTCCTAATTCAGTGTTCGCTGCAATTTTGTTGATGTAGTCTTCATCTTCACTGATGATCTAGGGGCCTTCAAGGGGCTTTAGAGAAAGTGGAGCAGGAACTCTCAATAGCACTGTGCAGGGCCTCTCCCCTGGAATGGCTGGGTTTCGGTCCCTGTCTTTTGTTCTCTGGTCTCTGGTCAGCACTCCACTCTGGAGCTCATGCACAGACCTGTTTCATTCAAGTTTCTACCACCCTTCATATGTGGAGCTCTGGGTATGTCTGCCTCCCACAGGCTCCTTACACAGAATGATGATAATCCAGAAAGCTGTGCTGTGAATCTGGCCTGATTCAGTCTTGACAAGCCCAAGATGCTAGTAGCTAGCTCACAATTCTGTTCTGGGAGTCAGAGCATGCAGCTGAAAAATAAAAATTCTAATCTTTCCCTTTTAAATTACTTTTTGTTTTGTTTTAATCTGTATATTCTTTAGAAACAAAAAAATTAGTTTTTCTTGACTTTGGGCTTTAGTGAAATTGTATTATACTATATGTATTCTTCCATAACTTGCTTGTTTTAAATTCAAAATTATGTTGTAAAAATGCATCCATGTGACTGATTCATTTTCACTGCTGTATATATAACATTCGGTTGTATGACTATACCACAAATTATCCATTTTCCTGTTAATGGATATCTGAGTTGTTCTTAGAGTTCTGCTATTATGAGTGATGCTGTTATGAGCATTCTTGTATGTGTCTTTTTGGCCACGTGGGTAAGAGTTTCTCTGGAGTATATATTAGGAATGAAATTCTTAAATTGTAGCGTATGCACATATTCAACTTCACAGCCTAAAGCCCAATTGTTTTCCAAAGTGTTGTGACAATTTGTGTTCCCATTAACATTGAATAAGAGTGCACCTTGTCCCTCACCCTTGCCAAATGCTTAGTATTATCAGATTTTTAAAGTTCTAATAATTTAATAGTTTTCCATAGTTTTTTACTGTAGTCTGAATTATTTGTATTTTCCTGTCTTTTTCACAGATTTATTGGACATTAAGTATTCTTCTGTGAAGAGAATATTTATGTCATTTGTCTATATTTATATTGGGTTGTTTGCCTATTTCTTACTGATTTGTAACAGTGGGAATATTCTAGAATGCTGATTCTTTTTTGGTTATTTTTTTTGCAAACACAGTTGACCGTCTGTATCTGAGGGTTCTACATCCTCAGATTCAACCAACTGTGGATTGAAAATATTCTGGAAGGTAGAGCCAAGATGGCTGAATTGGAACAGCTCCAGTCTATAGCTCCCAGCGTGAGCGACGCAGAAGATGGGTGATTTCTGCATTTCCAACTGAGCTTTGAAGAGAGTAGTGGTTCTCCCAGCACACAGCTTGAGAACTGAGAACGGGCAGACTGCCTCCTCAAGTGGGTCCCTGACCCCCGAGTAGCCTAACTGGGAGGCACCCCCCAGTAGGGGCAGACTGACACCTCACAAGGCTGGGTACTCCTCTGAGACAAAACTTCCAAAGGAACGATCAGGCAGCAGCATTTGCGGTTCACCAATATCCGCTGTTCTGCAGCCACCACTGCTGATACCCAGGCAAATGGGTCTGGAGTGGATCTCCAGCAAACTCCAACAGACCTGCAGCTGAGGGTCCTGACTGTTAGAAGGAAAACTAACAAACAGAAAGGACATCCACACCAAAAACCCATCTGTACATCACCATCATCAAAGACCAAAGGTAGATAAAACCACAAAGATGGGGAAAAAACAGAGCAGAAAAACTGGAAACTCTAAAAATCAGAGTGCCTTTCCTCATCCAAAGGAACACAGCTCCTCACCAGCAACGGAACAAAGCTGGATGGAGAATGACTTTGATGAGTTGAGAGAAGGCTTCAGAAGATCAAACTACTATGAGCTAAAGGAGGAAGTTCGAACCAATGGCAAAAAAGTTAAAAACCTTGAAAAAAAATTAGATGAATGGCTAACTAGAATAATCAATGAAGAGAAGTCCTTAAAGGACCTGATGGAGCTGAAAACCACGGCACGAGAACTACGTGACAAATGCACAAGCCTCAGTAGCTGACGCGATCAACTGGAAGAAAGGGTATCAGCGATGAAAGATGAAATGAATGAAATGAAGTGAGAAGTTTAGAGAAAAAAGAGTAAAAAGAAATGAACAAAGCCTCCAAGAAATATGGGACTATGTGAAAAGACCAAATCTACGTATGACTGGTGTACCTGAAAGTGATGGGGAGAATGGAATCAAGTTGGAAAACACTCTGCAGGATATTATCCAGGAGAACTTCCCCAATCTAGCAAGGCAGGCCAACATTCAGATTCAGGAAATACAGAGAATGCCGCAAAGATACTCCTCGAGAAGAGCAACTCCAAGACACATAATTGTCAGATTCACCAAAGTTGAAATGAAGGAAAAAATGTTAAGGGCAGCCAGAGAGAAAGGTCAGGTTACCCACAAAGGGAGGCCTATCCGACAAACAGCTGATCTCTCCGCAGAAACTCTACAAGCCAGAAGAGAGTAGGGGCCAATATTCAACATTCTTAAAGAAAAGAATTTTCAACCCAGAATTTCATATCCAGCCAAACTAAGCTTCATAAGTGAAGGAGAAATAAAATACTTTACAGACAAGCAAATGTTGAGAGATTTTGTCACCACAAGGCCTGCCCTAAAAGAGCTCCTGAAGGAAGCACTAAATATGGAAAGGAACAACTGGTACCAGCCACTGCAAAAACATGCCAAATTGTAAAGACCATCAAGGCTAGGAAGAAACCGCATCAACTAACGAGCAAAATAACCAGCTAACATCATAATGACAGGATCAAATTCACACATAACAATATTACCCTTAAACGTAAATGGGCTAAATGCGCCAATTAAAAGACACAGACTGGCAAATTGGATAAAGAGTCAAGACCCATCAGTGTGCTGTATTCAGGAAACCCATTTCACGTGCAGAGACACACATAGGCTCAAAATAAAGGGATGGAGGAAGATCTACCAAGAAAATGGAGAACAAAAAAAGGCAGGGGTTGCAAGCCTAGTCTCTGATAAAACAGACTTTAAACCAACAAAGATCAAAAGAGACAAAGAAGGCCATTACATAATGGTAAAGGGATCAATTCAACAAGAAGAGCTAACTATCCTAAATATATATGCACCCAATACAGGAGCACACAGATTCATAAAGCAAGTCCTTAGTGACCTACAAAGAGACTTAGACTCCCACACAATAATAATGGGAGACTTTAACACCCCACTGTCAACATTAGACAGATCAACGAGACAGAAACTTAACAAGGATATCGAGGAATTGAACTCAGCTCTGCACCAAGCGGACCTACTAGACACCTACAGAACTCTCCGCCCCAAATCAACAGAATATACATTCTTTTCAGCACCACACCACACCTATTCCAAAACTGACCACATAGTTGGAAGTAAAGCTCTCCTCAGCAAATGTAAAAGAACAGAAATTATAACAAACTGTCTCTCAGACCATAGTGCAATCAAACTAGAACTCAGGATTAAGAAACTCACTCAAAACCACTCAACTACATGGAAACTGAACAACCTGCTCCTGAATGACTACTGGGTACATAACGAAATGAAGGCAGAAATAAAGATGTTCTTTGAAACCAACGAGAACAAAGACACAACATACCAGAATCTCTGGGACACATTCAAAGCAGTGTGTAGAGGGAAATTTATAGCACTAAATGCCCAAAAGAGAAAGCAGGAAAGATCTAAAATTGACACCCTAACATCACAATTAAAAGAACTAGAGAAGCAAGAGCAAACACATTCAAAAGCTAGCAGAAGGCAAGAAATAACTAAGACCAGAGCAGAACTGAAGGAAATAGAGACACAAAAAACCCTTCAAAAAATCAATGAATCCAGGAGCTGGTTTTTTGAAAAGATCAACAAAATTGATAGACCGCTAGCAAGACTAATAAAGAATAAAAGAGAGAAGAATCAAATGGACGCAATAAAAAATGACAAAGGGGATATCACCACCGATCCCACAGAAATACAAACTACCATCAGAGAATACTATAAACACCTCTACGCAAATAAACTAGAAAATCTAGAAGAAATGGATAAATTCCTCGACACATACACCCTCCGAAGACTAAACCAGGAAGAAGTTGAATCTCTGAATAGACCAATAACAGGCTCTGAAATTGAGGCAATAATTAATAGCTTACCAACCAAAACAAGTCCAGGACCAGATGGATTCACAGCCGAATTCTACCAGAGGTACAAGGAGGAGCTGGAACCATTCCTTCTGAAACTATTCCAATCAATAGAAAAAGAAGGAATCCTTCCTAACTCATTTTATGAGGCCAGCATCATCCTGATACCAAAGCCTGGTAGAGACACAACAAAAAAAGAGAATTTTAGACCAATATCCTTGATGAACACTGATGCAAAAATCCTCAATAAAATACTGGCAAACTGAATCCAGCAGCACAGCAAAAAGCTTATCCACCATGATCAAGTCAGCTTCATCCCTGGGATGCAAGGCTGGTTCAACATATGAAAATCAATAAACATAATCCAGCATATAAACAGAACCAAAGACAAAAACCACATGATTATCTCAATAGATGCAGAAAAGGCCTTTGACAAAATTCAACAACCCTTCATGCTAAAAACTCTCAATAAATTAGGTATTGATGGGATGTATCTCAAAATAATAAGAGCCATCTATGACAAACCCACAGCCAATATCATACTGAATGGACAAAAACTGGAAGCATTCCCTTTGAAAACTGGCACAAGACAGGGAGGCCCTCTCTCACCACTCCTATTCAACATAGTTTTGGAAGTTCTGGTCAGGGCAATCAGGCAGGAGAAGGAAATAAAGGGCATTCAATTAGGAAAAAAGGAAGTCAAATTTCCCTGTTTGCAGATGACATGATTGTATATCTAGAAAACCCCATTGTCTCAGCCCAAAATCTCCTTAAGCTGATAAGCCACTTCAGCAAAGTCTCAGGATACAAAATCAATGTGCAAAAATCACAGACATTCTTATACACCAATAATAGACAAACAGAGAGCCAAATCATGAGTGAACTCCCATTCACAACTTCCTCAAAGAGAATAAAATACCTAGGAATCCAACTTACAAGGGATGTGAAGGGCCTCTTCAAGGAGAACTACAAACCACTGCTCAATGAAATAAAAGAGGATACAAACAAATGGAAGAACGTTCCATGCTCATGGGTAGGAAGAATCAATATCATGAGAATGGCCATACTGCCTAAGGTAATTTATAGATTCAATGCCATCCCCATCAAGCTACCAATGACTTTCTTCACAGAATTGGAAAAACTTCTTTAAAGTTCATATGGAACCAAAAAAGAGCCCGCATTGTCAAGTCAATCCCAAGCCAAAAGAACAAAGCTGGAGGCATCATGCTACCTGACTTCAAACTATACTACAAGGCTACAGTAACCAAAACAGCATGGTACTGGTACCAAAACAGATACACAGACCAATGGAACAGAACAGAGCTCTCAGAAATAATGCTGCATATCTACAACTATCTGATCTTTGACAAACTTGACAAAAACAAGAAATGGGGAAAGGATTCCCTATTTAATAAATGGTGCTGGGAAAACTAGCTAGCCATATGTAGAAAGCTGAAACTGGATCCCTTCCTTACACCTTATACAAAAATTAATTCAAGATGGATTAAAGACTTACATGTTAGACCTAAAACCATAAAAACCCTAGAAGAAAACCTAGGCAATACTATTCAGGACATAGGCATGGGCAATGACTTCATGACTAAAACACCAAAAGCAATGGCAACAAAAGCCAAAATTGACAAATGGGATCTAATTAAACTCAAGAGCTTCTGCACAGCAAAAGAAACTACCAACAGAGTGAACAGGCAACCTACAGAATGGGAGAAAATTTTTGCAACCTACTCATCTGACAAAGGGCTAATATCCAGAATCTACAATGAACTCAAACAAATTTACAAGAAAAAAACAAACAATCCCATCAAAAAGTGGGTGAAGGATATGAAGAGACACTTCTCAAAAGAAGACATTTATGCAGCCAAAAAACACATGAAAAGAGGCTCATCATCACTGGCCATCAGAGAAATGCAAATCAAAACCACAATGAGATACCATCTCACACCAGTTAGAACGGCAATCATTAAAAAATCAGGAAAAAACAGGTGCTGGAGAGGATGTGGAGAAATAGGAACACTTTTACACTGTTGGTGGGACTGTAAACTAGTTCAACCATTGTGGAAGACAGTGTGGTGATTCCTCAGGGATCTAGAACTAGAAATACCATTTGACCCAGCAATCCCATTACTGGGTATATACCCAAAGGATTATAAGTCATGCTGCTATAAAGACACATGTGCACGTATGTTTACTGCAGCACTATTCACAATAGCCAAGACTTGGAACCAACCCAAATGTCCATCAATGATAGACTGGATTAAGAAAATGTACATATACACCATGGAATACTATGCAGCCATAAAAAATGATGAGTTCATGTCCTTTGTAGGGACATGGATAAAGCTGGAAACCATCATTCTCAGCAAACTATCACAAGGACAAAAAAACCAAACACCACATGTTCTCACTCACAGGTGGGAATTGAACAATGAGAACACATGGACACAGGAAGGGGAACATCACACACCGGGGACTGTTGTGGGGGGGTGGGGGGAGGGGGGAGGGATAGCATTAGGAGATATACCTAATGCTAATTGACGAGTTAATGGGTGCAGCACACCAACATGGCACATGTATACATATGTAACTAACCTGCACGTTGCGCACATGTACCCTAAAACTTAAAGTATAATAATAATAAAATTAAAAAAAAAGAAAAGAAAATATTCTGGATAAAAAAAGGATGGTTGTGTCTGTACTGAACATACACAGACTCTTTTTCTTGTCATTATTCCCTAAACAACATGGTATAACAACTATTTACACAACATTTACACTGTATTCAGTATTATGAGTAATCTAGAGATGATTTCAAGTATGCAAGAGGACGTGCATAGGTTATACGCAGTGACTACGCCATTTTATATCAGGGACTTGAGCATCCTCAAATTTTGGTATCTTCAGGGGTTCTGGAACAAATCCTCTGTGGATAACAGAGTGTGACTGTATATTTTCCAAATGAGTGTCTTTTCATTTCCTTTATAGTATCTATTGACTAACAACTTGAGGTCAAAAAAAGATTCTTCTTAACATCTCAAGTTTCAATTTTCACATTAAAGTCCTTAATCTTTATGGAATTGATTTGTTTGTATGGTACGAAACAAGACTCAATTTCATTTTTTCCTCTATGGAAACCAATTGTCTCAGAATCACTTATTTCCTGTGATCTCTAATGCTACTGATGGCTTATATCAACTTTTCATATATATAAGAATATGTTTGGATCCTTTGATGACTTTCAGAAAAGTATTAAAATTGGCTCCATAAGATAGTACATGTTTTTTGCTAGATTTACTCCTAGGTACCTTATATTTTTGATGTTAATGTAAGTGATATCTTTATTACTTCATTTTCTAGGTGTTTCATGCTGAGATATTGAAATGCAATTAATTTTTCTAGTTTGAGCTTATATCCAGTCACTGTTATTTAGGTCCATATTATGTTTAATAGTTTACTTGTACATTTTGGGGTTTTTGTCATATAGACAATCCTAGCATCTGGAAACAACAAAATTTTTTTTCTTTCTTTCCAAACCTCTTGCCTTTCTCTGCCTTGTCTTACCACACTGGTTGGGATCTCCTGCACAAAGTTAAATAGAAGACTTAAGAGTAGGCAACATTATTTTATTACTGATTTTTAAAGAAATGCTTCTATTTAACAGTGATGTTTGCCGCATGGTTTTGGAAAATATGTTTCAATTAAGAAAGTTCTATTCTGTTCTATTGCTTTTTTTTTTTGCTAAAAGTTTTTAGCAAATGGATGTTAAATTGTGTCAAATGATTTTCCTTCTTCTATTGAAAAGACCATAAGATTTTCCTCTTTAATTTTTCAATATGGTAGTTGTAAAATCACCCTTAGATTGCCAGATTTAAAAACTAACGGGATTAAGTGTTTGTTATATTCTTTTATCTTTTTGAATCTTTGCTGTATCTGTGGTTGCATCTGCCCTTTCCATTTCTTCTTTATTTCTGTCTTCTGTCTTATTTTTAAAAAACAACTTGCAAGGGTCAGCTTTAGTCTCTCATTAATACGTTTGTTCAATATTTGGCTTGCAATGAGGCCATGGACTTCCTACAGAGTGGCCAGTGAAGCTGGAAACAGAGGTGAATATACAGCAAGCGGACTGTCGGTATTTGTTGAGTGAGCCAGTCTTCCATAGACTAGGAGTGTCCCTGTACATCTTTGCTGAGTGAGCCAAACTGCAAGGCCCTACCATCCTCTGAACCTTAGCCATTCCTCTAACTAGTCAGGTAGAGAATTCCAAGAAGGGGGTCAGGATACTACTGTGTGACTACTGCACAACTACTTGCTTCCTGGGAAAGGGGAATTGGCTCATTTACTGCTTGCTATAAAAGCTGCTGAGTCCTTTTCCTGGGGCTCCCTAGCTATGGGACAACTCACTGCACGCACAGGTGCCATCTGGGCTCATCATGTCACACCATGGGACTTGGGAACAGGGCAACTTGGGCTACCGAGCTGATGTTCCTGCTGTTTGCTATGCTGTGAATAATAAACTCTCTTGCTCTGATGTACTGACTTTTGTTGTTTACTTTTTGCACCTACATAGTTGTGGCAAACAACCCAAGTTCCTTGCATGCTTAATCATCCACTTTGAAGTCTTATTACTCCTGACCATTATCTATAAGGTTGGTGTCCTTTTCTGACAATATCCCATTATATTATGTGACAAAATAATATTATCTGTGTTTCTGTGTTCATGGCTACCTGTATTTAGAGAGACTCCTTTAGAATCACAGAAGATCTCAACCCTTCCCCTGCTCTGCTGACTTATGAATGCACAGCAACCAGCCATGTCTAATGATGGATGAAAGGGTACAACCTTTAACTCACTGCCTTCAAGTACCTTTTGAGAACAAATAGTTATGGAAGGAAACCTAAAGAATATCTATTTCCTAAAACCCATTCCCAAATTGTGGCAGAGTGTCAGAGAGGCATGCCTCAAAACCCATAGTCTGCTATCTTTGTTGAACAGCTTTTATTGCATTACTGTTTTTTGGGGGCGGTGGTGGCGGGGGTGTGGGAGTGATAACAATGAGTCCTCATTGAGATCCTTGTTTGGATCAGGCATGCAAAATTCATGTATTACAAATATTTAGAGAAACCGGCTTAAATCTCTTGTAGGGAGTATAGTTACAAATGAATGTGAATGGATGAACAAACAAATAAATACAATTTGAGAAGTCATTGACCATCCAGCTGTGTTTTATAATAATAGGGACATAAAAGAAAAGAGAAGGAATATTTTTGGATACCTATTTTATTTCAGGCCCTTTTGTGGGTGCTTTACTAACATTATTTCACTTCATCTTTTCTTCATACCACCTCTGTGAGGTTGGTATTATTCATTCAATTTTACAGATGAGAAAATTTCGCAGAAAAGTAAATAATTGTATAAGGACTACATTGGGATTCAAACTCAGGAGTGTCTGATTCTAATGCCTGTGCTCTGTCCAGGACACCTCACTGTACATTATCCAGGAATTTTTATTCCTCGGGTCCTCAGCAGCAGTGAAAACCATGGAGTGTAAGCTCAGCTACCTCCCCGGTCCTGGAGAGGCTTTCGCTAGCATTTCTCACATAATGTGTGCTCCTGCTGCCACCTGCTGGCACTTTGTGCATCCTAATTTTTCTTGGTAAACCCCTCAATCTCCGGGAAGAAGAAACCATCTGGCTCCAAAAAAGGCAAGAAGCTCCATGCAGACAACTAGCTGGTAAATCTTCCCCAAAGCTGGTAAAGCTATAAGGGAATAATTATTCTCATCGACCTCCCCTGGGGAGAAATCCTTTCTCTTTCGAAGTTACTCAGTTTTCATCAGATTCCAGGTATTGAAAGAAAGCCCAGATTGTGTTATCCAGACCATTTAAATTTGAATGGTGGTCTCTTGCTAGACTGGGGTATTCCATGCCCCTAGTATGTAACACTGATCATCATATTGACAAGCAACAAGCCAGTAGGTAACAGTGCCTCAACCAATAAGAGTCTAAGTGGCTGCAGAGCTGGGCTTGGCCTCTTTCCAGAAGGTGGTAGGGCCCCCAGGAATCAGGTTACTGCATATCCTGGTCCTTCACCTGGGCAGCTAGGACCAAGAGGGGACTCTCTTACCTCTGTCAAAGACATCACACACACAGACACACACATACAGACACACACACACACACACACACACACACACACTCTCTCTCTCTCTCTCTGTCTCTCTCTCTCTCTCTCTCTACCCCTCTCTCTGTCTCTCTCTCTCTCTGTCTGTCTCTCCCTCTCTCTCTCTCTCTGTCTCTCTCTCTCTCTCTCCACGTCCTGCAAAACATAATGATTTGTCATCTGGGGTGGATTATTAGATTTTTGTTTTCCTTTGTTTCCCTTTCCTTGACAAAATGGGGAAAAACCCTTCCCGGGGGCGGGAGAGCTTATTTCTGACTGCTGTAAAAAAAGAAAGCAGGAATTGTTGTCACGACAATGAGGAGCTCATCAAAGCCTCATTTTGCTCATCAGCCATCATTGCCCTCCATCCCGCACCCCCGCATGTTCCTCTAATTCAATGCCCGCCTAATGAATAACTCCCAGAACAAAAGCCCCTTTCAGGCTGCCTACATAATTATCAGAGGAGCCTTGCATAACTGTCGCAGACTACTCATGTTTTCAGGTCTGTCTCTAAATTTGGTTATTCACAACCTTTATAGCTCAATATTATTGCCTAACTGTGATCATTTTCTAATTATCCTAATAATACCTATTAAATAATTCCCATTAAATCACTTGAACCGGAGCAGCACAGGCCAGCTCAAATACAACTTAACCTAATAAGCGTTGGTCATTCATTAAGCAACAGGGCAATCTCTTAAAGGGACTGAATAGAATATTAAACCACCAAGGAATATTATTATTGCACAAATGTTATTACAAGTTAGAGTATATTAATTTTGGTGGCTGGTCTGCAAAACTTCCATTTGGTTGCTTTTGAGGCCACTCTCCCGTCTTGACTCTTTTAGTCTCCAGCCCCTTGTTGATCTGCATCTGTCACCCACACAAGGACAATCATGGGAAAAAGGCCCATAAACTTAACAGGGGAATTAAATTACCAAGGATATAAAGGGAATGAATGGAATCCATCTTCTGTCTGGCTTGGCACACCTCCGAAACATCACAAGCTGGCCAGATTTCTTTTGCTATAACTCAAACTAGCTCTCTCTTTTCTTTTTTTTTTTTTTTTTTTTTCATATTTGGGGATGAGGAAGATTTTCAGAAGATGCTTTACAATTTTGGTTTCTATCATTTAAATTTCAAGCAGTAAAAATTAGACAAATTCTTTAAAAGAAGATGTGTGTGGATACTTAGTAATATTTTGTAAAATGATATGAGTAGTGTTTACTAAATGCCTACAACCTAGGCAATACTCCGGTAGAGACTTTGCCTATCAACACTTCTAATTCTCAAAATGACCTGATAATATGGGGATTATTATCTTCACTTTTCAGATAAAAAATCTAGGACCAGAGAGGTTAAGTGATTTTCCCAGGACTATTCAGCCTAAGCGGAGTGGAATAGAATTTGAACACAGGGCTTATTGGCTTATTGGCGCCCACAGCTCCCCACTTCCCACCATGCCACCTCTTGGCCTGTGTTGCTGGCGGCAAACTGAAGCACGCCCTGGCTTTTCTGGTTTTTCCTCTTCTTTTCTAATGCTCTCACTGAGATCAGCAGATTGTCAAAGACAAGGACCAGAGCCTTCTGGACTGGGAATATGACCAAGCACCAAACAAGGGCAGTTCATTCTACCAAAAGTCCCACAGCAGCTGTAGAGATGGACAGTGACTCTCAGTCCAGGCAGCAAGAAACTCTTTATATTTGTAATAAGCCTATTTCTAATGAGCAAATTTGGGTCATCTTTGCAAGGAAATCCAGTGCATTGTAGTAAAAAAAACAAACAGGTATTGATTAATCATCTGCTCCATGCCAGGCACTGGCTATGGATATTACATAAATTATTTTAGCTAATCCTCACCACAAATACAAGTAACAAGTATTATTAGCACTCCCAATTTACCAACAAGAAAACTGAAGCACAGAAGAGGTAAAGTCTGACTCTAGCATTTCCCTGAAATCTAGTTGCTAAATTAACCATGCAGTTAATGAAACTGAAACCTCAGGACCCCTTACTTGGATGGGTCCTTGCAAGGTTCTGGAAGCAGCCCTCACAATTTTACATGCATGACTTTGCATGAACTCCAGGCCTCAGGAAATCTGGGTCTGCACCTGCTAGTTTCATCGCTCTCATGTAACTGGACTCTTAAAGAATTGAAATCCTAATGTTTCACTTGTTAAGTAACAAGTAACCTGTTGTTTATATTATTGCACATTATTTCAGTGCTCAGTTTTTCACCTTTTATATCTCAAATGCTGAAGGCTGAAGACATCACATTATAAAACTAAAGAGACAATACCCCCAACAAACTCTTAGGGCCCCCCAATTCATGAGCCACACCCCTACTGGAAGATTTCCGAAAATGTAGGTTTCTTTAAGCCACTCCTTACCTGAAAACCCTTCACTAGCTCATTTGTGAAGATATTTCATGTCTTTCCACATTTGACCTTTGCAGGTGCTGTTCCCTCTGCCAAAACAATCTCCTCTTTACTGGTTAACTCTTGTTCCTCCTCTGGTTCTCATCTTATAGATCACCCCTTCCCAGAAGCCTTGCTTGATGGCTTCCCTCGCCCCAAGATCAGTTAGGAACCTCTTGGTTCTGTTCACGTTGTACCCTAATGCTTGTTCCTATGACAGCATTTGTCATACTGTATTGTGGATTACCTCTTTACCTATGTGTGCCTCTCAATGGACTATAAACTTCTCAAGGTAGAAACTGCATCATACTCATTGTTACAGACCCAGTGTTTTAATGTCTAATGCATAGTAGGTCTTCACCAGATGAGTTCTGTTTGAATCCAAGAAGCTGAAGCTATTACTGGAAAAGTTACCACTTATTGCTTTACCTTGGGCCAGGCAATGTGTTAACTTAAGCATCAAATATAATTTCTTCTTTAATCCTTATATCAGTTCTATAAAGGAGAAAACCACCATTATCCCCATTTTAGATGAGAAAATGAAAAAGTATAAAGGTTTATAATGTGACTGGCCCAAGGTCGTACAGGTAGTAAAGGAAAAACCAGGACATTGACTCTCACTCTGAGTTTTGAATTACTACCAACACTGCTCCAATACCCATATATTTCTCCTGAATTTATCTTAATCCTTGAATTGCAAAGAACATTCATGTTAGCCAGTGGAGAGGTGGCTTATATCAGTTCTATAAAGGAGAAAACCACATTATCCCCATTTTAGATGAGGAAATGAAAAAGTATAAAGGTTTATAATGTGACTGGCCCAAGGTCGTACAGGTAGTAAAGGAAAAACCAGGACATTGACTCTCACTCTGAGTTTTGAATTACTACCAACACTGCTCCAATACCCATATATTTCTCCTGAATTTATCTTAATCTTTGAATTGCAAAGAACATTCGTGTTAGCCAGTGGAGAGGTGGGGCTGAACAGACGCCCAGTTACAAGGCCCGCGGGCTGACCAATGCTCCTGGGAATTTCAAAGTGGGCCACTAGTTTGATTTTTACATTTGATCTTGGCCAAAAGGCCGAGAAACAATAGTTTGATGTTTAAAGTGTGCGGCACTTGTGGATTTACCACCATATGTCCATGCTGACAGATCTCCAGCAGGTGACAAGGTCTGTTTTCCTCAGATGGTTACGCTAGCACTATTCTCAGACCATGCCCACTGCTCCGGATCTGCTGGGATGCCGTACCTGCTTCTCCTCGCAACGCCTTCTCCAGCCTCACACCCTGGATCTCAGAAGCCCTCTGCCGCTCCTCCACCTCCTCCAGCTGCCTCTGGATGGCCTGCAACACCAGGATCAGATGTCACACAAGGACTTTCCACATAGAGTCCCAAGAGGGGCTGATTCTGCCACTTACTTTCCAGGAGAAAGAGGCCCTTTCACTTGTGATGGTCCTGCCTTGAATAACTAGGCAAGGACCTCTGAATTCCCAGACAACTATACCCTGATGTTTCCCTTCCTTAGCATGCAACATAAAGCAAGGAATTTGTATGTATGTTCAACTGGCCCTTAAGTAGACATTAAAACAGTCCCCTTAGACAAGGCCAATCACAGATGTCCTCCAAGACAGAGGCTGTTGGGTGAGGTGAGCAGTCATCATGGCTCCTAACTATGGCCGTGGCATAATGATTGGAGCTGCAGCCACTGTTCAGAGTAGGGTAGGGGGTCCAGGGGCAAACAAAGTACTTGCATAATCTATTTTCTCCAAGAAGAACCAGCCTATACCTCCCAAGGAGTCAGTCTGGAGCAAGAGAACTGGGCCAGATCCCGGGGTTTCGTGCTCCTGTTTTAGATTGTCCTGCTCCTGTCCTTAGCTACAAATTGTACCTGTTCTTTCATTGCACCATGGGCAGATGCCCAGCGTTCTTTCATTGTGGAAGTGTACTGTGCCTTTGTTACTAGCAGGTTATTAAGGTGAGACACAAGATGTTTAACTTGTTAGGGGATGACATCATACTCTCCTTAGGTTCATTATAGACACCTGTTAAGGTCTGGGGTCATGACTTTATTTGCATTTACATATTTATTTTCCTTACTAACTATTAATCTCTTGTGTATATTAGAAAGAAGTTAGGGAAAAGCCATTCCTATATAAATTTTGTTCATCCCCATCCATTTTCTCTGCTTTCAAATACCATGCTGTCAAAAGGCACATCCCTTGGCAGAACAGACTTTGCACCTGGCAGAACAGGCATATTCAAGGAACAGTCAGTTGTTTGGGCAGACAGAATGCCTGTGTTCCTCCTCTGTTTTACTTTACTCTGTCTCACTCCCCTTCTTCCTTAACCCCACGTCTTTCTAAATCTCCCCTGGAATCACAAGTACAGCAGCCGAGGCCCCTCCAATCCTGGAAAGGGACCCAAGCAGGGAGGGGTGGGGCCTGCACAGCCACCGGGCTCTTCTTGTCCCAGCTATGAGTGCTTAAGTCCCAACATAAAATCTGAAATAGATGGAAAGTCTACTTAAAACTATTTGTAATTTCATGCCCTCTTCCTGTCTCTCCCTTAAAGACAATTATATCTTTATAAATCCATCTCTTGCTGGCATGCTGTAGAATTGCTAAAGAAAGGAAGCACCTAAATGGCTTTATTGCTGATCACTGTGCAGTAACAGCTATCTGGTTCTTAGAGACTAAATTGTGTCCCACCCCAAATGCATATGTTGAAGCCCTAACCCCCAGTGTGACTATATTTGGAGATAGGGCCTTTAAGGAGGTAATCCAGGTGAAATGAAGTCATAGGGCTGGGGCCCTAATCCAATGCAGCTGATGTCCTTATAAGAGGAAAAGACACCAGAGATATTTTTCTCTGCTCACGTGAACTCACAGAAAGACCATGTGAGGACACATGAAGAAGGCAGCTGTCTATAAGCCCGGAAGAGAGGCCTCACCAGGTGCCAAACCTGCCAGCACCTTGATCTTGGACTTCTCAGCTCCAGAACATGAGGAAAATAAGTTTCTGTTGTTTAAGCCATCCGGTCCGTGGTACTTTGTTATGGCAGCCCAAGCAGACGAATACAGTGTCATTCTTTAGACACTAAGGATGAGGCTGGGCACGGTGGCTCACACCAGTAATCTCAGCATTTTGGGAAAATGTGGTGGGAGGATCACTTGAGCTCAGGAGTTCGAGATCAGCCTAGCCAACATGGTGAAAACCCGTCTCTACTAAAAATACAAAAATTAGCTGGGCGTGGTGGTGGGCTTCTGTAATCCCAGCTACTCAGGAGGCTGAGGCAAGAGAATCGCTTGAACCTAGGAGGTGGAGGTTGCAGTGAACTGAGATCACACCACTGCACTCCAGCCTGGGTGACACAGCAAGACTCTGTCTCAAAAATAAAAAACCAAAAAACAAAAAACAACAACTAAGGATGAAAGTCTCAGAGATTAAAAAGGGCTGCTATGGGTGCCAGCAGGACTCAAAAGGCCATTGTAATTCCTCTCTCATCACAACCATCTGGGATGAAAATACAAGGAAGAGGCATTGCCTAGTTTGCCAATCAATATCATAAGACTTGTCTTGTTCTTGGAAGGAAAAGTTGCAGTGTTTCAAGGAAACCTGTTTTAGAGGTTGCAAGTAGACAGAAGTGACTTTTCCCCATTCACTAGGTGAAAGAGGTAGCTCCCAAGTCAGCCACGGGGAAGGGTAAAGGAGGGTGGATTGAATGACGTCACTCTGTCAGAAATAGTGTATAGGATTATTAGCCAGATAAAGGGAATAAATGGAGAAAGGGATGTGAGGGTATACTGGATTAACATGAGTGGTCATTCTAAGTCCGTGTATCCTAAAACCCAACTCTTGTTCAAGACTAGGCTTGGGTTCCTCAGAGAGGTGGAGGATGCCTTGAATTTCTGCTTCATTTTGCCTGTCTGTGATGGAGTTGTGGCTGAGCAACTTGGGAGGAAGTGTTTGAAGTAAGCAATCAGGCCAGGAAATCTGTATTGGAATGCTAGATACTTATGATTTCAACTAATCTTGAAATAGAGACAGCCCTTAACAGCTGTCAGTTTAGTAAAGACACTGTCAGGGAGTTGGTGGAAGATTTGTGTCCTCACAGAAGACAAAACTAAGTTCACTGCTATGTGGCAGTCAGGGATGACTCCCAAGGCCATGCGTTGGCTCTTGTTCCAGCCTCACATGTCTGCAGATGGAGGGGTGGCTGAGAATAGGCCAGATTAACACGGGGGCTCTCCAGGACCCAGAGTCCTACTGAGACTAAGCCAGAGCCTCTTTAAAACGGCCACAAATCTGGTTCCTCAGAGAACAAGACTGACCTTTCTCCAGCCTGCTTTCCCTAATACAATGCAGACCCCCAAAACTCTTTCCCATCCAGAGTCCCAGGATCCTGGACCCAGGCCCACTCACTCATGTCCAGTTTATTTACTGACCTGAGCCTTATAGAGTCTTTTCAATTCTTCTTGCTTAACCAACTGCTTCATTGCTTTTTCTAGCTTCTTTCTTCTTCTAAGTGTCTTCTTCTCCTATGAAAACCAATGGAGAAAAAAATTATGTCAGAGAAAAATGGGGTTGAAATTTACAAAATATCGTTATAGGCTTCTACCCTCTCCAACTAATGATTCCCAGCCACTGCTTACCTTCTAAAATAACGACATCTGGTAGAACTCTCTGCAATGATAGAAATAACCTATAGCTGTGGCTGTCTGAAATACAGAAGCCACAAGCCCCATGTGGCTAGTGGACACTTGAAGTGAGTGTGGATTAGAAATTGAATTTTAAATTTTATTCAATTTTAATGAATTTAAATGTAAACTTAAGTAGCCACATGTCGCTAGTAGGTTCTGGATTGGGAAGCTGCTATGTGTGTATTGGGAGGGAGTGTATGTGTAGGTCTGTAGCTGGGAATTGCTATAATAGAATACTGTCTGGGTTCAGCTGAGAGAAGGAATGGTATAAGAATTATACTTTACAGGGGTGCTACGATATGGCCCAGGGATGAGGGGCTTGGGAGAGAGAGAGACGGGTAGGCAAGTAGACAGACATACACACACATACTCTCTCTCTCTCACTACATGAAAACCAGTTAACAACTTTAAATAGTGCTTAGGTTGAGTCTACAGTGGCTAATTAAACCTGGAAATGGAGAAATGTATCATTCCAATGAAAGTGTTTTTTGGCTTGAGGGAAGCATGAGATTGCTTCTCTTCCCAACCTCACTTTGTTTATACAATTATAGCATTACTGTCACTGGGTGTGTGTGTACCTGTGCTTGTTAAAAAAATTTTAAATTGATGCATATAAAGTAGAAGTCTAGATCTTGATAGTATCACTTCCAGGTTTTAGACACAAGAGCAAAAAGAAGTGATGGTGTGGTTAATTCCACATACTGGAAAGTTCAGGAGGCACTTAAAAATGGGAGAAATAGCAGAGACTAATGGTTGAGCACTGGGCCCACAAGACAGGCAAAGCTGGCATCCAATCCCAGCTGAGTTGTGTGAGCTTCAGAATGTCACACAACATTCTGAACTTCAGTGCTCTCTTTAGAGTAATGAGAAGAATTTACTGCCTACTTTGTAGGGATACACTAAGGACTCAATGAAATAATAAGGCTAAGCCTTTTGTAGAATACCTGAAAAAGACATGGGAAGAACACTCAGTAAATACTAATAGCATGATTTTTATAGCATTCGTATATTATTATATTTTAAATTAGCATGATTATCACATTTTACTAAAATCTATTATGATTTTTGTGTGTAGGAGTATATATTATACATACACACACAGACATTCTGTATCTACAAAATAAATGTTCAAATTGGGCTATTTTTACTCGTTTGCCTTCTCTGAGCATACACATCAACTTTCTGTATACTAGGATGAGGATTAGAGCATGCTAGACATTTCTTTTTAATGCTGGAATAAATAAATATGAAATTTAAAAATTGTCGTAGCTAGCTTGGTGCCTACAGGCTATTTTTCTGGAATTCTCCTTAGGACCTAAAATCCTAAAGATCTTCATCCTTGGAAGAAAATTTTACTCTCAGAACTCAACTTATTCCATATCATGTCATCTCTGTTTCCATGAGATGACTACCAGATTGACTGTCAATCACTCTGAATGGGGATTCCAGACCTTTTGGACGGGGGATTCTTCATGGGGCAGCTAGGATCTTTCTGGAAAGGCTCTAGGGAAGAGGTGGTGGGGATCAATGGTAACTGTCATCCAGAGATTGTCTAACTTAGCCTATATGGAGTCAGTTCATTTATTAACAACTGCCCCTTGAGCTTCCATTATACTAACCTACGTAATAAATCCTCTCATTTACCAAATGCTATATGCCAGATACTGTACTAATTATTTCACATGTATCATCCCATTTATTCCTCAAATTGCACTTACATTATAGGTAAGGAAATAAAAACTCAGAGAGGAAATTAACTTATACAAGATGATGCAATTATTAATAGGCAGAGCCAGGAGTTAGGCACAGGTAGCCTGAATCTAGTATCCACATTTCATTTGGTCTATACTGCCTTTCCTTGTGCCAAATACCGTTTAGACACAACAAGGACCTACTCTACTTTTCCATAGTGGGACTATGGAAAAGAAATGCCAATGTTCCCCCTAAATGAAGACCACTGAATGCAATTCCCAGGCGAAAGGTGGGGGGAATTGCCTCAACAGCATCATGTGGTCTTAGCGCTTCCCAGCAGCAAAGCTATCAAACTCTGACTCTTTCTCAAGAGTCAGCAAAACAGAACCTAGAGGAGGAAAGAAAGTCATGTATTGCCTTTTATTAAAAAGTTGCTGATACAGAAAAGAAGAATGCTTCATTAATAAACACACAGCCTTACATATACAAGGCACAGTTCTTATATCCTCACTGATGGTGATGATGCAGAGAGGGAAAGACGCTAAGGGCTAGGGAAGAAAAGATGCAGAAGCTTGGCAGAATCAAAGACAAGCTGCTGCGTCTCTTCCTGCCTTAGTCTCTTAGATCTGGGTGTGGTGTGGGAGGAGAGGCAGTGGGGAGCAAGGGTGAAGCAAAGGGAAGAGGCCAAGAGGACACATCCTGCCTCGTTTCCTGTGCAAAGGTTCATTTGAGCTGTCATGGTCTCCGTGCCACCTGGCTGGGGACACACCTGCATGGGATAGAAGAGACAAAGAAACCAGAGGACGAAAACCTCCTCTCTTTCCTTCAGTGTGAGCCCTCGAGAACTTGGAAAAAAGAAATCTTCTTGCCAGCTTCCCTTAGTGTAAGAGTGGGCCAGGTCAGAAGCCAGGTGAAGCGGGCATGCTTTACCACCTGGCAAGCTGACGTGATGGCGGGCTCTGTTCTGGGCCAGCAGGAGAACAAGGAGCTATTTGTGAGACTGGTCCTAAATACCACCGTCTTGCTATTTCAATATGTTTGGGCCATTCTATTCTTTTATTCTCCATGAGTGTCAAGATGGCTGATGCTGGGATCTCTGCCTAATTTGAATATAGAATTAACTCAGGGTCATTCAAGGGGATGAGAGGGGCAGTAAGAAAACCACAGAAATCAACACAAGACACACGGAATTCATTTGTGTTGAATACTGAATTAATCAGGGACACCATTGTTAGAAATGAGAAATTCATACATCTTTCTCCCTCAACTCTCTCTGTCTCTCTCTCTTCTCCCTCCCTCTTTCTTCCTCTCTCCTCCCCTCCCCACACCACACCTCCCAGACCCCTCCTGCCTTGCTCCAAGCTGGGCCATGGGGAGTTGGAACCCCAGAGTGACTTGAGATGATGTCAAATCTCCTAATGCCAGATATAGAAAAGTTGAGTGTAAGTAAATAAATTTGGTTCTCCTCCTCCCTCCCCAGATCCTCACTACTCCAAAAAATAAACACTACCAGAGCAGTGAACTGCTTCTCTTTCTACCCGGGAAGCATTTTAGGTCCAACCATTCAATAACCCCTGCCACCCCCACCCCACCAAGTACTCTACTGTCTCAGTGAAAACGCTCCAGCTTCAGTGGATAAAGAAAACAATGATGGGCTTTGGTTATGGGATGTCTGTCTCTGTGTATGTGACATACAGACACATTTATAAACATATAAAATGTTTGTGTTTTTTTAATCTATGGATATGAGAGTTGTTTAAAGAGTTCTCCAAAAACATTAATGTTCATTGAGAAAAGAAGTCTGCCATCTCCCCAGCTGGCACGGGGCTTGTCCCTTCCACAGCAGAGATCTTTGGAGTATCCATGTCTAGATGCAACTGCATGGTTCATTTCATATTTCTGATTAGAATAAACATAACATTTTCCATGCAATCTGCCTCTAGTGCTTCTTAAATGAAGCTGTGCTTCCCCCAGGGAAATATGCATCTGCTTGTTGTAATGTTTTCGATGGTTTGCTTGTTGGACCACATATTAAACCCACTTTAAGAGCTGCCATCACCAAATGGTTTCAAGTAAATATGTCTTTTTTTTTTCTCCCAAATTTGCGTCTGAGAAAGGCAAACTTCTACAAGTTTTTTTTAAAGAAGATAATTCTTTGGGTGTTCAAGGTAAAGAGAGCACTCTGTCAGATGCAATGAAACATGATCCTCCTAAGGAAACCACTGCAGCTGGAGCCCACATTGGTTCTGAAATCTGGATGGTAAGCAGCCCCCACCAGCCAAGGCCCTCTTTGGCTGGTCAAGTGTTGTTACCTTTAACTGCAAGGAAAGCTGGGGATCAAATTCTTCATCTGCAGAGGAGGAGGAGGTTGAAGAGGCAGAAGAGGAAGCCTCTGTTACCTGTGCTCTGAGGGGAAAGTTCTTGGAGTCTGAAATGGGAACAGAAAAACTCAATGAACTGCTAGCTTCATTTCCTGCTTTATGAACCAAAGCTGCTGCTTCCTCCTCCCCCACTTACTCTCATTCCCTTCCTCCCTGCCCTCCCCTCACTGCACCTGCCGTGAGCATGAGGCAACAGTACCTAAGGGCAACTGAAAATTTGGCCCTCCATGTTAATTACATTTCTGGGTCCCTGCCAAGAGCTTTGCAGCTCTCTTTTCACATTAAAAAAAAAAAAGAAAAAACCAAGGTATTATGCAGAAATCAATTAATTCCTTAAACACCATTTATATGGTGTGTTGCTCAGAATGCATTCAGAGATAAAATCTATTATTAAAATGCATGTCTGAAGTTAGTTGAGTTACCTAAATGCTTGTGTAAGGTTCGTTCTGCAGAGTAATTGAATGCAAAAAAGTTGGAGCCAGCTCTTAAACAAATCGCCCTTCTGCGGCTCACAGCATCTGGCACCCATTTTTACTACATGACATCTGCTCAGTGTAAAAGAGCTGGCGTCAGAATGTCTGGTCATAGAAAAAAAAAATCCCAAATGTAATCAGAAGCAAAAGGACTCTAAGCCTAAGGTTTTATCACATAGTCTCATGCAACATAAATATTTCATTAATTATGGCTAAACAAATGCCATTTTTATTTTCCCAACTTGCAGATGTTATCACATCATCGAAGTGGTGATTCAAATGCCAGGAAAGGCAGTTTAAGATAGGGATGGCTCAACAACACAGGGCCCAAGGGAGAGCCGAATTCGAGGAGATATGCCAGTCTCTGAACAAGAGGTAGATGGTTAGAGGCAGCAAAGTGCCCACGTTAACTAGAATCGCTCTGTGATCTGGCCGGGGACCATGTGTGATAAGGTCTTCCAGGTGCCACAGGAGGCTTTTATTCTTCTCAGCAAGAACATCTGCCCCTACACATCAACATGATGCAGAGTTAATGAGTAATAGCTGGATTAACCCACTCTGATTACTGAATATCAGGACCAGCTAGGACTCCACGATACGAAATTTACTAATCTTTATTTTGCTGTGGCTGCTTATGTCTGAATAGAAATAGGTGTTGGGTCGGGGGAAAGGAGAAGCACCTCCACGTCAACTAACATTCTCTCCAGCCTGCCTTTTCCTCCTTAAAATTTTCAACTATTCACCCTAGTGAGAGAGGCCAAGTTTGACAAAATAAGGGTGCTTTAGCCTCCAGGAGCACATTTACATATGTTGTTATTCAAAGCAAAATAATGCAAAACATCCCTGTTTTCTGGTTTAATTTGCCAGATGGAAAGCTCAGGTAAAGATAGAATCAGAGAGCAGTATAATAATGGGAGGAAGCATTGTTACTGATGAGCTGAGATTGTTTCCCACTTCTAGCCACTAAATGACCACTGAGTAATTCAGTCACTGAGTGTTCACTTCTTAGCATATGACCTTGAGGAAATAATTTTACCTCCTTGAGTTTCTCAGGATCATGATTTCTAACTTGCAGAATTGTTGTGGAAGGGTGGAGATAATCAGTGTAAAGTGCCTAGCGCAATGCCGGTATATTAGCGGTGCCTGAGTAAATGTTCTTATTGTTGGTAGCAGCAAGAGCAGCAGGAACCACGTGATCATCATCACTGATCTAAAATAACAATACTGCAACATTAGAAAACTGCCTATTTAGCCTTTGTTTATGGAAGAAACATAAACTTAAGTTGAAACTTCTTTTAACTTTCAAAAAATAAATATTTCCATTGAAATTTCTTTTGAAATTGAGGAGAAAATGCTTCCAAAGATAAGGCATTTCTTACACTTCCGGCAAGAAAGAAGTTATATAGTTGCCACTGAGTCTTTTTCTTGTTACTCTCTCCATTACAGAACCAACCATTCTAGTACTTTTTTTTTTTTTTGAGACGGAGTCTTGCTCTGTCACTCAGGCTGGAGTGTAGTGGCATGATCTGGGCTCACCGCAACCTCCGCCTCCCGGGTTCAAGTGATTCTCCTGCCTCAGCCTCCTGAGTAGCTGGGATTACAGGTGCCCACCAACATGCCCTGCTAATTTTTGTATTTTTAACAGAGATGGAGTTTCGCCATGTTGGCCAGGCTGGTTTCGACTCCTGATCTCAGGTAATCAACTTGCCTCGGCCTCCCAAAGTGCTGGGATTATAGGTGTGAGCCACTGCACCTGGCCTAGTACACTTTTCATTTGTAAAATCTTAAAGACTTTGCAGCATTGTTCCACTCTGGCTGTGTTAGAATGACTGATTCTGGAATTCATCTCCCAACACAAAGCACTGAAAATTAAGAAAAAATACATGAAGCATCTATTTTCAGGCACTGGACAGCAGGCAGTGCAGAACTGTGATAAAGGCAAGAACAGAAGCAAATGAGGAAAGTCCTACAATCACAGTAACTTTCTGCCTAGAGGGTCTTTCCAGATCACAGTACAGGTAAGAAGAAACTAAATAAAGCATAACAGATTCATTGAGTTGAAAAGATAGATGAAAGTTTGGGCAGGCTGAGACAGCTGGAATACGTGGGGCAGAGTATTGGAGAAGAGGGAGCTATGAAAAGAAGAAATTCACACCTAAGCATAGAAATCCCCTTGAGTCTATTGCTTATAGTAAACTATAGATACATAAAGAGAAACTCTATGAGGTTGGGCAAATAGCTGCTGGAAAGTTGTAGCCTAAACAATCTTGAAAGCTTCTTTAGGACTGAGAGATGTTCAAGTTCTACCTAGCCAGGGTAGAACAAAAATTTAAGGCATTGATAGAGACCACAGAAAAATCACGGGGAATGAATTAGCCCTAGAGTAAAGGTTATTATAGATTCACCTGAAAAAAGCTTAAAAGCAAGCCTTCAAAGGAAAACAAGTGATCTGCAAGTTACCCTACTTCTGCCTGCCAAATATTCTTTACTGCCTATTTAATTCCTTAATTAAAGAAACAAAACATAGACATGCTACAATGTAACATTCAGAGTCTGGCAGCTGGTGAACAATTACTAGATATGTAAAAAAGCAGGACAAGTCTGATAATCAAGAGAAAAATTTGTCAATAAAAGCAGACCCAGAAATGACAGATATGAGGGAATTAGCAGATGAGAATTTTGAAATAGCTATTATAAATGTGCTCAAGAACTCCACCAAAAAAAACTATTATAATAAATCAGTAAAGTTGCAGTACACAAAATTAACATAGGAAAATTAGGAGCATTTCTATACATGAACAACAAACTATCTGAAAAAGAATGAAAAAAATCTCATTTATAATAACTTCAAAAAAAAAAACCACCTAGGAATAAATTTAACCAAGGAGGTGAAAGACCTATACACTGAAAATCATAAAACATTAATAAAAGAAATTGAAGACACAAAGAAATCAAAAGATATCTCATGTTAATGTATTGAAACAATTACTGTCAACATTTTCACTAAATATATACAGTCAAAGCATTGCAATTAAAAAGAAGATATTGTCAGACTGGATTTTAAAAAAGCAAGAACCTGCTATATATTGTCTATAATAAATTCATTTTAAATATAAAGAGAAATTAAAAGTAAAAATTTAGAAAAACTAGAGTGTGATAACTCTAATCAATAAGAAAGATCATGTGGCTGTATCAAAGTAATTTGTGGACCAGGAATATTAACAAAGATAAAGAGGGACATTCCATAATAAAAGGTAAACCTATCAAGAAAATGAAACAATTTTAAATATGTGCACACTTGATTAAATTAAAGAAACAAAATACAGACGTGCTTGATTAATTAAATATTAATTAATTACAGAGCTCCAAAATACATGAAGCAAAAATTGACCAAACTGAAAAGAAAAATAGATAATTCAAAAATTATAGCTAAGGGGTATTAACCCTTTTCTCTTGGAAATTGATAGAATAAGTACACAAAAGTAAGAGTATGCGACTTGTACACGCTATTAAACAACTTGACCTATTTCACATCATAGAACACTTCACCAAACAGCAACAGATTATTTGAAAGCGCACAGGAAACATTTCCTAAGTTAGACGATATCCTTGGCTTTAAAACAATCTTGATAAAGTTCTAAGGAGATTGAAATAATGAAAACCATGTTCTCTGACCACAGGAGAATTAAAGTAGAAATTAGAAATTAATAACGGAAAGATACTCTGGAATATCCACAAAATATTTGAGAATTAAATAATACACTTTTAAATAACCCATAGGTCAAAAAAAGAAATCACAAAGAAAATTAAAACAATGTATTTTTGAGACAGAGTCTCACTCTGTCACCCAGACTACAAAGAAAATTAAAAGCAATTTGAATGGAATGAAAACACAACATATTAGAATTTGTAAGATTCAGCTAAAGCAGTGCCCAGAGGGAAATGTATGGCTTTACCTTGTTTATATTAGAACAGAAGAAAGGTTTAAAATCAATGATTTAAGCATACTGTAAGAAGCTAACAAATATGTATTAATTTCAAAGAAGTAAAAATAAGACTGACAATTGACTTTGAAGAGAAACAATGGAAGCTATGAACAATGGCATGATATCATTAAATGATGAAAGACAGTGCCTACTGTCAACTTGCAGTCTATATTCTAAAGAAATATCCTTTAAAAACAAAGGCAAAAGTGAAACGTTTTCAAACAAAACCTGGCAGAATTATCCTCAGCAGACTCACACTAAAAGGAATGCCACAGACAGTTCTCCAGGCAGAAGAAAACCAATCTAAGATGAAAGTATTGTGATGCAGAAAAAGATGAAGAACCACTAAAACAGAAAATGTGCATGAATCCATGCACATTCAGGACTGTTTCAAACCATAATTATAATATCTATGGGTTTAAAATATGTATTGATTTAAAATATATGACAGCAATCACACAAAAGTTGAAAGAAGATAAATGGAGTTTAAAGTTTTCTGGCCGGGCAAGGTGACTCAAATCTGTAATCCCAGCACTTTGGGAGGCCGAGGCAGGCAGATCACAAGGTCAGGAGATCGAGACCATCCTGGCTAACACGGTGAAACCCCGTCTCTACTAAAAATACAAAAAAAAAAAAAATTAGCTGGGCATGGTGGCGGGCGCCTGTAGTCCCAGCTACTCGGGAGGCTGAGGCAGGGGAATGGCGTGAACCCAGGAGACGGAACTTTCAGTGAGCCGAGATCGCGCCACTGCACTCCAGCCTGGGTGACAGAGCGAGACTCCATCTCAAAGAAAAAAAAAATAGAGTTTTCTAAAGTCTTAGGTTATCCAGAAGGAGATAAGAGAATTAATTTAATATAGATTCATTTTAGTTATCAATTAACATTATAGTCTCTTGGGTAACAGCCAAAATAATAATGAACAAACTATACATAATGACAAGCACTACATACTATGTATTACATAAATAATAAGTAAAAGAAGAAATTGAATTTTTAAATTCCGGATTAATTAAAAATAAAGCAAGAAAAGAGAAAAAATGAACAAGTCAGATGAGACAAATGAAAAACAAACAGTAAACGGATAGATTTAAACCCAAATATATCAGTAATTATGTTAACTGTAAGTAGACTAAATATTCAAAATAAAAGAGACCATCAAATTGGATTTTCAGAAACCCAAACTATAGGTTGCTTATAGGACAGACACTTTAAATATAATAATACAGTAACATTAAAGTAAAAGAAGGAAAACGGGATATCATGTGAAAAACAAACCAAAAGAAAGTTTGTATAGCTATCAAAAAAAAAAAAAAAAAAAAAATCAGACCAAGACATTAAGGCCAGAAATACAACAAAAATCAGGGACATTTAGTGATTATCAAAGCATCAATTCAAAAGTATACTATAACAATCAGAAATGTGTACATACCTAACAGCATAGCCTCAAACTATATAAAGCAAAAACTTACTTAACTAGAAAGAGAAATAGTCAAACCCCTCAACCATTGTTAGACATTTTAAACAAAGCTCTCTTAGCAAGTGACAGAAAAACCAGACAAAATAAAAAAAAATCAGCAAGGATATAGAAGATACAACTAAACACTATTAATAAATTTGACCTAATTGATAAGCAAATATAGAATATCACATCCAATAACTAGAGTATATTAATATCTATGTACATATACACATATATAAATTATTTGAAGTACATAAGAAACATTTATTAAATTGATGATATGTCAAGCTATAAAGCAAGTATCAACAAATCTCAAAGGACTTAAGTCACACACAGTATGTCTTTGGATAACAGTGGAATTAAGCTAGAAATCAATACAATCATGTAGAAATTGTAGGGTCTCAGAAGCAGCTTCCTCTGACCTTCTCCTGCTCTCCTGGCCTCTCATTCTCCCCCCGCGGTTATTCATAGAAACTAGACTCCCTCTTCCTCAAGGCAGGTCATAACAACCAGAACCCCTTTCCCTCAAAGCCAGACATAAAATCTAAAAATATTACTCTAACTTTCCACCTCCCTTTCTGTGTAAAAACTGTCCATAAAGAAATAATCTGACTTGTCTTGTTTGACTCTAGATCTTTTTTTTTTTTTTTTTTTTTGAGATGTAGTCTTGCTCTGTCGCCCAGGCTGGAGTGCAGTGGTGCTATCTCGGCTCACTGCAAGCTCCGCCTCTCCGGTTCACGCCATTCTCCTGCCTCAGCCTCCCCAGTAGCCGGGACTACAGGCGCCCGCCATGCCGCCCTGCTAATTTTTGTATTTTTTTTAGTAGAGACGGGGTTTCACCGTGTTAGTCAGAATGGTCTCGATCTCCTGACCTTGTGATCCGCCCATCTCGGCCTCCCAAAGTGCTGAGATTACAGGCGTGAGCCACAGCGCCCGGCCGACTCTAGATCTTAAGACTCCTATTCCAGAGACGATCCTGCCCCATACCCAAAATAAAGGAATGCTGTACAGAGAGGCCAAGAAAGATCTGAAGAGACAGGCCTTGCTGGGTTTCCCCAGTCTATTAGCATAAGATTTTACTCTTTTTGTCCAATTATATTTCTTCATGACAATCCATATTTTGTTGAACCTAAGCATAAAAATGAACAGTTTCCCTCTATCTTTGGATCTGAATTCTGAAGACTCCCATGTCACAAAAAACTATGATCAAATAAATTTGTATGCCTTTTCTCCTGTTAAACTGCCTTTTGTTGGTGATTTTCAGCAACCTTTCAGAGGGTGAGGGGGAAGTTTTCTCTTGGACTTGACAAAATTAAGTAATATTTTTCTAAACACGCTGTGGATCGAAGAAAAAATATAAATAAATTTAAACTGACTGATGATAAAAGTGTGTCATAACAGAATGACTGGGATGCAGTTAAAGTAGTAATTAGAGAGAAATTTAGAGCCTTACATAAAACGCACATCATGCAAAAAAAAAAAAAAGTTGAGAAATGTTGTTCTAAGATCCATTTCAAGAAGCTAGAAAAAGAACCACAATTGAACCTAAAGAATGTAAGAGGAAGCAAATAATCAAGATAAGAACAGATTATGAAAGACAATAAAGATAAAGCAGAAATAAAATTGAAAATCAACAAAGCGAAAATTTGACTCTAAAAATACAAAATTAAGAATGATTAAGCAAAAAATGGGCAGAAAACAAAAATTACCAATATTAGGGATGAGAAGTCCCATAGAGTATTATTAAAGGAAGTTATTATATGAACTATTATATAATAATAATTTTAAAAATTTGTTTTTATATAAACTATTATAATAAATTAAAAAACATAGGTTGAATAAATTCATTGGAAACACAATTTGCCAAAACAAACACAAGAAGAAATAGAAAATGTGATTAGTTCTCTATTAAAGGGACTAAATTTATAATTAAAAAACGTTCCACAAAAACAGTTCTAGGTTATATGACTTCATTTGTTTCCCAATGTTTAATAAAAATGTCACCAATATTAAAACAAAAAGCTCTTCCAGAGAACAGAAAAAGGACACTCTCAAGTTGTGTTATGAGACTAGCGTAAGCTTAATACCAAAACCTGATAAAGATATAAAGAAAAATTTGGCCAGGCATGGTGCCTCACACCTGTAATCCCAGCACCTTGGGAGGCCGAGGCAGGTGGATCAGGCCAAGGCAGTCAGAAGTTTGAGACCAGCCTGGCTAACACGGTGAAACGCTGTCTCTAAGAAAAATACAAAAATTAGCCGGTGTGGTGGCGTGTGCCAGCTACTCTGGAGGCTAAGGCAGGAGAATCTCTTCAACCCCAGAGGCAGAGGTTGCAGTGAGTCAAGATCGTGCCACTGCACTCCAGCCTGGGCAACAGAGCAAGACTCTGTCTCAAAATAAAATAAAATAAAATAAAATAAATAAGAAACCAACAACACCAACCAAAAAAAAAGAAAGAAAAATTTTAGGCCAACATCATTTATAAACATAGGTGTGAAACTCTGAAAAATAATTAGTAAATTCAATACAGTGATACATAAAAAGGTAGTACATTATGACCAAGCTGGGTTTATTTCAGGAACACAATAATGATTTAACATTCAAATATCTAAATAGTCCTAGCCAGAGCAGTTAGGCGAGAAAAAGAAATAAGTGGCATCCAAACTGGAAAAGAAGGAGTCAAATAATGCTTATTTGCAGATGACATGATTTTGTATTCAGAAAAACTGAAAGACTCCACACAAAAACCCTTTCAGAACTGATAAACTTAGTAAATTTGCAGGATACAAAATCAATATATAAAAATTGGTAGCATTTCTATACACTAAGAGCAATCAATCAAGATTCTTTTCTGAAAAAGAAATCAAGAAAGCAATCCCATTTATAATAGCTACAAACAAATAAAAAAAACCCTAGGAATAAATTTAACCAAAGAAGTGAAAGATCTCTACAAGAAAAACTATAAAACAATGATGAAAGAAATTGAAGAAGACACCCAAAACATGGAAAGAAGTCTCATCCTCATGAAATGGAAGAATATCGTTAAAATGTCTATACTACCCAAAGCCATCTACAGATTCAATGCAACCCCTATCAAAATACCAATGACATTCTTCACAGAAATAGAAAAAAAAAATCCTAAAATTTGTACAGAACCACGAAAGACCCCAAATAGCTAAAGTATTCCTGAGCAAAAAGAACAAACCTGGAGGCATCATATTCCTTGATTTCAAATTATATTACAAAGCTATAGTAACCAAAAGCATGATACTGGCATAAAAACAGATACATAGACCAATGGAACAGAATAGAGAACCCAGAAATAAGTCCACACACTTACAGTCAACTCATTTTAACAAAGGTGCCAAGAACATACATTGGGGAATGGATAGTTTCTTAAATAAATAGTGCTGGGAAAACTCAATATTCATGTGCAGAAGAATGAAACTAGATTCCATCGTTCACCATACACAAAAATAAACTCAAAGTGAATTAAAGACTTGAATTTAAGGCCTGAAACTATGAAGCTACTAGACAAAAACACTGGAGAAGCGCTATAGGACATTGGTCTGGGCAAAGATTTTTCTGGGAAGGACCTCAAAAGCACAGCTAACAAAAGCAAAAACAGGCTATTGAGATTATTCAAGCAAAAGAGCCTATGTACAGCAAAGGAAACAATTAACAAAATGACGACACAACCTAAAGAATGAGAGAGAATGTTTGCAGAGTATCCATCTGAAAAGGGATTAATAACCAGAATATATAAGAAACTCAAATAACTCAGTACAAAAAACCAAATAATTCAAATAAAAAATGCAAAAGGCCTGAATAGATATTTATTAAAAGAAGACATACAAGTGGCCAACAAGTGTATGAAAAAATACTCAGCATCACTAATCATCAGGGAAATGCAAATCCGAACCACAATGAGATATCATCTCACCCCAGTTAGAATGGCTATTATCAAAAAGACCAAAAAATCAAAAATGCTGGCAAGGATGTGGAGAAAGGGGAACATTTACTTATACACTGTTGGTGGGAATATAAAGTAGTAAAACCATTATGACAAACAGTATGGCGGTTTCTCAAAAAACTAAAAACAGAATTACCATATGATCTAGCAGGCCTACTGCTGAGTATATAACGCAAAGAAAGGAAAACAGTATATTGAAGAGACACCTACATTCCCACATTTATTGCAGCAGAATAGCCAAGATACAGCATCAGCCTAAGTGTCCATAAACAGATGAATGAATAAAGAAAATGTGGTATATATATACACAATGGAATATTATTCAGCCATAAAAAATAAAATCTTGTCATTTGCCTCAACATGGATGAAACTGAAGGTCATTATGTTAAGTGAAATAAACCAGGCACAGAAAGACAAATATCACATATTATCACTTACACAGGAGCTAAAAATGAAAAAGTGGATCTCATGGAGATAGAGTAGAATGGTGGTTACCACGGAAGCAGAAGTGGGGAGGGAAGGCTAAAGGGAAGCTGGGTAATGGGTACAAAATACAATTAGTAGAAGAAATAAGTTATAATGTTTGATAGTACAATAGGAAAATTATAGGTAACAATGATTTATAGTAAATTTCAAAATAGCTAGAAGAGAAGAATTGTAAGTTTCCTAAGACAAAGAAGAGATGAATGTTTGAAGTAAATTGATGTTTCAATTACTGATTGATCATGACACATTACATATATGCATCAAAATATCACATGTATCCAAAACACAAATAAAACTATGATTTATCAAGTAAAAAATACAAAAAAGTTACATATAAAATTATGTCATTTAGCACATGTTGACTAAAGTAACAAAAGCATATGATTATCCAACAGATGCAGAAAAAGCATTTGCTTACATTTATCATTACTCGTGATTAAAACTCATAGCAAGCTAGGAATGGAAGGAAATTTTGTTGATCTAATAAAGGACTGACAAAAGAAATCTGCAGCAAACATTATACTCAATGGTGAAATACAATCTCTCTCATATTGGGAAAGAGACAATGGTGTACACTATCACCACTTCTATTCAGCTCTGTATAGGAGGTCCTAGGCAGTGCAATAAGGCAAGAGAATGGAAAAAAAGGTATACAAACTGGAAAGGAAGATGTCAGTCTGTCTTTATTGGCAGACAACATGATTGTCTTGCTAAAATTCTATTTAAAAGCTATTACAATAATAAGTGAGTTTAGTAAGGTCAATATAAAGTTAATTTGCTTCTACATATTAATGAGGAACAATTTAAAAGCAAAATTAAGGAAGCAATTTTATTTACAATGGCAACAAAAACATGAAATAGTTAAAAGATAAATTTAATATGTGTGAAAAATCCACACACTGAAAACTAAAAAAACCATTCTAAATTAAAGTGAAAGAAACTTAAATAAATTGAGAGATACACCATTTTCATGGATTGAAAGACCAAACAGGTGTCAGTTTATCCCAAACTGATCTATAGATAACAAGCAAAATTCCAGTAGGCTTCTTTGGTAGAAACTGATAAGCTAATTCTAAAATTCATATGAAAACACAAAAGACCTAGAACAGCCATATTAATTTTTAAGAAAAACAAAGTTGTAAGACTTTCCCTACCTGTTTTCAAGACTTATTCTAGCTGGGCTTGGTGGCTCACACCTATAATCCCAGCACTTTGGGAAGCCAAGGCAGGAGGATCACTTGAGCTCAAGAGTTCAAGACTAGCCTGGACAACATAGTGAGACCTTGTCTCTATTAAAAAAAAATTGTTTTTTAATTAGCCAGGCATGCTGGTGTGTGCCTGCAGTCCCAGCTACTCAGAAGGCTGAGGCAGAAGGATCACTTGAGCCCAGGAGTTGGAGGCTGTAGTGAGCTATGATTAAGCCACTGCACTCCAGCTTGGGCAACAGAGTGAGGCTCTGTTTCAAAGACAAGACAAGAAAAAGAAAGGCTTACTCTAAAGCTGCAATAATCAAGAAAGTGTGCTTTTAGTGTAAAGATGATTGTATAGATCAATGGAGCAGATTAGAGAGTACAGAGATAGACCTACACATATATGGTCAATTGATTATATACAAAGGTGTCAAAGTAACTCAATGGGGAAAGAACAGTCTTTAAAACAAGTGGTACCGAAGCAATTAGATACCTCTGGGCAAACAACAACAACAACAAAACCCATGACTTACATTCACTATAAAAAATTAACTAGAATCTTGCATTCATTGCAATGTAAAAAAATTATCTAGAATCAGATTAAAGGCTGAAGCCGAAAATCTAGAAACTATAAAACTTTTGGGAGAAAACATATGAGGAATTCTTAGTGACTTCGAGTTTAGCAAAGATATCTTAACTATAACTCAAATTATAAAAGAAAAAATCAATAAATTTGACTTCATCGTATTAAAAAGTTCTGCTCTTTGAAAGATACTGTAATGAAAATGAAACAACAATCCACTGACTAGGAAAGAATGTTGCAAACATATATCTGATAAAGGATTTATTTATATGCAGAACTCTTAAAACTCAAAACTAAGAAACAACACAATTTAAAAATGGGCAAAAGATTTGAAAGCTACTTTACCAAAAAATATACAAATAAAAAATTCATACATTAAAAGAAGCTCAACATCATTAGTCACTAGGGAAATGCAAATTAAAATTGCAATGAGATACTACCATAGGCATTAGGATGGCTAGAATTTGAGTCTGACAATGTCAAGTGTTAGCATGGATGTACAGTAACCGAAACTCTTGTGCATGGTTGTATGGCATGTCACTTTGGAAAATAATTTGACAAGTTTAAAAATAAAACTCAACATGCACTTGCCAAATGACCAAACAACCCCATAGCTAGGAACTTGGCTAAGGCAAATGGAAACATGTCTCTACACAGAGACCTGTACATTAATGTTCATAGAAGCTTTATTCGCATTCAAAAACTAAACCCCATCTCATGTCTATCAACTGGTAAATGGATAAACAAATGTTGGTGCATCCATACAATGAAATTCTACTAGCAATAAAAAGGAATGGATTACTGAAATGTGCAACAACATGCATAAATCTCAAAAGCATTACGCTAAGTGAAAGAAGCCAGACACAAAAGACAACATGCTGTATGATTCCATTTATATGACATTCTAGGAAAGGCGACACTATTGAGACAGAAAACAAATCAGTGTTTTCCAGGGACTGGGAATATGGAAAAGGGATTAATTCTAAAGAGTCATGAGAAGACCATTTAGGATGGTGAAAATATCTCTATTTTGATTTTGGAAGCAGTTCCATTACTATATACAATTGTAAAAACACATGGAACTGCACATTTTAAAAGGGTAAATTTTATTGCATGTAAATTATACCTCAATAAAAAATTAGAGTTTGGTAGAGTAGATGAATTCAATTGTTTTTCTACCTAAATGACCATATAGTCAATCACAGAACCGACAGATAAATCACTGTATATTCCCACAATGAAATATAGTGTACCAGAAGAATAATGCAACCACAAGAAACAATGAGGATAAATCTCAAAAAAAAAATGTTGAAAGAAAAGGTTACATTTACCTAATGAATACTGTTAGAAATCAGTGGTTATCTTTGTGGTAGATGGTAGCCATGTGGGATTAGTGACTGAAAGAAACAGAGGACTTTTGGGGTTCTGGTAATGTTACGTCTTCATCTAACTCCTATTACATGTATGTGTTCAATGTGTGAAAAGCTCTATACTTACGAGTATTTTTCTTTTGTGTATTATAAGCAAGAAAAATGACTATCTAGAAATAAACCTTCAGAAATGCAAAATACCTTTATCAACAATACTGTAAAATGTAAATAATTTTTAAAAATCTGACTAAATAGAGGGCTATAAGGTGTTCTTAGATGGAAGACTCAATATTCTAAAGCTATCAAACGTCTTTAATCAATTAAAAACCATATCATTTGAATCCGCATTTAAAAAACCCCACATGCCTGGGAAAATATCTAATGAAAATTGTACAAGGTCTCTACAACTAGAAAACATTAAGAAAAATTGAAGACCTCAATAAATTCAGGGATGTATCACGTCCATGGATTTGAAGACTCGCTACAGTAGTACCCCATGTTCACAGTTTCACTTGCCTCAGTTTCAGTTATCCACAGTTGACTGTGGTAAAAAAATAGGTGAGTACACTACAGTAAGATATTTTGTGAGAGCTAGGTCACAGGCACACAACTTTTATTACAGTATATTGTTATAATGATTCTATCATTAGTTGTTAATTTCTTACTGTGGTAATTTATAAGTTAAATTTTATCATAGGTATGTATGTACAGTAAAAAAATGTAGTAGTAAATACAATGATATGGTTCGGCTATGTGTTCCCACCCAAATCTCATCTCCAATTCTAATCTCCAAGTGTCAGAGGAAGGACCTGTAATCCCATATTGAGAGAGGGAAGTGATTGGATTTTGGGGGTGGTCTCCCCCATGCTGTTCTCATGATAGTGAATTCTCACGAGATATGATGGTTATATAAGGGGGTCTTCCCGCTTTGCTTCTCGCACATGCTTTCTCTTGCCCGCCACCATGTAAGATGCGCCTGCCTCCCCTTCTGCCACAATTGTAAGTTTCCTAAGGCCTTCCCAGCCATGTGGAACTGCGAGTCAATTAAACCTTTTTCCTTTATAAGTTACCCAGTCTTGGGTAGTATATTTATAGCAGTGTGAGAATGCACTAATACAGTATTATCCATGGTTTCAGGTATCCACTGGGGGTCTTGGAACGTACCCCCTGTGGATAAGGGGGACACTACTGTATTGCAAAGACGTTAATTCTCCCCAAATTTATCTATAGATTCAATACAATCCCATTCAAATTCCCAGCAAATGTTGTAGAAATTGATGAATTCATTCCATAAGTCACATGGCAATGCAAAGGCCAAGAATACTAAGACAATGTTGAAGAAGAACAAAGTGAAGGATTTACTCTAGACTATGACGATTTATTATAAAACCACATAATGAAAACAGTGTGATTCAGGAACAAGGTCAGACAAACCAGCCAGTGAAACAGAAGAGAAGGACCCAAAACAGACTGCCTAATTTATAACAAAACTGTCACTGTAATACAGTGGGAGGAGAAGAATGTTTTGTGTGTGTGTGTGTGTGTGTGTGTGTGTGTGTGTGTGTGTGTGTGTGTGTGTGTGTTTGAGACAGAGTTTCGCTCTTGTTGCCCATGCTGGAGTGCAATGGCACGATCTCAGCTCACTGCAACCTCAGTCTCCCAAGTTCAAGCAATTCTCTTGCCTCAGCCTCCCAAGTAGCTGGGATTACAGGCATGCGCCACCACGCCCGGCTAATTTTTTTTTGTATTTTTAGTAGAGATGGGATTTCTCCATGTTGGTCAGGCTGGTCTCAAACTGCCCACCTCAGGTGATCTGCCCGCCTCAGCCTCCCAAAGTGCTGGGATTATAGGTGTAAGCCACCGTGCCTGGCTGAAGAATGGCCTTTTTAATAAATGCTGCTTAATTGATTGGATAACAACATGGAAGAAAGTAAACCTTCACCTTACCTCACAGAATACCCAAAAATCTATCCCAGTTTCATCATAGATATGACTGTGAAAGGAAAAATAATAAGGCTTCTGTAACAGTGTTGTCCAATAGAAATATAATACAAGCCATGCATGTAATTAAAAATTTTCTAATAGCCACATAAAAAATGTTTTAAAAATAAAATTAATTTTAATATATTTTATTTACCACCAATTTCAAAAATCATATCATTTCAACTTTTTATTTATTTGTTTATTTGTTTGTGACCAGTATTGGTCTCTTGCCCAGGCTGGAGTGCAGTGGTGCAATCGTGGCTCACTGAACCTCGACCTCCTGGTCTTAAGTGATCCTCACACCTGCTGAGTAGGTGGGACTATGAGCATGTGTCAACATCTCTGGCCAATTTTTTTAGTTTCTATAGAGACAGGGTCTCCTTATGTTGCCCAGGCTGGTCTTGAACTCCTGGACTCAAGCAATCCTCTTCCTCAGCCTCTCAAAGTTCTTATATCTAACAAAGGACTTATATCCAGAATCTATACAGATTACAAATCAATGACAAAAGGGCTAATAATACAATAAAAGTATGGGCAAAAGACTTCAACAGAGACTTCTGACAGAAGAATATCTAAATAAGCATGTGAAAAGTTATGCAACATCATTTGGCATGAGCCACTGCACTGAGCCAAGAATTATTAATGAGATGTTTTACATTATTTCATTCATACTAAGTCTTCAGAATCTGATGCATATTTTACACATATAGTATGTCTCTGTTCAGATGATACATTTTTAATGGTTAAAGTGAAATGTAACCCTATCAAATAAAGTTGTGTTTAATAGAAAACCATTTTACACTGCTTCAGTTTTTAAATTTAAATTAATTAAAATTTTAAAAATTAAAAATTCAGTTCCTCATTCACACTAGCTACATCTCAAGTATGAAACAGTGGCTACTGTATTTGGACAGCACAGTTCTAGAAGGTAAGCGAGAACATCTACATGACCTTGGAGTAGGGAAAGATTTCATAAACAGGATGCAAACGTCAACAGCAATAAAGGAAAGTGATATTGTTTGGCTCCATGTCCCCACCCAAATCTCACCTTGAACTGTAATCCCCATAATCCCCATGTATCAAGGGTGGGACCTGGTGGAGGTAATTGAATCATGGAGGCAGTTTCCTTCATGCTGTTTTTGTGATAGTGAGTGAGTCTCACAGACCTGATGGTTTTATAAGCGTCCGGCATTTCCCCTACTTGCACTCACTCTGTCCTGCTGCCCTGTGAAGAGGTGCTTTCCACCACGATTGTAAATTTCCTGGGGCCTCCCTGGCAATGTGGAACTGTGATTCGATTAAATCGCTTTCCTTTATAAATTATGCAGTCTCAGGTATTTCTTCATAGCAGTGTGAGAACTAATACAGAAAGTATTGATAAATTTGGCTTTATTAAAATAAATACTTCTGGCCAGGTGCAGTGGCATCTTCCTGTAATCCCTGCTAACTTGGGAGGCTGAAGTGGGAAGATCGCTTGAAGTCAAAAGTTTGAGGCTTCTGTACTTTATGATTGTGCCACTGCATTCCCAGGCTTTTATTAGAGACACTGTCTCTTAAAAAAAAAAGGTACTTCTGTTTATCCAAAGACATCATTAGAGAGTGAAAAAGGGAGCAAAAGAGTAGGAGAAGACAACACAATAAAAGTATGGGCAAAAGACTTCAACAGAGACTTCATACAGAAGAATATCTAAATAAGCATGTGAAAAGTTATGCAAAATCATTATCAGGCAAATGCAAATTAAAACCATAATGAGACACCACTGTACACCTGTAAAAATAGCAACATCAACAAAACAAAACAAAGCTGAGACTATCAAGTGTTGGCAAGGATGTGGAGCAAGGGGAGCTCTCATTCCCTGCTGAGAGTATATACATTGGTACAACCACTTTGCAAAACTGTTTGATAGTATCTACTAAAACTATCATACATACCTACCCTATGACCTAGCAATTCCACCCCAGGTATATGCTAATGTTCTTTTCTTAACCAAACCCGAGCCAGGCTCCTCTGAATCCTCTTCTTAACTAGGCCTCACCTTGGCCTATGAAAAGAACAGACTCGCGACATAAGTGATTTTGTCCATCCCTTTTCTCTCCACATTAAAAGGCTTAAACAAACACTAACATAGTCTCTGAAAGCTCAGGACCCAATCACTAAGATGGCCATAGCCTCCCTTAAAGTTCCTGCCTAAGAAAACTCAAGGTTGCCAGAATAATGGACTGCTTGTTTTAGCCGACACGGGATGACAGGCACCACTGTCACTTGTTCTCAGAACATTTATTAAAAAGAGCTTACAACATGAATCCTTTCTCTGTCCGTTTGAGACATATGTGTAT
Organism: Homo sapiens; assembly: GCF_000001405.40. NCBI lineage: Eukaryota > Metazoa > Chordata > Mammalia > Primates > Hominidae > Homo > Homo sapiens. The sequence continues at coordinate 12,301,900 of NC_000011.10, read as the reverse complement.
CTCCTACAACTCAGGAGTGTCTTTCTCAAGGACCTGATAAGCCATTCCTTTGAAATGGAATCATCGGAAGGATAGGGCCACTGTCTCCCAGTCTCTGTGGAAAGACAGAATTCTGACTTTGTTAACTGCCAGCTAACAGATGCAGCTGGACTAACCTGCATGGACACTGACCAGCCCTTTGTGATTTTTCACTTCCCTGACTCTACTGAGCCCCAGCCTGACCACCTCCCTATGCCCTCCTTCTCCCTGTAAAACACTCAGTCACTTCTGTAGAAATTGAAGTTGAGCTCAGTTTACACTGGAACCTCTATCTTATTGCAATAGCATGTTACTGATTAAAATCTGCCCTTACTGTTTTAACTAGTGTCCAGCTTTATTTATCTTTAGCAATACTCAACAGACACAAGCACATATGTACACCAAAAATACGTACGTATAAGAGTGCTCCTAACAGCACTATTCACAATCAGAACAACTGAAAACAACCTCAATGCCCAAAAACAGAAGGCACGAATAAATTATGATATAGTCATACAATGGAATAAAATGGAGCAATGGAAAAGAACAAACCACTTCTGCACATAACATGGATAAATCCCCTCCAAAGAATGTGATATGGTTTGGCTGTGTACCCACCCAAATCTCAACTTGAATTGTATCTCCCAGAATTCCCATGTGTTGTGGGAAGGACCCAGGGATGGGTAATTGAATCATGGGGGCTGGTCTTTCCTGTGCTAGTCTCGTGATAGTGAAAAAGTCTCATGAGATCTGATGGTTTTATTAGGGGTTTACTCTTTCACATCTTCCTCATTTTCTCTTGCCACTGCCATGTAAGAAGTGCCTTTTGCCTCCCGCCATGATTCTGAGGCCTCCCCAGCCATGTGGAACTGTTAAGTCCAATTAAACCTCATTTTCTTCCCAGTCTCGAGTATGTCTTTATCAGCAGTGTGAAAACGGACTAATACAGAATGTTTAATGAAAGAAGCCAGGCACAAAAGAGTATATACTTGTATGGGTTTTTCTATTGTTGTGGAACCAATTCCCACAAGTTTGGAGGTTTACAACAACACCCTTTTATTATCTTACAGTTCTGTAGGTTGGAAGTCCAGGCATGGCTCAATGGGGCCCTTTGCTCAGGGTCTTATAAGGCTGCAATTAAAGTGTCAGCTGGGCTGCAGGTCTCATCTATAGCTCAGGGTTCTCTTCCAAGCACATTCAGTTTGTTGGCAGAATTCACTTCCTAGTGGTTAGAGGGCATAGGGTCTGTTTTCTTGCTGCTTGTCAGCTGGAGGTCAATCTCAGCTCCTAGAGGCCTCTTGTTCATGGGCCCTCCCACACCACAGCAAATTTACTACTTCTTCAAGCCCAGGAGGACCATGTCTCTCTCAAGCTATGAATCCAGTCTCTGACTTCAGGAAGTCCTTGTTAAGGGCTCATCTGATTGAGTTAGGCCCACCCAGGACAATCTCTCTTTTGATTAACTCAAAGTGAATTGTTTTGGGGCTTAACTATATTTGCACAATCCCCTAACTTAATCATGGGATGAAATGAAATCCATCATATTTATGTTCCCACCGTATTCCAGAGGACTAGATTCTTTTTTTTTGAGATGGAGTTTTGCTCTTGTCGCCCAGGCTGGAGGGCAATGATGTGATCTCAGCTCACTGCAAACTGTGCCTCCTGGGTTCAATCAATTCTCCTGCCTCAACCACCCAAGTAGCTGGGATTACAGCACCTGCCACCATGCCCAGATAATTTTTGTATTTTTAGTAGAGACGTGGTTTTGCCATGTTGGCCAGGCTGGTTTTGAATTCCTGACCTCAGGTAATCCACCCGCCTCTGCTTCCCAAAGTGCTGGGATTACATTTGTGAGCCACCATGCCCAGTCTAGAGGACTAGATTCTACACAGCAAGCACGCTAGGGAGCAGGAAGCATGGGGTCCTTTTAGAATTCTGCCTACCACAATAATGAATGATTCAATTTTTATAAAGTAAAACCAAATAAAATAAAAACTGCAAGAGTAATCTAAGATGATAAGAGGCAGATGAGAAGTACCTTTGTTGGGCAGGGCATATAATGGGGAGAAAGCATGAGGGAGTCTTCTGGGTGCTGATAACATTCTATAGCTTGATCTCAGGGGCGATTACACAAATGTGCATTTTGCAAAAATTCATCAGCTGTAGGCTTAACATTTGCGGATGTTACTGTATGTATGTAATACTGCAATAAAAACGTTTATGCAAAAAATTAAAGGTTCTCAGGGCATGTTCTTTAATTATACACAAGAATGATAACTAGCATTAAAATTGTTTCTATAAGATGACCACTGACAAGTACCTGAAATTAGTTTATGCCTCCAAGTCATTCAAATATGCTGATAAGTTTATGTACACCATTAATTTAATTGGAAAGTTGTCTTATAAAAATAAAAACAAATTAAATAATTTCAGCCTGGCTCTTATTCAAATGATCATAAATATTAGGTACTTCAATTTGAATGAGCATGATGCTGTTTTCTCTCTCCATTGCATGGAAGTGTGCACCCCCAAGTTAAATGCGGAGGCAACAGTGTCAGTGCATATATGTGAGTGTGTGTTTGGTGGACTGAGCAAGGAAACTAAAAAAAAAAGACTGATGGGTCTAATCTGATAGGCTAGGTAAAATCTTTACATTCTTAGGATACTGACCTAAGAACACTTGAAAGAAACACAAAACTCTTCTAAGAAATAGGTGCAGGCACTACTTCCAGTGCTAACTCTAACCTAATTCCATTCTGTACATTCCCATTCTGTTCCAAGGCAAGGAAGTCATACTATTTTCTGATGAATATAAATGAATGTAGCTCTCCATGCTAAGCAAGCCAGGAAAATATATTTACCCTAAGTTATTGTAATTAGCACATACAGAAATCATATAAAAGTGATATCAATGAACTGTAGGCCAATATTACCTATGAATTAAATGCAAAAATGTTAAATAAATTATCAAACATAATCAAAAAGTAATAAGACATCATGTAAAGTAATAAGACAAAGTAATAACACATCATGACCAAGTGGTATTTATCTCAGCAATGCAAGGATGGTTCAATACCCATAAATCTACGATATAATTCGTAATATTAATCAAATTAAGGAGAAAAAAATCAGACATCTCAAAAGATGCTGAAAAGACATTTGATGAAATTCAACATCCATCTGTGATTAAAAATACTCTCACCGAAATAGAACTAGATGGCTATTTCCTCCAAATGATAAAATATATCTCAGTCAACCCAGAAGCCAGTTACCATGCTTAACTGGGAAAAACACCAGCAGCATTCTCATTATGAGTAGGAATATATTAAGGAAATAATTATCTCTACTTTTATTTAACATTGTTCTGGAGATTCTAGAAACAAAAGAAACCAGGGAGACAAGATAAATCAGAGGTATACAATTTAAAAGCAAAAAGTAAAGTTATAATTTGCAGGTGTTATGATTGTATATATGGGGGGAACTCAGGGGAATCCATTGAAAAACTTTTATAACAAAGAGGAATTAATAAAATGGATGGGTACAAAATTACCACACAAAAATCAATAACTTTCATATATACAAACAACAGTAGAATGATAAACTGGAAAATATCTTGTTGACAATAGCAACAAAAACTAATATATCTATTAATAAAATTAATAATTATGCTAGATCTATGTGCTGTAAAGTGTAAAATATTCCTGAGGGTCACAAAAAAGACATGAACAAATGGAAAGATAACTCATATCATAATTTTATAAGTTCTTGCCAAGTTACTTATAAATTTAACTCAATCCCACGAGAGTATTCACAGGACTTTTTTTTTGGTAGATAGACAAGCTTATACTAAGTTCATATAGAACATCAAATGAGCAAGAAGAGCCAGGAAATTTTAGAAAAAGAAAATCAATAATGGAATACTCTTCCTATCAGATAGTAAAATACCTAAAATAAAAAAATATATAAATACATAAAATTAGAAATTTAAAACAGTGTGGTATTGATATATAACAGACAACTAAATGGAATATAATAGATGGTGTGGAAATAAGTCCAAGTTCAGGAATTTTATATATGATAAATACGTCATCTCACATAAGAGAGGGAAAGAGAGATTATTCACTGATTTTTTAGGATAGCCAGGGAAACATCTAAAAAGTAAGGCAGAATCTATAGCTCACATTTTATACTAGGATAATTTCTTGATGTAAATACTTAAATGTAAAAATATTGAAAACAATCAAGAAGACTAGAAGAAACTGTGAGAAAATTCTTCTACAAACTTGGAAGAAGCTCTTTCTAACTACTATATAAAACCCAGAAGACATGCAATAAAAATGTTTCAAACTAGTATATAAAGCTAGAAATTTTACATAAGAAAAGCCACTGTAAATAAAGTCAAGCACAAACAAGAAACTGGTAAAAAGTACTTGTAATTTGTATCATTACAAAAAAGGGTTAAATTTCCCTTTTGATAAAGAATCCCTACATACTATTAAGAAAAACCCAACAAACCAATAGAAAACTGGACAAAGGACAGTATCAACTGGTCACAGAAAAGGAGATGCAAATGGCTTCTCAACATATAAAAAGATGTTCAATCACGTTATTAAACAAAAAATGAAATTCACACCACTCCGAAATCTATATTTCACCATCAGATCAGTAACACACCAGTTAGTGCAAATGTAGAAATCGAGTTCTCATACTTTGCTGCTGGGAATGTGAACAAGCACACTGTGATGAAGGACAAGTTGACAATATCTATCAAAATTCCCAATTCACATATCCTTTGCTCCAGCATTTCCACTTCTAAGAATTTATCCTAAAGATAAATTCACGCACATGCTTAATGGCCTAAGCTATCAGTTAATTATTGTAGCACTGTTTGCAATAGCCAAAGATTTGAAATAACTTAAACTTTGCATCATAGGGGGCTGGCTACATCAATTATGTTACATCTACACACTGGGATACTGTACAGCTATAAAACAAAAGAAGAAAGTGCTTTACGTACTAATATGGAATGAGCTCCAAAATAAAATGAAAAGTTCAAAAAAAGTGCACACAGCATGCTGCCATGCTATCATTTGTGTTAAAAAAAGAAAAAATATAGTATATAAATTTGCTCTTACATGCATAAATTCTGTCTGCAGGAATGCCTAAGAAACTGATGACAATATCTATCACCAGGATAGGACCTGGATTGCTCAGGGACAAGGAAGGGAAAGAGGACTTTTTATTTTGCACCTTTTGTACCCTTTGATTTTGAACCATGCAAATGTATTATCAAAAAATGCATAACACATTAAATTTTGTGATGTGTGACATAATATACCCTTATGTCACACATCACAAAATTTAATGTGTTATGCATTTTAGTAGTTTATTAAATAATCTATTTAATTTATTAAACTAAAGTTTAATAGTTTATTAATTTATTATGCATGTTTAAGAGTTATACTGCAGCCTTTCCATGCTTATCCTGAACCTGGTTGAAAATAAAGTCTCTTGTTAATCTATACAGCTGTTTGATTAAGGTACTACTGAAGAGAAATAATATATTACTTGAAAACTTATGTTTCAAAATAGAAGTTAAATAAGAAAATAAAAAAGCTTTTTAGGAAAAAAGAAAAACAAAGTTGATCAACAATAGGGATGGTAGGATCACAGTTTGTTCAAAGCAGTCAAACAAGTATCAACGACAAAAAAGAACTCATGTGAATGTTTAGCTAAACTGTCTCTAAGGGAATAGACTAAAACTTTGGCAAGGAGGAGAGGGGATGAGATAATACATTTTAGTTTTTATTAGATATTTCCATATTGTTGGATTACTCTGATTATTTGATATATTAATTTTAGAATTTAAAAATTTTAATCAGGTTTAAATTATTTAAAAAGCCTACATTTTCATTGGTGGTATGCAAATATGCGTAAGTGTTTAGGCTAGGAGTTTAAAGGGAAAAACATTATATGCATAAAGATGTTCATTCAACACCGTATGTAAAATATAAATATATGCATATATAACATATATACAAATATAAGTTAACAATAAGACAATAGTTCATTAAATAACATACCCACCAGACAGGATATTCAATTAAATCACATTTATGTATACTACATGGTAATTGGCATAATATCTATGATATAATGTTGACTTTTAAATGATACAAAATTTTTGGCTAGGCATAGTGGCTCACACCTGTAATCCCAACACCTTGGGAAGTCAAGGTGAGAGGACTGCTTGAGGTCAGGAGTTTGAGACCAGCCTGGGCAACATATTGAGACTCCATCTCCACAAAAAATAAAAAATTAGCTGGGTGCTTCAGTCCAGGAGTTTGAGGCTACAATGAGCCATGATCAGGCCACTGCCTTCCAGCTTGGGGGACAGAGAAAGACCTGTCTCTCTAAAAAAAAAGAAAAAAAAAAAAAAAAGAGGCTGAGCATGGCGGCTCATGCCTGTAATCCCAACACTTTGGGAGGTTGAGATGGGTGGATCACCTGAGGCCAGGAGTTTAAGACCAGCCTGGCCAATGTGGTAAAACCCCATCTCTACTAAAAATACAAAAATTAGCTGGGCGTGGTGACACACATCTGTAATCCCAGCTACTTGGGAGGCTGAGGCATGAGTATCACTTGAACCCGAGAGACAGAGGTTGCAGTGAGCTGGGATCATGCCACTGCACTCCAGCCTGGGTGATAGAGTGAGACTCTGTCTCAAAAAAAAAAAAAGATACAAAATTTTATGTACAACTTAGTAAAAAATATTCCTATGGAAAGAAAGAAAATAAATGAGAAAGTGGTCGTAGGGTTATGGTTGATTGGTCTCTTTTCAACTTTCTATAATTTCAAAACTAATTTTTTCAGATTTTTTTCAAATTTTTTGCCTTTAAAGTTTTCCTACTTTTGTTAGTATTTGAGAAGCAAAACGAAGTGAAAGATGCCTGCTTGTCGATGCAATGAAGATTACTAACTGCCCAGCATGAAGGGCAGACATTTATCAGGACAGAGCCACTTACCTGCACCTCCCGCTGTAGGAGGAGGAGGAGGAGGAGGAGGAGGAGGAGGAGGAGGAGGAGCTGCCTGGCGCAGGGAGGTGCTTTTGAAAGGCTGCAGCAGCTTCTCCAGGGCCTGCGCACTATCTTCAGGCAGCACCTTCCTCTTGGGGCTGCCAAAGAGGTCCCTGATGTCCTTTCTTTGTCTGGATTCTTGGAGGAAACTCTCAAAAGATTTGTCTTTGAGTCTGAGGGAGGAAAAAAGTGAGATTCTTTTCTTTGGAGGCTTAGAAGCATCTGGGAAGTTCTCTTGCAAACTCACTTTCTCGAGGAGTGTGGGGACATCTTCAATCTTGCTGCAGGGTGGGGACCTAAGTGCAGGAAAGACCTTGGATGGCCGATTGGGCAAACTGTGGGTGCGGAGGGCAGGGTCAGGAGGGCTAAAGGCTGAGGACTGGTTTCTCCCAGGGGAATGCTGGTCCCCGTCTTTATTGGAATTGGTTTTCCGAAGGCTGAATGAGCGAGTGCAGGCCTGTGCGGGCAAAGTTTTGGATTCTTGCTTGGCCCAGGCCTTCTTCCCGCCTTCAGAGTTGGAAAGGAGGGGCTCTAGAGACCTTCGGATGGCATTGGCTATGAGCCGCAGTGGGGACTTGGGTGGAGGCACGTTTCGCTCCCCTTGAGCTTGTTCCGCAGGGGTCCCCATCTTCTCCTGGGCCCCTCTCTGGGTTGGCAGGGGCTCTCCTGCTGCCCTAGGGAGCAGCAGGGGGCGGACTGGTTTTAGCACACGGCCTCCTCTACCATTCTCAGCACTTTTCTGGGAAATTCGCTCCCCAGCTTTGAGGTGCACACTCTCAGGGATGGAGTCATTCCAATCCAACAACATGGTCTTCTGCTCCTGAGTGAGGACTAACTTCTTCAGGCCCAACTTCTCCTTTACCAGCACTGGCCCTCCCTCTTCTTCCTTCCTGGCTCCAGTACTCCCTTTTTCCCGGTCTTCTCCAGCCAAGGGAGATAGCTCTTGCCCTGTCCAGCTCCTGTCCTTCCCCCAGATGGGGTGTGGGTCTCTGTGGTTGCTTCCGATGTCCCCAAGAGGGGCCTCTGCTGGCTGGCACTCATCAGAAGTCATCTCTGCAGGGTCTGAGAGGCCATCTTCACCAGGGCTCACCAGGCAGTACTCTGCCCACTCTGGCTTTGGGTGATGAGGCAGATACAGGGGAATTTCCCTGGGTGCTCCTTGGGCTACGGCTCGCCTCCGAAAGTTTGGGGTGGGAGGACTTGGATGACCTCTCGAGACTTGCGAGAGGGGCTCAGAAGCTGTCATCTAGATGGGATGGGCAAAAATAGCAGTTATTTAAAAATTTTCATCATTTATTTATATGATGAAAGCAAATCTCAATCTACAACCCCCTCCCTGTTTTTTCTTCCCATCTCAGATGCCCAAATTAAAAAATAATTTTGCCTAAGATGATTTTAAAGGGATACTCTTTGTTCTAAGTAGCTGCCTTGGGTCCTGCCAGGATCTGCCTGGAACCCCCGAATCAGTACTGACGAAAGGCTTTTCTGAATCCCAGATTAGCTGGGTTGGAAGCCAGGGGGAAGGCAAAGGTAGGACACTGCTGTTGATAAGCTCCCGGGCCCATGATGGTAGGACTGGCTGGGCCTCTGTGGGTGGCCAGGCACATAGGGGAAGATAAGCTCTTCATTTTCTTGCTCAGCCATTGTCTGTACTAAAAGGCATGATCCACCCATAGGTATGTTCCTCCAACAACCAAGAAACCAAGGCTTCTTCCTTGGAGGCCATCAAAGTAAGAAGCGACAGTCACTCTCTGGGCTGAAGCTGTGGTGGCACAAGGATGGCCCTTAAGACCTTTCAATGACCCTTTTTAACCTCCCACATTGCACCACTGAGAAAGGAGCTATTTCTAGCATGCAGGAACTTGGCCCTTGGCAAAGAGGGAACATGAGTGGACTCTAGGGGTGGCTGTGCCCTCCCAAGACCTCTGGTGCCTGAAGGGCAGGTCATAGCACAGGGGCTTCACCAGAGCACCCATCTTTTCTGTCTTGTGCATTCTACTTTCCAGAGTCTAGAACAGGCCTGGCAGGTAACAGAGGCTTGATAAATACATACAGAAGGAAAGAGTCCAGCCTGCATACCAATGATGACATTTTATATTCAAGGGAGATGTTGCTTCCAAGGTTCTTGGACCCTACCAAAGGGACCCTCACTTCTGTGCCTGCCATCCTACAGCTGCAAATTCCTCAATGCCCTTTGCAAGTTCTCAAGGGAAAGGTGTCCTAGCAGCTCTGTATCTCATGGAGACCTGGCATGGAGTCTAAACCCTGTAAAGTTTGCTGAGGGAATGACTGTGTCCTCAGGGATGGCTGTGAAGGAACAGCAGGAGCTTTTGTGAAAGGTATACATGAAGGCAGCTGGGGTAGACCCTTGACAGAGTATCTTCTGGCGCTGGCTTTGCACTTAGGTTGACCTATGAGCACGTGGAATCCAGAGATAAGTGTGGAAGGTGGGAAGAGTACAGGTAGGTTAGCTTCCTGACACCTGGGCAGGACCCTCAGGGACACTCACCTGAGGCGGGGAGGAACCATCTGGAGCATTCCCAGAAACACTGGTTGAAGAAGAAGATGGTGGGGAAGATGAATGGGAAGACGATGAAGGAAGAGGAAGAGAAGGAGAAGGGTCCTTAGGAGGTGACATAGTTCTTTTGTTCACTGGCGTCAAACCTACCAAGGAAAGAACACACTCTTCATTACAAAGGTGTTATTATTTTATCAAGAAAAGAGGAGGCTTTAAGTGAAGCTCCAATTCTATAAACAGTCAGAAAGAGGAAGATGTCAGAGCCTGACTCAGAGGTTCCTGGTGCCCAAGGCGTGGGACTCAGAGGAATGGGTAGAGCAGTGGCAGGGTCCCGTGGGGCAAAGGAAGTCCCAGGGTGAGAAGTCTAATAACCATTGTGTTTCAGACTCATGCGATGATGCTCTTGAGAGGTGTATCAGGGCATTTCCAGAACATTTCTTAGAAATGCTCATCTGCCTCCAAAGAGCATCCTAAAACCATTGTGGTTGGGAGCTGGGCTGTGTTAAATCACTCAGTCAATAAACCACCTGAGCTTTCTTCCCACAAGATGCTAGACCTTTAGCCATGGGCACAGACAGGATAGACATCCACGACTAATGAGATGGGCTCTTTCTTCTCATATGTGTGCCAAGAGGCTCTCAGACAGGAAGAGTCGTTTGAGATTTTAAGAGCACACAAGAGAGGGAGGTTACAGTGAGTATCAAATCATTGGAAGGATATGGAGTGGGCCCATGCCAAGCTCCTGTTGGTCAGGGAACAAACAGGATACAGTGTGGCTACTCAGAGATGGAGGTGAAAGGAGTGGGGCAGGGCCCTGAGGACAGGCCTGGTTCAGTGCTGTGGGGGGCTGAGATCATCTAGTCTGCTTAGAGCAGAATTCTGACAGTCATAGCCTACTGTAAGATCAACCAAGCTCACATGTGCGCACTGTCTTCCTCTCCCTCTCCCCTCCTTCTCCCGCTCTCCCCTTCCTCCCCTCAAGCATGGTAACCTTAAATCTAAAATCTCAAACATTTTGTCTCCATATTGGGTCATTTGAGATCACTTGTCCTCAAATTGATTCAGTAAAATGCCATGCTCTTTTTCAGATCTGCCCTCTCAGTACCTACCCCCAGCCCAACCAGCTCTCCCATGAACCGTGGTGGCACGTAGGGATGTCCCCCAGAAACTTCCCAGGACCTCCACGTGGAACGAGTCCACTCTCTTGTTCAACTCCCTGCTTCTGGCCACTCAGCGGACCCATTCAGATTTTCCTGCAGGGTGTGTAGCCTTCAGATTTTCATCCACTTCTTAGCGCAACACAATCCCCTGGTCTTAGTTTCCCCAAAGCTCTGAGTGAAAAGCTCTTCCTCAGGGACCCACACAGGCCAGGCCAAACCCAAGTCCCATCCCAAGAAGAGTCCCATTGAGTCCCCTCCACCCCCAGGAGGCCACACCGTTCTCGATATTCTGTCCTGCCTTCCCCCATACATCAATGCGAACATGTGCGACTGTGTGTCCCAGCCGTGGGCTCTGAACAGATGGCACCACACGCACACGGTCAGCAAGCTCCCAGAGGGAGGCCTCGCAGAAAGCTTTGGAGGGAAAAGGTAATTCTGGGAACAGATCTGATCTGAGGGCGGCAGGAAGGAGCTGCTGGGGAGGCGGCTGGCCTGCCTCCCACTACCGCACCCCCATCGCAGCCCACGATTAGAAGGTTCAAGCCTAAAAAGGCAAAAGTTGTGAGTCAGTCCTTGCCTTGCTTCCCGTTCTTGTCCTCAGTTTGCCAAATTCCTTCTTCCCTTCCTCCTTGCACCCTCATTCTCCCTCTCTGCCATCTTCTGAATCAAACTCCTTCACTTGCCTCAAGTCCCCTCAGCTCAACAGACTGCCTTTTTGTTCCCCCTGAGGATCCCTCAGGGACTTCCTGACAGGAAGCCAGGGCCACCTCAGGAAACAAGCCTGACAGAAACACCTCAGGTCTCACGAGGTCATGACCCAGAAGCCACTCCCTTCTTCTCCTTTCTCTAATCCCCACTCCCACCCCTGCTAGGGGGTCTCTTTCTCTCCACATGTGGTCCTCATGCACTGCCTTCAAGATGGAACTCCAGCAGGGCTTGAGGAGATGGGGGAAGCAAAGCCCCAGCTCAGGCCGAGCCCCTTGTCCCTGGGCTGCCATTCAAGCCACTGCTTGGGAGGTGGGCACAGCCTGGGGAGAGAGGTGATGAGAAACCTACCCTTCCTGATGCCCACTGTGTCTTGGGGTTCTCTCAGAAGATGGTGAAGGGGAGCCTGGAAGTCCACTCCTTCACACACATACCAGCTGCCTGGCTCTGAGCAAGTTACTTAACCCCTGTCTCCTCATCCAAAAAGTGGGCTGTCTGGTGCAGCTTCATGGGGTGGTTGAGCAGATAACATGGGCTAAAAAGAGATTGCCAGTTGGCCAGGCATGGTGCCTCACACCTGTAATCAGAGCACTTTTGGAGGCCGAGGTGGATGGATCACTTGAGCTCAGGAGTTCAAGACCAGTCTGGCCAACATGGCGAAACCTTGTTTTTACCAAAAATACAAAAATTAGCCAGGCATGGTGGTGCGCGCCTGTGGTCCCAGCTACTCGAGAGGCTGAGGTGGGAGGATCACTTGAACCTGGGAGGCGGAGATTGCAGTGAGCTGAGATCACGCCACTGCACTCCAGTCTGGGTGACCAAGTGAGACCCCATCTCAAGAAGAAAAAAAAAAAAAACAAAAAAAAACAAGAGGTGCCCAGTGGCACAGGACACAAAGTAAAAGCTAGTTGTCAGCAAAATATGAACTCCATTAGTTTCCCACCCTCTCACGCACTCAAGCCGCGTCCAGTAAAGACATTGCTGAAGCCCTGGCCCATTCCAGAGGGGGCTGCACACTCTACCCAGCCAGGATTTCTCCAACTCTTGAGCCAAGAGCTCCTCATTGGCCAACTCACATCCCCCTCTGCTGGCCGTTTCCTTGAAACCTTGGTATGGCCCACCGGGGGCTGCCTTGCCTTCTGCAGGGGTCTCAGTCACACGTGCAGCTGGCCCTTAGGGTTGTTTTGTGCGAAGGAGGCTGATGCGCACACCAGCGCCTGAGTTTCAGCATCCAGGCTGCCTCTGGGTCAGGCGCTTGTGCTACCTCCTCTCTGGGCCCTCTGGCAGCAGCAACCTTTCTCGTAGATCCTAGAGGTCATCTGGCAGCATGATCAGCTGGGGAGGGTGCCCAGGGCAGCCACATATCCCCTCCGGCCCTCCCACCTGGGGCTTGGGGCCAGAACCAGCTGTGATGGGGCAGTAATGCCTCTGGACAGGAGGGATGGTACCATGCATTCTGCTCCCAATGGCAATGCCAGCCCTGCTCCCTGAGGTTTTCTTTTGGGCAAAGTAAAGACAATAAAAAAGATGGCTCTCGTGGCTTTCAGCTCTGGGGATTTTCGGGAGACTGGGACTCCATGGTGCAGCTTCCCAGAACTTGGAGGTTTTGCAAGGCTCAAATCCCCCTCAAAGTCTTGGAGCGCCCTCTAGGGGCGGCAGCCTGAGCAGGCCTGAATCCATGTCCTCCCTTTGTACGCAGTCCAGCCAGCTCGCTCCTTGGTTCCTTACTTCATTCATTGATTCAGCAAACAAGGATTGGGTTCCTCCTCCGGGCCAGACCATGCTAGACACTAGGCTGATTGAAATGATCAAAACTCAAGCCCTGCCCTCAAAGCAGCTTTTGTATACTCTCGAGAAACGCTGTGCAATACTCCTTGATAACTAAAGGCTGAGTTTCCCAGGCCCATCCCAGACACCATGGGGCTGCTCAGCAGTCCTCTTGCTCCTGCACCTCCCCCAGCGACCCAGCCCTATTGGGAGGGTCTCCCACCAGCCTCCCTGCTCTCACCCCAGGCTGGGAGCTTCCTGAGGAGGGACTGATCCCCCACACTGGTGGCACACAGTAGAGTGGGCTGGAAGCCTTGGGATGGACCCTACACTCATATAGTCCGGGCCTGGGCAGCAGGCTTCCAGGGACTTGGGGAGGGCCAGAGCAGGGCAGTAAAGGCGATGACCCATGTGTGGCAATGCTAGCTCCTCTGCCCTCTGCTGTCGCCGCTGGGGGCTGTCAGAGGATTCAGGAGTGACTCTAGGCTGTCCTCAGATGAAGTGGCCTGCCCAAGAGTGCAGCCCTGGGTCCTGCTCCCAAGGTGCCCCTGTCCCAGCCTGACCTGGTGTGACGGTGGTGCGTCTGGGGATGGTGGGGGAATGACTCACTGGCTGGGAGCCTTGACTCAGAAGGAAGGAAGACCAGGGCTCAGTTCCAACTGCAACAACGTTTCTTGGTAGAAACCCCTGTCTAAGCCAAGGCCTTTCTGGGTCCTCCTCTCCTAGGGTGAGGCTGGAGAGGGAGTGGGTGTGGGGGGAGGTGGAAGGCAGCGATGAGCCTGGAACTGGATGAAGAGTCTCTGCCCCTCGCTCAGGGCCTGAGGAGGTAACTCTGCTCAGTGAGTGCTGCAGTCCCTGGATCCCCGGCCTGCCTAGATGCTGTGAGACTGTGCGTGTTCACTGCGCCCCCTGGCAGGGCCTGCCGCCTCAGCACCTGCCACAGCCCTGCTCTTCCCCAGGACACTGGGACCAAGGGTGACTCAGAAAAAGGAGCAGGTGTGTATGTGTGTGTATGTGTAGGGGTGTGAGTGTGTGTGCGTGTGCATGTGTGTGTGTGTGGATGTGTGGGTGTCTGTGTGTAGCATCCTGTTTTGTGTGAGGCCGTTAATCTGATGGCCCAGTCTCACTCCAGTGTACAGAATCAAATCATAGAGTTCCTGAACCTCAGTTTACTCATCTGTATTTCAAAAAGCTTAGAGGCAATGATGGCTAAGGCCCTGTCTGGGTGAAACTGTAGAATCCTAAGGCTCCATAATTCCTGAGCCAGGGGTGGGGTGGAGGGGGATGGGAAGATCTTGAGTCCCTTGGAAAAGGCTCCCTCTAGTCAGCAGTGGAAATAAAGTCAAGCTTATATTTTATTTCTTGCCTCTGACAACCAGGAGGCCATGCCAGAGAGATACCATGTAAGGAATGAGAACGGCTGCCCCTGAGAATTAACCAGAGATCTTCTGCCCAGCCCCAGCCTCCCACCCCCAGAGAGCTAGTGACTCACTCCACCAGAATTCTCTCCTCCAGTTCTGGTATTTGCTTGGGGTTGGAGACTGGAAGCTATTGGCCCGTTGCAGAGCTGCTGTGGAAAAAGAAAGGGACAGGGAAGATGGGGTGGGAGGAAGAGTCCATTAAATGTGTAGAGTAAGTAGGAATTTATCTCCTATAGCTCAATTACCACAAGTCAATAGACTAATGATTATAATAGACTGAACTCTCTCCTTCCCTCACACCATACTGCTGTCCCCACAACACACTCTACCAAACTTTTCATTTGTTCACACATCAAATATTTTTGTGTTTTTGTTTGCTTGTCACCAGGCTGGAGTGCAGTGGTGGGGTCATGGCTCACTGCCCCCTCGACCTCTCGGGCTCAAATGATACTCCCACCTCAGGCTCCCGAGTAGCTGGGACTATAGGCATGCACCACGACACGCAGATAATTTTTTAATTTTTATTTTTTATAGAGACAGGGTCCCACTGTGTTGCCCAGGTTGGTCTCAAACTCCTGGGCTCAAGTGATCCTCCCACCTCGGCCTCCCAAAGTGCTGGGGTTACAGGCATGAGCCACCACACCTGGCATCAAATATTTGAGACCCTGCTATGGGACAGGTACCACCCTCAGAGAATGCCTCAAATTATGAACCATCATTACTAAGATCATCAGTGAGCATCTACATGCATCTATGCGTATATGCATATGTGTAGACATATTTATACATGCATGTGTACATACGTACATGCACATATTCATTCATGTCAGAACAGTTATTTAAAGCTAAGGTCATCACGGGCCATCAATGTTCCATATATGTAATACATTAAAAACTGGAGCTGCTCTGATTGAAGCCAGGAAGCTGCAGGAAGTTCTACTCTCTGCCTCCCCTTTCCCCACAGAGCCCCCCAAACCCTTTGGAAACCAGGTTTAATTGAGGCTGTGGACCATCATTGCTGTGGCCCTCCCTTGGCCTGGTTCCAAGGGAAACATATTTGCGGGACACTGTACTTCCTGTGGAAGACCCCTCTGCCAGCTGGGCCTTGAGGATTAGCTGAGCAAAATGAACATCACATGCAGAAGAAAAACAGGTCTTGGTCACTTAGGGTGTGAGAGTGGGCAGTGGGGTCCACGTGTTCCCTGTTCCCAGGCAAGGCCTGCAGATGCATTCCCAGGCTTCAGGCCCCTGCGCCTCCATCACTGCTGGAGAGAAAGGATGGGGACGGTGAACATCTGAATGTGCACACAGGCAGGGCCAGGAAGCATGAACGGAAAGGAAGCCCAAGGGCATGATGTGGGTGTGGGAGATGGACGCAGGGAGGGTCTGAATCCAGGACCCTAAATCCAAGGCCCAGCTAGCCCAGCCCTCTGTCTTTCTTTCTGTCTAGAAACAGTCCTAGATATTCCACTCCCTGCCAGGTCTCACAGTGGAACTCTTTCTTAGCAGCCAGGCTGTGGAGCACAGGTGACAATTACTACCTGGGGGCTTTCCTTCCTCAAGACCAGCTCCTTCAGCTCCTCTCTTTCCCTTACTCCATTTGTGAAAATGCCTTTGCAAAAATTATAACTGAGAAAATTATGACAGTGACAGAGATCTGACTTAACCAATCCCTCTTGCTTCTAACCTCCACCCTGTCTTTGTTCATTCCTGGGCGTAGGCTGAACTAACTTTGGGAGGAACTTAGTTTATAGTTTAGTTTGGAAACAAAGACGATAACAGCCCTTTCCCCAGACAAACCCCCTTCCTGCCTGGGGACAAGACTGCCTTTGCAGGACTAACAAATTAGCCGCAAGATTAGAAATTGTGGTTTAAGAGTCATGCAGCTGGAAGTTGCAAGATTCCGAACCTTCCCAAATTGCATCTTGAGGCTAACATCACTATTGTAAAGCCTAAGATCAGTGCTTGGGATATTTTGCAGACTCTGCGCTCAGAGGTTCAACTGGCACCACCTAGATTGATAAACTGGCTCATCTGGTCTTTTAGCCCCCACTCAGGAACTGACTCAGTGCAAGAGGACAGCTTTGACTCCCTATGAGTTCATCTCTGACCTGACCAATCAGCACTCCCCATTTTCCGAACCCCTTCTCAACAAATTATCTTTAAAAATCCTGATCCCCGAGTTTTCAGGGAGACTGATTTAAGTAATAATAAAATTCTGGTCTCCTGTACAGCCAGCTCTGTGTAAATTAAACTCTTTTTCTATCGCAATTCCCCTGTCTTGAGAAATCAGCTCAGTCTAGGCAGCAGGCAAGGAGAACCCTTCGGGTGGTTACATTTGGAGGCGCTTCATGTCTGCTCTGTCTGGCAGGTTCCCAATCCCACAGGCCTGCTCTCAAAATCAAGCCCATGGGTTTGAGGAGGAGCCTGTATGGATGGGCACACAGTCTTCCCAGCTCCCCATGAGGAGATGAATAGCCCACCCCCCAATTGCTGGCTGCCTGGGCTTTCCAGGCTGGATGTTTTCCATAAGGAGCAAGCAGGTCTTAAGCACAGCTACATCCTGCTGGCCAAAGCTAGCCTCTTAATCACTTAATGAAGACATTTCTAAAAAAAAAAATTGCATAAAGCTCTAATTGCTTCTTCTTAGCTTGTAACTTTGTGGAATGGAACCTATTGGAAATGGCTAAAGTTCAAGAGAGATTTTCCATCACTGGTGTTAATAGAACACACATGCACACATTTTTACCACAACGGGAACAATAGGGTGGGTAGTAATGACTTCATCTAGTAATGCTGAGCAGCATAAAGTGGGCTGATCCCTTCTTTTTAGCTTATATTCTATGTGTGTTTATTTATTTTAAAGGAGCACTTTCAGAGATCTTAGTGCATGACCCACTGTAAAAGGAGTGAGAGGGTATTTTCCCATGTGGTGCTGATGATATCATTTCATTGCTACAAACTGATAAGTGTCCTC
The DNA here is from genome assembly GCF_000001405.40 of Homo sapiens. NCBI lineage: Eukaryota > Metazoa > Chordata > Mammalia > Primates > Hominidae > Homo > Homo sapiens. The sequence continues at coordinate 12,284,258 of NC_000011.10, read as the reverse complement.
CATATTCCATTGGATCAAATTATTGCCAGAAAAAAAGATGGATAAATATCAATTCCTCTAAGCCAGAATAATTCGGGGCAGGTTGTTCTCCTAAATCTAATTAGTTTATAGCTAAGAGTCCAATGCACTAGATCGATTCATTTAGTTGCTTGGGTGTGGATTTCACAATGAATTCATCTAGGAAGGCCTTCCACAAAGCTGCATTTCTGAAACTCCCAAAGTGTAGAACATGGTCCACTGTGTCAAAGCCCCTGGGGATGCTTACACAGAATGCACACACTTGGCACCACTCCAGACCCACTCAATCTGAATTTCTGATGGTGAGAACCTGGGAATCTGCCTTTTAAACAAGATTATCACGAATCCCTGACCCTGATGTTTTAGGGGGCTTTCTGCAGCCTCCATAACATAGGGTGTGAGCTGTATTTCAGGCCATCCTCTTGGGCACGCTCTGTGAACTTTGAGGATGTAATAAGTTTCTTCATGTGCCAAGGTAGTCCCCGAAGTCTTTTTAAAAATTGTGGAAAATAATATACATAATATAAAAATTGTTACTTATACATTTTTAAGTCTAGATTTCAGTGACATTAAGTACACTTACCCTGCTGTGCAGCCATCACCACCTCACCACCACCCATCTCCAGAACTCTGCCCTCATCCCAAACTGATGTATGTCCTTTTATGACTGGCTTATTTCCCTTAGCAGCATGCTTTGCAGGTTCATCTAAGTTGTAGCACATGTCAGAGTCCCTTCTTTTTAAAGTCTGAATAACATTTTGCTGTATGGATATACTGCGTTTTGTTTATCCATTTGTCTGTTGAACATTTGATTTGTTTCCCCCTTTTGGCTAATGTGAATAATGCTTCTATGAGCATGGCTGGACCAACGTAGAGTCTTTTTTTTTTTTTTTTTTTAAACTCCACACTGCAACCAGGAGTCTTTTCAAAGCAATATCCTGGTCTTGTCTGGCATTCCCTTGGTCTACCTTGGAGGCATTTATCCAGGTGAGAATTGTGGTTAATGAAGCTCCATAAAACCCACACAAAGGGTCAACCCTGCATTATTTGGTAAAGTGATGGGGTTACCATAACCAGCAGCACAAAGCACAGCACTTAGACCTGTGCCAGAGAGCTTAACTGTACAATGTGGTCCACCTAGCAATGATAAAACAATGACTGATGAAGACTAACTCGACAAAGAATTGTTTGAGAGTCACGCATTCTACCCACTTACCTACTCTGTATTTTATTCTGGCGTTAAACTGGACTGTCAGAAACAAAATGCTTTGGCTTCACTACCCAACCCAACTAGTCTCCCAACACAACCCCATCCCGCTAAGAAAACTGCTATCACTGAGTCATGTTTTTTTGTCATGCCCTCACCTTCCAGCAAGGGTTGCTGTAAGAAACAGCCTCGAGAATACTAAGGCTGCATTTTCTGAGGAACTGTTAAGACATGATCGAACACATTTCTCAATATCATCTATTTGGTATGAGCCAGAAACTACAGAGTTAAGCATTAGGAGAAGTTGTGCCTACTCAGAGACCTGCTGCAAACCAATATATGTTTTCCTCATAAACAATGAGAGTAACGATGTTCTGTGTTTCCTTTTAAATGCTGGAAGCTAGAAAACTCAGAATCAAACTTATGATTCAATTAGAGCAACTGTTTAGGATTATGGTCTGCCTCTCTGGGGTCTATCCCTCCTAAACTGGTTTTGTTAGACCTGATTTTGAGGCTTGATCTTTCATATTTATAAATGTACAATTTTGTTTTATGTTTTTCTTGTAAGTTGCCTAAAACCGTCTGGCAATTGGAGGGGAAATGGAGGGAAGGGATGAAAGGCAGGCCAACTTCATATCTGGAAATGGGGAGCTGGAGCCCAGGGGGATGGAAGGGTACACCAAGGCCACGCAGTAACCAGAGGTGGGGCTGGACCCAGCTGGGCACAGGAGAGTACTCAGTTCAGTGCCAGTGCTGAGCCTTTCTGCACAGCCCCACAAATGGTACTTAACAAATGTGTTTGGATGATAATCTGTCCTTTTTAAAAAGTGTCACTTTTTTAAAAAATGAGGGTAAAATTCAACATTTCTAGAGTAAATTCAACAATTCCAGGATTTAAAAATATCTATATGAGTTCTTTCCGCCCCAGCCCTCGTCTTCCTGGGAAACCATCACTCCTGAAAACATTTCACGGACCAGGTGGCAATTCTGCTCATGACCACCAGGTGGCGATGCAGGACAAGTTGAGCTCCAGCTCTCCCAGGGCAACTAAGGCTGTGGGGCCATTGGGCAGCAAGTTTCCGTCAGGTTAGACTGTTTCTTCCCAGGCTCGTCCAGAAGTTACCCATAAATCAGACGATTTGGTCCCAAATTGTTGACTGAATCAAAACACTCAGTTCCAGGTCAACTTTGTATTAAACACAAGCTGGGCTGCTAAAGACAGCTACCTCTTAGTAAGCCAGAGCTTGGGCAGTGGTGGCTGGAGGGTGGCACCAGCACTGGCTGAGACTTCGGGAGACCACTCAGCCTGTTTGCTCACCTGTGAAACAGGCTTCGCACTAGTTACCCCACAGGGTCATCCTGGGATGACCACACGTATGGGAAAAGTCCTGGCCCATTACAGGTATGCAGTAAAAGTGTATTAATTGTTGTGTAGAAGTTTGGGTGCATCCCACAAGCCCCAAACACTGGTAATGGCCCCGGTGCTGTGCAGGTGGTCCCAGGGAGATGATGCCATCCAGGGCTGCATGTTGTCCAACAGCAGCTGGACCCAGCTCCCTTCCCTCAGGGGCTATGGGATGCTGGAGGGGCCCCTAAGGAGGTGCCCATACAGGAGGCAGGAGAGCGATCACTCCAGGCAAGAGAGACCTGCGGGCCCCTGATCCCTGCCAGCCTGTGACCAACCACAGCCAGCCAGTCCCCGTGATGTCTTCCCCACTGGGATTCCAAAGCTTCTCATGGAGAGGGAAGCCAGGCCTGGTTCAAGTCCCTTCACTGCCACTTGCGTCCCACTCCCCAAAGGTCCTAGCCCCACCGCCTTGAAGCCTGAGGGCGAGGCTTCCTGTCACCTGGTCCTCCAAGAGGGAAATTCAGCTGTGGGGGTCTCTGTTCCCTCCCCACTTCCCAGAATCAAGCCTGGTGGGCTCTCTGCTTACCGTGCACAGCTCTGGGCTCCTCAGGGCACTGTGGAGAGACTGCCCTGCTCAGGGCCTCCCCTAGGGACGTGTGCGGTAGATGCGGGGATCCTGGCCGCCAGGGTTTCTCTTCACAGGGTTCTGTGTGGGAGCCCTCGCTGCCACCATAGTCAGACTCTGTGTCAGAGCTGGAAGGAGGAAGGAGTGGGTGGGTGAGTCAGGGGGCCTGGAACCCATGCCCCAACACACCCACACTGCGTCCTGCCCAGGACTGCTCCAGCGCACCTGGGGGGCCTGGGCTTAGTCCTGTGTGCCCAGAGCCCAGCTTCGGACTTTGTTATGGGTTGAATTGTATTCCTGAAAACTCATATGCTGAAGTCCTAACCCCAAGTACCTTCAGATATGACTGCATCTAGAGATAAGGCCTTTAAGGAGGTCATTAAGGTAAAATGAGGTTGTTAGGCTGGGCCCTTGTCCCATGCACCTGATATCTTTCTAAGAAGAGGAAATGTGGACACACACAGGCACAGAAGGAAAACACTATGCAAACAGGAAGATGCCATCTACAAGCTAAAGAGGGAGGCCTGGAACAGATCCTTCCCTCCAATCCCCCAGTAGGAACCAACCCTGCCCACACCTTGATCTCAGACTTCCAGCCTCCAAATCAGTGAGAAAATACGTTTCTGTTGTTTCAGCCACCCAGTCTGTGGTGCTTTGTTATGGCAGCCAGAGCAGAACAATACAGGCTTGGCTCAGAGCAGAAGGGGCCCAGCAATGCATGAGGAGCTGTTTGAATAAAGCCTGCTCTGCTCACCTGCACCTGCCCCGGAGCATGACTCCTAAGGTCTCTCTGGTCAGATAAGCTCATCATTAGGGACTTGGTCCCGAAACTTCAGGCATTTAAATACTGCTCTCTTCCCCATGGAATGGATGAGGGAATGGAAAATTCTACCTGGGTGGGGGTGAGGGGTGGGTGGTATTTAACATGGGCCTTAAATAACTGGAATTCAAGTGGCAAAGAAGTGGAGGCAGGGTGTCCTAGACAGAGGGGCAGCCCAAGCACACGCAGTTCCAGGATGGGAAAGTACAAAACTGCTCAAGCAGTGATGTGTTAGTGAAACTATATATATCCACACACTCTCTGTACATGGAAATCCAGCAGGGTTCCTTCCACAAGGTCACTGCCACTCGTCCACCTGTGTCTATGGCAGACCCCCTATCCATCAGAGTGCCCAAGCCTGGCTGGTCATGGTGCCCCAGTCCTGTTCACTGATTGTTCCCAGAGGGAAGTATGTGATGTGGGAGTAGCAGCTGGAGGCCTGCCTTGGCATCCTGACCTGAGGACATGAATTTATGGATACGGTCTGAGACCCTCAGTAGCCGAGTTCCATGTGTGGAGACAGCCTCTCTGCCAATGGCTGTAAAAGCAGCAGAGAGAGAGGCAGGAAGGGAGAGGGGCTGTTTGAGACTCTGGCTCCTGCCCTGCCTGAATGAGGACCACCCTTGGACTTCCCAGTCAGACGAGCCGATGCATTTGCCTTTGTTACCGAAGCTAGTTTGAGTTGGGTTTCTGCCTGTTATTATGGAAACAGGCCTGCCTACGTGGAGGCTTAGAAGACTCTGAAGGCTGTGTGATCCAGGGCAGGTCATTTCCCTTCTCTGGGCATCAGAATGAATCACCTGTGGGATGCTCAAGCCTATGTTCCCAAGCCCCATTCCAGAGTCTGCATGACCAAGACTTGACGAGCCAGTTGTCTACAACTGCAGTCCCTGCTTTCCCCTCATGTTCTCCCCACATCTACTCGTTCACTCCACCGAGGCCACTTTGTCCAAGTTAACAATGAGCCTCCCGTTGGAAAGTCCAAAGGTCATTTCTCTATACATATCCGACTGGGCTCTCCAGCAGCCTCTGATGCAGAGAACCAAACCCTCCCTCTTGAGACACTTTCTTCTCTTGGCTTCCACCACGTGCCATCTCCTGGTTCCTTTGCTCCCCAGTGGGTTTTGCTAGCTCCTTCTCCACTTGCCTACTGAATGTTCAAATGCCCCAGAGCTCTCTTCTGAGCCCAGCTCTTCTTTGTCTACAGGAAGATATTCTTACTGTGGAAACAACCCATCAGAGCCCTGGGCTTTAATAGCCTCTAAAATCACCATCTCCAGCCCTGCCTCCCAGAACACTTACATATTCAACCACTTACCTGACATCCACAAAGACACCGGCATCTCAAACCCAACGTGCCCAAAACAGAACTCTTGACTTTCTCCACTAACGTGCACCTTCTCTGAAATCTTCCCCACCTCAAGATAACTTTAGAAATGACCATACCAGCCATTCAGTCACTCTGGAAAAATTCTGAGAGTCACTCTGAAATTCTCTTTCCCTCTCATTCAGTCCATTAACAAATCCATCTCCACTGCTCCCATCCTGACCCCGAGCTGCAGGCTTCCACCTGCTCTTCCTGCCTTTATCCTCACACACGCCTGCTTCATCCATTCCCCAAAGCGAGGCCTGCTGATCTGTGAAAACTGTAAATGAGATGTTACTCTTCTACTTAAAAATTCTTTGAATTACAGTCATGTCTTTCATAATGATGTTTTAGTCAGCAATATAACCCATATTTGATGGTGGTCCCATAAAATTATAATGGAGCGGGAAAATTCCTATCACCTATTTACGCCGCAGCCCTTGTTAACATCGTAGGGAAAGGTGTCACTCACGTGTTTGCAGTGATGCTGGTTTAAAACCTACAGTGCTGCCAGTCAGTTAAGAAGTAAAGAATAAAAAAGCTTATAGAATAAGGGTATAAAGAAAGAAAATATTTTTCCAGCTATTCAATGTGTGTGTGTGTTTTAAGCTGTGTTACTACAATAAAGAAGTTTAGAAAGTAACAAAGTTACAGTAAGCCAATTTATTATTGAAGAAAGAAAAATATTTTTCAAATAAATGTAGGGTAGCCTAAGTGCACAGTGTGATAAAGTCTACAGTAGTGTACAGCGATGTCCTAGGCCTTCACACTCACACACCACTCACCCACTCACTCACCCAGAGCAACTTCCAGTCCTGTGAGCTCCATTTATAGTAAGTGCCCTATATAGGTGAACCATTTTTTATATTTTCTACTGTATTTTTACTGTACCTTTTCTATGTTTATATATATTTAGATTCACAAATACTTACCATTGTGTTACAATTGCTGATAGTATTCAGTAGAGTAACACAATGTGCAGGTCTGTAGCCTGGGAGCAATAGGTTACACCATATAGCCCAGGAGTGGAGTGAGCTTGCCCATCTAGGTTTGCATAAATGCCCTCTATCATGTTCACACAATGACAGAATCACCTGATAACACATTTCTTAGAACATATCTCGGCTATTAAGCGATGCATGACTGGATACCCAGAACACAATTTAAACTCCTTACCTTGTCTTATAAGCCTTGCTCCTGCCTTCCTTCCTGGTGTAATCTCTTATTCTTTTCCCACTCAGGGTGTACCTGCCGCACCGACCTTCTCTTAGCCCAGACACACTCAGTCTCACCCAGGGGCCTGTCACTAGCTGTTGTCACTTCCTGCATTCCCCTTCTCCCTTTGCTGTCCTTTCTTGCCAACCAATTCTCAGCTTAAATGTCACCTCCTCTGGGAGGCTGTGGGAATTTGTCTGCAAAGATGGTTGCAATTATTCCCTTTAGATCCATGCCCCTTTGCAATGGGGGCTTTGCAGCTCTTCCCCTAAAGAGAGCAGCCTATTCCCCACTTGTTGAATCTGTTTAGGCCTTGTGACATGCTGTAGCCAATCAGATGGCACTGGAGCAGCACTGTGCGTTGTCAAGCCTGGGGCTCAGGAGATCTTGGATGCCTCCCCTCTTTCTCTTAACAAGCCTGGACTGCCAGTTGGAGGATGAAAGACCCACGGCCCAATAGCCCTCTGTCACCCCAGCTGACACGCAGGCTCCAGAGCAGAACCCTACTGGCCCAAACACACAGGCGAGCCCACCAAGACCACAACTGCCCAGCTGCACCTGGCTTACTTGGTCAGGGTTGGCTTACTCCGGTCTACTTTTTTACACAATCGTGGTGTAATGAACGGTGGCTGGTTTAAGTCACTCGCTTTGGGGCTGGTTTGTCACTCAGCATTATTGTGGGCATCAATAATTGCTACAGAGGCCTTTTCCTGGCCACCCAATCTAAGGCAGCTGACCAGCCACTCTCTAGCATATGTGTCTATTTTATTTATCGACCTGGCGCATAGGTGATGCTTTTCTTGTTTAGCTACTTAACTTGCTTCCTAGATGGCTCCCAATGTGATGGAAACCATGGGAAAGCAAGGACCTTGTCTTGTGTTGGCCGCTGCTATTTCCTCAGAGTCTAGTAAATAATAAGCAATCAATACCTGCTGTTGACTTACCTCTTGAGTGAATTCAGTGCATCTGGGCGAGTCCTGGAGTCTGCATGTCTAATAACCACTCCAGGTGCTTCTGATGCAGGTGATGAGGACAGCGCTCTGAGAAACAGTCACCTAAGGCACCAGGGCTTCGCTCCTCATGTTCCCCACTCTGAATCCTAGCCTGCCCAGCCCCATGCATCACCATCTTGCAGTGGGCGGCCCTCGGGACAGGTGACACCCATTCTGCACCCCTCACTACAGTCAGCATGACACTGCCTCCTGAGAAGAGCATGGGGCCAGGCCCTTTCTCTTCCCAAGAAAATAACAATTGCTAACACTTACAGTGCTTATGACGTGTGGGCACTGTTCTATACACTTAACACATATGAATTCTGTGAATCTTACCACTCCCTCTGAGATGGGTACTATGATTGTCGCCATTTTACAGATGAGGAAATGGAGGCACAGAGAGGCCACACTGCAAGCAAGTAGAGAGAAGACCCAATCCCAAATGTGATTCCCTTCCTCCAACCCCGCTTCTGTCCCCATCTGGCAGCAGCCTGAGCATACCTGCTGTCTTCGCTGGTGACCAGGACACGCACAGCCAGCACATCCTGTCCAGCTGCTTCCTCCCCAGGGCTGATCCTCACTGAGGTCCACTCGGAGGGCAGGGGAGAGGCAGCGTCCCCTTCCGCATCACTGTGCTGTGGCTCAGAGATGCTCTTCGGCCTCTTGGGGGAGGTGGGCTCATCTGCTGAGAGGAGAGCAGGGTCTAGAGAGATGGTGCAAATGAATGGCCTAGCAGGACCCTTCCAGGGGCTCAGGGCCCCTCTAGGCCTGGGGTCTACTCAGATACTCCAAAGCTGACCTTCTTGTCCTCCGTGCCACCTCTGGAACCCTCACCCCCGAGCCTGCCAGATGCCCAGGCATTTAGGGCATATTTCCCACATGTAGGGCGTGAATGCACAGATCATCCCATTTAGTCCACAGGGAAGGTTCTGAAACATTCAGAGGGGCCATTCCAGGCTAACCAGCCTCTGAACTGCTGCTGTCAAGACGGCAACATCCAACATGTTGCTAAATCCAGTGGTAACATCTCAGTTCTCATCTTATTCGACTATTCTACACACCAGCAGCATTTGACCCAGCTGGTCACTCCGTCCTAGAAACAGCTCTCTCAGCTTCTAGGATGGCAAGGCCTGCCCAATCCCCAGCCCCTTCTTCACTGGCTATCTCCTTCATTTCCTCTCCTGGCTCCACCTTCTCCCCTTGACCTTGTAACACTGAAAGATCCCGGGACTCAGTCTCTGAACCTCTTTTCTTCTCTGTCTACACTCATGCTCTTGATGCCCTCATCTGGTCTCATGGCTTTAAATAACCCCAGGCAACAATGACCCCCAGATTTCTATCTCCAGCCTGGACATTCCTGATTCTAGACTTATATAGACCACTGCTCACTTGCATCTCCGTCTACGTGTCTAACAGACACATCAGACTCAACAAGTCCGAACAGAGTTCTTCATCTTCTCCACCCACCCAACATGTCTTGCCCATAGCCTTCCCCCTCTCAGTAAATGGCAACTTCAGCTTCCTGTTGCTCCAGCCAACACCTCGCCAGCATCTTTGACTGCTCTTGTCCTTTCGTTCTTCATTCAAGTCATCGGCAAATCCTGGTGGGTCTGCCTTCAAAACACGTCGGGAATCCAGACCCCTCTCACCGCCTCTCTGCTTCCCACTCCTGGTCCAGCCACCATTGTCTTTTGCTTGGATCATAGAAACTGCCTCTGCCTGGCCTCCGTCCCTGCCTCTTGCTGTGCCCCACCCCCACAGTCTATTCTCAACACAGCAGCCAGGGTGACTCAGTTAAAACCTGAGTGAGATCATGCCACTCCTCTGCTTAAAATCACCCAGTGGCCCCTCATTTACTCAGGGTGAAAGCTGAAGGCCCTACCGAGGCCTGCAAAGTCCAAGATAACGTAGTCCCCAGTGCGTCCCGTGACCTTGTCTCCTAGCACTGGCCCCAGGCTTGCCCTGTCCTCACCATGGCACCTCCGTGATGCTCCTCCAGCACTCTGGGCACACGTCCTTCTCAGACCCCTTGCACTGCTCTTGCTTCTGCCTGGAAGGTGTTATCCCCAGACGTTTCCATGCAGGCCTCATTCACTCACTGGCTGTCTTCAAGTCCTTGGTGGAACGTCACCTGCCCTGACCATCCTATTTAATATTGCAGCCCATGCCTCAGTGCTCTCCATTCCCCTTGATTTTCATTCATAGTGTGTCTCACCCTCCAATAAACTATACAATTTCCTTTTTTCATTTTGTTTATTGTCTCTTTCTTCTATGACTAGAATGTAAGCAGTGATTTTTGTCTGTTTCATTTGTTGCTAGGGTGGTACCTGGTGAACGGTAGGCGTTCAGTGAGTGTCTGCTGAATGAGTTCATGAGTGAATGCGCCCAGCTCTGTCTTGGCCACTAACTAGCTAGGTGACCTCATCTCCAGGGACAGTGTCCAGAGAACAGGTGTCATTTTTCCTCTTCAAGATGGAGCCTTCACCTGAACTTGGCTCCCTCTCACTTCCCTCCTCCCTCTCCACAGTGTCATTCTTGTGTCCTCATTTGTCTACTGAATCTTTCCTGTCTATATTTAAATATGCTGAAAGTCTCCTGTCTTAAGAAAACTTGTTTTAATCCCAGTCCTCACCCCCAGCCCCCAGCCTACTCTTTCTTCTTCCTTCTTAGCCAAGCTTCCTGGAAGGGTTGGCTACACTCTTCTCTCTCTCCTCTTCTTTATGAACCCTCTATTCCTATAATCCTGCCTGTGCCTCCACCACTCCCAAACTACCCCCAGCACAGTCCACAGTGACCTCCTTGTTTCTAAGTCCAATTCACAGGACTTTGGGAGTCCTCCTGCGGTCCTTGAGCCTGCCCTGTCCCTGCTCCTGGGGACACCTTCTCTCCCTGCCCCTGTGGCTGGCCGTCTCAGCTATCCAGTATTCCAGCCAACCCTTAAACACCTGGGTTCTCCATGCATCCACCTGAGCCCTCTCATCTTTTTACCCATGTGTTCTCTCTGGGAGATACAATCTCTTCCCAAACTGTATTTATCACCTGTGAAGATGACTGAAGAAATTTTGATTTTTATGTGAAATACCTCATCTTAAAATATCAGACACATCAAAAAAAAAAAAAAAACATGTCTGCAGCAGACTGAGCAAGTGGGTTGCTAGTTTGTAGCCCCTGGTGCGTGTGGATGCTTGCTGTGTGCACGTGTCTACACTTCTAAGTTAGTGTAACTGGGGATGGAAGGCATTTGAGGAATGTAGTCAGATGCTTCACTACATAATAATAATGACATGGCGATGGTGGTGGTGGTGGCAGCATTAGTCATAATAAAAGCAGTAGCAGCTTACTTTTATTGGGTGCTCAATATATACCAATAATTGTTTGAGCATTTGACATGTATTAAGTCTATTAAATCTCACCCGATCCTCTCAGAAAAGCGTTGTTATTACCCCCATTTTCCTGCTGAGAAAACTCAAGCACAGAGAGGTTACGACACCAGCACAAGGTCATGTATTCTGTCAGAGGACGGGGATCAGTCTGCGTGTCTGTGAGCACAACAGAACCATGAATGGACACTGTTGCGCATGACCTTTGTGCTGGGAGTTTTGGCTGGAAAGTGCCCCCAGTTCTTTTCTCCCTCCCTATACTAGAGTTGCGCTTTACGCTGTGACTTTGCAGTCCTTCCTGCTGGAGTTGGTGGGGTGTATAGCCCTGCCCCATGGACGTGAGGCTTGGCGGCAAGGCTTGCTTTGACCTGTGGTAACTCGTGGATGGGACGTGAGCAGAGGCTTTAAGTGGGCCTGCCAGTTGGCTGTCACTCATGTTCCTGCTAGGTTACATGAAAAGAACTTGTCGCAGGTGGCCACTACCCCTTCAGTCAGGGTCCCTGATTGAGGGCACATGGAACAGACCTGGAGCCAAGCTATAGCCTGGAGCCAACCCAGTCAATCCCTTGGGGCCTCCCTCGCCCTTAGACCTACAGCCTGAAGCAGAGCTACTCAGTCAACCCACAGACTCCTGAGCAAGAAAATAGGTGCCATATGCCACTGAGACTGGGGAGGCTTATTACATAGAATGACTGTGGCAAAGACCCAGCTCCATGCCTTGCTTCTTGTGTGCCTATGAGCTGTGTGCCCAAATGCTTGTATTTCCAATAGATGCTGTGTCCTCCTCAGATCCAGGCCTGTGCTAGGGGTTTGGGGATGAACCTGCCACCACAATCCCTGCCTTCAAGGATCTCTTTCTGTCTCACAAGGGAGATAAGGCATGTTCACAAATATCTACGTGATAAGACAAAGCATGTAAGAGTGAGGCATGGAAGAGGCAGAAGGGGAGGGAGATCTGACTTCCATGCAATAGCAGCTTTGGGTTAAAGGCACTGCTATGACTGGGCTTGGGGATGAGGGGAGAGAGTGGTGGAGTCCAGGGTGGCCTAGCAGGATGAGGCGGCTGCGGGTGGCCAAGGCAAGCTCAGCTATGCCAGTCTGCAGAGGTACCAGACCCACAGCCCCCACGCCTCAGAGCCCAGACCAAACCTGTAAGGAACACCCAGTGTCCTGCTTTTCTCTTTCCTCCTTCCATGGAGGGATGGAACAGGCCAGGGCTCAGCCTGGCTCCCTGGGCTCCAGGAGGGTGGAGGGCACGGCTGACAGATGGCCTCTCAGAGCACAGAGCCAGGGCCAGCGTCTCTCACAGTGAACCCAGACATCAGGGCAGGGACAGCAGTGTTGAGGTAGAGACTCTGTAAAAAAGAAGCTGGTACTTCCTCTGGGCCCCCTTTTGCCAATGTGCCCAGACAAAAAGCCTCAAAGGAGGCCAGTCTCCTCCCCGACTTCTGCAGTCTAACACTCAGGCCATGGCTAGTGCTGGGTTTTATGGGGTTCAGTGCCACCTCCACGAGAAAATTCCTCCAGTCAAGTGGCTACTTCCAGATATCTCTTTTCATTCCCAGACAGCTCCATCTGTGTGCGTATAACAGTAGTAATACTAGTGGCACTAGTACAAATACTGGAAATAATGCTAATGACAGTAACAAAAGCAACACTGACTCATCGAGTGCCCATATGCCTTCATCCACCCTAGCATCCCAACAGCCCTAAGAGAACGGTATTAGCATCCTCACAGGATGAGTGGAAAAGATTGGAGTCCAGAGAGAACACCCACCAGGCCAGCCAGTGAGTGCACAGTGCTGGGTATCACCGCAGCTGGGCCTCCGGCTGCTGGGCACAGAGCAGCTGCACATGTGGCCAGCCCCAGGTGAAGAGCCAGGTGTGCTCACCTGTGCTGCATGCCCACACCACCAGCCCTCTTGCTGTCTCCCTGAGGCTGGCTGCTCTTTAAGAGTTTGCCTGAAGCCATCTTTGCTCATTTGGAGAATGAAGGACTCTAATGGGGGCTGGAGGATGACAGGAGAGGAGGTACCTAGGAGTCATGGGTGAGAAGGATCCAGCACCCTGCAGAGCAGCTGCTGCCAGCCTGTGGCACGAAGCAGCTTTGCCCAGAACTGAGCACCTCAGCCTCATCTCAGCTCTGGCCAGATACCTGCTCCCTGACAAAAGATAGGACTTCAAAGATCCTAAGTGCCGGGTCCAAGGCCTACCTATGAGCCTGGGAAAGGCAGAGCCAGGCAGGGTCTGGGGAAACGTCTGTCCTCACACATGGCTCCCAACAGCCAGGTCCAGAGGCCCTTTCCTGGCCAGACCCCTGCCGCAGGGTTATGGAGAGGCGCGGCACTCCCTGGTTCTGCGGGTGAAATTGCTGCTGCTTTCTACTCAAGTCTGAAACTCTTCCACTCACCCCCAGAACCCAGGGAGATGACAACGCAACAGGCCTCCTGTGTGCTGCTATTAACCCCACTTTGCAGGAAAGGAAACCAAAGCTTGGAGGAGTTATCACACTTGACCAATGTCACACAGCTCCTAATGGCCAGAGCCATCTCTGGCCACTGTCCACTGTTCTCTCTGCAGAGAAAAGTTGAGAAAGAAAGCGGCAAAACTAAGAGGATCAGGATCCAGTCAGGAAGACAGGGCCAAGCCAGGGAGTTCAACAGAAGCATCCAGACAGGAAATGAACTGCAATGGTGCCGGAAGAGCTAAAAGCCAAACAGGGATGAAGCAACCCAGAGAGGAGCAGCAGCAGGCCACTGTCCCTCAACAGCAGAGGGACAAGGAGAAGAGCTGGTGCCACCAGAGCCCAGAGGCCACAACACTGCCACTGCTGCAAGGCAGGGAGCTGGGAGGGACACCCTGGCTTCCCCTTGGATCCTGCCCTCCAGCCCCACACCAGCGCGTCCAGCAGTCAAAACTAACAGTAAGCCAGTTTCAAGGGAGCTGGAAAATGTAGTTTGCAAGGGATACGCCTTTTCAATACAGAGCCAGCCAGAGAAGGGCGGGGAAGGCATCTGAGCACACACAGGTAGATATCTGGGATTCTGAGCAGAGTGGCCTCCCTGCCCTCTTATAAGAGGGGACACTACAAGTCCCCAGCAGGATGAGGGAGGGCCCTAGGAAGATGCTTGTGGCAGGCAGTCCTTCTACCCACTGCCAGTGTATGTCACAATTGCTCTGGGAAGGAGACTAGTCGATGCCAGAGCCAAAGTCCTTTTCAGTGTGTGGCCCTTTAGGGAAAAGGCACAGGTACCAAGATGGGCTGGCTGCCCTCATGGGGGCTTCTGAGAGTGACCCCTCAGGGTGCAGTCATGGGAACAGGAGTCCACGGATCTTCAGGGGGTGAACCAATTGATGGGCAATCTTCGGCCTCTGGCTCCTCTGCCCTGGGGCATGGCTGTCCTGCCTTGCTGTACTCCTTCCAGGAGTGGACCTGGCCCGTGTGTGTAGGTGTGCAGATACACACGGACACACCCTCCACTGCCCACAAGCCAGGCGTCATTCAAGGGGCCCTGGCTGGCCCTAGCAGTAGCCTTTGTGCAGGGACCAATAAATTAAAATGTAAACCTGAGGAAGATGCAAGCTTTGACAGGCAGTGCCGAGCCTCAGCCCCTTCCCCACGGCCCTCAGCAGAGCTGAGCAGCTCCTCCCACGAAGCCCTCATCCTGGACACTGGGCCAGACACAGGGAAATGCTGCCACAGACGGCTGGCGATCTGGCACCAGCCCTCAGCACATGGCTCCCTCTGGACACCAGGACTCCTCCATTCAGGTGAGGGGTGGGGGCACACGCTGTATCTTCCCAACAGCTCTGCAGGCTCCAGAGTATCAGGGAAGCTGAATTTCTTTGCTAACAGCAGCATGTCTGGAGCCTTCTTCTTGGAACCTGCTTCTTTTCTTCCCTCTTCTTCTGACACTACAGGCACTGTGTCTGGCCAGCTGTGAGCCTTCAGCTTTGGGCACAGCCAGGACCCATACCCGCATTCCTCTGAATGAGGAGGGCAGGAAGAACTCTAAGTTTCTCGGAAGGCAGCCCAGCAGCAACCCTGTAAAGCAGGAAGGGAAGTAGCCTGGGGCCCACTGTCATTCCCTCCTGTTCAGAACCTGGCCAGAGCAGCAGCAAGACCCCAGCACTGAGCAAACAATCCCCGTCCAGCTGCCACATGTCCCCAAGGGAGTCACAGCCAGGGCCTGGTGTGGGTTGGGGATGGGAAAAGAGAAAATCTGATCTTCTGGCATTTCTAGGCTCCTACAAATGGAAGAGTTGGACTCTTATTTTTTTTTTTCCTTTGAGACGGAGTCTCGCTCGTCGCCGAGGCTGGAGTGCAGTGGCACAATCTTGGCTCACTGCAAGCTCCGCCTCCCGGGTTCACACCATTCTCTTGCCTCAGCCTCCCGAGTAGCTGGGACTACAGGCGCCTGCCACTACGCCTGGCTAATTTTTTTTTTTTTTTGTATTTTTAGTAGAGACAGTGTTTCACCATGTTAGCCAGGATGGTCTCGATCTCCTAACCTCCTGATCCGCCCACCTTGGCCTCCCAAAGTGCTTGGATTACACGCGTGAGCGACCGCGCCCGGCCGAGTTGGCCTCTTTATCTGAGGGTGGGTCCCCTGCTTCCTCAGCCCCTCTGCTGCCGGGCAGGCAGCCTCTCTTGGTCTCAGTTATAGGCACTTGCAGGATAACTGGGCTCAGGGGATCAAAGCCATGCTGAGCCACCCATATGCCTTGGCATGGGGGCCGCACCCTCCAGCCCAGGTTATGGTGGGTGGAGTGTTCCCCACCCTGTCCCTTGTCTCACATCTGCCACCTGGATTCCTGTGTCAGGACCCCAGAGCAAGGCACAGTGAAGAGGGGACAGAGGATGTGTGTGGGCCAGTGGCCTGGGCCTTGATGCCCCAAAAGGGATGCTGCTGGAACTGCTCTCTGCTGCCAACCTCAGCTTGTCCCTGAGAGGAGGCATCCAAGGCCCACCTGCTGCTGTGCAGACCCAGCTCTCCCAAGAGTTGTACATGACAATGATGCCCCTCAGAAGGCAAAATAGAAGCAAAATCAAAACTCCCTTCTCATAATCAGGGGGTCTGCAGTGGCAGCCAGGACACACAATGTCAGACTTCTCTTCCTCCAGGTCTCCCTCCTGAACCATGCTGGATGCCAGCCAGACCTTCCCCAGCCCGAGATGGCTGCATGTTCTGCAGTCTGAGGTCCAGGCCAGAGGGCATATATCCTAAAAATATTTTTTGAGGGCCCACTATGTGCTAAGTGCAATTCTGTCGGGGTTATACAAGCATTGAAAGGCAACCAAGACCCCTGCCCTCATGGAGTTTGCATTCAGTGAGCTGGAGAGCTGCTGGAGTTTTGAGCAGCAGTGAGACATAAATTCTAAAAGGATCATCCAGGCCAGGCACAGTGGCTCACACCTGTAATCCCAGCACTTTGGGAAGCTGAGGCGGGAGGATCACTTGAGGTCAGCAGTTCGAAAACAGCCTGGCAAAACCCTGTCTCTACTAAAAATACAAAAGTTAGCTGGGTGTGGTGGCGGGTGCCTGTAGTCTCAGCTACTCGGGTGGCTGAGGCATAAGAATCACTTGAATCCAGGAGGTGAAGTTTGCAGCGAGCTGACATCACTCCAGCCTAGGTGACAGAGTAAGACACTGTCTCAAAACAAACAAACAAATAAATAAAAGGATAATCCGGCTGTTTTGTTGAGGAGGTTGAGGGGTGAAGGGAGAAGCAGGAGGCCTCAGAGGGGTGGCTGCAATAACTTGGATGACAGTGGCGGAGGGTGGTTAGTGCGGAGGTGGTGAGGAATGGACAGCTTCTGGATATTCCTCAAATTTGCTAATGGATTTCGTGTGAGGTCAAGAGAAAGAAGAGTCAAGAATGACTCCAGGGCCTTTGGGCTGAGCAACAAGAAAAGGGGAATTGCAGTCTCCAGAAATGGGGAAGGCTAAGGGCAGAGCCTGTTTTGGGGGAAAATCAGCAGTTGGAGTGGACATTTGGGCTGGACATGCCCAGTAGACATCAGGTGTGGAGCAAGCGGGCAGCTGGGCACAAAGTGAGAGCCTATGCCCCCTCCTTGCTGAGACTCGGGCACTCACTAAGGCAAAACCAAAGTCCACCGGCAGGTGGTGGGAGGGAAGGGGAGCTCCAGAGCTGAGGCCTGGGTGTCCGAAGGGAGGTGGCTGTTGCCTTTAAGAAGGCTGGGGAATCAGAAACCTGGAGGAAAGCAGATGGTGCCACCAGTGTGAATCGAGACCGCTGTCTAGTTCCCAACCTGAAGGTGTCCTGTCAGGCGTTCTGAGCCCCAGTTAATCGAGAATGCCCGACAAGTTTTCCTCTGGGCGCTCTATGCTGTGCAAGATCAGGAAAGTGCTATCTAGAACATGGCAAAGAGATCTTGCTGTCCTGAGAGTCAGACACCTTGAAAAACCCTACACTAGAGGCATCCTTAGCCCCAGTTCACAGAAGGGACCTGTCTAATGCCACTGAGTCAGTACCAACTGCTGGGAGCAAAGCCTGGTCTTTGGTGGAGCCCAGGCCCTCAGCATGCACCGAGGTTCCTCTTAGAGCAGGCACCTGACTCCTAGCCTGGGCTGTGGGACTCAGTCCCTTCACAGTGGAAAATGTGGCTCTAGACTTGCTTCTGCCTCCCTAGTATCAGGAGCTTCTTTAACATCAGTACTGACCGCAAGGTTGCCACAAGGAGGTGAAGAGCTAACGAAGTTCTGCACATAAAATTCTTGGCCCACTACCTGGCACAGAGAAAATGTTCCCTATATAACAGCTGGCTGGGGGGCAGTAAAAGATGCAGTAACTTCTTTTACTTACTTAAGCCTTTTTTTTTCTTAAGTTGTAAAAATGAATGCATTTATAGAAATAAAGGGGAACAGCCCACCCACTCTGCTTGACCGACTTACACATTCAAGTTGCACAGATTTATTTCTTCTGCTGGATTATTTCCTCAGGATAAATTCCCTGCAGTAGAATTATTAGGCCAAGAGGTCAGAGCCCTTTTCTGGATCTTAATCAGGGTTGCCATAATGCTTCCCAGGAAAAGATTCTCCCAGTTTACTTTTTACTCAATACTTGGGATGAAGTTCATATTTTTTTCTTACAGTTTTACTTTTTTCTTTACTAATTCAGTAGATGCACTATAATTTTTATTATTTTCTTTTTGAGACAGAGTCTCACTCTGTAATCCAAGCTGGAGTGCAGTGGCATGATCTCAGCTCACTGCAACCTCTGCCTCCTGGGTTCAAGTGATTCTCGTGCCTCAGCCTCCCAAGTAGCTGGAATTAAAGGCATGTGCCACCGTGCCCAGCTAATTTTTTTTTAGTAGAGACAGGGTTTTGTCGTGTTGGTCAGGCTGGTCACGAACTCCTGACCTCAAGTGATCTGCCCGCCTCAGCCTCCCAAAGTGCTGGGATTACAGGTGTGAGCTACCGCACCTGGCCCATGTGCACCATAATTAATTTACTTCCTTTAAAAACCAAGTAGGAATACTTTTGTAAATGCTTGCTTTTTCTTTTTAGTGTTTACTTTTAAAATTTGCTTAAGGGTAAATTGCCTGTTCATAGCCTTTGCCTATTTATCATTGACTCTTTAATCAACAAATATTAACTGATCATCTACACTATGAGAGGTGCCCAGGAACATCTGTTTTAAATGAACCTTGAAAATACCATGCAATGAACTTCTTTGTTATTACATTTAGTTCATATTTTTCCCTAGTCTAATGGTCTATTTAATATTTTATTACTCTACATTAAGTTTTAAAAATGTATATAATCAGATTTGTGTCATGTTTTCCCTGTGTGGTGTTCTTCCTATTAGAGGATTTATGCTTAGAAGGTTATCACCCCATATCTAATCAATACTTAATTCCATTTAATATTTAATTATATGGTTTTCCTTTTAAAATTCTAAGTCTTTAATCCAATATCTCTGAATTAAACACTAGTCTACCAAAACTATGTATGTAGAATGCAATATTCAAAAAAAGCAAACCAAAACAAAAACAAAATGTTCACATAAGTATGGGACAGCTGACTTTCACAAAGTTGATTAAACTTCCCTACAAGGATGCCTCAGAGACTTGACATGCTAATGAATCTTGCTAGTCTCCAGGACGGGGGAGGACTGGCAAGATCAGTACAAAATATTCCTCAAATGTTGTGATCATGGACTCCTTTGTTGGTGAAGCACCACTTGGGGTGTCACGCTTTGACAATAAAGTGACGATTTTTGTCTGCTTTACTCCCTGCTGTATTCCTAGTACATAGTAGATGCTCAGGAAATATCACAGAGTTGAGCAAACAAATGAGCACATGCACAGTTAAATATAACAGATCTCATCTAGTACAGCAATACTGAGCCACATCTCTAAGGTGCAGGGAGGTGTGGGGACTTCGCATGGTTCCCTGCTGTACCTAGGGCTTAGAATAAGGCCTAGGACAAACATTTGCTGAATAAATGAATGCATAAAGGAATGAGTCACTTGCACAGCCCAGCACCTGACTTACAGTCCCTAACATCCCTCCTTAAATGGAAGTGGGAATATATCACCCAGGTAAGAGTACAGAACCCTTGGTCATGACCTGAGGCAGCTCTGAAGGTAGATCCAGGCATCAGAGACCAGAGCCTCAGGAACACCCATTTGGAGGTGCCAGGGACCTCATGAGGTTCACAGGTGACTTTTCATACCACTGTCAGAAGCCCAGCTACGCCCAGCTACGCCCAGCCAGGAAATGGCAGGCATCCCACCCAGGGGAGGCTGAGGACCAGATGACTTTGGCACTGCCCAGGATAGCCAAGTGAGGCTCCAAATCTTTCCCTTAAACACAGCCTGGAGTTGCCTGGGGCCTGCCATGAATACTATACTTCGGGTGGTGCTAGGGCAGGGCCTCACACCATAGATACTGAATACCCTGAGCCTTTGGGACAGGAGAGGTCTCTTAGGATGGCAGTGGCTCTCCATCTGATGAGCACACTGCCAACTTCATTGCCATCCTAATATTGATGCCCAGTCCTTCCTACTTACCTTCCACTTGCCACTCAGCTGTGCACCAGCGTGAAGTGTTCCAGACCAACCTTTGCTGAATAGGAACCTAAATTAGTGTAAGGTTCATGGGGAAAGCTCTCCTGTAGAGCCACGCTTGGGTGTGCGGGGGAAACGGGTAAAGGTAGCCATCAATACAGTCTGCTTCTAATCGCTGAGGGGACACTGACCCTCACCCACTATGCCCAGCATCTAGAACAGCAAAGTACAATGAGTGTTCAAGAAAGAGATCCCAAAGCCTAGCCCAGGAGCATTGGTGACAGTTTCCAAATATTACCCAGGGGTAATATTTCCTTTCAGAGTGCCCAGCGCAGCCCCAGAGAGTCCTGTGTTACCTCAAGTGCAAGTCCCGCCAGCAGTTTAGGGAAAATGAACCCCCTACACCAATCCCTGTGTGTGAGGTTTTAGAAGCTTCCACGGCAAAGAAGAGAGGAAACAATGAGCTTTATAAAGAACAATATTTATTTCCATTTACAGCATCAAATACCATAAATAAAGCTAAACATTGTTTGTTTTGCTGTGTGCAAAATACAGGGTTCCGTGTGGCACTGTAAATGATTACCAAAGGTCACAGACATGCGTTGTGATGAGATGGGGAGGCTAGCTAAAGAGGAGGCTGAGAGGGGAGGAGGGCACTCTTTGGTTGACATTCTATAAAGGGAGGGAGACTCTGTAAGAGAAGATAAGACAAGAGCAACGACTTTGTACTGGCCAGGATCTGCACAAATACAGTGAGCGTGCAGCATGCAGGGCCAGGCAGGCAGGCCCGGGGGTCAGGGTGGTCTGGGCCACATGCAGGACAGACGCCCACCGCAGCCTGAGACCGCGAGTGTTGCCTAGGACAGCTCCACGGTGCTTGGTGTGTTGTTTCTCGTTAAGAGTGTGTTGGTGATTATCCTGCTGCCCCAGGTACAAGAGTCAGCAGAAATGTGTGCTTTAAGCAGAGTCACAGGGGCCTGGGGCTGAACTGAGTCATTTCTCAAAGATATCCCTGCCTGGGATGATGATGGCTCTAATTGAAGCTCTGGCATCATCTGGGGCTTTATGAGCCAAGGGAGATAAGAAGAGCCACAGCAAAACCCTTGGGTCTACAGTGCAGGCTGCAACCAAGGCAGCATTTGCTAGAATATTTGTGATTATGTGTTCAACCTACAGAGCATGTGTCAAGCTTGGGATGAGGCCTGAGAGTAATTAAGTTTTTTAAATCCCTCCAAATAATCACCTATGGTTTTGATAAATGACATTAACAATCTTTACATTAGAGCCAATTTAAGAAGGCGCTGGTATGTATGAGCTTTTTGAGGCTGCTCAAAAAGTGTTCTTTTCAAAGGTGACAGAGGCCCCCTCATGGTATTGTTTCATGATCAAGGTCGACCCTCCCAAGAAAGTAGGTAGCTTCGCAGACGCAACTGGAGAAGCATGCACGCAGGCAGACCCAAGGGAGAGAGGAGAGGCGGGGCATGCACTTGGGGTAGACCAGGCTGCCAGCTCCATGGGAAATGAACACAGGCATGGGTCTCAAGCTGAACACCCCCCGCCATGCTGTTAGCCAACCATGCCACCAAATGAGTCCATCAGTATGCAAGACACTCACAGTTAGTGCAACCAGTACTGCTGGCGGAGAGGACGGGGTGCGGAAAGCGGGTTGGGGGTTAGTACCACTCTTTGAAAATTGGCAAGAAAACCAGTCACCTTAGAGCAGAAGTGTGTCAGCCAAGAAGTGGGTGTAGCACTGGAAGGCTGAAATGAACTGATGGCCATGGCGTAAGATTGGAAAGAGAGAGAAAGATAGAAAAGAGAGCTTAGTGTGGGGAAAAAAGGAAATGATTAACATCACGAGAAGGCACCGGAGTTGAAAATAAGGCCACGATTGAAAGAGGGAAACTTCCTCTGAAAGAGTCGCTGTTTGCTTAGGAGAGATGAACCTTTCTGGTTGTGACCAGCTACTTGTTTACGAGAGTGGATGCACACAGTTTGCATCTTGCTCCCTGATATCCTCTCTGCCCCCATTTTACTCTAGCGTCTCCCATTCATTCTTGAATATGTTGCGGAGGCCTAGAGGCATTCATCCTCGGGGGTCCACCCCTGGGTGTCGGTGCTGCCCACCAGAAAGGTTCAACATCTCAGAGCGTACAAACATCTCAGATTTCTGACAGGCACGCCCTGTCTCGCCACAGTAATTCAAACCAGTCTCCTTATGGCTGTACACGACAGTCAGAGATTCCGACTCGGGCTTCATGGAACACTCCACAAAGCATCTCAGCCTATCCTGAGCTGAAGATAATCACAATAACATGGCCGTTCACATCATGACCTCAAAAATTTACTTTCTATACTCAAACAAAAGGAATCAAGGGTTCCTCCCACCATGCTGAACATTAAAATCCCAGCAAAAATTGGAGAAAACACAATGCAAGTCATCGGACTGAGAACAGTGCCAACAAGGACAGAGGCGCCAGTTCCCACAGAGTTGGCCACGGCCATGCCTCTGTTTTTCCCAAGGATTTCAGGGAAGTGTTTGTAGAAATGCACCTCCTTCTTCCCGCCCCATAGAAACTGTCATCTCAAAGCTCTCAAAGGTTCTGACTCCTCACCCACACCCAGGCACACCTCTTAGTTAATCCAGAGGCATCTCTAGTGATAACTCCACAGAGCTATCTTGGGCCCAGCAACTCCAGATACACTGCGCACCGTAGATGGCCTTTCTCTGGCGGCCCCTTGATTGTTCAGCCAGACCCTGCAGCTGTGTATGTCTAGGCAGCGTGGAGTAGGGAGAGCTGAGGACTCTTCTAGATACCCAGAGTAAGAACACAGGTGGACCTGCATGCTCATTTTTACCCTTACTCATGCATATGTCCTTTGGATCAGTCCATAAATAGCTTCCACTCCCAGCCTTCCCTGCCAGTCAAGATATGGTAGAGCTTCCCCTGGAGGTCAGACCCATTCCTTTCCCAGGGCAGTGTGAAATTGGTTTCTGTTTTGACCACATATGTGTGGCAGCGGAGCAGCTAAGCAGTCAGGATGTCCACAGGCAATGCTCACTGGGCAGGCCACGCTTCCCAGCAATAGCCTGATGTGCTAACAAACCCCCTCAGTCCCAAAGGACACCACATAAGTGGACAGAGTCTTCCACTCCACTTGGCCTGACCAATATGGACCCTGCACAGCCTTGGCTCAGCCTGCAGCCCGGGCTGGGGGATCCGCTGGGAGCCACAGGGGCTAAAATGCCATCAGTTGAAAGAGCTCATCTTTGGCACTGCATCAGCTCCATGGTCAAATGCCAATGGGCTTTCCCTGCAGTGCCCATTAGTGGGAAGGGAAAATGCATGTTTGTAGAATCTGTTGAAACCCCACGGTTCTTTGTCATTTGGCTGTGAGTTGGTATGGGGGGGAAAGCCTTTAAGCTACTGTTTAACATCAAAACAAGGGAGCAAAACAGTCCTCCTCCCAGGGGGACAGATAACAGCCAACCACACACTGCTCCGTGCTTCTGTAAGTTGAATTCTATTCTGCCCTTCTACTCTCTTCTTCTAAAATAATTATGCTTTCGTGTTGTAAAAAGTATCCTGCTGCTGACAAGTGGCATCTGGGTACCTAAGTCAAAAGGCACTGGTCAGGAGATGGCACACTCATTTTCATGCGTGTAAAATCTTAAATCATCCACTTTGCAGGCAGTGGCTTTGATAACTCACTGCAGTGTTCAAGGGGTTTATAAAACTGGTTATAAGCTTCAAACCCATGTTTAGAAAAATTGACACTCATAGAAAAAAATGCTTTCTCTGGGCTAATTAAAATTAAAAAAATTGAAATGTAAACCCAGAAGTATGGCTCACAAAGCTATAGAAAAGATCCTTCATATCATCCCTGGCCCTAGCACCGTGAGTAGATGTTCACCCTGATAAGGCCAGGCGGAGGTGGCCCATGTGAAATTCTTTGGCTTTGAGCTAATTGCTTAGAGAATGCTAGGCTTCCTGGCCAGAGCCTGAGCAAACTGCAAACGCACTGCCATCTGAAGCCTCCCTGGAAATGTGAAGGCACTTTGGGGCAGCCAGCCATGTCAGCGGAGCTTGACTGGGAAGCACCTGAGCACCCAGTTGCAGATGCTCTCGAGGGAGCCCTCAGATTCCCTGTACATGGCTGCCAGGACCTCAGAGAACGCCCAGAGGAGTGGCAGCCCCAGGCTCAGGAGCTCGTACATGTAGCAGTAGTTGTAAGCATTGTCCCTGATATGGAGGCCAGCAGCTTGCAGGAGTCCCTGCATCCAGTTACACAGGTCCCTCGGCAGCCTGAGGGGCCAGCCCAGCACCTTCCTAAAGAAGGAGGTGGAGATACCTGGGGGGCTGCCTTCCAGGGTGCCAATGGCGGCCACTGCGCAAGAACTTTCGGTGGGAGTGTCTCTCCGAGGGGCTTCCTGCTCTTGCCATGTTGCCTCCTCCTGAGAAAGAGATGGAAATGAGGGCATTTGTCTGTAAGTCTTCCAGAGGACTACTTCAACAAAGCCAACAGCCAATACAAACTGAACTCGCCAGACCCTGCAACCAGCCCCCACAATAATCTCAGCCCCCCGACTCATGCTGAAGCCGGTGCTGAACACGGGCACTTTTCTAGGGGCCAACTGACCATAGGAGTCACGAGCCTTCAAAAATATGCATGCCTTTTGATCGGCAATCTCACTCCTAATGATATACATCAAGTAAATAATTTGAAATATGGATAACAACATGCATACTAGCATACACTGTAAAAACATTTGTAAGATAAAAAATTCCAACGACGTAAAGATCCAGTAATACAGAAGTGGTGAAGTAAATTATTGACCATTTATAGACTAGAATCTTCCAAAGGCATTAAAAATTATGCTCCAACATAAAAAAATTTAATGTCATGGGAAACTATTCTTGATATACAGTTAGTGAAGAAAAGGAAGAATATAAAACTCTAGGCATAGGATTCCACTTTGGTTAAAATACATTCACATAGAAAAAAAGCCTGGAAAGGGATGTTACAAAATGTCAACTGCGGTTTTCTCAGGGTAGAGTGGTTACAGGTGATTTAACTTTGTTTCTTTATATTCTTTCCTTCCCATGTTTTTACACTGAACCTATATATTTGGCTAATTAGAAAAAAGTTTTAAGTTATGGGTTGTTGCTAGTGGTAGATGATTAATCAAGCCCGAGAGAAGATATTTGCTAAGAGATGCCAGAAGAGATGCTTCCACAAACCATCTATGAATTCAGTGGGCTGGTCACTTTGTTGACTTCGAGAGCCTGGGAGAGGACTTGGAAAATGTAGAAGGGTCGGTCCTATACCAGGCATTCTTGCAAACAGCACCTTGTGGCCAGGTGGGTTCCAGGTACAGAGGGCCATGTGGCTTTTGTGTGGCTAAGCATATCACCCCATCCCTGCCACATGGGCAAGCTCTTCCAGGCTTCTTATGAGAAGCCAGCATGGCTACTGTCCTGGGAGCTCATCTGGAATGGGACACACCCCAGAGGCTGTGGAACAGACTGAAGCAAAAGAACCCTCCACACCAGGAAGCAGAGGCTTTCTTCTTTATCTGTGAGTCATCTCAATCCCTCTAGGGCCAGCAAAGCTGGCCTAACTTTGAGGATCACTGGAAACCCTTATCAAGGGGCCTTCCCCGTTTCACCAGCATGTTTGAGACAAACATACCTCTCTTTGTTGCTTCAACTCTGCCCGTCTCTTCCGTTGTTTGCTATTGGTTTTACAGTGAATGAAGTGAGGCTTGCAGTAAAATTTGCCTGTAAAAAGAGGCACACACATACAGAAAAATTTTTCTCCTGTAAACTAGAGCTAAGTAGACAAAAGCCAAGTGCCCACCACTGTCCAAGTCAGAAAATAGTAACGATGGAAATAGCCCAGGGTGGCTCAAACTTGGGAAACGGCTTCTGTCACCTTCCTTAAAGAAGTGGCACTGAGATAAGGTAGGAGGGCCCTTTGCTGCCTCAGAGACAAGCTCCAGCAATGGGGGGCTCCCGGGGATGTGGCTAAGACCTTCAAACCATGCCGGCTCCCGTAGGGTGGCATGCCCGCACCCGGAGAGGGCATGGGAGCTCTGAGCCCCTTCTCCCATACCACACCCCATGCCTCTTTTCCATCTGGCTGCTCCTCTGCATCCTTTATAATAAATAGGACAACATTTAAAAAAAATCCCCAAATCAAACTGAGGCCAAGTTTCTTCATAAGACCGGTTGCCAGGCAGCTAAATGGACAGCTTCGAGTATGAACACCCTCAGTCTTTCTTTGTGGAATACCTGGCGGGTGGGAAATGCTGAGAGCAAATGGCAGCAGTGATGGGGAGGAAAAGACCCAGACGGGGCACGCACTGGGAAACTGCCACTGCCCAGGACCACTGTGCGCCTTCCAGACAAGCCTTCCTTGCTCACTGCTGCACTGGTAACAATAGCAATAGTAAAAATTGTAACAGTAGGGGACACTTACATAGGAATGACTGTATGCCAGGCATGATGCTATGAGCTTCACATGAATTAACTCATCAGTCATCACAACCACCCTGAGAGCTAAGGACTACCGTTAACCTCATTTTACAGATGAGGAAACTGGGGGACGAAGAGTTTAAGTAACAAGCCCAAGGTTCCATGCTTAGGAGGTGGTAGACTCTGGAGTGGAACCCAGGCAGTTTAATTTGAGGGTGTGTATTGAGCACCATGCTATACTGCCTCTCGTTATAGGTGACAGAGCAAATGTCAAGTGCTGAAAATTAGAAAATAATCATTCGTTCCGATGAGCATGATTCCTCCATTGATGTCTTTGTTAGGCCACTTATCAGAGGGAATATCATTATGATGGTTATTTTAAAAACACATACTATGTAAGTAATATTAACATTGCATCATTTGGTGAACCTTACTGCATGCCAGGTGTGGTGCTGAGCATGCAATGGAGAGTATCAGGTTGGATTTTCTTGGCCATACAGGGACAATGGAGGGTGGTGAGGCTACATAAGAAGAGGTACATAGAGCCCTGGGCACACAGGTGCCCACCAGGACCTGGTATGCCGTACCACAGTGCTGATGCTACCCCTTCCCTGGGACCACAGGCAGCCTCCCCTTCTAGCAGGAGCTCCCAGTCTCCCTGAGCAGCTTTCCTGATGACATCATACTTCCTTTTGGGTATGTTTGGGTGTCCTAGAGCCACCAGAGGGACAGGAACCCGAGCCAAGGTCACACCTGAGGCCAAGGCCAGAGCCCAGTGCTGCCCTGGCCCCTGGGGTTACCTTCATCGCAGTCAAAGGTGTAGGCGGCCAGGCGCAAGGTGGTGGCACAGATGCTGCAGCGGAAACACTCCCGGTGGAAGAAGTGGCCCTCGGCGCTCAGCCGTTCCATCACGTACACACGTTTCTTACAGAAGTAACACGTGTCGCTGCCTCCCAGGTTAAGGGGAAATGACTTTCGCATAGATTCCTGGGGATCGGGAGAGAAGAGTGGGTGTATTATGGCTTATCCCGAGCCTTCAAATGCCAGGCCAAGGCTTTTAGAAATTCCACACTGAATGCTGGGGACCTCGTGGGCTTCTGCTTCCTGCTACTGCCACTGCAGCAAAGAGGGAGGGGTAGGAAGATACACCCCCAACCCAGACCCCAACCCTGCAGGGGCTTCTGTTAACTGTACTCCCAGACAGGCCCGAGACAACAAGGTGGGCCCGGGAGGGGCTCTCCCCGAGGTTGGCTGCTCTGGTTTTGGGGTGGGAGTGATCCTGGTCTGACGGAGTGGGCTTTACTCACAACCCTGTCCACCCCAGGATATTCTTTCCAGGATCTGTCCTTGGGATTAAGTGTCACCTGGTTCTGGACAAAGGTCCTGAAACTGGCCCGCTGAGGATGTTTTAGGTGTCCTGTTCCCCTGCAGTGGCACAGGTTGGGTGAGGAAAGCTTGTGGCATCAAATCTGGTCAGTTATAGTCCTAGTTGTGAATTGGGAGGGCACGGGCCAGGGCAGCAGTACCCCTGGGCGATTCCAGGGCAATGGGCCAAAAGGAAACAGAAAGAATGGTCAACTAAAATTCCTGGTGATGGCAGCGAGCAGCCCAGTTTAGAGAAAGGGAGAATTCAAATCAAAGGGCTATTTTCCCCATGACCTTTTTCTCAATCCAATGCACAGAGTCTGTTCAGGTTGGACACTAAACACTGAAAGTGAGGGCCATTCAATTATGCTCACGGCCTCACCTGGGCCTTTCTACCAGGCCGTTCTCCAAAGCCACAGAGAGCAGGAAGATCTCTATTTTCAAAAAGACCACAGGGGACCTGAGTGAGATCTGTCTTTAAGGAAAAGCAGGCTCCTTTTAACTTCTGCCCTGATTCAGCTCATTCTCAGCCCCCTCTTGTTCCAAGAGAAGAGGAGCCTCGGGAGGGCCAGGGCATCCTCTCGACATCCCATGTGCCCGCCCTGGGATGCCAGAGCCAGTGTCTGTGGGTGAAGGCTGGGGGTGCATGTCCTTACCAGGTCTGGAGAGGTGGCCTGGGCCTTAGGTCTGTGATCATTCATGTACAGATTGACCAGGACTTCAGCTGCAGCCCCTATTCCGCTGGACACTTTCCCTACCGTCAGCTAACCAAGAGCAGAGGCAGAGGAGACAGAGACAAAGGTAGAGGCCAGTTAGCACCCAGGAGGAAAACACAAGCAGGATGGATGGGGAGAGGGCTCCTCACCCACATGCAAATAGCACCCCACGACCCAGGAGAAGCAAAACCAGCCAGGAGCAGAACGCGGGGATTCTGGAGGTGGAGAAAAGAAAATAAATAAAACCCTGTGGCCGCAAAAACACAAGTACTCTAGGATTCCACTTATATGTGGTACCTAGAGTAGTCAAAATCGTAGAGACAGGCAGTAGAACAGTGGTTGCTGTTGTTTAGTGGGTACAGAGTTCCAGTTTTACAACAACTAAGAGTTCTGGAGTGGGAGGATGGTGAGGGTTGCACACGAAGGATGTATTTAATACCACTAAACCGTACCCTTAAAAAATGGTTAAGGCTGGCCGGGTGTGGTGGCTCACGCCTGTAATCCCAGTACTTTGGGAGGCCGAGATGGGTGGATCACCTGAGGTCCGGAGTTCAAGACCAGCCTGACCAACATAGAGAAACCACGTCTCTACTAAAAACACAAAATTAGCCAGGCATGGTGGTGCATGCCTGTAATCTCAGCTACTTGGGAGGCTGAGGCTGGAGAATCACTTGAACCTGGGAGGCAGAGGTTGCAGTGAGCTGAGATCGTACCATTGTACTCCAGCCTGAGCAACAAGAGTAAAACACTGTCTCAAAAAAAAAAAAAAAAAAAAAAAAGTTAAGGTGGTAAATTTTACGTCATGTATGTTTTAACACAATAAAAAAATTCGAGGAAAAAAAAGATTAAAAACCAAAAGCCTTTTAGTCCTGGGTGGGCCATGGGACTGTTACATTCACCGTGGGGTGCAAGGCCTTCCAAAGTTCCTGAGCCTCTCATTGCACAGATATGTACATGAATCCCAGAGAAGGGAACGGTCTATCTGAGGCCGCTTAGCAAATAAATTCAAGATTCCAGACTGTACTCTGGTCTCCTGCCCCCCAGCCCTGGGGCATTCACAGCTTCACTCAGCAGGGGCATGGGGTAAACGTGGTACTCAGACCCAATCATTACCCAAAAGCCCCAAAAACCTGCGAGTTAGACAAGCCAAGCAAAGAGGAGAAGAAAATCAGGAACCAAGCCCCCTCAGACAGAAAGGTAGACTGCCAGACTGCGGCCACCCTCTTCCAGAGACCCCTTGTCCCCGGAGGGCTGCAGGCAGCTGCTCAGGGACCAGGAAGACCAGGGGAAGGGTATGGGCCCAGCTCCACCATGGGCCAGTGCTGAGACTTGGCGTAAAGCACAGAACTTCTGAGCTCAGTTCCTCATTTAGTAAAATGGGGAGAGTTATACCTGTCTCCCGAGTTTGTGGGAAGGACTGCACGAGAGAATGTGTGTCCTATTGCCTGGCACTTGGCAGGCTCTGGGCCAGGACTACCTTGTGTGATATTGTGATATGGTCGGAAATACATATTTGGACTCTGCCCCCTGGTTCCTGAGGCAGAGCTCCTAAGACCTTTGTACCTTTCTGAGTGACAGCAGCATCTGATGCAGAGATCCTAAAGCCCCTGGGATTTCCTGGGTGATAGGAGCATCCTTTGCTGGAACGAGGTGACTCTTGAGCTCCTGGATAGCTTCAGGATGGGGCTGGTTGCCAGGGGAACCAACCCTGTGATTAAAGGGTTGGAACTTTCAGTCCCACACACTGACCTACAAGGGCGGAGAGGCTGAAGGTTGAGTTAATCACCAACAGCCAGTGATGTAATCGATCATGCCCTTCATAACGAAGCCTCCATAGAAACCGAAAAGGTTAGGGTTTGGAGCTTCTGGAGGGTGGAC
Organism: Homo sapiens; assembly: GCF_000001405.40. Lineage (NCBI taxonomy): Eukaryota > Metazoa > Chordata > Mammalia > Primates > Hominidae > Homo > Homo sapiens. The sequence goes on along the minus strand of NC_000011.10, from coordinate 12,253,812 downwards.
CATGCAGAGGCCCCTGAAGGGCAGTGCCCCAGAGACGGCAGAGAGGTGCCCACCCTTTCCCACATGCCCTGCCCTGTGCCTCTCCTCACCTGGCTGTTCCTCCCTATCCTTGATAAGATCCTGTATAATAAACCAGTAACCGTGTTTCCCTCCTCGGGTTTAACTAATTTGCAAGGATCGCTCGTAGAACTCAGGGAAAACCTTTCCATTTATAGATTTTGTTGGTGGGGAGAAACATCCCCACTTTATTTGGTGACCAGAGGTGAGTGGTGTGAGAGTAGAGAGAAGCAGTTTTTTTCTTATACCTTGCTTCCTCCCTCCCTTCCCTCCTCTAGATTCAGCCTGCCCTAGCCTGCCTTGAAGCTCCCAGGTCCCTCCCAGCAGGACCACAGCCCACCCTGCCAACAAGAGCAGTATGTGGAATGGGCGCACACTGGGCAGGTAGGACAGGATGGGGACTGCAGCAGGCTCCAGAGCTAGCGCCAGGCAAGGTCGGCTTGGAGACAGCGAGGTGGCAGCTCTGCCTGGGCCCTGGGGTGCATGGCCCAGTGACAGGTTGTGGGTGCCTGTGCTCCTGAGGGTACCTACAAATGCCTGGACCCCCACCAAGGTGTCAAAGAGCTGGGGAAGGGGTGGAAGCTGACAGCCCAAAGAGCATGGCACAATTATACATACCCCCTTCTGCAAACCCCAGCTTGCTCTCCCCTTCACCCCTCACCCCCAGCTCTGGAAGCCTGCTCTGGAAGCCCACCCTGGTATCGCTGCAGTCTCTTCTTGTGGGAGGTAAATACACATAGCATGAGATTCTAGAAACACTGCTCCTGATCCCAGGATCGTAGAGTGAGGGAAGCTCTAGGTCCTCCCCAGCTTCTGAACCCAGCCTCTGGGAGATGTGGCCAGAGAGAGCAGCAATGGAGGCTGCAGGGCCTCTGGGCAGGGGTTGATATCCATCACCACACCAAATAACAGTAACTTGTGTGTGGGTGAAATGATGACTTCCATCAAAACCCAAGACTGCCCTTGGGAGGTCACATCTAAACTGATAAGAGAAAGCCTCAAACATAAAGCAGGGAGTCCAGGGAACTGCAAAGCAGATGACGGGCTCACCACAGCTCCCCTATTCCTGGTAGCAGTGCCCATCCTCAGGGCCTAAGGCTAACTCACTGGCTTCCAGCGAAAGCACAGGCACTAAATAGGGCTGAGCAGGGAAAGGAGTGCCTGGCAGACTGGTGCAAACAAAGCCCAGGAGCTCCTTGCTCCCTTTCTGATTAGGAAGCCCAACATTACAGCACCTTTGGAATGGTCACTCCAGACCATGTGTGTGGCTTTGGGGCCTGCAGAGGACATGGATGCAGGCTTGCTGGGGGTGTCTGATCCCTTGAACTTAGACAGATGGGACCTCATCAGAGTTTACCAAGCCTGCCACTTCTTGGGAGCAGCTGTCAGGCCTGGCTCCCCCTTCCACCCTGGCCTCTACTCTGGCCCAACCTGGGAGGGATTAGGATTCTGCTTCTAAGCATACTGTCTGCCATTTCCAGGAGGCCACAAATGCCAAGAAATTTAGCCCCTGCTTCCAAGAAAGGTTCAGGTGTATCAGCTCAGGACAATAAGCCATTGTTTGCCTGATGTTCCATCCCCTGCTGGGGCCCCCAGCTTGGCCCCTCAGATAGGGGCTATAGGATACAAAGGACTTCCTGGGCTTTGTGGGAGGAAAGGCAGGGAGGTCAGTTATATTCTCAGCACTGCCTGCCCAGCCCCTTGTGTGACTGCCTCCACTGGCACAGTGTGTGAACGGGCTCCACGGTATTCTCCCAGAAAGGCACCACAGTGATGCCAAGATACCCATGCACAATTACTGCCTCCCCTGAGTAAGCAGAGACTATACTTTTTGGAGCTTTTAATACAAATCCCTAATGAGACCTTATTAACTACTTAGCTAATAAGCACTTTGTGCACTGAGCTTCTGAGCAACCGTGACTTGGGGAGGCATTACTGAAGCATGCAGAGGGCTGCGAGGTTGCTGGGAGGTGCAGCCAAAACTGAGCAGCTGCAGAGCTGCTCCATTGTCCTGCAGCACAGGGCACAGTCTGGGTCATCTGCGCAGGGGATCCAGGATGAAGACCACACCTGGTCCCACCTTTCATTAGGTCCAAAAGCCCCCTTTCTCCCCGTGGCACCCACACATCCACCCCGAGAGGGTGACATTCCTTTTTTTTTTTTTTTTTTTTTTTTTTTAAAGTGAAATGGAAGCACCCTTAAGGAAATCAGTACTGGGTCTCCTACCTGCCCTTCCCAACCTGATGAAATGCATTCCAGAATCACCAAGAGGTAGACCAGCACTTCTTTGAGAGGCCACAGGGAAATAAGGTGATGGAGAACTTGTCTCCTGGGATGAGGGGAGAGCCTTTGAAGCCAACCCCAAAGGCCAATGTGAAGGTGAATGTTGCCCTGGGCATCAAGGGTTATCTTCTATTTCTTGACAGCAGGACGGCCTTACCGGCTCTCAGAGTGAGGATATAACTAACTAGCTGGCTTCTGCTAGCTCACTGCTCCTCAAACTCACTGTGGCTTAGCTCACTGCTCCTCAAACTATCTGTGGCTAATGACAGGTTTTTTCTTTTTAAACATTTAATCCATTATGGCCTGTTATTTCCAGATACAATGAAAATAAACTAGAAATATGATCACACACTTGAATGTGTGGCAATATCAAATGGTTCTACAAGTTTCCAACACTTACTCTCTCTCACTTGCTATAATCATGGGATTACAGCCCAGTCCCTGCCTGTGGCCCACACTTTGAGTAGCACTGCTCAGGTTCTCACGATCCTGAGAAATAAATGCTCAACTCATGGAGAAATCCTAGATAAGTCACCCTGGTGTGGACCTCAGGGTTAGAGCCAGTCCAGTGGTTCCTACCAAACAGAAGCATGCATTGATGGCAAGACACCACACTCCTGGGGAGGCTGGTCAAGAGAAGAGCTTATAATTAGGCTGGGAACAATTCATCTAAATGCAAAGTTGGACAATCTGATGATCTGGTCAAAGATGATCATGTTCCAGCCTCTAGTTTTTTTAAGAACTAGTAATTTCAAAGTCCCATGGGACTGCTTTTGCAACCCTTTAAATATCTCTCAATATTCTTGTAATTTTCAAGAATTTAGGTGCTTTTCATTACCTTTTCCTGCCTTTTGAATTCTAATTATTTTTCAGCAAATTAATTAGAACATTTCAGGAGGGCAATCATCTCACATTACACGAGGTTAACCTCACATACGCCATTTCCCTTCTGTGAGCCTCAACTTCTTCATCTGTAAAATGGAGAGACTTCCACCAACCTTGCAGGGCTGAGGAAAAGACTCCTGAAAGAACCTGGGCCATGCAGGAGGCACGCGGCAGATAGTGAGTCCAAAGCACGGCCATTGGGATAAATGCTTGAGGGAATGGATACCCCATTCTCTGTGATGTGCTTATTTCACATTGCATGCCTGTATTCAAACATCTCATGTACCCCATGCATATATACACCTACTACGTACCCACAAAAATTAAAACAAAGCACGGCCGTTTGTGCAGCTTTGCATTTCCATGTTCTGGGACTTCTCTCTTGTCTTAAATCACTTTCCTCTGCACAAGAGTGGCATGGCCCACACAGGACGAGCTCCCTGCCTCCTCTCCCCAGAGCCAATCTAGATAGAAACACGGCGACGCAGCTGTTGTCACACGCACCCATGCCAGAGGCTGCAGACGATGGCTAGACCTCTACAAAGAGGCATTTTCCAAGTGATCCTGTGACCCCACGCAGAATGATGGTCCCCGCCTAGATATCAGAGCGTTCCTCACACTGCACCGAGCTGGCCCATCTCTTCCTCAGTTTGCACTCCCTGAGTGACCTGTCTTATTCACCTCGACATTCCTGGCACAAGGCAGAAACTGCGAATGCAGGAAAAAGCAGGCTCCAGGCCCTGTTTGTGTGAGAACAATGGAAACGTTCCTCCCTGTGCCTGGAACTGAGCCAAGATTACCAGGTGTCCCGGCTACACTTCTCCGCTGAGTTTGGCCACCTGTGGCCACACAGCCTGCCAGGAGCATCGAGCAAGCCCACGTGGGTAAGGCAGCAGTGAGAGCAGAATGTGCAGGGCCTCAGAAGAGAGGGCTCACAGGAAGGGGAGCTTTTGACACGTAGGGCTAGAGGTGGTCTGTTGGATCCACTTGGGCAAGGACATCCTCACTGAGGAGTCCCTGTATGAGAAGACATCAGAGGACAGCCTGTTGGATCTGATTCCTCGGCCATATGCCCAGGGCTGGGGGTAGGAGGGCAGGCAAAGAACTGAAATCACTGTGTTCAAGGGTGTCTGGAAATTACAAGTTCAGAGCTGAGACGCAGGCAGGCCTTAGGGGCTGTGAGCTCCCAGTACAAGCACATGTCTGCCCACCTTCGTCCCCTGGTGCCAGGCACTGTACTGCTGCTGATCATATGCGCTTAACTCCCAGAGCCCTGCAGGTGGGTCTGATAATCCCCCTTTGCAGGTGAGGCAGCTGAAGTTCAGGGAGGCTCTAACTCACCTGAGGATGCACTGTTCTCAAATGGCTGGGATGAAAATGGAACCCTGAAGGTGACTTCTTTTCCTTTAGAAAGAGAGGGATCAACATGCATTTTAGGTAAATAAGCTTTCTTTCCGAATTCTCTTCCACTGGGGAAAGAGAAGCTTTACAGGATACTTCAGGCATTTTGCATAGGTTAGGACATTGCAGTATTCCAGTTACCCTCAAGAGTAGTTGCTGTCCTCTCCACTTTATAGGTTAAGAAACTAATGCTCAGAGAGGTTCACAAACTTGTCCAAGGCCACACAGTGAGTAATTGGTGCTCTGAACTGAAGTCTGATTTGAAACTCATATCCTTCTTCCACACCAGCACTACGCAAATTAAAATCCCCCAAGCTGGGATGCACACAGGAGACCTCCAAAAGGTTGCCTAGCTCTATTCCCAGGATAGAAGGAGGAACAGTGAGGTTGGAGGCAGCCTTGAGACCTGTCCCTGAGATTTATCCTCCTACCAGGTCAAACAAAGGCGGGATGCCCCAGACAAAACTTCCCAGCATTTCCCTGTTTCTCTCTACTATGCAAATCTCTCGAGTAAACCCTGCAAATCCAGTTTTAAAACAAACACCCCAAGGGTAGAGAAAGCTCCTTTTGCAATGCTCAGTGCTCTTCTGACCCTGGAGGACTGAGGGGCAATTCCCAGCCCAGTGAAGGCCCCCACCCCTCCCACTTGCCCAGCTGTGCAAACGCTCAGTGCCTTCTTGTTCCTGCAAGAGCTCAACGGCATGGCAAACAGCCAGCAGCCAATAGCCATTCCATGGGCCAGAGCAGCACAGTGGCCTCCCTTCTGGAAGAGCGAAAGTAACTAACGGCTGATAGGGAGCTGAGATCACAGAAGAGGGCTGGTTTGGTGGGATAGATGAGGAAATGGTTCTGGGGACATAAAACTGGGCATAGGTCTCACAGTCCACAGCCTGGAAAGACAGACTCTGCCAAGGATCTGAGCCCCCCGTGAGAGCCCTCAAGACTCCCTGTGACCATTCAGGCCAAGAAACCCACAGCACCACTCTGAATTTTAAAGTGGAATATCAATCTGAGAGGGCGGGCAAGTGGAGTCTGAAGGCAGAGCCCTGGCTCCCTGTCTTGGAGTCAGCAACTCAAGTTTGCATCCCTGTGAGTAACAATTGCTCCTCATAGTAAGTTTGGCTAAGTCTGTTCCCATGAGGAGATTATTATTCACGGATCCTCGGAATCAGTGTGGAAGACCATAGGGCAGGAACAGAGACATGCTGCCTGCCAGGAAGTTGTCAAGGACTAAGCATCAGTTTCCAAGTGCATTTTTCTTCCTCTTGCTCCCCTGAATTCAGGTGAACTTGGGTCCATTGAGCAAAAAGAGCAGCCCAAAATCTGTTTGGAAGAAGTATTAAGGCCCCAGACTCTAGGAGAGAAACTCCCTGAGCTGCACCAGGATAGAATAAATCTGTTTATCACCAAATCATCACCTACTTTAAGGAACAGCCAGTTCTCTCCCTAGAGGTGGTTGTGATTCTGCCAAATTCTGCATGTGCAAAGCCCAGTGCTGAATCAATGGTGGGGCAGAGTTTGGGGAGTGAGGGAAGTCAAGGCAATGGGTGAGGCTGGCAATATCCTTTCTAAGACTGCTTGAAACCAGAAACTCACCACTCCATCCATAACTGCCTAAAATGGCCTCACAGTGTGACCTGCATGAACCTGCGAGTGTAGGTATTCAGAGAAACTGAGGCACAGAGAGGCTAAGTGACTTGCCCAAGAGTCCATTCTAAGAGGTCCTCCATCATTCCCAGCCATACTGTGAAAGAAACATCAGCCAATAATTAAGATGTTGGAAGCTGTCGAAATAGCCCAATTACATCATCTAATGGCCAACGCTGGCTAGGGAGAAAGAATTTTTTAAAAGAACAAAAATGGGGCAATTGTTCTACCACAACTGGGGAGGAGCAAGGAACAAAGCTGTAGAGGTGGGGACAGCAGATCTGGGGTTGGCCACCCCAAAGCCCTCCCTGTCCCTGAGTGTGAGGGTTTACATGCACACAGCCTCTGGGCCTCTGACAAGGCCTCCATGCATGCGTGGCTTCTGCAGGACACAGGAGAGCACTGGCCTGGGAGTCCGAACGCTGGGCTCCAGTCTCCTCCCTGAGCCTTTGCCTTCTTACCTGTGACTCTGCTCCTGCTCAGTTCTCACCATCACAGGAAGAGCTCTCCAGCCCCCACCCAACCACTCCATTTAAAATTGCCACCCTTCCCTCCCCAGCATTCCAGGTCCCCACCACCAGCTCTAATTTTTTCATAGGAAATATTATCTTGCCCTCTAACACATTATATAATTTACTGATATATTGATTGTTGTAGGCTTGTAGGGTGTAAGCCTCATTAGGGCAGAGATTTAACTCTTATTCATCAATACATATCCTGACAGCCTGAAATGCCTAACAATGGATTTTCATTCAATAAATATTTGTTTACTGAGGGTGGTGATTCACATCTATAGTCCCAGGTACTCAGGGGTGGAAGGCTGAGGCAGGAGGATCACTCGAGTCCCAAAGTTTGAGGACGCAGTGAGCTATGATCATACCACTGCACTCTGTCCTGGGTGACAGAGAGAGACCCTGTCTCCAAAAAAACAAAAAAATTAAATTTGTTGAAGGAATGAATGTTCACACATTGGCTTTTGGAGTGACATTGGTGGAGAAAGCTCCTTTTGCAATGCTCAGTGCTCTTCTGACCCAGGAGGACTGAAGGGTAGCTCCCAGCCCAGTGAAGGGCCCCCCTGCCCAGCTGTGCAAAGGCTGTGCCTTCTTCTTCTTGCAAGAGCTCACCAGCGTGGCAAATGGCCAGCAGCCATGCCACAGACCAGATCAGCAATGGCCTCCCTTCTGGAGGAGCAAAATTAACTAATGGCTGATAGGGAGCCGAGTCCTCAGGGGAGGGCTGCCTGAAGAGCCAGAGACAGCAGCAGGCAGGGCCTCAGCCGGTGTGATGCTGATGTGATGGGGACACGCTTAGTGGCTGACAGCATCTCTGTCTTACCCAGCAGCTCTGCATGTTTCCAGCAGGCTGCTCCCTGCCGTCTCTTAGAAGGATCTAATGCCCGGTGGAAACCAAGTCAGGGTATTTGGGAAGTGTAGGAGCTTTTCTTGCAGCAGTTTTGGCCCCAACAGTGACCACGCCAGACTTTTCTGGGGATGAGAGAAAGGCAGGGACAAGAGAAGGCTTTGCCTGGCTCTACCCTGAAGGGCCCAGTCAGCTGGAGTGGGCTGGGCCAGAGAGAAGCAAGGTGTGGGCCTGGCTGACCAACTATGGGCACAAGCCACTGCCTGGTCCGTGCCTAGGTGCCTTCTCCCCTCCCACCATCCTGCCAAGGGTGCCATGACCTTTTCCCGTAGTAGGGAGTATACCCTGGGGAAGGTCCCTTTCCCTAACTGGGCAAAAAGCCTACCCTGCAACCTTGCTGATGGTGATGACAAAAATGCCTGTCTCCACCCATGTTGCTCACTGTAACATGAGCCCAGAACCACTCTTACTGAGGAGGAGGAGGCCCAGACAGGTCAGGAGGCTTAAGGTCAAACAGCTGGCCTGTGGCTGACCTGGAGCAGGTGGCTGGGGATCTTGATATGCTGACCATGGCTATTTTCAGTGGCATTGAAGATCCTGTTAGCGTTTCTCTGTGTTACCTGCTGCTGCCCTTTCTGGGGTGCTTCCCATTAACACTGGTGGCCTCAGATGGGATGGGGCTGGTAAGATTCCTTGCTCCTTTCTTAGGGACTCTACCTACACCGTTCTCCTCACAGAGGTGGAGGCCAACAGGGGTGGGACCCCCAATTACACACCAAGGGGCAGCTTCTAATTTTTCACTAATGCAATAGCATGGAGCTGGTTTGTGCATCAGTCTAACAGCACAGAAACAGACCAGCACTCCTTCTGGCAGCGGCACGTGCAGCATGACACACAGAGCCTCGGTGGGAGCCAGACGCACTGGCTGTGAACAGAGAAGCACAGTTGGTGGGTGGAGTGGGGGAAGACTCCAAACCTACTCCATGAGCAACAGCTCATGAGGTAGGCTTCACGCCCATTTCTAGATTCATTCATTCCAGAGGCCAGCCTTCCCAGAAGACAGACCCTCTCCCACCCAAGCCTGGTATTATTCTCAGCACAGGAGGTAACAGGAGGACAAGTGAAAAACATGAAAAGCACCCCTAAACCCAGTCTTAATCATTGTTTGTGAGTGCATTTCATTAACTACTTAACCAAAGTTAGCTCCCCACTCTTCTCATCCTCCAGGCTGATCTCTGCACTACTGTCTGAGCTGTACTTCTAGAACACAGAGTAGATCCTGCAGTGGCTTCCTATAACCCAGAGGATAAAATGAAATTCCTTTACACAGAGTGTGCTCACTTCCACTCTCCATGCCCCCATAAATACTTTTATCCCCAAGTTCAAGTCACACCAGACATTCCATCTTTCCATGTCACGTAAGCCCTGCCTGCCTGCCTTTGCACAGGCTAGCCCCTCTCCAAAACACCCTTGCCCTAAACTTCTCTCTAGCAAAATCCCCCCATGGAACCTTCAACACTCACTCAGTTCCCATATTACCTTCTCTGCATTACCTCCCCATCTTCTCCCCTCTCCATTCCTACAATCTTGCCCTTTAAACCTCTTATAGAATGAATGAATAGTGTTACGTTAAGTTTATCATGTGAAATTGCCATCTTATTAGGACAAAACAGGCAAATATCAGCAGTATGTGATGTGATATTTCATATTATAAAAATGTCACTTATTTCTATGCTAATGTGCTATTTCCCATCTCAACTGTAGTAAGGGAACTGCACCGCCCTCTCTGTTTTCTCAGCATCTGGCACGAAGGGTGGCATACGGTGGGCCCTGATTAATGCTTGCTGAATGAATGAGCCCTGTTTGGCAAGCTTTTGTACACTGCCTGTTCTGCCGTGTTGTGTGCTCTAACACAAAAACAAAATTGAATCCAGCACTGGTGTAAAATATCTTACAAATTTTTATTCCAGCCAAGCCAGGCTCAAGATGTTTGTGCAGGTCAAGTGGAGCATGAGAACATCTGGGAACATGCAGGGAATAGGGAAAGCAAATTGTTCAGGACAACTACCTTTCTGGCAGGAGAAGCAGAGTCAACAGTTGATGGAGAGGAAGAAGCAGCTGGATCAGGAGACGGAAGGCGAGAGGGAGGAGATGGAGGATGAGTATGAGACAGGCCTTTAGAGAGTAGTTTATTCTGCACAGAACAGAAATAGAAGAAACAAGGATTATCCCAGGAGTCACACATGGTGATACATGCCTCAATCATGCAGTCCCATGCCTGTGCACTCAAGAAGGCAAAGAAAGGAGACCCATGTCTCAGGACAACACAGAAACCCCTGTCTTTGGAGCCAGAAAGGATTATCTGGCTCCTGGTTACACTGCATTCTGCTGCAACTATTCCAGCTCCCTTGTCACACCGAAATAGCTCATGCAGATTCAATCTGTTCCTGCCTACATCCGCCTCAGACACCGATGCCAATTACCAAAGCCCTCACCCTGGAGCTTGGTATGAAGTAGCAGCTGCGAGCTTAGGAGAGGAGAACCCTGGGCTGCTTTAGGGCAGGTGGCCACAGCAGGGGCCTCTATAGCTGCAGCAAGCAACTGTGCTAGCCTCCTGGCAGGCATGAGGAATCCTAAAAATGAACGAAGTGTAAAGCATCCTTCCCACGCCAGTGACTCCACCAAGTAGCAGAAGAGGAGACTAAGTGAAAACAGTGGAGAGGCAAGTTCTAGGGACAGGTGTGCTGTGAGGGAGGGAGGACTTTACACATACACCCACCTGTAGGATCTCATTATCAACTCTTTCATTTCCTCTTGAGCACATGCTCTTCTTTTCAGCAAATTTCCAAATAAGTACCTGGCTTGGAGGAGGCTCTACTTCCTAATTCTAAGGCAAAGCCATTCTTGTTGGCTTGACTTTATCCCATGGGGAAGCAGAGCCCCAGTTGCAGCATGTGGTTGGCCTCATCATTCAGTATCTTCCTGATCAGGGCCACAGGGAGATTTCTCTCCCACTCAAAAACATCACAAGCAACTGGGTAAAGGCATTGTGATTCTGCAACTGATGACTGTTTCCTCTTTGTGTTGACCCTTAGGAAGCTCAGAGCCTGCTTGGAAAATACCTAGGGTCTACCGGCTTGTGCTTCTTATAGTAATGCCTTTCTCGATCTGTGTTTACTTTCCTGTCTTAGTTTTTCCTTTCTCATGATGTATTTATTTATTTTGAATCTTCGCATTTGGGTCTTTTCTAGATGCCAGCTTGTATTATTTGGTGGCTTGAAAAATAAAGAGCTCTTCATGCTCTAAAAGGAGGAAGGAGGAGAAAATTGAGCTCAGAGCCTGATTCAAGGTCACCTGGCTGGATGTCCAGCATCAGGTTCCTGGGGGCTCTGAAAGCCCCATGTTTACCTGCGGGAAATCCCCGTGTCCAAACATGGAGGCAAGGTGAGCCGCCTTCTCCTTAATGTTCTTTGTGTGAAATTCCCTGTTGGCCAAGTTCTGAGCCCTCTTCTGCAGTGAAGGTGAGAAAGGAGAAAGAAAAGAGAGATAGTGACAGAGACTGAGACAGTTGGCTTCCAAGAAGTGGGTGAGGGAGGCAGCCGGGGGCCTTGCCTGCTCACCACACACAGCAGGATGAGAGACAGGGGGTGGGCAGAGGGAGGAGGAACCCACCCGGGTAGGAGGAGGGAGGGGAAGAAAGGAAGTCACCCAGACACGGACAGAGACGGGCAAAAAGTGAGTCTCTCACCTGGAGAATCTTTTCCTCCACTTGCTGCAGCCGCCACAGCACCCCGGAAAGAGCCTGCGCCCTCGGGCGGGTAGAAGGCAGGGTAGCGAAATTTTCTGTCCCACCCAGCTGTAGGTCAGACTTGGCTCTGGCTCTCCAAGGTCTGCTCAGGCACTCACTGCCAGCAGACACTTGCTTGAGCTCTCTGAGCACGTGCCCCGTCACGACCACAGAGGGGAACTGGGAAAGAGGGAAAATTAAGCTTCCTTCCCTACTGCGGCCCTTTCATACACCCTCACCATGAGGGATCCCCCATGAAGACCAGAGACAAAGGGTGCACCAGGTGCAACCCTAAGTAAGATTCCAAACTAGCCCCAGGTGTTGACTCTCCACCACCTGCATCAAAATTGTCTGGCCTCCTCATTCACAATACACAGTCTGGGGCCTCACCCCCAACCCCCTGAATCAAAACCTCTACAATGCTGGTTCTCAATCCTAGCTGCATACTGACATTTAGGGTACTTAAAAAAAAACACCCAAGCCTGGGGCCAACCCCCAGAGATTTCGATTGGATTGCTCTGGACTGGGCATGAGACATTGGTAGTTTTTTAAAAGTTCCCCAGGTGAGGCAGACAGACATAAAAATTGCTGCATTGTAGTCACACCGACCTTACTCAACCTCCACCACCTGGGAGCAACACACAAATCCTAATGCTGACCAGACAACTTTGTGGCTTATGGTCAATAACAGTGATTCGGTTCAGATTCCAAACTCAGGAGCACTACCTGCCATAAGCCATACTCCGTGACTGCCAGCTGCCTTCCCGCCCGCTATGCAGGTCCTCAGCTACTCTGGCACCGGCAAGGCCTTCGCCACATCCCAGCCTTACCCCTTCAATGGGTCCAGCCAAGTGGCCACCTGGGCCCATTCCAACATCACTTTTTCATTGATATGGAAATCAGCCTATTTGAATGGTCTGCAGATAATGCTTAGTGTTATAGGGCATCATACAAAATACCCTGTGGTACAGTTTATTTTTCCCTAGCAGCACCATCGAGAGCATGGTATTTGGTCAATTGATACCTCTGACTGGCTAAGGGATCAATAAAATGTATTTTGTGATGTTGCATACTTGGTTATTCTTACCTATAAGTGTGGTGACATCAAGGTGTGTCCAGAAAATCTACAATCAGCCCTACTTGGGGTGTGGGAAGAGCCACTGACCCCACCCATCTGGATCAAAGTCCCCTCTGGCTTCACCAAAACAGCATCCACTGGAAGGAGCCCTACCTGCCTTTTCAGAGGAGGTGATGGGCTGGGTGTGGCCTCCTCCGGCTTGGGGCAGCAAGAGTGAACAGGAGGGCCGGAGGAAGAGCACAGGACCGGCTTACCTATCCCTGAGACACGGCGTTCCTGGGAGAAGAAAGGCGAGTCCAAAAAAGCAGCCACAGGAGACATGAAGGAAAAGGTGAGTCAGATTGAGAGGCTTGGAGGGAGAAGAGAAGAGGAGCAGGGAGACGAAGGTTGCAAGTGCAGAGGAAGCACTGGGCTGAGCTCCCGCAAGCCGGGCCCAGCTGGGAAACTTGAGCCCTGGCTCCCTGTCCATGTGAACAGCAAGTCCTGGAGTCCCCTTCTCATGGACAATGTGTGAATCCCAGGGTGGCTTTGCTTTTGGCTCAGACACAGGGCCTTAAGCAGGCACTGCCAGAGCCCATGCCAGGCCAGGGTGGCTAGGCCAGGGTGGCTGGCCCAGGAGTCTACCTGGAAACAGAAAAGCTTCCTGCCCACTCAAGGACAGGGACGCTCCGGTGCTTCTGATGGAATGGAGCCCTCATCAGCACTTGGGGACTGTGAGGGGCCAAGCCTCCAGAATGGGCAATCAAGAAAATTTGTGGAGAGTTACAAGTCTCAAGGAAATGGCCCCCTTATAATAAAATTCCTTCACTTCCTGGAGAAGGTCAGTTCTCCCAGGAGGGACACAGTCCACATCAAGACTAAGGAGACATCTATGGTTGCCTCAAAAGCTAATTAACTATGAGTCTGTCCTCCCAAAAGGAGTCTCATTCTGTCATGTGACAGGTGTTCACCATAGAAAAACCCAACCTCTTTTCCCAAGCTTCTGTAATGTGACAACAGCACCCTAAAGGAAGTTCAGGGGAGCAAACGGAACCACGAGGCACAGACCTCGGAGCCGGAGTCAGAAGGAAGCCTACAGCCTGACGCAGCATTCTGCCTCCTCCAGCCTCACACTAACCCCCATCAGACAAAACAGCCCCGCCAGGCTGACCCTGGTGCAGGGAGAGAGGGGAGTGCCAGGAAACACCTGGGAGGTTGGCCTTCAATACTGTGAGCTCAGACTCAGTTCCTCTGGTTAGGATGGATCTTCTCACTGTGGACTTTGTACTTTCCCAGCCAGCCAGCCTCTCAAAGCTCCTTCAAACTGTATCACCTCAAAACTGGCTGCAAACCAAGTCACGGTTGGAAAGCAAAACCAAATTAGGGAATGGATTTATTTAATGCAGAACAACCACCAGCAAACTAGGCCCATGGGCCATACCTGGCCTGCTCCTGTTTTTTGTAAATAAAGTTTTATTGGAACACAGCCAGACTCATTTGTTTAGGTATTGTCTACTGCTGCTTTCATACTACAATGGCAGAGTTGTAACAGAGACAGTATGGCTTCCAAAGCACTAAAAAACTGCTATCTGGCCTCTTATAGAAAAGTCTGTTGACTCCTGATCTAGAAGGAGCTCAAGTCTCCTTGGGACCAGGCCTGGCTGGCATATCTGAAGTCTATCAGCAGCCAGAACATTCCTGCTGAAAAGTCACCAGGAAGTTAGGTCCAGTGAGTATTTGACATGACTCACCTGCTTCATGAGTGAGGGGTTCCGAGTGCTCTCCTCAAACTTGGCCAGCAGCTGATTCGCCATGGACTTGACTTTGTTCTGATTTCCACCTTCCTTACTGCTCCCACACTCTTGATTGGAGCCCAAGCTACGGCTGGAAAAGTTTGAAGGCTGCAAAGGTTGAAACGGGACACTGATGGTTGGATCCTGGAATCTGGATATCAGAAAGCAGACTTGGGGACTCAGGACGTGGGACTAGCTTCCCGCAGAAGGGCTCCCTCCATGGTCTGAGGAAGGGAGGCAGAGGCAGCAGGGCCACCCCCGCAGAGGCAATGCTCACAGGAGGGATGCGTCTTTCCAAAGGATGGGCACAGCTAGGCTTGGGAGCCAGGTGGTTGGGGTTTGAATCCCGACTCTCATTTCTTATCCCTGTGATGTTGGCGATTTACTTTACTTCTCTGACATTTTTTCATGTATAAAATGAGAACAGTAATCTACTTCACATGATTACTGCAAAAACCAAGTATAATCATGAAGTGTTGAACAAAATGGTTTTCAAAAATACATCATCTGGCTGAGAAGAGGAGAAGAGCAGGGGTTGGGGGCCAATGAAGGAAGCACGGGTGGGGTCACTCAGGCAAGGCCTGGGCTCTGGAGATCTTTCTCCTTTCTCCTCTGTACCTACCCCCAGCTTTAACCAGCCCTGCTCTATTTTTGCTATCTTTTTAAAGAAAAATTTTAATTTAGAAACAATTTTAGATTTACACAAAAGTTGCAAAGATAGCACAGACTGTCCCTGCATACCCTTCACCCAGCTGCCCACAGTGTTAAATCTGGAATAATTGCTCCTGTCATCAAGATTGAGAAATTAACACTGGCACAATACTATTAACTAAATTATACACTTTATTCGGATTGCATCAGTTTTTCCACTAATATCTTTTTTCTGTCCCAGGATCCCACACTGCATTTCATCACCCTGTCTCCTTGGTTTCCTACAAACTGTAACAGTTTCTGTTACAGAATGACACTTTTTGTAGGGTACTGAGCAGCTGTTTAATAGAAAGCCCCTCAATCTGGGTTGGTCTGATGTTGTCTCATGATTAGACTTTGGGGAAGGACACCACCGAGGTGAAATGCTCTTCTCATTCCAGTACAGCGGGCTGCATGATATCAACGTGACTTATAAGTGGTGATGTAGACCTTGATCATTCGGTTATGCTATTTTATAAAACGGAGTTCCATATAAGATTTCTCTAGCTCATCTGCTAACAGTGAAAAATTGAAAATGACCACTGTTTACTAAGAACGTCTGTTCCCCCTTACTACGGGATCTCCTCCCACAGGCCTCAGGAGTATAAATGGTGCTGCCACAGCAAGTGGGCAGTAAGTTTTCCCAAGGACACCAGGAATGTCCCTCACAGGAACAGACATTCTCACGACAACAAAGATGTGTTCATTTAGAAGAAATTCACTGGAAAAGGCAAGCTATAGTTAATTTTTTTTTAAAAAGATCCCTAGGTGTGGCAGCCCTATGGGGAACCTTGTATGTAGAGCCACTCTGAGTGTTGGACGAACACAAACCGAAGAGGCATACCCTCCTTCAAAGTGAAATGTAACTGTGCACAACAGCACAGGCTTGAGTGAGAAGAGGCTGTGCTTACTTGGGTGATCACTATTTGTACAAGACCAAAGTTAGCCAGGACGGTGGGCCATACAGGCCAGCACTTTCAGACATTAACGGGTCCACGAATCACCAGGAAATCAATCCTCAAAAGCAGATTTGCTTTCTGTAGGTCTGGGGTGGGCCCTGAAAGCCTGTACTTCTAACAAGCACCCAGCTGCTGCTGCTGCTCCTGGATCTTGGATTACATTTTGAGTAGCAAGAATTTAGAAAGAATATTGCTTTGTTAAAACTGACTTAAAGCAAAACCGTTGCCCCAGGAGACTGTCCAGGGCTGTCTCAGAAAGGGTAGACACAAACCAGATTTCTTCCCACTCCAACTCCTAGGTTGCCAATAACAGAAACAACACTCACATACCCTTAAATAAATAAGCCATGGGTGAAACATAGGAAAAGACTTCCACCTGAGACAAAGTGTACCCAAGGGAAGCTTCTTGGGAATAGGCAGGAGCAAATCCCAGGCCCTGAAGCTAGAGAGCTGACACCCGTAATCTGGGAAATGGAATGTGTCTGTAGCCTTGTGCAGTCTCCGCTTCCTCTCTGTGTCTCTATTTGCTGGCTTCTTGCTTACACCACAGCCAAGTGGTGGAGAAGAAACAGTGCTTCCTGAAGTGCACCTTCAAGAAGCTCTAGGAAAATGTTCAACCCAGGGTGTTTTGAACTCATTGGGTAGAATGGGTTTGTTCATATTTTAAGATGTGAACTGAACTCGTTTTTCTTTGTCAGCGCTTCCCTTTGACCATCACAGATAATGGGTTGAATGGCTGGCTGCTGCTTTCCCCAAGGTGAACCTCATGACTCTATTTATTATAAAGCTCACTGTTGTGAGGGGCAGCAAGTCAGACACGAACAACCATGTCATGCAACTATACAGCAATAAAAACTCTTCGACCATAAACAGTAGAAAAAGTCCCTTCTACCTCCTATCAATCAGATATCAATGTATTATACAGACCGTCCCTCATGCCTCTAAGTCATCATTTTGAGGTCAGCCAGTAGGCTGGCAAAAGCTGGCATCCCACACTTCGCTGACAATATGCATGCTTGTGGAGTTGGAATGGCTTTTTTTGAATGACGTGTATATCTCAGGTCTCTTTTAAAAGCTGCCCAGGGAAGCAAGAACTGACACTCTTTCCCCTTGATCAATTTTTCAGAAGCAGGCAAGAGATTCAGGCTCTCCTTTGACAAAGTAACCTGTAATTTTCTTCTTTCACCAGAAGGTGGCACTTGTGGAGACCACGACATATGCCTTAAAGGCTAAAAGCAAAGGAAACACAAATGGATACAAACGATGATTGGGAGAAAAGTGGGAGTGCTGATGCCTCTTTACTATTTACTGTTAACAGTGGTTGTATATTGATTAACATGTGTCAGATACCATGTTCATCTTATTCATCTTTAAAAGTCCTGCCAAGTTTCATGTATTTCAAGTGTATCATTGCACGTTACAGACATGAACCACATCCTGGGAGGTTGTGTTTCTCAAGGTTACACAGCTAGTAAGTAGTGAAGCGTGATCCAAAACCCCAACTGTTTTTCCATCACGCCAAGCTTGGAACCCAGTGGTTCATGAGAGAGGGAAGGAACAGGGCCAGGCTGCTACCACAGTGAGGCTGCCTGTGGCCACTGGTTGTCAGGAAACGAGCCTCTGTTTAAAGCCACACTGTGTACACAAACCTCGTCCAGGTTGGTGAAGCCCTTCCGTCTCCGTTTGTTCATGTCATTCTCTCCGGTTTGACCATCCACCTGCAATGGCCAAGAAAGCAGGGTGAGCTCTGGGGGCCACCAAGGGCTTCAGTCCCACTAAGATCCCTGAGGGCATAGGGCTGGCTTTGAGCTGGCGCTGAGGATGTGTCCCTGCCCACAAACAGCTGTCAGCCTACAGGCAGGAGTGGTAGTAAATGACTCCGCACTGTGACAAATGCTGTCACAGGGTTTTGTTCAGGCACAGCGGAGAGAACCTCACTCCACCTAGGGAGCCAAGGCTTCGTCAGAAGGGGCTGGAATTACACCCCAAAAGATCTTCATGAAACATCAAAGCAAAAAGAATCCCGGTGACATAGGCAGGGCAGGGATGATCTCCATTGCAAAGTGGCCTTGGGCTCAGAGCAGTTTAATGGTTTGCCCAAGGCCACAGCCAGGTCTGCTGATGCTTTCAGTGTGCTGCCTCATGGAGACCAGCTGGGGTCTCTCTGCACCCAGGGAGCCTCTCTCCTACAAGAAGGTGACCGGGTTCACCTCACATGGACTCTCAGGGCTCAAATGAGCTGCCTAGGGATTTGATGGCAAATCAAGTCTGCAATTCACTCACCATCACAGATCCTAGTAAACAATATTTTATTAACTTCAAATAAGCATTAACTATAGCCTGATGACTAGCGTGACCATACAGCCTAGTTTGTTGGAGGTGGAGGGTAGTTCTGATTTACCGCTTTTTACCCCCAGCCTGATTGTTAACAGTGCCCCCTTCACTCTCAGAAGTCTCCTGGTTTAGATGATACATGACATGGTTGCCCTACTGAGAACGCCTCACAGCCCACTCTCTGCTGCCTGCATCTGGGCATTGAAATCCAGAAAGCCCTGCTCTACCCAAGCCCATTGCATCACCCTGCAAGGGCTCCCAAAGGGCACTCGGCTGTCAGGCTTGTCTCCTCAGGGAATGAGCAGAACTCTGGAGGCCGAGCTGATGCTATGGCTGGAGTGGGAAAGACTGAATTTAGTACCTCCTCCGTACCCCATGGGTAAGCCTACCCTTGTCGCTGGGCTAGGGTCCACCTAGGCTCCCCCATCCTTTTCTGGGGTAAGACCTCTCTGCTACCAGTCTTCAGCCACGGGAGCCTTCTCCAAATGGCTAGTTCTGTCAGAACCAGGGAGCCATGTCCCATTGACCATAGATCGCTTCTGCAGGGAGCCATCTACCCTCTCAGAGGGGGCTTCCATCGCAGGCCCATATTAAATCCTAGCCTTTCTACCATTTTGGATGCAGGGGGAAGTGCTGCAGGCCACCTGCTCACCTCAAACCCAGGCATACAGCCCAATCAGCCCCGTAAATCCTAACCTACCCGATCACAGGAGGATTCTTTTACCTCCTGGTTGTCTGAAACAACAACCCTAGCTACGGGTGCCCCAACACACAACCCAGTACGCATCCCCTCCCTCCAACGGAAAGCATCTGCATCCTCATCTCTTGTCCTCTTCATCATCCCCTGCCCTCTCCCCATATTTACCAGCACCAGATTTTTTTGTTTGTTTTTAAAGACAAGATCAACCACAGTTTAGTCCATTGATATTTGTTCAAAAATTTGCCCCAGGCAGCACAAAACAACACATCAAAGGGCCCTGCCTTCTCTTGAACGTTTTCCTCAGCTTCTGATAAATCATTATTCTGTGAATGGAAAAGATTTTAAGCCAAAAGCTTGGGCAAACACCAAGAGAAACAGATGATCTTATTTGCAACAATGTTGGGTCTTAGAGGAACAGGCTGTCTGGACCCCCAGCTCCACAGCCTGGGAATGCTACTCTTGCCAGCCCAAACCTGGGGCCTGTGAAAGTACAGAATGTCCTACCCAACAAGAATGCTTCATGCATAATCTTAGGGTTTTCTGTTGTTTTTTTTTTTTGGTTTCTACCTTAAATGAGGATTTGGCTTTTCCTCCAAAGGGCAAAACATTTTACTCTCTTTTGTACTCAACAAGCCCAGGGTGGGACTGTTCCACGGGAGCCTATATAGATTGAAGACAGCCATATTAGCCATGGGCTTATGAAGGGCATTCCTGGGGAGGCCGTGCCCACCAGCAGCTCCTAAGAAGACTCCAAATCCTTCAGGGGGAATAAAGGACATGGACGGGGACAACCTCAGCCCCTCTGACCCACCCTGACCCATGGGACAACCAAATGCAGTCTATGGAAAGGTTAGCAACACATATACCCAAATGGTTTCTACTCTTCCTTATGAATTTAACATTGAAGCACTGATTCTCAACTAAGAGCTAGGCTAAGACAAAAAGGTTAAGAACACTCAAACCTAGAGATTTATCTACTTTTTTCTTATCTGTATATCTATATTTGTGAACCAAAATTGCTTCAGTACTCCCTTTTCCTTGGACCCTGTTTCACTCTACAAAGAATTCAAAGTACAAGAAGAAAGAAAATACTTACTGTGCCCAAAGAGAACATGAGAATAAATAACTTATGTTCTTTTCCCATTAATGTTTCCAGCTCTTCCGCCCTAAGAATACTTTCTTATCATGATTTCCCAATGATTTGAAAGAGTCTATATACCAAAAGGCATTTATTAAACTAATTGGTTTTCCTATTAAAAAAAATCAAAGACGTAGATATCTGCCAATCTGAACATTTATTTGATCAGCACAAGATAACCATGTTCCCATACTGCCCGAGTTAATGTGATTTTAGCTCAAAGCAAACAAACTTTATATTTAGTTAGCTGGTATAGCCTAGCCCAGGAATAATTTAGATATGGGTCATAGGAAGAGAGGTTGACCATTGCAGGCTATGGTTTTGTTGATTTGGGCAGCAGCTATGATAGTCAGGAAGACGGCCAGTGATAGCAAGAGAGCTCTTTCTTCAAGGAATCATGGATTTGAGCATTGGTACTAATTATTTCCCAGCTGTGTGATCTCAGGAAAACCATCCAACTACTTTGACTTCAGTTTCCTTAACTATAAGAAGGGATCTTATATTGTTTAGTTCATAAGCTGTTGTGAGAGTAATGAAATCACAGATGTAAAACACTTCTTAAACTATAACGTGCTAGACAGTAGTCTCCCCTCATCCATGGCAGATACATTCCAAGGCCCCCAGTGGAATCCAGAAACCATGGATACTGCCAAACCCTAGATATGCTGTTTTTTTGATCTGGTAACTGAGACAGCTAAGGTGACTAATGGGTGGGTAGCAAATACACCATGGATATGCTGGACAAAGGGATGATTCACATTCCAGGCAGGATGGAGTGGGATGCTGTGAGATTTCATCATGCTACTCAGAATGGTGTGCAATCTAAAACTGAATTGTTTCTGGAATTTTCCTTTTAATATTTTTGGACCATGGGTGAACACAGGTCACTGAAACCCTAGAAAGCAAAACTGCAGATAAGGAGGGCACTACTGTACAAGTATTAGACACTATTAGTGAGGCTAGTGTTAGTAACATAATTTATTTTATTTATTCTCTTTTTGGGGACAGGGTCTTGTTGTGTTGCCCAGGCTGGAGTGCAGTGGTGTGATCTTGGCTCACTGCAACCTCTGCCTCCCAGGTTAAAGTGATTCTCATGCCTCAGCCTCCCAAGAAGCTGGGACTACTGGTGTGCACCACCACGCAGGCTAATTTTTGTATTTTTAGTAGAGACAGGGTTTCACTTTGTTGGCCAGGCTGGTCTTGAACTCCTGGCCTCAAGCAATCTGCCCACCTCAGCCTCCCAAAGTGCTGGATTACAGGCATGAGACACCGTGCTTGGCAGAGTAACAGAATTTTAAACATCTGAGTTCTACTTCTGGCTTTGACATTTACCACCTACATGACTTATCAAAATGTAATCTCCCCAAGTCCAAGTTTCCTCATCTAAAAACTGGCATGAAAATATGTTCCCAGCCTTCCTCCAAAGGTGACATGAGGAGCAAATGAGATGTATGTGAAAGTGTTTTGTATGCTGCAAAGGGCTGTATTGATTGTGGTTGCAGTACAGAACCAAGTGTTCAAGCCAGATCATTTTACTCATCTTTTGAGAAAACAAGCATCTTCATTTAATCATCATTTCTAAAGGAAAAGAACTATCATTTACTAAGCACCTTCCACCTGCCAGACATCGTGCTCAGACCTGCCACACGCATTTGATCACCTCATCTTTGCAGCAATACAATGGTGTACATGTTGTTACCCTCATTTTTCAGACAAGCAAAGGAGATTTCTGAGAGGCTAGAACATTTGCCAGACCCCCAGCAGACGTAAATCTGTGTTTGTCTGCTTGACTTCTAACTGCATTCCCAATCTGTAAATCAGCTCTGAATCCTGGACTGAGATTGCGCTGAGGAAAGGAGAGAGAGTAGCTTCAGCCATGACCTGCGCGCACCTGGAGGGGATACTCCAGGGCCCTGTGCTGGCCCAGCCTTGGAAAGCGGCACTCTTGACTCCCCTAAGCCTTCTTCAAACCTCTGCCATGAGAAGTCCTGGAAACCTAGTGGGGAGCTTTGGCTGCTGGGCGTGTGGTTCTGTGAGAGAAGTTGGGGAAGTGAGGTGAGAGGAAGTTCGTAAGTCCCACTAGAAGGTAAGCTGCCTACGCAGGGTCCTCGCTTGTTTCGTTCACTGCTCCATCCCCAGTACTGAGGAGAACTCCACATAAAATAGGCACTCAAGAAACAGTTGTTGAATGAGTAGATGGAAGGAAGAGGCACCTTCGCACGTAATGCCACCCGGCTCTTCGGAAAGTGTGCAGGTGGCTCAGGAAGAGGAGGGTTGGGGAGGGGGACCTGGACCACTCAGACCACACACTGACAAAAATGTCAGTCACATTTTGTGAATGCCACTCTGTCAGGGACCAGTGCTGGAGGAGGAGGAGGACCTGGTTGAGCAGGATCAAACCTGGGGCTACCCATCTGGCTTCTGGGATGAGCTCTCCAGGGACAAGTAACAACTTCTGTTTTATCCCCCAAGGAGTGGGCTCAGAATGGGACAAAAATTGGTGTTCTGCATATGTGTACAGTAATGACCGTAGTGGCCATAAGTACAGGTGTCACCATGTGTGGCAGGTCTAGGAGAGTACTGGTAGGTATTGTGAGTCTGAGGGTGTATGTCTGTGTGTGTGCCCATGCACACAGGCATGATAGACGCCCTGGTTATATGTCCAGGTGTCACCTACATGCATGATGACAAGAGCCCTGGAGCCCCCAGGAACTGTCCCATGCCATGAGGCTTTTAGATCCTCACCAGGACCACAGACAGATCTGCAGAAGCAGACCAAGGGCCTTTTAAGAGGAAAATATACTCCCCAAGCTCTCCTCTTTCCAGGCATGGGCTGCCCAGTTTTCAGAACTAATCAACCCACTGGGTTACCACTCATGGTGGGAATGGAAAAGTTACTCTCTTTAAAAGTAAATGAGATCCTTGATGGAGAAAAAGCCTTTCATTTTGCTTGAAGTTGATACATCTTGCTTGGATTGCATGTTATCAGGAAAATAAGATGGGGGGGGAAAGAAGAATTTAACATCGTCAGTGAAAATCAGGGAGGGAGGTTCTTAAGCCTGACTCAGCAGAGAACCAGCAGATCCTCTTCAGATGAAGATGCCACATTGTAAATAAATGTGCACTCACAGCTCAATTCCCATATCAATATATTCCTCTGGAAGACAGAGAGGAAGTTAGGGAGGGGCAGGGAGGAAGGTCAAATACGGATGCACCTGTATGTACAGATATTGTCTGTGTTTGTGGGGAGGGCTATTGTATAGACTCGTGCAAGCATGCCTGCCCTGTATCTCCACTCCAGAAGGGCTGATGAGCAAGGTCATTGAGGGTTGCGTGTTTTGTTGTACTGATATCTTGGTGTAAATGTGAGGGAGCCTTTATGTACAGATGTGTAATTGTGTATGGATTTCAGAGTCTTACGTGCAGACATCCCCTGTGGCTGTGCAGGACCAGACCGAGGTGGACTCACTGTTCTTTGCTAATGGGAAATGTTGAGGTCAAAGAGCATTGCCATTCGGTTCCCCAAATCAAAAAAGCATTCAGATACAACAAGGTATCTGGTAGGATGGGAAGAAGGTACTTTCTACGTGGCCCTGATCACTGTGCTGGCATTGAGTGGTAGACAGAATGCAGAGGTATTTCAGTGATGGCCAAGGCACAGTGTGGTGACCCAGTAGCCTTACGAAACAACCTAACCCACCCACAGGAAGTGCTCCATCGCTCTGAGAGAACAAACAATGCCCATGCCAGGCACTTAACTCAATGGCCAAATATCTCTACCTATCCAAAGATGGGGTAGAGTGCAAGGATTAAATGAGGCTGTGGGAGAGGACAGATCTGTGGGCCTTGACTCCTCTCAAAATGGGCAGCCAAGGGACACACCCTGAAGAAGACTGAACAAGATTCAAAAGGGGCCAGAATTGGGCTGGGCAGAGCCCTCTACCACAAGCATTTTCTAGCAGAGCCAGAGGGAAGTGGAGTGAGGCCCTCAGCCCTTGGGAGGCCTGGCTAACCTTGCTGATTCCTGACTTTTAACCATCCCCAGCTCCCAAGCCAGTGCTGGCCAGGCTGTTTCAATTCTGTCACTCTGTAAATAGAGGTGTGGTGAGTGAAAGGTGGAAACATCCCTCTCCAGTTCCCTCTGAGGGCCAAGTGGCAGAAACGCGGTGAATGGAGAAAGGCAGTAAATGTCTGTCTCGGAGAGCTTCCAGAAACACTGACTGGCTTGCCTGGGGCCAAACAGCCCAAGACAGGGGTCCTTGGGCTGGAGGTAGAACAAGCTGACCGCTGGTACCCAGAAGACAGCCCCATTTACTCAGTGGGAACATGGCGGACAATGCAGCCCTCACACAGAGCCTCTAGGTTGGGCCGGCTCAGAGTGGGAGAGAGGCTGGGTGCAGCTCATCATTTTAACTGCTCTGTTGCCATCTTCCTTGCCCAGCTAAGGCCTTGCTAGCCCATTCCTTCCTAGAGATAGGGAGCCACAGAAGCATGAAGTATCCTGCTCCTGGGGTTGGCAAAACAGCCGCTGCAGCATCCCAGGGAGCAGGGAGTTCAGGCCTCAGTGGAAAAAGTGACCACTGCTCACACAGCCCAGGGAAAGGAGGCTGGGTGGCCCCATCCCACCCTGCTAGGTATGGCTGCCTTGGCCAAGCTTAAATAGACTCTTGGCCACCTAGAGAGACTCAGAAACTTGCAGAGGCTTCCAGCCCACTGTCCTGTTGGTGGAGGGCACCCTGCCATCCTGGAGAGGGCAGGCAAGCTCTGGGCAGGTACTTACAACTGCCCCTACCCCAAGCCACCCCTGCTCCCACCAGTGGCTTCACTCTGGTCCTATTCTCCTCCACCCATCTTCTCTCCTCTGCTCCCACTGACCACCCCAGGAACTCCCCACTCCAGTCCTAGAACTCTGACATTTGCCATCCGCCCCAACACATCCAAATCCCATAGCCTGTCCTCAGCCCCGACCCTGGCTGGCTTCCCTGTCGCCTGGCATGGTCTCCAGGGCCCATCCCGTAGAAGCGCTCTCCTCCGTGGGCTTCCCGACTCCCTCTCTGACTTTCCAACTGCCTGTTCCCCTTCCCATCTTCTTTCCTGGCTGCTCTGCCTCTGCCAGCGCCTCAAACTCCCTTGTTCCCCAAGGTTCGGACTCTTGGTTCTCAGTTTTCTCCCTATCTTCCCAGCATCTATCTTCCTAACTGGACTCCAAGGTCAAGGCTCACATTACTTCTGTATGTCCTATAACTGGATACACAACAAATGCCTTTCAATGAGTTGATTAATTAGTGTGAAGGAAGCATGGGGTAGGGGCAAAGTAATGAAGTACAACGGAGTAGCAGGTGACCTGGCCAAGGCACCTAGCCTCTCTAGGCCTCCAATTTTTTGTTTTTTTTAAGTGGAATTTCACTCTTCTTATCCAGGCTGGAGTGCAATGGTGCAATCTCGGCTCACTGCAACCTCTGCCTCCTGGGTTCAAGCGATTCTCCTGCCTCAGCCTCCCGAGTAGCTGGGATTACAGGCACCTGTCACCACACCTGGCTAATTTTTTGTATTTTTAGTAGATACGGGGTTTCATCATATTGGCCAGGCTGGTCTCAAACTCCTGACCTCAGGTGATCTGCCTGCCTTGGCCTCCCAAAGTGCTGGGATTACAGGCGTGAGCCACCACAACCATAGGCCTCCATTTTTATCTGTAAAATGTGCACATTAAGCAAGAGAACTTGCATTATGCCTCCCACAGAGATGTTAGCACTCACACAAAACTGTCACTGCTCCTTAGGCATGTGATGCCCAAACTGTGTCCCATGGCACCATGTGAACTCACAGAGGTGCCACAGAATATTTTTAATTTTCTAGGAAAACACTATCATGTCTGTCAGACATCTTGAAAAATGCTCCTATTAAGTTATTTGGTCTTAACTACTTAATAAATGAAACTGTTAGGTATTTATTTTGGTATAGGCCCACCATGAAAAAAATTACAGAGACATTAAGGGTGCTATAAGTTGAGAAAGTTTGGGAACCTCTTTATTAGGCTCCGAGCTCCTCAAAGGCAAGGTCCATATATTATTCACTTCTGTATATTTGCTCCCCTCATCAGAAACAAAAAATATAGCCCTGAAGTTGACCTATAGGAGAGCCCAATATATATTTGTTGAATGAGTGAATAAATACAAATTAATGGAACAGATGTGTAAACAGAGCATCATCACCATGCACTTCTGCCACTAAACTGATGGCCGTCATGTTCCAGATCTAAACTGCTCAGCACAGTGAGAAATCATTTCATCCCCATCCCTCAGGAAGCAGAGCTGATCTGATTTACTTGTAAAAGCATTCACCAATATGTTCTATCAGCTCGCTACCATGTCCTTCCTATAACCACTTTGAAGTCATTGAAACTAGCTACACAGTGCCAGGAAGAACTTCCAAAAACACTCAGTCACTAATCCGAGTTTTACTAGCATCTTCCGGGAGCGCCTGATCCATGTAACTTACTAGCCTCAACAGGCTGAGAATGTGACAATCTCCGTTCCTCATACCCCGTCCATGTGCAATGGGAAATAAAACCGAAACCAGGCCAAAACTTACCCGTGGAGTCCTCTTCCTTGGAAATGTGAGGTTGAGATAGTTATTAGAAATGGATGATTTGGCCAAGCTGAGGTCAGCATTTTCTCCATAGTTTTTGCGCCAAGAATCTGTTGGGAAATAAAGCGCAACTGTGATTTGGAACCTGGCTCTGGGAAGTATGGCTATAACAAGGAGGTGTTGGCTGGGTGTGGTGGCTCACGCCTGTAATCCCAGCACTTGGGAGGCCAAGACAGGTGGATCACGAGGTCAGGAGATCGAGACCATCCTGGCTAACACAGTGAAACCGCGTCTCTACTAAAAATACAAAAAAAATTAGCCAGACGTGGTGGTAGGCACCTGTAGTCCCAGCTACTCGGGAGGCTGAGGCAGGAGAATGGCGTGAACCCAGGAGGCAGAGCTTGCAGTGAGCCGAGATCACACCACTGCACTCCAGCCTCGGCGACAAAGCGAGACTCCCTCTCAAAAAAAAAAAAAAAAAAACCAAAAACAAACAACAAAAAAACAAAAACAAGGAGGTGTCATTGTAACCAGGTCCCTCTAAAATAATTCTGTCACCCCAAACTCAAGATGTAAATGGCATACAGATCCACTTACATGCACAGGGGCTGGGTGAGTGGAGTCACCCCTGTTTGGCCTCAAAGTCAAGGGGAACACACTGGGCAGCCCCAGAACAGACCATACAGTGTTAGGAGCAGCCAGACTCAGAGACAGGGACAGAGTTGGCTCAAGGGGCTAAGCAAAACCTCTGTGCAGGTGCTTACCCACGGGCCTCAGTGGGGTGCCCCGGAAGAGCTCGTAGAACTTGGAGAGGTACATGACCATGCTGAGCTTGTCAGGCTCCTGGGCAGATGCCATCTCTTTGCCCGTGGTCACTGGAGGGATCCCAAACTCTCGCTCGGCCACATCAAATGCGAGCTGGTTGTTCTCCACAGCATCATCTTCATTCAAAGAGTCAAAGTTGCTAGAGAATCAAAACAAAGCAGAGAAATTCAGGGAGAGGAGGCAGAGGTGTGGCGAGCTGAGCACCTTCAGGTGGTAAGGAGCACTGAGGGTGACACTCTGCCAGGTGTCGGCAGGTTACAGGGGAGGAATAGTGACCCCAGCCCCTACTCCCAGTTCTCACCCACCACTCCACTGGTCAGGAAGGGACAAAATCAGACCTGGGCCATGATGACGTTATTGCTGCCTGGGCTAAAGCCATCAGAAAATGATTTAAACCTCTTGGGAACATTTATGAGCTATTTTACTTTTAAATATATCCCTTACTTTTTTTCTTTTTAATTACAAAAGTAAAATGGGCATCTTGTAAAAAACATCAAGTTATATAGCATATAAAGTAAAAAGGGAGACCAGGCGCAGTGGCTCATACCTATAATCCCAGCAGTTTGGGAGGCAGAGGCGGGCAGATCACTTGAGCTCAGTTCGAGACCAGGCTGGCCAACATGGCAAAACTCTATCTCTACTAAAAATACAAAAATTAGCCGGGTGTGGTGGTGGGCACCTGTAATCCCAGCTACTCAGGAGACTGAGGCAGGAGAATTGCTTGAACCTGGGAGGCGGAGGTTGCCATGGGCTGAGATTGCGTCACTGCACTCCAGCCCAGGCAACAGAGCAAGAGACTCCAGCTTAAAAAAAAAAAAAGACGGTCCATCCTCCTAAGGCCACCTCATTTCCTAAAGTACCAATTGCTAGCCCTTGGGTAGGTTTGCTGTCAGCCTTTTTTGTGATTTGCACCTGGCTGTGAAGTTCTGCTGCTGCTGATTTAAACACAGATGCACCATGCTTTAGCACCACAGTGTTTCCTCAAACATAACCTGATCTCCCCAATGACCCTGCTGCTATTTCTAATTTGTAGACGAAGAATCTAAAGCTCAGAGAAGGTAAGTGGCTTGCCCAAGGACACACAGCTTATGGATCTGGGTCTCAAACCTAATTCTATAAAACCCTCAAACTAGTCCCTGGAACTAGGTCTGGCCCATACTCCTCTCTTGAGGGTGAAGCTCCAAGGTGTGAATGCTCAAATTCCAAAGAGTGTGGTGATGGGGCTCGGGGGGGAAGGGTAGTGGGGGGTGAGGTGTCAAGAGTGCCATCACTAAGCCGGAGCCAATTTTTATCCTCACATATTAGGAACACAGATCAAACACACTGCTGACAGAGTAATCAGTGCAAAGGGAAAAGAACAAATGTTAAGAAAAATCTCAAATTGAAACACAGAAAGAGAAATATTGAACCAAGTAATGAAGATTCTGCATGCAGCAGAATGGCCTTGGCATCCCTCGTCTCCAGGGGCCAGCCTGGGCCCCAGACTCACATGAGCTCAGGCCGGAAGCGGTGGATGATGGCACACAGGGCCAACCCACTGCGCCAGGATGTGGTCAGGTCGGTGACGTTGACATGCTGGTAGCCCTCTGTCTGCTGCTGGCACCAGGTCAGGAGCTTGCTGGGCCGGATATCTGACTCTGCAAGAAGGAGAGCGCAGGCAGTGAGGCTCTGCAGGAATCTCACACGGTCTGCCCTGGCGCTCCCTTCTCATTGCCACCATGGCTGGGGACCAGGACGAGCGGCCCCAAGGCAAGGGGCCAGGGCAGGGGGCCACTGGCACGGGTGCAGCTCCCTGAGGACTGCTGCTTGGGGGCCTGGTCAGGAGTGTGGCAGGAGGGGAGAGGAAGCATGTTCTCTTCCAGCAGAGTTCCTAAGACCTACTGTGTTTAGGCCCTGCCAACAACATGCTCATCTAGTGGGGAAGATAGTCACAGAGGGGGTGATGATGACACAGTGCTGCAATGGAGGGAGAAACAGGGGGCTGTGGGAGCACATTAGCAGGTTTGCCTGAGTCTGCGCTGGGAGGGGAATTCTCCAAAGAAAAGTGTAATGGGGAGGTACGTTTGAGCTTGTTCTTTGAGAGCATCTAGGAACTTATCAGACGGAAGAAGTCATTCCAGGAAGACAGAAAGGACTGTGTGGTGGCTAAGAATCTAGAAAAACCTGCTATGTTTGCGTAACAGTAAAATGGTTGATTATGGTAAGTGGTTTATTACAGCAGTGGGGCATGTCGTGGTGTGTGGAGGGGAGGGAGGAGTACAGCTGAGTTTGCCTAAGGAAGGAGAGGAGGCAAAGCCTGGACAGGCACAGGTAGCCAAAGAGGTCTCTAAGCAGGAGAGCATCCTGAGCTGAGCTGGGCGCTGGGAGTTCCTCATTTAACCATCCCATCTCCCTGTGTTGAGCACTGGTCCTGTGTCCAGAGCACTGCTAGGCTCAGGATGATCAGGAAAAGGGTGAAGTGCATTAAGCTCATTATCTACTTAAGGGGACAAGGCCCCCATGCAGGAAACAACAGGAAAATAAGAACAAGTCCCAGTGAAATAATCCCCTGGTTCATGTTTACTGTGTGAAGCTCTCGACACACACTAGCTCCTTTCATCTTCATAATGATTCTCTGGGCAGGGGTTCTCTTGGTCTCACAGAGGAGGAACTGGAGTACAAAGAGGACAGGTGCCTGCCCATGACCACACAGGTAAAGGGGCAGAGCCAGGCTGGTTGCAGTGCCTGTGTCACCACGGTCACTGAGCAGTCCTCCTCCCCTCAAAGCTCTTCCCAGCCACCCACCAGGGTCCCAGGAGGGCCGCTTACCCTTCCTGGAGAGGTTGACAGATCTCCTCACCGAGCCCAGTCTCTCGAGAGGGTAGTGCTCCAGCTCCTTAGTGATATACAAATGCTTCACCTATGAGCAAGAGAGACATGCTTGCCCACCAGTTTTCCCCCAAATCCTAGTCTCAGGGCCCCTAAACTCGACCCACCCCCAATTCAGTGCCTGCCACCATTTTCCTCTACTGCTGGGAGGCATGACCTTCGGCAAGGGAACGCAGGCAACTTCAGTCATAGAGCAATGGGCCTCAATCTTCCACCCAGATGCAGGCAAACTAAGTGGGAATGTCTGTAGCTAATTTGTGTGTATGTAATTAGCTAATTTTAAAAATTCACACAATTTTCTGTTCTATTGACCAAAGAGGTTGAGAGTTTGGTGGCTTTAAATTAGTGGAAGAAGAAATGGACCCCAGGACCAAGGGTGGTATGCAGAGATCATATTTGGCCAAGTAGCTTATTTGAGACAGGTAAGATCAGCAATGCATATGCATAGTGACAATATATATAAATATATGCACATATACATATAAATCTCTCCCCCTACATGTGTTCTAGTTCTGTCCTGCGGGCTAGAAAGAATGCTGACTCGAGTGGGGAGAAGAACTGGTCCCACCATTAGGCCAGCAGGCCTTGGTGGCCTTAGTCCCAGGAATGGACCAAAATTTAATGTGACCCCCTCCCCACCACCTCTTCCCACTGTTCAGTGCAGAGTGATTCAGACAGAGCCCCAGCAATGGACTTGCCTGATGGGGCCTGACACAGTGTGAGTTGAGGTTTGGGTACCGTGTCCCTGGGTCCAACGTGTACTGCTCAAAGTTCTTGTTGATGTTCTCCGGGGTTGTCTGAGGTAACAGCCGGTAGAGACTTTCCCTGGAGGGAGGCGGAGCCTGGAGGTCAGGGATCACTTTTGCCACCTCAGGCCTTGTCCCCACCCTTCCCTACTTCCCCCTTCCTCTGGCTCAAGGGCTTCCTGGACATGTTTGTCTAACCCTTCCCTGAAATACCTGACTCTCCTGGTTCTTGAGATCTGCAAAGTGGGGAGAAGGTCAAAGGGGCCGAGAGGAAAGGGGCGCCTGGGTGACGGGGATGCTGGGCTCCTCCACCCAGGCAGGGGGAGGGATGCAGGGCTGGCAGCACGGTGGCCTGTGGTTTTGCCATAACCATGTTCAGCCACGCTGCCTCCTGCGGCCTGCTCCCCACGACCACAGGCTTCCACACCCAAGATTGTCAGGGCCTGCCTCCGCCCGCCAGCCCTGACCTCCCCCCGTCCACCAGCTGTCACAGCCACGTGGCCAGCAGCAGGGGTCTGGGAAGAAGCCCAGGATCTCAGTGGTGTGAGAGGCCTGGAAAGCCAGAGAATCCAACCCCCATCCAGGACAGGAGACTCAGCGCTGCCCTGGAAGATTCCCTTAAATAAACCTCTCTGGCTCTTCGGTGAATGAGCAATGCTGGGGAGCCCCAGCTGCAGGGCCAACCTAGATGAAGATTTCTCTTTGTCATCCAGGGCCCAAGGTCCTGGCCCCAGAGAAAGTCACTGTAAGAGTCAGATAATGATGGAGAAAGCATCCTTGGGGATGCTGATGATCAAATCAGGCCACACATGGGAAGGTAGAATGGAGGAGGCAGAGGCTCCAGGTATATCCAGCAGTCACCTGCGGGGTGATCTTGCCCCCTTTCCTGCCTGAGTGCCCTGCCCCCCAGTTAGGAGCCCTACTGTCAAAGCTCACCTTTCAGCCAGCAGCTCCAGGGGAGGGGTGCCCTGGTTCCAGCTCTTCACCATCCATGCCGTGTCAAAGGCTGCCAGGAAGCCACGGGCACAGCCTGTACCCATGGGCCAAAATGGCTGCAAAAGAAAACGTGCAAAATTCCAGTTGATTCTGATGACTCCCGATCTATGATCTCATTGGACCCAGCACACACTGATTGCCAGGACTGTGCAGGGCACTGGAGGGACAGAGAGGTGACAGGGCAGGGACCCTGCTACCTATGAGGATTCATCACAAGGTCAAATAACTATAGCAGAAGGTTAAATGTAAAGGGTGCTATGACGCAGGCATAGCAAAACTGCTTTAGGGCTCAGAAAAGGCGAGACGAATTCCCATCCTGGGAGAGGGAGATGGAAATCAGAATAAGCTTCTTAAGAGTTGCATTAAGCTGATTTTAACAAATGGATGGGATTCTGATCCTGAGCTACTTGGGAATGGTGTGGGCAAAGGCATGGTGGTTGGAAAATGCTGGCGCCTGATGGAAGAACAGCCGTCTGTTCTGGGTGTAACATGGAGCATGGGAGGAGGGGAGGGAGAAACCGAGCTGGGAAAGGAGTCTGGGCCAGAAGCAGGATGGGAACTGAGGGCTCAACCAAGGGCCTTAGGTTCAAGTCCATGCACAATAGTGCCCAAGGACCAAGTCAACCAAGCTGAGTGCTGACTAATCTGCTCCATGAGCACCCAAAGCATGGTTTGGAATTTGACTCTTAACTTGGAATAAATACATAATCAGTGCTCACACTAAAGAGAAAACTTTCTCCTTTCTGAAAACATTCATTTAATCTAAGGATCCTTGCACCCTTGCAGATTTTCTGGGAAGAATTTTCAGCAGGGAAGCTATGAATGGAAAGGAGACTTTGGGGCCCATAGGCCTCTCCTGCACTCCGTGTGATCTCAAAGGCCACAAAGGGCCGCCCACATGAGGAAGAAGTCTCGGCCCAGCTGAGGGTCCACACACTCTGAGAAGGATGGCTCATATGGCCCAGACCGGGGCTGCCTGATTTTGTACTTCATCAAAGAAGTCAGTGCAAAAGAGCCAGGAGATAGGAGAGAAGGCTCTCCTAACTACACAGAGGCAGAATAGGCTCCTCTGAGTGCAGCAACAGGACAGGCTCTGAGGCCGGGACAGGCTTGGCAGAGTCCTGCCAACTGGCTGAGAGCCTGTCCTCTCCCCGCTGCACAACAGCAGATACTGCCTGCCAGAATACAAACGTGGGATCTGTCTCGCAGAGAAACATGGGGGCTCCGAGCTCAGGCAGTACCTCAAGCAAGCTGTCACCCACAAGGGCCACGAGCAGCTGGTGCGCCTGCCGCTCCCGCACCAGGGCCGCGTTCTCTGAGGCATACATGCAGGTAAAGTCAAACATGGCCACATCAGGCTGCCCATAGTGGTTCATGGCAAAGTCTAAGGATGGCAGCTGGTAGTTGGTGGCAAAGTCTGCAGCTTCCCGGGCATAGGATAGCAGGTTGTCTTGGTTCACGTTCTCCGCACACAGCAGCATCTCTGTGTCGATGTAGTCCTGGGGAAGATGAAAACATGGTGCAGCAACCTCCCCCTCTAAAGGGCTAGCCTTCATACCCACCTCTTGGCAAAAGGACTTGGAATGGGTCCCTACAGTGAGGCTAGTCAGAAAAGACATATAAAAACCAGGACCAAGGGAATAAAGAGGAAATAAATCAGCCAGCTGTGAGGGTTAACACGGTTGTGATTAAGCATCAAATTTGGCATTGAGCTTCCTGGCATCCAAGGCAAAAGGGAAATGTGATATGCCCCAGAGCTCTCCTTATCAGAAAGAAGGAAGCGTAGAAATTCCTCAGGGGAGGCAATTTTTCCCTGGCATTAAATTCTAAAAGATCTGTCTCACGTAGGAATTTCAACAGGGCGCGTTGAGAGTTGTAATGAACAGTGCACTTGATAATGGTCTTGGAGCAAACAACGAGCACATTTCATAGGTCTGGTTCTCATGAGAACTTTCAGTACAATTAAGAGACAAAGGAGCCATCAGAAAGTGTGATTTTATAATAAATTCAGCTAAGCGAGTATGATCCAAATATGCCATGTTTAGTGGTCAAACAAGACCAGAAAAAGAAAATGGGAAACCTCTCACACTTTCCAAAATCAGTGACCCCTTTACTTGATGGGCCGAGG
Source organism: Homo sapiens (assembly GCF_000001405.40). Lineage (NCBI taxonomy): Eukaryota > Metazoa > Chordata > Mammalia > Primates > Hominidae > Homo > Homo sapiens. The sequence continues at coordinate 12,219,571 of NC_000011.10, read as the reverse complement.
GCTCTCACAGCGTAGCTTTTTTTTTTTTTTTTTTTTTTTTTTTGAGATGGAGTTTCGCTCTTGTCTCCCAGGTTAGAGAGCAATGGTGTGATTTTGGCTCACTGCAACCTCCGCCTCCCAGGTTCAAGCAATTCTCCTGCCTCAGCCTCCCCAGTAGCTTGCTTTTGGTGCTAATTGTTATGCTTCTTTCATGGGGAGTGCAGAGCCCTGAGCTGCGAGGACTGGAATATCCATCCTGGAGGGACACTAGCAATGAAACACAGGATGTGAGGATTGAAGAGAGCTGGCAAGTTTAGTGTATCCCCAGAGTCCAAGCTGCTCACCGTGTGGCTAAAGAAACTAAAAGACCACCTTTCTCAAAGGTGACACAAAAAGTACAGACACCTGGAGTGGGAGGGGACCAGTGTGTAACATGAACACAGGCTTTGGGGCCAGTGAGAGCAACGGGTCAAAGTCCACCTCTGCTGTTTACTAACTAAATCTGGGCCAGTTATTTAACTTTTCAGAGTCTCCACTCTCTCATCTGTAAAAAGGGAATATCAAAACCTACTTCACAGAGCCACATGAGAAGATGGAATGAGTGTACACACGAAATCCCTAGCCCCATGTGGGAAGTGACCGATGAATGGGAATTCCTGTCCCCTGTAATTCATGCTGGCTCCAGATATGGCTTATGATGAAGTATATCCTGGACCCAGCCAAGGCACCCTCAATTACAAAGGTCTTGACAATCACAGAGTGCCGCATTTACAGCCAGAGTGACCACTGCCTCAATTTTCTGAGTAGCCATGATTTCAAATACCCTGTTCTGGAAACTCATATTTCCCCCATTCAAACCAAACCGCCCAAATTGCATCCAGCACTGGTCCAAGAGCTCTTTGTCAGGCCCCAGTGTCCAGGATGGAATTCCTGTTATTTGATTTCCTTTCTGATCCCTGTTTCCGCGGTCACATGATCACTTCTCTCTCCGAAGGCGTGGAGGTGAGATGGGGGAAGAGAGAAGGGAGAGGTCTCAAACACCCCCCCTTCAAAATATGACCCAAGCATCCCTAAGATGGAGTGGGTGACATTACACAGTGAAGACAGTGCCTGGCGTGGACGCCTCATGCAGGAGAGTGGGGACCTAGCAAAGGGAAGACACTAGGCTAGAGCTGGCCTAGGGCTGCTGTGGAGTCTCTTAGTGGCTGGAGGGTCCCAGATGAGTGGGGGGATGGAAGAAGGAGCAAAACCATAGGGAGCAGATGAGGACAAGGACAGGAGGACAGAATCCCAGCCCACACACGTATGGGCCAGCAGAGGCAGGGGCCCAGGGAGGCTCTGGGATGGGACATCCTCCCTGTGGGGAAGAGAAAGATGGGCACAGCTGAGAGCCCAGAGGCACGGCTGCTTGAAGAGAAACTTTACTCTTCCTTCGGTAGCCATGGAAAGAAGCCCAGAGATCAGCTGGAATCAATGGGGAAGCAGGAAAACCTCTTGTCCAGAGGTCAGTCATTCATTCAACAAACATTTACTTGGCACCTTCTGTGTGGCTATAGGAAGATATGGATCCATGTAGGGAGAGGAAAACAGAAAACTTGCCATTCCTCCAGGGAGCAAGAGAACAATGTAAATTTAAGCGGCTCAGGGAAGATGGGTTGGGAACTTGGCTGGACACCTGGACGCTCAGGCTATAGCTCTTGTTCCAATCAGGTGTCCAGCCTGTGGCCTCCAATTTCTTTCCCATCTTGTACCTTGAGGCTCCTCAGCACCAGCTCAGGAGCTGCTCCCAGGGGCCTCTGAAGGAGAAAGAAAGGCCTTGGTGAAGACAAGCATGGGCCTGGAGGGGCTTTGACAACCGCCAGGGAAGCGAGTTGCCATGAGCAAACACCTGGGATGACCTGAGGGTGACCTTAGCATCCCAGGAGGCCACGGTGCTCTGCAAAACACAAAACCCATCAAGCTTTGCCTGCCTGCCTAACCTCTCCTCTGCAAAGCTGCCCGCTACCCCTACACCCCTGCACCCCCCAGTTTCAGACTAAGGCGGCAACTTCAGGAGGCAACTTCTGTGAGGCAGAGGGAAGAAGGGGACGCCACCACTCCCAGACTGACAGTCAGCAGTGGGACACTGCTGAAGCCCATCGCCCACCCATCTGCTGGCGTGCTCAGCCCACTTCACCAAGCCCGCATTCACAGCCTCCGTCTACAACTCAGGCTCTCAGCAAAGACCTGAGCTGAAGTGGAGAAGGCCCACGGGGTGGCTGGGTTACTAATGCCACCCAGACGGCTGCCAGCACACGCAGGAAAGAAGATAGCTGCATTCTTCTCTGACAAGCAGCAATGAATGGCCACCGTGCTGCCTGGGCTCCAGGCTGACACCCAGACAGCAGGCTGAACTTGGGCAGTGTGATCCTTATCTTGAGGTTGCAGCAGCAGCAGTGACAGTGGCAGCAACTACAGGGGCTCTGGAAGGGTTGTACACCTGTCCGAAGAAGCTTCCAGTCAGGGGCCACTACTCCATGTTTCTTCCTTCCAACCCTGCTCCGTGCTTAAGCATGAAGTCGCAAGGCCACGAAGCAGAGGCCAGGAAGCCAGCAGGACAAAAAAGCCAGTGTGCAAACAAGGCTGAGAAGTTACAGAGGGAATCTACAAACCCACCCTCTGCCGGGCACTGTGCCAGGTGCTCTATATATATCTTCTGTTTGCTCCTTCCAAGAACCCTTTCAGGCAGAAACTATCATTCCTATTTTGTAGATAAGAAGACTGAGGTTCAGGAAGGATACACAGTTTGCCCACAGTCTGGAGGAGGTATGTGGCAGAGTCAAGATGCAGATCGAGTCTTTTTGACTGCATGAATAATGAAATTCCCCCACACTGTGACAAGGCTCCACAGCATGAAATTCACAAGTCAAAGGATGCCTATGTCTCATTAGGACAAGGAGCCCCCATCTGCCTCCAAATGACATGTGACCTCCCAGAGAAGAGGCAAGGCTGGATGAGACTTGGGAAGGAAAAGACTCAGTTGATCCACATTAACACCTGGTAAAGGTCTCACAGCAGCACACGTCCCTCTGCAGAAAATTCTCTGTGCATATTGGCGTGGGCTCCTTTATCCAATACTCATGTAACACCAAGAAAAAGAAGGGTGTAAGCTGGTGGCACCTTCCCCCCTCCTCCCCTCGCTCAGTTTCTGGCAGGACGACATCTGCCTTCACACCTGCTGATGTCACCAGCCCAGGTCGCGAAGTCGGGAAATCGCAGCCAAGAGGTACGTACGTTAATGATGACACCTTTGTCGAGCAGGCTCTGCTTCTTGGCTGTCATTACAAAATAGTGGGTGCAGTCCTTGTAGTAAACAATGTTCTCAAGATCTATGCCTGAAAAGAGAAGCATTCACAAGCTCAGTGTTACTTCCTCGGCACCAACTGTGTGCCAGGAACTGTACTTTGCCTCACTATTGGTCTTGTTATTTATCTGCAGAATATTCATGTTAGACCAGTTTTTAAGGCACACAAGGCTGGCAAAGATAAAACAGAGTGCCAGAATCTACCCAAGTCAAAGCAGCTAGCTTCTATAGTTCTATAGCGGCATTATTCCTGTTAAAACTCACAACGTCTGTAGGGGTTGTGGGCCAGTATAAGTTAGAGCCGGGTAATTGTGCAGAAAAGCCAAGTGCCGGCCATGGCCACAGAAGCTCAGCAATGACAGGGCTGGGATTTGAACCCCAGCCCATCTAGCTCCAAGTCCTGTCCACTGTGCCCTCCATGCGCCCATAGTAGCATAGAGCTGTGGGAATTCTCCAATGACTATGCCAAGGAATATTTCTACTGTTTCCCGGCTTGTATGTGAAAACCCGAGTGCAGTGGTAGGAACAACTCAGGTTAGAAGGCTGGGCTGTATCTTTTTGTGCTTTCCACCAATCACAAGACATTTTACACACTAAGTTCCTGCATTTAAAACCATGCTGTGCAATGAGAGCTTAGCTCCACGGTTCTCAAAGGGAGGTCTCTGGCCAACAGCATCAGCATCACCTGAGGACATACTAGCAATGCAAATTATCAGGGCCCTTCTTCAGACTCACTGAATCAGAAACCCTGGGGATAGGGCCAGCACGCTGTGCTTTAACAAGCTCTAGGTGATGCCAATTCATACTCAAGTGTGAGGCTGACTGGCTTATTTGAAGGGAGAGAAAGGAACAGGCACATGGCGACATATCAGCATTTACACAAGGCGTGCTGGGTAACCATAGGAGCACCTTTATTACGGTTAAATAGGAAACAGGCATCAATGCAGAGGGCCCCCAGGAGAATCAGGAAGGTCGCGACTGTCACTGTCTGAGGGCACTGTTGTGAAACGATGGCCGAAGGTGACAACCACAGCAAAGTTTCAAGGAAGTTCACTGAAACGTGGAAAAACCCACTCAATGTCCTGCTCTCATTTATATTGAGTGGCTTAAGTATTTATTTTCTTGGTTTTTTAGAGGAAGGGAGGGTTGGAGGATTCTCAAAGCATTCAAAAGGACACCATATGCTGGCAGGAAATATTCAAGCTTTTAATGGAATAATGCAATGGAGGTGAAACTGAGAGGGTTGTGCAGTGAGCACATACCCTCCAGGCCAGTGAGAAGTACAATCTTGCTCAACAACTAATGCCATTCCTAGGAAATGATGTTAAAGAAATAATTTAACAGAAGCAGTGTTATCTGTAACAGTAAATAACTGGAAGGCCTAAATCAGAGGTCAGCAAGTTGTGTGTGTGTGTGTGTGTGTGTGATGGACCAGCTAGGAAATATTTCTGGCCTGTGGGCCCTATGGTCTCTTTCATGATCTCTCATGGTGGAAGCAGCCATCAACAGTTATGTAAAGAAATGGACATGGCTGGGCGACAATCAGCTTTTATTTATGGATGCTGAAATTTGAATTTTAAATAAACTTCATGTGTCATAAAATATTCTGATTGTTTTATTCAGCCTATATATAAAACCATTCTTAGCTCGAAGGCAGTATAGAACCATGTGGCCAGCCATAGTTTGCTAATCCCTGGTTTCAATGCTTAGGCAGTGACAATACATCAATTTGATGAGATATTCCACAGCCCCTAAAAGTGACCACCAGAAGGATGATGTTTGGAATGTGACACTGAATGAGAAAAGCTGACTAAAGAGTGTGGACACTGCGATTTAAGCTACAGTCACATAACAAGCAAGAACGCTGGTGGAAAATTACAGAAAAGGAGTAGGTGAGTCTGAAGACTATTCTCGTGTGGGGCGGTCAGATTGCGGATGATTTATTTTCCATATACAGATTTTATTTAACATTGTTGTTACATTGCTTTTCAAGGAGAAATCTGTGTTTTTAATCAGGTTAAAAAGAAAGGAAAAGTATCTGGAATTTACTTAATTGGAGAGAGGTGACTCGTCCCCCTTTCCCCTCACCCTGTTTTTCTCTGCCGTCCCTATTACCACCTGATGAGTCACTGGTTTATTTGTGTATTGACTGTCTATTCTCGTAGAATATAAGCCCAGGAGGGACGGATTTTGTTTTGCTCACTGCTCATTCTCAAGCCCTAGAACAGCATCTGGCACACAGTAGGCATTCAATAAATATTGAGTGAATGAATCAATACCTCCTATCCTCTAGGCCCATGGCTGGGTGACAACTGGTGCCAGTACAGGTTATGTTCCTGGGCGTATCCAGATGTCCTTCTTGGGGAAGGGCAGTGCTGTATTGCACAAACTCACCCGGGAACCTTTAGGAACCATCCATAGGTGACTGGCTCCCTCCTTAGCATTCCCTAAATATCATGCTGACCTCAGGTGCGGTGCTGGCCACCTGCCTTAGGATGGTTTATACAGATATCCCTTACTGGACAGGGAGCCACTGTGGGAAGGATCGTGTCAACCTTCACTTTTTACCCAACACTGAGAATTGGCATGTAATGAGCACTCAGCAAATGTCCACTATCTCCTTTCATGTACAACATCCAGAACATTCCCTCAAGAATCTCTCTTGTCCCAGAAGGAATCCTGTCTGTATTCACTATCCTAGGGAAAATCATTGCTTCCACTCTATCAGAGTGAGTCCCTCGAGGCCCAAGAGCCCAGAAAGCCAGCACACGCCTCTGCACACTTTAGAAACTGCAAACTTTAGACCTTGGCCTGGTTGGGAGAAAGGTGAAGGTCCCACCTGTTTCTTCTTTAAGGTCCTGAAAAAATTTCTGATTGAAGATGAAAGCCACACCACTAATCTCTTCCACCTTGGCTTCCGCTGTGCTGTTTCTGTTTATGAAGTTGGCGGTGATGGCAATCGCCAGCTTCCCACGGAATTCTTTTCTTCTGAACCCTGCATGAGGAGAAATGAAAAAGTGGGTCTATCTTCTGGATTTGGTGTGAAAACTGAAAATGATTATTGGGAGAGCTGTTCCCAGATGCCTCCCAGGCCAGTGAAACCAGGATTCTGGATCTCTAGTGGACAGGAGCGGGCAGAAATACCGAAGTTTGCTCCCAAGGCTTTTAAAAGTCAGTGAGACTGTCCGTTTCTAAAATCTACAGGACCTGGTTAGGCTTCAATAAACAAAAGGAAAAGCGATCCTTCCCAACAGGCAGTCACAGGGTGTACCCTTGTAAGGATGTGTCAGGCATTGTTGCTAGATACACTCATGAGAGACCCACATGCACTTTGAATTTATAGGATGAAAACTACTCTGTTAGCATTTCTTATGGTGCCACCGCTCCTGACCCCCTTGAAAAGTAGATCACATTGAATTCCTGCAGGACAGGGATTTTAACAAATTTTCTTCATATCTCCAATTTTTTGGGTTGTATTATGTGCCTCTCCAACACACACACACACAAATTCATGTGTTGAAATCCTAACCCCAGTACCTCAGTATGTGACTCTATTGGAAATAGCGTCATTGCAGGTGTAATTAGCTAAGATGAGGTCATACTGGAGTAGGGTGGGACCCAGCTTACTCCAATATGACTGGTGTCCTTTGAAAAGAGGAAAATAGTACACCAGTTCCCAGTAACTGGCATTTAATACATCTACAATGCATGTATAAATGAATAAATGGAATTCTAGCTCTCATTCGTTTTTTGTTTTGTTTTGTTTTGTTTTTCAGACAGGGTCTCGCTCTGTTGCCCAGGCTGGAAAGCAGCGGTGCCAATCATGGCTCACTGCAGCCTCGACCTCCCAGGGTCAAGCGATCCTCCCACCTCAGCCAGCAAGTAGCTGGGACAATATGCATGTGTCACCATGACTGCCTTATTTATTTTTTTTTAAGTGTTTGTGGAGACACAGTTTCATCATGTTGCCCAGGCTTAGTGCTCTAATTCTTGTTTTCAATGATTTACATTAAAATTGCTCTTGAATGGCAGTGCTATGGAGGATCACAGCAGCTGGTGCAGGGTAAACGCACCTGACAGCAATAACTGAAGCGCACCTTTAGAAAGACCCTGTATGGCTGATGCACCTGAATGTGTGTTCTGAGCTGGGGAATCCAGGAGTGGCCAACCCCGAGACTTCTTCTTTGTCTATGAGGGACATTTGAGCTCCTGGCCCATCCCGTGGAACATGGACCATGCAGGGGGATCCAGGCCCTGAGTTCTGGGTTGGATGAAGGTTGCCAGGTGGAGGTTAAGAGGAGGGTGTTAAGTGAAAATGCTGAATAAACTGCATGCTGTTTGCAAGCAGTTGCGGTTTTCCTGCCCAGGTTGCCACCACTGGGCTGTTGTGCTGTCCAGCCCGCCGCCATTGGACCGTTTCTGCAGGGAAGCCGGGTCTCCTGTCCAACCCACTGCCACTGGACTCTCTCCCCTGTGAATCCCTAATAAAACCCCATGTCTATTTTGCTGGCTCTTGGGCTCTTCTTTGGCCTCTTGAACTTGGTACTTTCCCTATTGAGGTTAATAGGGGTTCCACACAACAGATGGCCACTTTTCAACAGTGTGTCTCCCTCCTAGTCCCCCATCTTGCTGTCATCTGACCTTTCCTGAGTGCCCCTGCCCCCAGGCATGCTGTGTACTTTGTGTAAGGCCAGGTGCCTGTCACACAGGTGCAGACCTCCAGACATAACCTTTCCTTAGCCACCTTTGGGAATGCCCCACACATCTGCTCACCATGTACTCCAGCCTCATGCTGATTCTCACTCATCTGTCAAAAATCCCTTTTAGTGACAACCTTGGGGTTTTTTTTGTTTTGTTTTGTTTTTTTCTGAGATGGAGTCTTGCTCTGTCACCCAGCCTGGAGTGCAGTGGTGCGATCTTGGCTCACTGCAACCTCCACCTCCTGTGTTCAAGCAATTCTCCTGCCTCAGCCTCCCGAGTAGCTGGGACTACAGGTACGTGCCACCATGCCCGGCTAATTTTTTGTGTTTTTAGTAGAGATGGGGTTTCACCCTGTTAGCCAGGATGGTCTCGATCTCCTGACCTCAGGTGATCCGCCCACCTCAGCCTCCCAAAGTGCTGGGATTACAGGTGTGAGCCACCACGCCTGGCCAACAACCTTGGGTTTCCATTCAATAGTCCTCTTTTAAGTTGTCCTTCATTAGACCTTTGTCAAAAGGGTCAGAAATGGCCATTATTCTCATCTAGCATTTCTTAGCTGGAGGTGATTTTGTTCCCAGGGGCCACTTGGTGATGTGTGGAGACATATTTGGTTGTCGCACCTGGGGGTGCTGCCAGTGTCTGGGGGGCCAGAGGCCAGGGATGCTGCTGAACACCCTACAATGCACAGGGCAGTCTCTGTGACAAAGAATGGTGTGGCCCCAAACGTCTGCAGTGTTTATACTAAGAAGCCCTGCTCTAGTTTACCCATTTGGCCTTGAGTGGCTCAAATGGCTCCATCACTCTCCACCCTTCTTTCCATGTTCAAGAAATGCCCAACTATACTCAAGCTGAAAATGGGTCCTGGATTCTCAAATATTCTAACTTACACTTTTACCAAGTGTAAAATTCCAACAGTACTACATCCAAGTTGGCAGCTTAAACATTCCCTGTCAGATATTGATGACCTATGGTTGGCGAGGTGGGTATGGAAAGGGAAAAGGGAGTGGCAAACAGCCCCAGTTATGTGGCAGATGGGAAGGTCCTGAGCCAGGCGGCCCACAGATCCTGAGTTTTCTAAGATTAGCCCTGTTCCAGGGAGCATGTCCCATCCTCAGAGTGACGTATCCTCTCAGTCAGGCATCTGCAGCCTGTGGCTCTTGAGGGGGCAGGCTCAAAAAGCAGAACTGCCCTATTTGGGGCCATGTTGTTTATAACCCATGGTCTCAATTTAGCATGGTTAATATCAATGAGTACAGCCTGTGGATGGATCAGTCTTGGTGTTGAGGTGGAGGGGACGGAAGCATTTTCTGGCAATGGGGTTTCTCTCACAAACTGACAGGATCTTACCCCACGAAAGATACTATGCTTCAGCTTTAGAACTCAGAGAAGTGTGGCCTTTGTACCTTGACAGTTTGGCAAGACATACCTGCCTGCCCAGCAGTGCTTAAAAGTTACAAAAAGAGGTGAGTTCCTCCTTCAAGTATAAATAATATTACACTTGAAAGTAAGCGAATACCATTAATAGTATTATAAAAATGTTTATCTTAGCTGAAGTAAGTATGAAAGTGCTCGGCACCATGGCTCACACACCAGGAGGTGCTCAATAATGGATGTTCATTTTTCCCCCATGACACTTTATCTTTATAAAGCATTTTCACATACCAGTCCTTTCCCAGCCCGCATAACAACACTTTGAAAGGGTTCTGTGATCCACATCTTACAGCTGAGAAAACTGAGGTTCAGACGGAATGAGATGGCTGTCCCCTGAACTGCCCACCCCACAGGTGGATGGGCTGTTCTACCTCAAGAGGGACAGGATGGTCTGCCCTCCTATCAAAACCTCCATCCAGCTCTGGCATCTGCATCTTGCCCACTTTCTCCAACTCTTCCCCAATGTACCCTCTCCCATTCCCATCCCCCCATTCCCACACCAAGAAGAAGAGTCTTCACCTTCCAGGGTGTTCCTGCGGCCATCGGCACCAATGATGACGTCAAACTCAAACTCCGACAGAGAATGGTCTGTAGGGAGAAATTCTGCCCGCCAGCCAATTTCTACCAGGACAGAGAAATGAGATGAGTTGGCAGAGAGAGGTGGGAAGAGAATGATTATACCCCCCGTGTGGTGGCTATGAGAAATGGACAGTGCAGCCAGGTCTGTGTATCACAGAGAGAGCCTCCAGGGGAAAGGCTAGAGCAGTCCAGATTCACTCTCTAATCTGGTGTCCTCTGACCTGAGTGTCAGTTCAATCCAGGATGAAGTAAACCAGCAACACCAACTCCATGCCTGGTTTTGTTGGCCTCCGCTAGGAGTCTATCCTCAATGCTCCATAAACTACTCTCATTTGCATCTTATCATTCTCAACAAAGTCCACCATCTTCTCTTCACATTCTCCCACATTCTTCAGTGCCTCTCATTGCTAAACAGACCCAAAAGGATATGTAGGGTGTAAGGAAACCACTTTTAATTTCTATTGTATGCTCAAAATGTTCTGTTGTACACTACACTGTCTTTTATTTAAAAAAAAAAATCAGGTGAAGCCTGGCTAATTAAGATTTAATGTCCACTAGAGGTCTGGAAAAGGTTAAGAGTACACAGTCTCTGAATGCCAAATAGTGAATGCTGTCCTGCTCCAAAAGCTAACTAAAGCCTCCCCTAAATTCTCAAATAATCTGGGCAGAGGACAGGAGAAATCAGAAATGTACCCTAAGCAGGAAACCACAAGGTCTCTGACACTAAGCTGGTCCCAAACTCAAAGCCCTTCCCAGGCGGTAGATACTTTTAATAATAAGTAAGATGCAGAGGCATCCTGAATAAACTCTCTGACCATGGTGTGTGTAAGGGATAAGAATTTAAACAAACATGCTAAAAGGAAAAAAGAGAAACATTATGATATGCCTATACGGGCAAATATCATAGTTTATAAATGATACCTCAACATGGTTAAGAGTATTATATACCAAATAACATCTTGAACCTTATTTCACAGTTGCTCTAGAAGCTTCACTTTACTGGATTTTAAAATGTGCCATGGGTACAAGTACAACCACATCTATGTGTTAAACACACACACAGCTTGAAGAACACGTGAATGAACCTTACCAAACAACCAAATCTATGTCTTCTGTCCTATTTATTGATTAGATTTCCTTTGCCAAAGTAGCAACCCCTTGGGACAGGGTAACCAAATTACAGGTTTAATGGCTTAATCATAAATCCCCTTGGAGCCAAACAGCAAACCTAAAGTCATAGCAATGGTAAAAAAAAAACAGTAAAATACCCTTCAGTGGCATTATGCCAACCAGCTCCCAGTAAGAATAACTCCTACAGAAACACCCTTTGGAAGCAGCAAGTGGAATTTCTATTTTGTAGTATCTGCTTTCTAGGCAGAAAAAGAAAATTATACTGTACTTTGATTTTCTTGATCTTCAGGAGGCTCTAGAACCTTCACGAACTCCACATTCACATGGATTTCAACTCCCAGCATCAGGGCCACCTTGAATAGGATGAGCTGTAGTTGGCGAATACCTGTCAGGCAGGAAGGAGAGAGGAACTGTCACAGCAATACCTGAACACCACCTATATGCAGAATGCTACATAATCACTGCCGCTCAGTGACCTTTGAGCACAGCAGTATACCAACAATGATCATTACTGAGCGGGATTATGCACCAAGAGCTCTGTGTTTTCTCATCTAACTCTTACAGTGGCCCTTTGGAATCGTTATTATTCTCATTCTGTAGATGAGAAATTGAGGCTTAACAAAGTTAAATGACTTGCTCAAGGCGACACAGAGCAAAGCTAGAACATGGACCCACATCTGTCTGATTTCTAGACCCTGTTCTAGCTGCTAGATGATGCTGTAACAAGAGAAGCTCTGTCTTTCCAGCCTCCTTCCCCAGCTGGGCTCTGGGTTTGATGAAATGAAGAGTAAAGGGCCTCAGTGAAGACCGTGATCAGTGACTCATTACATGGGGCCTACGCCTCAGCTCTTAGACATCCAGTGGTGAGGAGTGGGTAGGAAATTTTCCCCACAAAGCTGGGTCATGGTTCCCCATCTCTTACCCACACTTCAAAACTCCCCTAGTGAGTGGAATCTCATTTCTGTTTTGTCTCCTGCCATTCAGCACAAATGCGTATGCCTCCAAATACTTTTCTGTAGAGTGAGAAGTTTTAAACTTTCTGTGGGCCCTTCTGTATTTGGTGGGTTTGACTTACTTAGTATTTATTGAGCATCTATACTATGTCAGGTGCCATGCTAGGCACAGGAGATACAGAACACACCCTCTAATGGAGGGAACAGAGGTAAATAGAATGGGGCAAGACATGGTGGTTGGGGGAGGGTGATGGTGGTAGAACAGGGCCTTAGTGGGGGTCCTGGAAGCCAAGAGAGGAGGGACCAAGAATATCAAATCCCACAGAGAGAGGAAGGGCTGTGAAGGTGACAAGAGCCCAATAAACTTGGGGGTTTGGGAGCTTTTGGAGACACTGCTGAAAATCTCTTTAGCACACAGGTGGGGAAGACAGCAGACTGCGACGTTAGAAGGTTTGAATGGAAAGCATGGACCAAGTCTACGCCCTTCTTTCTAGAATAAATACCTTATGGCAAGGAAAAGTGGCAGGGCAGCAACAGGGCTGGAGGGCTGGCATGAGGGGAGGAGCAGGAAGACTCAGTGATGGGGCAGGTAGAAAGGAAGGAAGGAAGCCAGAGGGATTGGAATTGGAAAGGAGGCATAAGCTGTGATCTGGCATGAGACACGAGGAAGGAATGGGTGCTGGGGCAGCAGGGGAGAAAAGCGGGCCTAGAACAGGAACACAGGAGGGAGGCCATCTGCTAGGAATGAGGTCACCGTGCTGGAGGTTTGGAATGGCCACAGTGGGAACTGGAGGAGGAAGTTAACACAGACATGGAGAACTGCTGAGCAGTGCTGAGTATGATGGTGCAGCTGAGGCTAGAGATGTGGCTGGGGTGATCCAAAGCCAATCAGCTTAAAGAGCCCAATCCACCTCCTGCCATGAACCACCCTGCCAGGGGAGACCTGGCCTTTCCTTATAGTCCTGAGGTTCCTACTCAGTACGGTTCCAGCACACAGTAGGTGCTCAATAAATTCTCCTTGCCTCCTTTCTCACAAGTACTGGAGCTACCCTTGACAATGATCATTCTGCCTGTCTCAATGTTATTTCTAGAGTCCCACCGGCATTACGGCACGCTGCAGGATTTCCAAGGACTAGGGGTTCAATGAAAGCCCCATCAATGAGGGCAGAGAAGGGCTCCTGGCCAGGAAGCCAGCCCAACCAGCCCAGGGCCCCACAAGGCATCCTGGTACCCAGTTCTGCCCCCCAAGAGAACTTGATGAGAAAGTGGTGCTCAATACAGTGGTTCTAAATTGGTAACCGACATACATTCTTCCATAGGCGGGAGAGCACATCTTGAAAGCTGACACTGCAGCTTTCTGAGTAAATCCAAATTTCCACTGGACTCCTGGAATTTTCTCATCTCAAAGTGTGAATAAACTCTGGGGGCACAGCTGGTAAATTCTCCTGTGTCTGAATAAATTATACCCTATGTGACTGATAATTCTCTCCAGTTGTTCCCGCCCAAGCCTCATTCCTTTTTCCCATCAATTCTTGTCCTCATAAGAACATGGCTCTCAGGGCCCTCCTCCCACCTACCCCTACAGAGAAAGCAGCTCTGGATTCTGAAGTCTGGGGACGATGGCTGCTTCTTGCTCACTGTACAGCATGGGATGCAATGTGTTTTCCTGGGCACTTACTATGTGCTAGGCATAGTGCAAAGCACATTACAAACTTGACCTCATTTAATCTTCTCAGCAATTCTAGGAGACAGAAATTAATCACACTTTACAGGAGATAAAACTGAGGCTTGAAGAGGGTAAGGGATTTGCCCCAAGCCAGATAGAAATGGAAGAGACATATTTTGGACCCAAATCTGTTCAAACTCTTGAGCTTTCCCCATAGTGTTAACCTCCCTTTCATGAGTCACTATTGCTATACAATCATCCCTGAGTATATGCTGGAGATTGGTTCCAGAACCCCTGAGTATGCCAAAATCCATGCATACTTAAGTCCTGAAGTTGGCCCTGTGGAATTCAAGTATACAAAAAGTCAGCTTTCTATATAGGTGGGTTTTACATCCTGCAGGTGTTTGGTTGAAAAAAACCATGTATAAGTGGACCCTTGCAGTTCAAACCTGTGTTGTTCAAGCGTCAACTGCATATAAAACAGCTAAAGACCTCCCCACTGCAAAGCTGCAGGAAGGAAGGCTGCCTTTCCCAAAACCCGTCTGCACAGACCTAGCCCAGAGAGCTCCAGGCTTGAGGAACATCAGAGCAGAAGGGCCTCAGCACTCGTCTCTCCCTATATAAGCATTCAGGGATGCCCAGGACCTGAAGTCCACATTCTCTATTTTCCTTCCTATTCTGGTTGAAGTCCCATCATGATGTTCTCTCTCTTTTTAAAGCTCATATTTTTAAAACTTTGGTATGGGATCCATCAGGAAACAAGGATCCAATTATTTCTTTCCTCTGCTCTAAAACCTGCCATGGCTCCCCAGCAACACCAGCACGATGCACAATGTCCAAACTCCTTTGTATGGAAGGTCTTGACTATCTGGCCCATTAATGGTTTTGTGTGGCCCCTTCCTCCAAATTCCTTTAGCAAGTGTGACTAACCCTGTTGAACACATTACCACCAACAAAATCTTAATGCGCTCCATCAGGGTGCAGGCTATGCTATTTACCTCTGCCTCTGTTTCTCTGTTTCACTCAATCATCCAACAGATGTTTATCAAGCATCTGCTATGAGTCAAGCACTCTTTCATGTCCTGGAGATAGTCTGGTGATTAAGGCATGCTGCAATCCCTGACCTCATGGTGCTTACAGTCCACTGGGGGATAACCCAGGGCCCAGAACAAGGCACAAAGCAGGCCTTTTACTAGTTGTCTGTTAGTCTGATATATGGTGCCCCCAGGGACTAAGATGGAACAAGCTGGGGACTCCTAGACCTGGAGAGATATGTCCCACCCAGGGTCAGTCCCCTCCCTTCATGGGATATCACCATAGACTCCACTCACTGATATGGTCGATGGAGCCAGCACAGAACTTCCCATAGAACTTCTTGGCTCCCAGGCCACGAAGGTCATGGATGGTGAAAGGCCAGAGGTGTAGCACGTTGTTCCGGGAGAAGGAGTCCCTCTTCTCCACCACGACCACTTTGGCTCCCAGGTAGGCAAGTTCAATGGCAGTGCGCAAGCCACAGGGTCCTCCCCCAACTATGAGACACTGCAGAGGTGAGAGAGGAGAGAGACTCTTGGTAACCTCTAGCATCACAGACACGAACCCCCAGTCAGCAGGAAAACTGAAGCGCAAATCCCACTCTTCCTGAACCAACCAGCAAGTGCAAGCTGTGTACCTGTTAGGGCCTGTCATTCATCCACCCAATGTACCTTACCTGTGGGCCTACCACGCACCAGCCACTGCACCAAGCCCTGTGAGGAGTGCAGAGGTAAAGGGACTTGGCGAGGAGGCACAGTAAGATGCACATGAACTTCAGAGTCAAAGTGAACTGGGTTGAAGTCCCAGCTCCAGCATTTGACCACTTAGTTTCCTTATCTGTGTGGGTCTACTACTCTCCTCATAAGGTTATTGTAAATAAGATCACTTTTAAAAAGCATATGGTACATCTTTGTGGTCTTGAATTAGGTAATAGTGTCTTAGATATAACAGGAAAAGCACAAACAACTAAAGAAAAAATTAATAAATGAGACTTCAAAATTAAAACTTGGTGCTTCCAAGACCACCATGAAGAAAGTGAAAAGACAACCACACAGAAGGGAGAAAATAGTTGCACATCATATATCTGATATGGGACCTGTATCCAAAACATATAAAGGATGTTCACAACTCAATAATAAAAATACAAATAGCCCCACTAAAGACTGGGCAAAGGGATTTTAGTAGACCTTTCTTCAGAGAAGATATACAAATGGTCACTAAGTACATGAAAAGATGCTCAACCCCATTTGCCTTCAGGGAAACACAAATTAAAGCCACAGGGAGAAATCACTTCACACCCACTGGGACGGCTGTGATAAAAAAGAGAACAGCAAGTGTGGTGAGGATATGGAAAAATTGAAACCCTCATACATTGCTGGTGGGAAAATAAATTGGTGCAGATACATGAAAACAGTGTGGCCATTCCTCCAAAAGTTAAACATAGAGGTTTAAACCACAGGAGCTAGCAATTCCACTCCTAGATATATATATCCAAGAGAAATGAAAACATGTTCACACAAAATCCTGTACGTGAATGTTCATGGCGGCGTCATTCACAATAGCCCCAAAGTAAAAGCAACCTAAATGGCCACCACTGATGAAGAAACCAAATGTGGTATATCCGCACAATGGAATATTATTCAGCCATGAAAAGGAAAGAAATTCTAATACATGAATGAACCTTAAAAACACTGTGCTAAGTGAAAGAAACTAGATACAAAAGGACACATATTGTATTTCGTTTATATGAAATGTCCAGAATAGGCAAATCCATGAGACAAAAGTGGATTAGTGATTGCCAGGAAATGGGGGAGGGAGAATTGGGGAATGACCGCTAATGGATACAGGTTATATTTTTGGGAAGTTCTGGAATTAGATAATGGTGATGTTGCATAACTTTGTAAATATACTAAAACCACTGAATTGTGTACTATAAGAGGGTAAATGTGAATTGTGTCATAATTTTAAAAAGCGCATGAGAAAAAAACATGGTACAGAGCTTGGCACCTACTGGTGTAAATGTCATTCTTATTGCCTAGACCTAGGCCCTGTCTTCTAGGAATTCTCAGGCTAGGGGTAAAATACCTAACTTATAAAATAAATAACTAGAACCTCTTGTGGCTGGTCTTTTTCTGGAGCCCAGACGGAAAAGCTAATCCTGCCTGGTAGGTTGGAAAAGATTTTCACAGAGGAGAGTCTTTAAAATTATTATTTTAGCCTACATTTGTTGAACACTTACTGTGGGTTGAACGGTTTCAAGTGCTTTCTGTGTTTTAGCTCTTAATCCTCACAACAAATCTAAGGAACTATTATGGTGCCCCTTTCACAGATGGGGAAATTGAGGCACAAAGCAGCTGCTTAATTGGCTCATGCTTTTACAGATTGAAAGGGGGAGAGCTGGGATTCAAACCCAGGTAGTCTTATTCCAGAGCCCACCATGCTGGACTGCTTCTGGTTTGCCAGGAATAAAAAAGAAAAAAGAACATTTCAGCAGAGGTAACTGCCCTTTCAAAGAGAAAGAGAAAGAAGCTCAAGGTGGATGGAGAGAAGGATACTTTGGGAGAAGAGACGGGAAGGAGAGAAAAGAGATGAGAGTTGGTCTGCAGCCAAATGGTAAAAGTCTTTTTTTTTTTTGAGACACAGTTTCACTCTTGTTGCCCAGGCTGGAGTGCAATGGCGTGATTTTGGCTCACCGCAACCTCTGTCTCCTGGGTTCAAGTGCTTCTCCTGCCTCAGCCTCCTGAGTAGCTGGGATTACAGGCATGTGCCACCATGCCTGGCTAATTTTTTTTGTATTTTTAGTAGAGATGGGGTTTTTCCATGTTGGTCAGGCTGGTCTTGAACTCCCAACCTCAGGTGATCTGCCCGCCTTGGCCTCCCAGAGTGCTGGGATTGCAGGCGTGAGCCACTGTGCCCGGCCAGTGAAAGTCTTAAGTGCCAAAGGCGTATTTTATGGCCTTGGTCCTGTTGGCATTTGGGACATGTGGGCAGAAGTGACAAAACAGGATTCTGTACAAGTCCCACGCTCGGTCCTCAATGGACACTGCATGCTGAAAAAGACAAGGATACTTCCCCACAATGACCTAGGATAGCTACATTCGGCAAAAGCCTTTTCATCCACAGAAAATCTTACGAGGAACATCGATACTGTCTAAAACCAGAGCAAAATGGCAATACTCTGGCTGAAAGAATGAGAGGAAACTCTTTCCTAAGGCAGGAGTTTGCCTGGGGGATCTGACTACCCCCAGCAAGGCGTCAGGCAAGGGAATGCGCACCCACTCCTCACTGCTTGACATTGCAGAGGCATCTGGTAACTGCCCTTCTGCTTGAGATCAAACCTTATCTTAAAAAAACACATTCCCCTTCCTCTAGCAAACGTTCCATCATCCAGTTATCACTCAGCTGGGCCTGCAGGGTCCCAAAGGGACAGTGCAAACAAGCATATCAGGAGCTCCCACACCACGATCAGTGTGGCTTACTGGTTGGAACCTTCCAGAGAGTTTGTAGACACCTAATTAGGGGAAATGAAGTCACCACTGAGATCCAGCTGGAGACTTCAGGGAGTGAGTGGGTGTGCAAGCCCACGTGCTTCCTCTCTGGATAGAGCCACCGGGAAAGAACCAAGCCCCGCTTCCCAAGCCCAGCACTGCTCTTTATCTCACTCCACAAACAGCTCCTTGGCTTGGACATAGCCAGACAATGACAGTCATTTCAAAGCACGACTCCAAGCCCCGACACTGGTGAGGTTTGCTTTGGGGTTAAGTCTGGATTCACTGCATTTCTTTGCAGTTAGTACATCTTTTCCTGTTTTGGAGCAGGGGTAGAAGGATGTGGGGTGAAGAGAGGCAGGAAAGAAGGAGGGGAGCCCCCTGCATCCTTCTGTCCACCAGGCCCGACCCAGTACTGCTCCCTGGACAAGGCAGGAGACCCCTTTCCCACCAGTCAGGGAGCTGCCATGCATTTTGCACGCAAACAGTAGCTGGTGTACAGTTTCTGATTCTCTTGGCTAAACCTAAAATCCCATTGGCGAAAGCTCGGTTTTCCCACCATCCTGGGCCCCAGTACATATTTCGGGCCTGAAATTTCAGAGATGCCAGTCATACCGTAATCTAAAGTCAAAGCAAATACCAACGGGCCTAATTATATAAAGGGAGAAAATTCGGTACAGATGTTATCAAGGCCAGAGAGATGGCTTGTTGGCAGGGGCCAAGTCAGGTCTTCTCTGAACGCACTTGCTGTGATTAATATGGGAACTCGGTGTTCTGGCAAGAGGCCAAATACCATGGCAGCCACGTGCCCGGGCAGAGGAGTGGGAGAGATGAGGACTTCCCCAGCATGCCCACTGTAGAAGCTCTGGATGCTGGATGTGGTCCAAACAGACCACAGATGCAAAGGGTTGTGATAACTCGACCCGAAGGAGCTCTTTCCTCAGACCCAGCTAGGCCTTATGTCCAAGGAAGGAAAGCTTTTCATTAAAACTCAATGAGATTTTAAGCTCCTGCCCCGCGCTCCCATGAGCTGTGTCCTTTCTGCTTCCCCAGAACCAGCTCTGCGGGTCATATTTTCCGTGTCTAACCCACAGCCAGTCCAAGGGTTCCTCTAAGGCTGCCCCTGTCCTCTGTATTTCTGTGTGTTCAGAGCCCAGTACCAGGCCTGCTACTTAGGAGGCCTCAATAGACAGCTGATGAACTCTCCACACCCTCTCCACCCATCCAGTTCTGGCTCTCCATTCACAACTGGGATGTTTCAGTTCACACCAGTTGGGGGTTCACATTTGCAGATTTCCACCCAGACTTGGGGAGCCAGGGTCTGCCAGGGCCACCAGCATCATGGATGTCAGCATATCTGTGTGCTCAGGTGACATAAATTATTACCCAGTGGGGAGCAGGGCAGAACCAACACCTGCAGGAAATCCATTGTATAGATAAGCTCGGCGGTGTTCAGGCCTCCACGTTAGCACAGAGGAGAGACAAACGCCTCATGGAAAAATCAGCTCTTTATCAAGGGTCAGGATGGGGGGATGGTGACCAACTAGCCCACAGTCAGGACACAAGGACTGGGCGGCCCCAGCTCACGTGTGACTTCTGCTCCTCCCCAGGGGAACCTGCAAACACAACCCACTTCTTGACATGGTGCATCTTCCAGCCGCCCCTCTCACCAGCCTACAAGTGGGCAAGTGTGCTGGGGCAGTCAGGAATGCATAAGAGATTCAGTCCCCAGAGGGAGATGCCGAGGGGACCAAGTGCTAAGCCAGGGGTTAGCAGTCTGCAGGTTTCATTTCCACTTCCGAATCCTGCCCTTGTGTTCCTTGAGAGCTGTGTGTGCAGACACTGCAGCGAGGTCGAGTGCAGAAGCTAGCACTTGACCAGGGTGTGGCGTTCTCCAGCTGGCTTACCCACCCTGCACCTCACCTAGAAAGGACAGTTGTGAGACCTAACTGCACGGTGCCTGGCACATTCTATTTGCCAGGCACTGTCCTATTTGCTTTGTGTGTTTCATCCTTGCAACTACCCTATGAAAGTGTTATGATCATCCCCACTTTATAAGTGAGGTAACTAAGGCACTGAAAAGTTAAGCAACTTGCTCCAGGCACTCTTATTAACTCTCTTTTTGAGTAAAGAGGGTAAGAAATGTCTTTAAAGTCACATAACAAATAAGCTGTCAGATCTGGATTTTAACCCAGGTACTATTGGTCTAAAGTCTATGCTCTTACCGGCTTGACTGACAGTGAAGCCCGACCTCAGTGGTGAGGTCAGGATGAAGTGAGAGGACTTGGCTCCTTCCCTGCATTGAGCACACTGTGGCCTCCTGAAAGGAGCTGGGGTTCAGGCTGGGTTCACAGGGGCTCTGCAAGGAACGAGCAAGCCAGGTCCAGCCTGAGCTTCATGTGCTTCCGCAGGGTGGGAAATCATAGGCTGGACAGAGCTTGAGCCTGTGCAAGTCACACTGGCAGGTGCCACCACAGTGGGAGTTTGGGCTTGGATAGTGCAAGCCTCCTTTGGTGAGGGTGGCCCTGGCAGCAAGCTGGGCATGGGGGAGGTCATGCATGGTGCTGTCTTCCTGGTAGCCGCAGTCCTCCCAGCACACTGACCTGCAGGCCAGCTCCCCAGGGCAGTGCACTGGTGCCAGGGACGTGCCACCATACTTCCTGGTGTGGCTCTGCAGCCTCCCTGGCTCTCAGTACCAGCCACTTATCTGAATCCAGGCAGGAAGCCCCTGGCTGTTACTGGTTTACCGTGAATAAGAACAGCTTGGTTCAGAATCGCAGGATGGAGAGTTTTCAAATTCAAGGTGCCACCCACCTGCCAGAATGTGTGTGTTGGGGGAGGGCTTGCAATAGGGACCTGGCTGCACAGCCTCACCCCTGCAGGGCAGTGCTGGGGTTTACTCATGAGAGATGGGGTTAACACTTACTGCCTGCTTATAATGTACAAGAACTGTGCTAAGCATGTTTTAAGAAATGCATCTCACTTGATTCTTACAGTAACCCTGAATTAGGCATATTCATCATCATTTGGCACATAGGAAACTGGAGCTCAGGAAGGTTAAATGACATAGCCGTGGTAACAGAACCAGGGTGAAAACCTAACCTCTGATTCCAGGGTACATGCTCAAAATCACCTGAGGTTCTAGCTGTGGAGGAATCTCTGAGAGGGGGTTGGCCAGTAGGGGCTCCCCAGGGGAACTTCAAGTGCTGCTCTGGGAAAGGAGTTACATCTCATCTGACTTGACATGGCCCTGACATCTCCAGACTCTCTTCTGTATCCAGTTATTCCTGAGTAACAATTACACACCACTTATCAATCTTAGAAATTTACAGAAATAAAATGGAAAAAGGTATCCTATGCTTTGTACGTTCCCTAAAAAAACCAACTAATTCCTCTGAGAAACATTCCGTTTCTCTCTGTTCTTCCCTTCCATCCTGAGCCAGTGCTCTCCTCCTCCATGACCAACTGTAACCAGTAGCTGCAGGGTCTGGATTTTCAGGGACAGTTTTATTCGCAGACATTCTGCCTTTTGGCCTCAGAAGTTCGTTCACACTGCTGCCTAGTTTAGAAGTTCTAAGCACAATCCTCAGGGCTTGTACCTCTCTGGGTAGCGGTTGGGTCTCATGGCATCTCCCCATTTAACACATAGGTTCCCCGAAGTCAGGGTGTGAGGGCCACCCCTGTACCCCTGCCAGCAGCAGAGTCGAACACCTCACTTGAGATCTGAAAGTATGGAGTGAACAGGTCAACACAGTCCCATCTTTGTTGTTGCCTGTGCATCTCTGTTGGGAAGACCAAGAATAATAATAGTATTAATAATAGCAATAATGAAAACAAAGCTACCGCTTATTGCCTGCTTATAATGTACATGAAGTGTGCTAAGCATACTATAAGAAATGCATCCTGCATCGTTCTTACAATCACCCTGAATTAGGCATGTTCATAGCCATTTGGCAGATAGGAAAACTGGAGCTCAGGAAGGTTAAATGACTTGGCCATGGTAATAGAACCAGGGGAAGAACCTAGCCTCTGAGCCCATACTCAAAATCCCAATCCTATATTAATCCTTCCAGGTTTCCATAAGTGTTATGTGGCAGAGCATCTAAGATATGTAAAGGACTGGTGAGATGGCTCTGGGGATTACAGGCTCATGTTCCCAAACCTCAGGAAATTGGCTGGGAACTAGAGAAGAAGAAAAACAGATACAATGAATGCTGGATTGTTTGGTATTACCTCTGACTACTTTAGGAATTTAGAGAAGAAACAGATTAGTGACTTCAGTCAAGAAAGGATCCCTCCAGGAGATAGACCATGAATGGAGAATTGAGGCTGAAGATTTGCAGAAAGAAAACAAATGGCATGCTGAGAAAGAGGGAGGTGGTTTGCAGGGCAGTGGCCAGTGAAGTGAGGGTCAGGGGTTGGTGGGGAAGGTGAAACCAGGAGAGTAGAGAAAGAAAGAGAGAAAGAGAAAGAAAGAGCCAGATCGTGGAGGGACTTGGATGGCAGACTGAAGAGTTTGGACTTTATTCCTCCCCTTTGGATTTTATGAGCTTAGAATAGGATGGAGGTGCTACTTTAGGACAATTGGTTCCAGAGCAATAACAAAGATGGTAAGAAGAGAGAAAAGAAACTAGAGGTAGAGAGGCAGTCAGGGCAGCCTTTGAAACAGTTGACCTACTTTCTTGACTCTCTCCTGCCCTGCAGTTGCTCAGGCACCCTTGCTGCTCCTCCTCATCTTCCTGTCCTCTATACCTGGAAGTGCCTGGGGCTCAGCCTTTATACCCTTCCCTTATTGACCCTGACACCATCTACTTCCATGACTTTAATTACCATCTACATGTTGATGGTGCTCAACCCTGAATATCCCACGGAATCCAGCCAACTGTGCACTGACATTTCTATCTGCTTCAATACGCATTACTCACATAACAGATCTACAACTGAACTCTTATTCCCTCCCTGCAAAAACCTGCTTCTCCCCCATCAACATGGTCTTGGTAAGTGCTACCTACTTTTCTACTTGCTTAGACCAAAAATCTGGAATCAGTCTTGGTTCTTCTCCTCTTACCTCACAACCAATCCACCAATAAATCTTGTTTACTATCTTCAGAACAGATATAGAATCCAATCAATTTTCACCGGCTCACACGCTGCCTCCTTATCCAAGTCATGGCCATCTCTCCTTTGAACTGATATCAGGGCTCCTATCTGGTCTCCCAGCTTCCACCCTTGTCACTTTGCAGTCTGTCCCCATACAGCAACCAGAGCAGTCCTCCTCAAGTCAGATCATGTCACTCACTCGTAGCTCACATCGTTTCATGTCTGCCTGTGGCACTCAGAAGTCAGAATCACAGGATGTGGCTAGGCCTTAGGACCCTATATGATCTCAACCTACAGTTTCCCTTTTGTCCTCAGCTCCCACCACCCCCTCCTCTCACACTCCAGCTGTACTAGCTTCACTGAGCCCACACATGGGCTTTTCACTCGCTTTGTCTTCTGTCTAGAACACTCTTCCTCTAAAAATATATATATTGCTATTTTCTAATACAAAAAAAAAAAAAAAGAAATCTATTGCAGAAAATACACGGGCCTAGTTTTATTTTTCTTCATATTCAACTCTAGTTTTCCAAATAGCATTTTAAACATTTGTAAATATTTCCAGCATCTACTTTTATATTTTCCCATTGTAATTTTTTTGTTTTTAATCTAGTAGCTTTACAACATTTTTTGGCAACATTTCATTATAATACTTTTCAGATATATAGAGAAGCTGCAAGACATCCAAATACTCCCCACCTAGATTCTATGATTAGATTTTGTTCTCCTTGCTTTAGCATGTATCTATTCACATCCGTCTATCCTTCTACTCACTAGTCAATTTATCTTATTTTGTGGTGCATTTCAATTAAATAGCAGAATCAATACATTTCCTCCCAAATATTTCAGCATGTATCTCATTGACTAGAGTTCAATATTTGCTCAAGGTTTTGTTTTGGTTTTGTTTGGTTTTTAGAGACAGGGTCTTGCTCTGTAGCCCAGGCTGGAGTACAGTGCCACAATCACGGCTCACTGCAGCCTCGAACTCCTGGGCCCTAGTGATCCTCCCACCTCAACCTCCCTAGTAGCTGGGACTATAGATACACACCACCACACCTGGCTAATTACAAAAAAATGTTGTAGAGAGAGGGTCTCCCTATGTTGCCTAGGCTGGTGGGCCCTCAAGCGATCATCCTGCCTCAGCCTCCCAAAGTGCTGCTGGGATTATAGACATGAGCCACTGTGTCTGGCCCAGGTTTAAGGTAAAATGTATATAAAATGAAATCCACATACTCTTTTTTCCTACTGCCTGTATAACTGCAGAAAGGTGCACATATCTTAAACATATCATTTGATGTGAAAAATTACAATATATTTTCTTTTTATAGCCTCGGTTTTCTCCCTGTGAATGGTCATTCTTCTAACTGACCCTGTAAATTCTTGTCCCTTGGGCTCTGGTGCTGGTACCCTGGTGTTTTCTTTTAATAGCACAGAGCTCCTAGTCGAGGGGTAAGGCCTGGATCTGGCCAGCGATCTTCTTCTGGAGAACAAAAGACACAGGGTCTTCCAAGACCCAAAAAGGGGTGTCAGATAAATCTCACATTTCTTTAGGAGAAAGAGGGGAGGCTTCTGAGATGGGCTGAGTCAACATATATTCAAAGCTAAAAAATGTAGGGCCAGTTGTAACCTACATGTGGGGAAAAAGGCAGAGCTAAAATATATAAATAATATAACATCCGGAAATAGAGCAGTTCATTTCTGCCATTTTCTCTTTTTTAGTTGCTTAGTAACTGTTAAAGCCTATCAGTTCAGTCATGTAGGGGTCCCCGCACTGCAATAATAATAGCTAACACTCTTTACTACATGCCAGGCCTGTTATAAGGCTGTATTCACAACAACGAACATCCATCATCCATGTCTTACAGCTGTAGCTATTCAGTGGTGAAGCTAGGATTCAAATCCCGGTATCTGGTTCAGAGACCATGATTTTAACCATTGCACCATAGAGATGACAGCAGATAGTGAGGGAGAGGACAATGGCATCCACCACCTAGACTTTCCTAGCCCAGAGAACTCCAGGCAGGACTGCAAGCAGTGCTGTCAATCTACCCAATGACAAACATTTCCACTCAGCAGGTGCCATGGCCGGGGGCCACTTGAGGTCAGTAAAGGTGTCTATTAAGTGTCTTCCATATTATTGCCAGACCTGCTTGAAGTATATTCACTCATTTAACCCTTGCAGGAACTCCTAAGAAAATGGCATTGCTGCTCACATTTTGCAGTTGAGGAATTGAGGTCCAGAGGCAAAATGATGTAACATAGCCAGCATGTGCTGAACTCTGACTCCATATCCAGCACCAGTTGTCACATGTATCAGTTCATTCAAATCTCACAACAAGCCCAGATAACAAAACCAAGACATGAAATGCTCAAGTAGCATGCTCAAGGTCACCTCACACAGTATGTGGAGGAACTGGCATCTGAATCCAGGTGGTCAAGCTCCAAAGCAGAAACTCATATCCATCATGTTACACCTGCCTGGCTTCACACAGCTGATAAAGGGTGGAGCTGGGAGTCACTGCCAGGTGTGACTCCTGCATTGCCCTCTCTGCCACCTTTCTTTGAAGTATTAGGGCCCACTGTCTTTCTAGGCCCTTCTCTCTCCCTCACAGGCACTTGAATCCTCTACTGGCACCACCTCATCCCATGACCACTCATGAGCACAGACAAGGCTGATCCTATCCATGGACAACAGCTTTGTCTCAGGCTGGCCTCTATAGAAGGGCCATGATGAGGCCTGGAAGTGGAT
This sequence comes from Homo sapiens, assembly GCF_000001405.40. Classification (NCBI taxonomy): domain Eukaryota; kingdom Metazoa; phylum Chordata; class Mammalia; order Primates; family Hominidae; genus Homo; species Homo sapiens. The sequence goes on along the minus strand of NC_000011.10, from coordinate 12,193,422 downwards.
CTGTATGAGAAAAGGTCAGGCATTCCTTCAATTTCACCAATTCCTATTGCTCTAAGGTCAACAAGGGAGAGATTACTTATCTGAGTTGAGCAGCTGTTCCTGCAGCCCAGAGCTGGAGCCAAGGAGTGCAAGGCTACCATGCTATTCTACAGCCGTATCTGGACCGGCTGCTATGTCCACAGCTAACCACCTTGCCAAGAGCCTTAGAGTGTTCCCCTTCTCTTTCTATGAAGTCTCTCGCCCTATAGACAGGTGCTGAATGAACACAGCTTAGGAGTCTGAACATGATTTAATTCAGGCCTGCAAAGAGGAAGACTCACCAGCCCTTGAATGAACATCACTGGGAAAATAGCGGATATGGTGGTGTAGTGAGGGACCTGAGACTAGAAGCAGGCAGCCTGTTTGCTCGCTATGTAGCTTTGAACACAGCAGCTTATTACCTCTGACGTCAGTTCTCTCAACCATAAAAGAGGAATAAAGCAGTTCCTACCAGGCAGGGTTGTTATGGGGATGGAGTCAATACACTGCAGAATTGTTCATAAAATAGCCTCGTATGCATATGGCAAGCACTCAGTAAATGGTAGCAATGACCCACGGCTCCTCTCCTCCCTCCTTTCTCAGGAGGAATCCTTTATTTTATTTTTTAAGACTGAGTCTCACTCTGTCACCCAGGCTGGAGTGCAGTGATGTGATCTCAGCTCACTGGAACCTCCGCCTCCTGGGTTCAAGTGATTCTCCTGCCTCAGCCTCCCAAGTAGCTGGGATTACAGGTACCCATCATCGCACCTGGGTAATTTTTGTATTTTTAATAGAGACGGGGTTTCACCATGTTGGCCAGGCTGGTCTCGAACTCCTGACTTCAAGTGATTCACCCGCCCGCCTCAGCCTCCCAAAGTGTTGAGATTACAGGCGTGAGCCACCGTGCCTTGCTTCTGAGGAGAAATCGTTTAAGTGAAATCAGATTTTGACCTCTAAGAGCTCAGAGTCCAGTCCATCCCATTTGGGGACATGGACACTGTGATCCCAGCAGTTCAAGGCTGATGGCAGTTTGCATCGCTTGACAGACACACTGCCTCTGTTGGGGTATCTCCAAGGTGGTGAGTGAGTCCCACCTGGAGCCTGGGTGCCCAGGAGGCTGCTGAGCTGACTTTTCCTGCACTGGCGAGCTGCCCTGCCCACCTGCACTTGCACGTGTGTGCACTGTCCAAGCTGAAAGGGACCTTAGATCCCTCAGATTAGCACATTTTTTTCTATAAAGGGCCAGATAGTAAATATTTCAGTCTTTTCACCAAATGCAGGCTTAGATCATGCTGTCCAATGCATCCCTCCCCATAACCCCTTGCCCTTGGTGGGTTTTGGGTGGCGGGCGGGGGTGGGGGTGGGGGTTCCAAGAAGTTATTTCAGGGAGCCCAGAGGCCATTTTTTGTACCTCTGAAAGTCTAAGGGAGCTCCTTGCTGGTCCTCCTGCCCTGGACACCCTTCCCTCAGATCTTTGAACACAGCTCCTTCTCACCATTCAGGGCTGAGCTCAAACATCCCACTCCCTGGAGATGATACCTTCTCAGCCCCACCCATTACTCTCTCACATTTCCATTTATTTTCTGCATGGTGCTTATCATAACCCAACATCTCTCTCTTTTTTTCTTTTTCTTTTTGGAGACAGGGTCTCACTCTGTTGCCCAAGCTGGAGTGCAGTGGTACAATCACGGCTCACTGTAGCCTTGACCTCCCAGGCTCAAGCAATCCTCCCATCTCAGCTTCCCGAGTAGCTGGGACTACAGGTGTGCACCACCATGCCCAGCTAATTTTTTTGTATTTCTTTGTAGAGACAGGGTTTCACCATGTTACCCAGGCTGGTATCAAACTCCTGAACTCAAGCAATCCACCTGCCTTGGCCTCCCAAATTGCTGGGATTGCAGGTGCATCTGGCCTACATTTTTTTTTTTTTTTTGAGACATAGTCTTGCTCTGCTGCCCGGGCTGGAGTGCAATGGCATGATCTTGGCTCACTGCAACCTCCGCCTTCCAGGTTCAAGCAACTCTCCTGCGTCAGCCTCCTGAGTAGCTGGGATTACAGACACATGCCACCACACCCAGCTAATTTTTCTATTTTTTTTTTTAAATAGAGATAGGGTTTCACCATGTTGGCCAGGCTGGTCTTGAACTCCTGACCTCAAATGATCTGCCCGCCTCAGCCTCCCAAAGTGCTGGGATTACAGGCGTGGGCCACCGCACCCGGCCATCTTTTTTATTTGTTAAATAGTTCACTTTGTTTGTCTCCCTCTAGAACATAAGTTCCACTAAAGCAGAGGCCTTGTCTCTGATTCATAGCTGTATCCCCAGAGGCTAGAGCAGTCCCTCATCCTCAGCAGGTACTGATAAATATTTGCCAAATCAATCAGTCAATCAAATCAAATCAAATCATACCTTTACCCCAAATCAGGATGCACACTGAGGCTAACTGAAATATAATAGTCTATATTTAAGAAGATACTGTCTTGGGGCTTTACATATATTATCTTATTAAATAAGGGATAAACTAACTTATAAGGTAGGAACTATTTTATCTCTTGATTTCAGGTGAGGACATTGAAGTTGAAGTCCTGCTACTTAAAGATGTTTATCTGGTAAAAGGCAGAGCTAAGTTTCAAACCCAAATCTGTTCAACTCTGGACTCATGCTATTAATCACCACTCTTGCTTAATTTTGCATGGGATTGTGACAATTTAGTGTGAACACAAATTATCTGTGGCTGATTAGAAATGCTGACAGGCAGTGATGTGACTTTACACTTTACAAAAATGGAGAGAAGATATTGTCACCTAACATATGCAACCTTGTCTGTGAAACAACTTATTCTGAAGCACAAGTTTTGGGGTCAGGGGAGAAAAGGAATCAAAGCTGAAAATAGGTGGGAGTTTTACTACCTTTACCAATGAAATAAGTAGCTTCAGATACAGGAAACAACTTCAGATGTCACAAAGCCAGTTAGAGGTGACAGAAAATCCTCAAGTTTCCCAAGAGAAAAGCCATTTAGTCAACTGCACCTTGATCCATCTTCTGGGGGTTGGATACACATCTGATATCCAACCCACAGAAGATGGTTACGTAGGAGAGTCCAAAACCCTGATTCTTCAAGAGACAAATCCCAGGGTGTTTGCAGAAGAAAATCTTTCCCACCAGAGGAACTTTGAGGCCTTCCAGATAGTAAGAGAACAGCGAGCCCCTTAGAGCAACTCACACATGTCTTCCAGGCCAGACAACCCATACTCACCAGCGGAATGTAGTTTTGAGTCAACTTGCAGCTGCCACAAAAGAAGTTAGCAAACTTACTCAGAAGTTCTTGATAACTCCATGTGGGTCACCTTACACCATAAAGTGGTTTGTAATTAAAATGTTTTTGAAACTGTGAACAGACCAAAGTGTCTAGACATCGGGAGGCTCCAATCCTACACCATCCCGACTGCCCATGATTACTGTATGATAGATGCCCACAACCTGCCAAAGAACATGTTATGTTTTCTCTATCAGAGCATCTTTAAGGGCAAATTTCTGGAAAGCCTCCCCTCACAGCCTGCTGGGAGCTGCCTGGGAAATCTTTGGCCACCAAGAGGAAGGCATGCCTGGGCATCTAGGGCACTTTCCCTCTGGTGGCAGGCCTGGGCTTGCAGAACGTGAGCCATAGCTGGCTCAGGCTGCCTGCGGAAGCCCACATATGGAAGGCAGGATTTCCGGGACCCAGGTCTAATGCATCATCGCTGTAACCCTTTCAGAGAAAACAAACTGAGTCTCCAGCTCAAAATCAGGAAGGTGGTGGAGGTAGTGGGGGTGGTGAGATAAGGTAGGTTAGGGAATATGTAATTTAAACCCTGCAAAACTATTAAAGGGAAATAGGGCATTTGGAAACTGCTACCCTAGCTCCCTGTAATACCTGATCCTACCCATGTACCAACGGGAAAAGGATATCTATCATTTATTTATCTATGCATTCATTCAAAAAACACTGAATGAACAGCTATTTTCTAGGCATCATATCTGGTGCTAGGGAAATACAGATGGATATGTCACATTTTCTGACCATAGGTACTCGCACTTTAGCAAAAACAAAAACAAAAACAAAACAAAAAAAACATCAAGGTTCCTGAGCAAGAGAACTTTACACATAGTGGGGACTGGGAAAGAGTAGAGGCAAGGACCTGGAAGGAAGCCACTTACAGCAGATGCAGAGGTCCCACTAGGCAGGAATGTAAAGGAGGGGTTGGATGAAACACAGTTAACGTATAAAGGTTAAGAGATTACAAATTCAGGCTGGAGGGTAGAAGGAAGAAGTGAAACTGACTCAGGTTCTCAGAGTGGGAGAATGGTGATACTGTGCTCTAAGACTGAAAATCAGAAAGAAGAATAAATTTAGGGAGTGGGAGGGGAGAGGAAGTGTAAAATTATGAATTTAGTTTTCTATTTGTTGAGTGTAAGGTACTCATTGAAAATCTAAAAGATGTGTAGAAATCCTAATAGTTGATCCAGAGAGTCCGCATAGTGACACAAATTTTAACAATAATGCTAATTTCTACTGAGTGGAGGTCTACCATGTGTCAGGTATGCTATGTTCAATTTCATTGAGTCCTAACAAGGATCCTATAAAGTAGGTATCATTGCGTCCATTTCACAGATGAGGAAGTGGAGGCTCTGAAATGTTACATAACCTGCCCAGGGTCACAGGTATCTGACTCTGGCCATTATGCTCTTTCTACTGTGCCCTAAGCCCTCCAATTTTAGTGTCATTGTCAATGAGAGAAGATTGGTTCATCAAAAGTGAGAGTAAAACAGTGCTATACAATAGAACTGGGTTTCTCAACCTCAGCACTACTACATTTGGGACCAGATAATTTTGGTTGTAGGGTGTTATCCTGTGCATTGTAGGATGTTCAGCAGCTTCCCCGGCCTCTTCCAACTAGGTGCTCGTGCCAACCACGCCACTCTCCCAACAGCATGACAATAAAAAAAAGTCTTCAAATATTATCAAACGTCCCTGGAAGGCAAAACAGCCACCAGTTAAGAATCACTGCAATAGAAATATAAGGTGAGCCACACGTGCAATTTTAAATTTTCTGATAGCCACATTTTTTCTAAAAAAGTGACAAGAAATAGGAAGTTAATTTCAATATTCTAATCTATTATATGCAAAATATTATCATTGCAACACGTAATCAATATAAAAAGTATCGATAAAATATTTGATAATCATTTTTTATACTAAGCCTTTAAAATGAGGTGAGTATTTTATATGTACAGCGCAGCTCAATGCGGACTTACCACATTTCAAGTGCCCTAGCCACGTGGCTTGTGACTCCCATAATGAACAGCAAAAAGCTGGAGAAAAAAGGAGGGAATTGCCCACATATATGGATGGGAGGAGGAGGAGGAGGAAAAGCAACACTGAACAGTGGGCAGAGAGGGTCACAGACAACCTCTGGGGTCCTAGCAGTTCAAGCTTTTCCTTCCCCACCCCACCCCGGGAACTGCCCCTCCCTATCAACAACCCGCCTACCCCAGGGAACAAGGGCAAAAGACGAGACTGAAGAAAGGTGGAGGGAAAGCCCAGGGAGGGTGCCCTGGGAAGCCCACCCACACAGACAGCAGGGAGTCAACCTGGGCTTTCAGGGAGGCAGCTGCCAGCCACCAGCAAGATAGCCGAGAAGTAAGACAGATACGGACAACTCATCCACTCTCGGGAACCCCCAGTCACCTCCACCAGCAGCTGCTGACACAGGGCTGATTCCAGCCCAAGGAACCGCTACAACAAAGCCTTCAAAACCACAGCGTCTGAGTCCATCTCAAGTGAGTTCCAGAAAAGCTGAGGCCGCTGCCTGGGACCACTCAGTAACAAGTGACATATCCTTGTGGTAACTCAAGTAGAAGGGCCAGGGCCTGCCGCTGTCTGGACGCATTCAGTCCCTCATTTGCTCACTGCTGCCCCAGAGGGGGAAGTGTTGCTCTCCCCATTGTAAGGATGGAGACCCAGGACCACACCCCTAGAAACAACCCTGGCCAGGATGCTTCACTAATTATTTAGAAAAAAATATTAACTGAAGCACACATAATTCACAAATAAAGCAATCTTAGAGATGTTCTCCCTTGACTATGAAACCATTTAATGAATTCATGTTTGATGTAAGGAACAAGAAACATAAAATACAGTTAAAAACCAGTCAGCTCCATGGGATTACAGAGGAGGGAAGAAGAGAAAGAAAAGATGAATGAGGGCAGGAAGAGGACAGAGGAGGACACAAAGGAAGAGGAAGAGGCAGAGCCCCACACGGGGAGAGAGCAGAGGGGACACAGGATCAGAGTCCTCGCTGGAGCCTCAGGCAGAAAGCACACCGCTGCTCTAATTCATGGAGGGAAATCCTATTCACCACTCAGGGACTACACTCAAGAATTAGCACAGTCGGGGACAGGGACACAGGCAGATCACCTTGAGAACCAGGTGTAGGAGGGCAGATGGGTACACAGCCCAGCTGCTCATGGGCCCGTGGGCCTCAGCCTCCCCATCTGGCTTCAGGAAGAGACAGCTCTGTATCCTCTGAGCTGGCAGCATCTGAAGGGGACCTCCCTGCCGCTGATGTCTGGGGTCCCCACCACCTGTGCTGGGCACCCTTGAATGGCCCAATATGTTCAGAGTCAACTCAGCTCCCACTCTCTGCACTCCCAGTAGGCTCTTGAGCCCGTAAGAGGCAAACCTTCCCTGGGTCCATCTCTCCTATTGTCCTTGTTTTGCAGCTGGGTAAACTGAGGCCCAGAGACTGGAAGCCTGCCTGTGTTATTTCCACTATACTACAGGCAAAATGAAGAGACCATGCATCTTTAAAAAAAAAATCTTTTTTTAAAAATTGTCTAGGCGCCCTCAAATCGTGGGATAAATAATCTTAAAGGGGAAGGTCACATATAGTATTTATATACACATACAGTGCATGTGGAAAGGGCTTTGTAAATTATGATGCCTTTTACAAATGATAGTTGTCATTAAATTTACTCTAAACAGAGAACTCACTGTCCTCTACACAAGTTTATGGACCTACTTTTAAAGGGTCTAAGGCCCACTTTGAACTTTGAGAGTTCCTTCTAGCCTGTTATTCAGTCAAACCAAAAAAAGAAAAAAAAAGAAAAAAACTCCCCCAAGCCATGTCTAACCTTTGCTTCATTCCTATTCCTGCGTAGGCAAGATCTTGTTTGTTTTCCAAAACCCACTTCTTAAGCACTGGAGAGCTCTCAGCCACTTCCCACAAGTTTCCAGCAAAAGTGCAGGCGCCAGTTAATCCTGTAACGGAAGACCTCCCCCTGCAGCTGGCAAGAGGGCTGTCATCTCCCTGCCTAAGTGGAGAGGAAATGCTCGCCAGTGCCCAGAGCTGGGGCTCCATCAGAGCTACTGGGCCAACCCTCTAGTTCCATGACTCCTTTGCTGAGCACCTGCTATGTGCCTGGGAAGCACATCATATGTAGCAAAGAGAGTTTCAAAGCCTCGGCAGTATTTTGAAAACATGATCGCAGGCTGGCGTTGGGATTCAATTTGAAGCAGTTTATAGGAAGCATGACAGAGTACAAAAGGGTCACTTTGGCTTCCTCCAGGCCTCCAGAGATCCTGGATCTTCTTTTTTACACACTGTATATGGGTTTGGACGTCTTTATTGCCTCTGCTGGGAGAGCTGAGCAGTGCGGAGTACCGTACAAAGAACACTAAGAACTAGGGCTGAACAGAGAACTAAGAATTAAACACTGAAATTCTCCTCCCCTTTAGGTACCTGGTCTCCTCCAGCCACAGTCTGCTCATCCATGAAATGGTAACAGTAACACCTAACACACATCAGAGACTTGCTAGGAAGCTCAGTTTCCAGCCCCAGGCAATACAGCAAGTGACGGCTTTGAGATGGGTAGATCCTGTCATGGGGATGGGAAGGAAGCACGAGTGGCTTGGATCAAGATGAAAGGATATAAGGAGAGAAGCTTATCTTCTTTGTGGGAAGGCATGATGGAATGGCCAATGTGTATACGTCTTCACAATTCCCTCTAGCACTGAACAACAGTAATGGTTTTTATCCCAGCAGTGCTTATTGAGTGCTTACTGCTTTACCTCCAGCATCTAGAAGAGTGCAGTCATGACTCCACCCATTCATCCACCCATCTACTTACCCACCCATCCAACCATCCATCCTGCCACCCACCCATCCCCCCACCCATCCATCCATCCAGCCACCCACCCATTCATCCACACACCCACCCATCCATCCCCCCACCCACCCACCCACCCACCCACCCACCCACCTATCCATCCCCCCACCCATCCAGTCAGCCTTGCTGAATGAAAGCTAACTGCTATTCTAGGTCTTCTACAAACACCTCATTTGAACAGGAAGAATCTTGGAGAGGGCAGATGGGGACACCCTCCTTGGGCCATCGGCCTTTTCCTAACTCACTAGGCTACATGAAGCCTTGCTTCCTCCCCTCCTGCTATGCAAACTTACAAGGCAGATGATTCAGGAGGCCTGGCTAACTAGAGAGATTCTGAGCACAAGGCAGCTGAGCTGACAGTTCCTTTGAGCAATCTGTGTGGTGGGATAATCTCACCAACACCTGAAGCTAGACAGGGGCATTGGAAACTGTAGGGCTCAGTATGGGTCAGTTACTGCTGTTGTTACCAGCCACCAAATTAAACTCACCCAAACTCTCTCCCCACAACTGACTGAAACAATGATTCTCCTAAGCTCATTCTTGTGACAGTAAAAGTACAGAAAGGCCCAGCAGTAGGCTTGGTTTAATACTGTATTGGGAATTTATTTATGAAATCTCTCAGAAGAGCTTAATTCCATCACAAACCTTAATGTCAGACATTCGCTGGGACAGATGACAGTTCAGGACACTCAGGAGGATGGCATTTCCTTAGTTTACCTCTCCCGGGCTGGAATTTCAGAGAAGCAGCTGACTACCACATTTTCGGCCTCTGTGGGCAGGTATGCTGGTGGTCAGGGTCTGCAGTGGAGCCCTCTCTTGGGACACAGATGCCCGTACTTAACCAGGAGGAGAATGGTGAACAGGGAGCGGCTTGCAGGACAGGGAGGCAGCCAGATAGAGAGCTTCCGCTCAGAGTCCTTTCAAACAGTCCTGACAAACAGTAATCATGACAAAGGTAATCATCTTCCTCTATGCCGGCCACTGTTCTAAGTGCTTTACACATATTATTTTATCCAGGCCTCACAATCACCCTCAAAGTTGGAGACTATTATCATTTTTCAATTAAGGAAACTGAGGCACAGAGAGGTGAAGTAACATGCTTAAGGTCACACAGCCAAGATCCGACGTGGTGGCTCACACCTGTAATCCCAGCACTTTGGGAAACCAAGGCGAGTGGATCACTTGAGCTCAGGAGTTCAAGACCAGCCTGGGCAACATGGCAAAACCCATCTCTGCAAAAGCACACAAAAATTAGGCAAACATAGTAGTGCACACCGGTGGTCCCAGCTACTCGGGAGGCTGAGGTGGAAGGATCACTTGAGCCCAGGAGATGGAGGTTGCAGTGAGCTGATTTGTGCCACTGCACAACAGCCTGGACAACAGAGTGAGACCCTGTCTCAAAAAAATAAAAAAAAGTCTCACAGCCATAAGTGGGATGCAAACCCAGGTTGGTCTGACCTCAAAGACCATGCTCTCAGGCCCTGTGCCACACCACCGTCTCACTCTGTGGCTTGAAGAAATAAGAGCTTCAAGGGTAGTCTATGTCAACAGTGTCCACAGCACACCTACTTCTCCTATGTCCTGAAGCAAGAGTGTCCCTCTCACCTCCACAGTCCCTAGCCAGCATCCTACCAGTGATATTTAAGACCCCAAATGCACCATCCACCTCTCTTGGCTCAGTTCAGTCTCAGAAACATCTGTGCCTGAGAAGGGCACAGGCGGTTAGATTCTGGGCTCTGAGCTGGAGCAGAGGCTCTGTGTCTGGGCCAGGACAAGGGGGAGGACATGCTGAGTGTGGACAGATGTCCACCAGGCCATGACTCTGGCAATCATTTTAATGAGCAATGCAGCGGTCAGCTGGGCACGCCAAACGTGTTCACCCACTCTGAAAACTGAGTTGAAATAGAGCATGATTCCAAGGCCCAGGTCAGTTAAATGACAAAGCAACAAAACCACAACAATGTATTACATCCAAACCCAGTGACCACAAAACTTTTCTGATTCAGGATTTAAAAAAAAGAAAAAAAAAAAGGAGTCAGGATATGGTTTCATGAAGGCATTAAGCCATCTCCCCCACCCCACATACTCCTAACTTCCTGAACAAAGAAAGCATTCCATCATTTTAGCGCCTTTCCACCAAGACAACAATAGGCTGCATTTTCCATCTAAGAACAGTTGGCTTGGAACAGCAGATAGAGAAGCAGTGAGAGTAAACGCAGGTCTGCGGGGCCACCGAGGACAATGATTAATGGGTTTCCCAGGCCTGCTATCAGCTGGGGCAGGCAGTATAGGAATAGGTCTCAGAACATGTTACCCCAAGGCCCTCTTGCAAGCACTCCAGTGAGCAGAGGATCGGCCTACACATTCCCAACCCATGAGCTCAGGCTGGAGGTGAGCCAGGGAGAGCCAAGGTGGACAGTGGGAGGAGGGTCAGAAAGGGTCTGAACGTCTCACTGCTGCTCCAGGAAGGGAAGACTAGCCATCCATTGAGGCATTACGACACCACCTCTGACTCGAACAATGGACTGTGTGGTGTGACCTTAATTAAAGGAAAAACGTAGAATCACAGTGCATTTAAAAGACCTTAGAGAGGCCATCTACTAAAATCTCTCATATCACACAAGAGGGAACAGAACAGAGTTGGGAGGAAGGGAAAGAGGAATTTACGTTTCTGACAATTTCCTATCGCTAGGAATCGTGTCGTGTGTGCTAAAGCCGCTACGGTGTGTTAGAATATTGCTGTTTTACAGATGTGGAAATTTGGTCTCAAGCCAGTAATTGGCCCCCAGTCACAAAACTAAAAAGCAGAGGAGCAGAGATTTGACCCGGATCCCTTCCAAGCTCTTTTCAGCAACTCCCCCACCCCTGACCCACTACACTGGCAGGCCCCACATGGCTCCTGACCCCTCTATTCCCAGCTCTATGGCATCAGAACAGGGGTCCTTAACCATTTTTATGCCACAAACCATCTCAGTAACTTGATAAAACCTATGGACACCTTCTCAGAATATTTTCTTTAAATCATAAAACAAAACATTAACAGATCTAGCATAGCTAATAGTAAGTAACAAGATCTAGTTGTAGGTCTAACACCTTACAATAATTTCAATAATTATTCACTTATAATAATTTCTAGTTGTAAGTGTAAATCCTAGCTTGAGATATCTGCAACCACTGCAAGAAGGAATGAAAATATTTGTGATTTCTATTAGTGATGAAGTCACAGGCACTCCTAAGATGGATTTGTTGCCTACAGTGTCCCTGTAATTGGGGAATATATTACGTTTCAGTTAGAGGTTAGTAAAAATAAAGGGTTTTTTCTTCATTCAAGTTCACAGACCCCAGGAAATTAAAAATCCGTGTACCAGACTAGCACTACCATGAATCCCCAGCATGGGGGACAGTTGTCAACTTTTCCTTAAACCTGTAGGACAAAATAATAGCAGTTGCGATTTATTGAATGTTTTAATGTTGCAGGCCCCTGTTAAGCTAACTCATGTCCTACTGACAGCTTTTCTTTAAAGTGGGTGATGCTGCCTTGATCTTACAAAGCAGAAAAGTTTGGTTTCAAGGTTGAATCTTAAAGCAAGTTAAACACATCTACCTACTTCATGTTCAAGTTTACAGATTATTGTAATTGAAGAGACTGTAAAGTAAGCTGTTAAAAAAACCATTTTACTTGAAATTCTCTTCTTGGCTGGATGGATTTTGAGTTCACGTAAACAAAACAAAATAAATTAGACATTGAAGCTGATATAAGGCTACAAATGCCATCCTTAACCGCAAATTGAAAACTACTAAATCCATCAGATTCATAGTACCAGGACTTTAATCGAGAATTTCTAATAAACAAAGGTGAAATTCTAAAACCAGACATTCATAAATATAAAATAATGCTGTTGCCCTCCTTAAATATTTCTGACAGAATTTCTTTTGAAAATAAATGTAAGAATAGGCCGGGCACGGTGGCTCATGCCTGTAATCCTAGCGCTTTGGGAGGCCAAGGTGGGTGGACCACCTGAGGTCAGGAGTTTGAGACCATTCTGGCCAACATAGCAAAACCCTGTCTCTACTAAAAATAGAAAAATTATCCAGGCATGGTGGCAGGTGCCTATAATCCCAGCTATTTGGGAGGCTGAGGCAGGAGAATCGCTTGAACCCCCAGGGGTGGGGTGTGGCGGGGCGGAGATTCCAGTGAGCTGAGATCACGCCATTTCACTCCAGCCTGAGCAAAAGAGCAAAACTCCATCTCAAAAAAAAAAAAAAAAAAAAAAAAGAAGGAAAATAAAGGCAAGAATAATTTCTGAGCCCTCTCTGTATCCTTATCACCCAAGATCAACTGTTGAAGAAATAGTGTACTTGAAAATACAATATATCTCATATCTTTCCCATTTTCTCCACTGAAGTCCTCAAAGGTTGAGCAACTAAAGTCTAGGACTGTTGGTTTTGAACACTGTCACATTCTTCCGTTTATCCCCAGGAAATTCTAGGCAAGTCCCTTAACCCAGTGAAGCCTCAGTTTCCTCATCTGTAAAGTGGGGATAATAATCCCAGCCCTTATTACCCCACAGAGTTATTGTGCAAATCAAATGAGATACTCAATGCAAAATTCCTCTGTAAACAGAAAAGCTTTATACTATTGTGATGTTATTAAACCCTAACAAGGGATAAGTCATTCGGTATGAACAGGAGCTTCAGAATCAATGTGGGAGGCAAAAAATACAGAAGTTTCCTTCAGCACAAGAGATCATAAATCAGTGTCACCCACACCTGTGGCCGTGTGCAGCAGCACCAGAAGAAAGGCCAGTGGTATGCCCTTCATGGGAAACCTTCCTGCCAAAAAAAAAATATATACATATATACATGTATATAAACACTGCAAGAGTCTGGACCTCTTAAAACTCAGATTTACAATTCCTCACAAAGGCGTATAACCCTCATTCTCCCCTCCCTCAAGGTGTCTCTTCAAGGAGAAGAGACTTCAAGGAGATGGCAACCCACCACATCTGATGTCTGAAAAAGGCCAAGTAGACAATACAAGGTAGTCACGGTCTTTGCTAACCCCAAGGCCTCTAGTGGCCCTGAAAAAAGCATTTCTACTAGCACAGGGGAATGAACCCTGATTTCAGTGTGTTAGGGGATAAGGGGAAGGTGAAGATATGGGAGCAAGGAGTACAGAGTTACTTTCCCCAGAAATTTGGTGGAGAACAGAAGACGAAACAGAGCTGATAATATTGATTTTCATGAGAAGTCAGATGGCTGCTTAAAGGGAAGGGGCTGAAGAAACAGAGAAGGAGGTAAAGGATGGGAACAGCTGCTGTGGGAATTGATACAGACAGGAAACTGGCTAGATTTTCTGAAAAGGCTGTCCCAGCAGCACTGAGAGGCTCAGCATTAAGTTATCATAACTTGGTAACAACACCAACCAGCTGGGCTCTGCAGCTCTCTCTAACAGTGCCAGGCAGCCCTCGAGAGCAGGACGCAGAATTAGAGACACTAGAGTCTCTTTGGGTGGGGCCAGCCTGAAGTCAGGAGCACTGAGCAGCTGCTGAACACGATTGCAAAGGCACAATGTGGGCTCCCAGATGGGCAAAAGAAGGAAGCCCTTGGGAGGCAGGTGGATCGGGAGGACAGGCAGGCATTGGCTAAGGATGGGAAGGTGGATTTGCAGCAGGTCTCATGAGAATGACATGGTAAGAGAAGCAGCAGCTCCAAGTCATGGTTAGAGAGGAGCATTTCCAGTGGGAGTTTAGGTGGGACAGTTTTGGGCAGTGGAAAACTCCTAGGTGCGGCTCTGGGCTGGGCTGCTGGGGAGAAGGTGAGAGGTACGAGGAGGTGGAGGCTGCTGGAGCTGCAAAGGTGGAGGATCTCCAAGGACAGGATTTCAGCAGACTGAACACGGAAAGTGCCTACAGTGCTGGGCAGAGGCAGGTGGAGGAGAGGCTGAGAACTAGGGGAGGAGCCTGCCAAGAAGGCGGCCTGTGAGAAGGGAGTTGTGGGAAACAGGTTGGTGAGGCAGGAGCTGGGCTGATCAGACAGGTCACTGGGCCAGGCTGGAGCTGGAACTTTAATCCACAGGCAGTGGGAGTTTTGAATTTGGGCAGTCACAATCTGAGCCGTGCTTGGGAAGAGTGAGTCTGCAGGGGCCAGTACTGGACTGGAGGGGAGGAAAGGCCAAGAGAGCCCAGAGGCTGGCAGGTGTGATCACTTGGGTAAGAAATCAGCCAGTCCCTGAACCAAAGTGGGACAGTGGGGGCGAAGAGCAGGGGACAAGCATGAAGAGAACTGCAAAGGAAGGTGTGATTGCATGTGGGAGGAAGAAAGGAGATGGGCCTGGAGTCCCAGCTACTCGGGAGGCTGAGGCAGTAGAACTGCTTGAGCCCTGGAGGCAGAGGTTGCAGTGAGCTGTGATCATGCCACTGCACTCCAGCCTGGGCAACAGAGCGAGATACTGTCTCAAAAAAAAAAAAATAGTAATAATAATAATACCGTCTGATGAGAGACATTTACCATCTAGTTTCTCTTAAGGAGACCATCTAGTCTCCTGTTACTTGGAGGCTTCATTTAGGTAACACGAATCTTAGCTTCCACAACCCCTTTTTTCTTAACTCAAACATTTCTTTATGCCAACTTAAACTCTTCAGGCAAAGCTTAACTCTTTCAACCAATTGCCAATCAGAAAATCTTTGAATCCACCTATGTCCTGGAAGCCCCCATGCCTGCCCCCCACCCCCATACCTTACATGTATTGATTCATGTCTTTGCCTATAATTTCTGTCTCTCCAAAATGTACAAAACCAAGCTATAACCCAATTACTTTGGGCACATGTTCTCAGGACCTCCTGAGGCTGTGTCACGGGCCATGGTTACTCTTATTTAGCTCAGAATAAACCTCTTCAAACATTTTACAAAAGTTGGGGTTTTTTTGTTCTTTGTTTTTTGTCAGCAGCTTCCATGTCTTCTCTGAGCACACCTCCCTTCAGTCACTGCCACGTGTTCAGCTAGTGGAAGATCCCTGAACCCAGTCCTTTTGGGTCTTAATGGCAGCTTCATCATGTAGGCACAGTTGATGAAATCATTGGCCATTGATGAGCGAATTAACCTTCAGCCCTTCTCTCCTCCCTGGAAACTGGCTTGGCCTTTCAGGCAGCAGCCTTCATCCTGAAGCTGCCTATGGGCTGCCAGCCACCAAGCATCTTATCAGCATGCAAAAGACACTCTTATCACCCTGGAGATTCCAAGGGGAGAAGACCAAATATATATATTTCACAATATCAGATTACTTCAACGGGGTCATGGGGCTCAAGAGAGAGGTACAGGCCAGAAATAGAAATGTGGAGAGTCATCTTCATGAGGGTGACAGGCAAATATAACTGAGATTTCCTGAGAAAGCAGGCCTCACAGAAACAAAAGGAGTTGGAGACAAACCTCAGACACCAAATATGTACTACAGAAAAGAAAAATAAAGCATAAGACTCTTAAAAATTAATCAGAAAAGTTGTGCCATACCTGTACCTCACCCCATATACAAAAATTAATCAAAATGGATGAAAGACCTAATTGAAAGAGCTGAAACTAAAAACTCCTAGAAGAAAATGTAGGGCAAAAGCTTCATGACAGTAATTTGGTCAGGATTTCTTGGATATGACACCAAAGCCACAGGAAACAAATGGAAAAATAGACAAATTTGACTTCATCAAAATTTAAAACTTTTGTGCAACAAAGAACACTATCAACACAATAGAAAGATAACCCACAGAATGAGAGAAAATATTTCCAAATCCCATATCTGGCAAAGAGTTAGTATCCAGAATATACAGAGAACTCTTAAAAGTCAATAAAAACAAAACAAAAAACCTGATTCGAAAATGGGCAAAGGACTGGAATAAACATTTCTCTAAAGAAGACTTATGAGTGGACAATAAGCACAGGAAAAGATGCTCAACATCACTAATCATTAGGGAAATCCCAATCAAAATCATGAGATGCCACCTCACACCCATTAGGATGCCTACTATAAAAAACAAAAAATAAGTATGATGAGGATGTGGAGAAAATTCAACCCTTGGACATTGCTAGTAGGAATATAAAATGGTACAACTACTTGAAAACAATAGGACAGTTCCTCAAAAAAGTAAAAATAGAATTACCATTTGACCCAGTAATTTCACTTCTGGGTATACCACATACCCAAAAGAATTAAAGCATGATCATGAAGAAATAGATACGTATATCCATAGATCATGAAGAAATAGATACGTATATCCATAGTGGCATTATTCACAATAGCCGAAAGTTAGTAGTAACCTGTGTCCATTGATGAGTGAACAGATACAAAAATGTGGTCTATATATACAATGGAATATTATTCAGCCATAAAAAAGAAGGAAATTCAGACATACATTACGACATGGATGAACCTTGAAGACATTATGCTAAGGGAAATAAGACAGTCACAAAAGGACAAATACTATATTATTCCACTCATATGAGATACTTCGGTAATCAAATTCATAGAGACAGAAAGAATGGTGGTTGCCAAAGGCTGAGGGGAGGGGAGAATTGTCAGCTATTGTTGAATGGGTAGAGTTTCAGTTTTACAAGATGAAAAAAGTTCTGGGGATGAATGTTGGTGATGGCTGCACAAAAATGTATTGCCACTGAACTGTGCACTTAAAGATGGTTAAAATGGTCAATTTTATGTTAAAAAAAGTTGTGTCACAAAAGGCAAGGGGATAGTTCAAGAAGTAGAAGGAGGCGATTAACGGTTGCTGGGCACTTAATATGTTTTACATGTGTTTTCTCACATAGCCTTTACCCCAGCCCTATGAGATAACAACTATCATTATTATTACTCTCATTTCATAGGTGAAGAATCAGAGGCTCCAAGATACAAGATCACACAATAAGTCATGGGTAGTGTTAAGTGTCATGGGTATTCAGGAAGGTTTTTTCTTCCAAAAAGACTTTAAATCAGAATGGCCAAGTCTGCCCTAACCTTCGCAGTGAGGCTGGTTTCAGCCTGTCCCTGATCTGCTGGTTTGTGGTGAGAGAGTGAGCAGCTCCTCTAAGACATGATGAGCACAGGATGTAATACATTCCTTAGGCCTGAGATGGTCGTGACTCACAGATAGGAGAGACCCTAGTCTTCCTTTACGTTTTTCATCCCCAAGATTTCACAGTTCCTTACCTGAGGAAGTCATGTCACTTTCCACTCAAAGCCTCCTGTGGCTTTGCATCTCATGCAGAGTAAAAGCCCAAGTCCTTTCAAGGGTTCCAAGGCCCAACCCCACTCTCTCTCTGGCCCATCTCTTACCACCCCCAGCCTGCCTCCTTCCAGCTACATAGGTCTCCTTGCTGTTTCCACAACATCCTGAGCACACTTGCGTCAGCACCTCTGTACCTGCTGCTCCTTTGCCTAGCATTCACTCCCCTCTAAGAACTGCACACTCATCACCTTGCTCCTTTAGGTCTCTGCTCAAATGTCACCATCTTCTAGAAGCCTTCCCAGGACATCCTATATCAAACAGCAACCTACTCTCCTCTCCCTGCCCTGCTGTATCTTCTACCTAGGATATACACACACCTGACATACACACACACACACACACAGACTCCCCACACATTTGTTTATTGTCTCTCTCTTTCTCTCTCTCTCTCACTGATAAGAACATAAACTCCAAGAGGACAAGGATTTTGTCTGTTTTCTTTTTTTTGTTTTCGACCCAGAGTCTTGCTCTGTTGCCCGGGCTGGAGTGGAGTGGCGCAATCTCGGCTCACTGCAACCTCCACCTCCTGGGTTCAAGCAGTTTTCCTGCCTTAGCCTCCTGAGTAGCTGGGATTACAGGCACCCACCACCACGCCTGGCTAATTTTTGTATTTTTAGTAGAGACAGGGTTTCACCATGTTGGCCAGGCTGGTCTCGAACTTCTGACCTCAGGTGATTTGCATGCCTCAGCTTCCCAAAGTGCTGGGATTACAGACGTGAGCCATCGTGCTCGGTTTGTCTGTTTTCTTTACTGCTATGTCCCTAGCACCTGGCATGTAGCAGGCACTTAAAATGATTTTTTTTTTTTAAGCAGAGTCTTACTCTGTTGCCCAGGCTGGAATGCAGATGTGTCATCTCATCTTGCTACAGCCTTGATCTCCCAGGCTCAAGCGATCCTCCCATCTCAGCCTCCCAAGTAGCTGGGACTACAGGTGCATTCCACCACACCAGACTACTTTTTTGTATTTTTTTGTAGAAATGGCATTTTGCCATGTTGTCCAGGCTGGTCTCAATCTCCTGAGCTAAAGCAATCTACTCACCTTGGCCTCCCAAAGCACTGGGAGTACAGGAGTGAGCCACCATGCCTGGCTGAAAATGATTTTTTGAATGAATTAATAATTGCGAAAAGTTTAACTCAGGGATGGCAATTTAAAATATAAGGGTAAATGGAAACAGTTTGGTGGTTCCTCAAAAAGTTGAATTAGCATATGACTCAGCAATTCCACTCCTGGTATATACCTAAAATAACTGAAAACAAAGACTCAAACTGATACTTGCACGTCAGTGTTCATCACCACATTATTCATCTTAGCCAAAAAGCAGAAAAAAAAAAACAAGGGTTCCTCACTGGATGAATGGATAAACATATGCAGTACATACATAGGATAGAATATTATTCAGTCCTAAAAAGAAGGAAATTCTGGCATATGTCACAGATGAACCTTGAGGACATCAGGCCAAGTGAATAAGCCAGCCACAAATACTGTATAATTCCACTTAAACGAGGTACCTAATAGTTAAACTCTAGAGACAGAAAGTAGAATGGTGGTAGGCAGGGGCTGGGGGTGGGGGTGGGGAGGAGAGGGG
Source organism: Homo sapiens (assembly GCF_000001405.40). Taxonomy (NCBI): domain Eukaryota; kingdom Metazoa; phylum Chordata; class Mammalia; order Primates; family Hominidae; genus Homo; species Homo sapiens. The sequence continues at coordinate 12,174,342 of NC_000011.10, read as the reverse complement.
AGTGACTGATTATGGGTACAGAGTTTCATTTTTGCAAGATGGAAAACCTTCTGGAGATGAATGATAGTAATGGGTGTACCACAATGTAAATGTACTTCATGATACCAAATTATACATTTTAAAATGGTTAAAATTTTATGTTATGTATATTTTACCACATTTTGCTTGAAAAAAACCTCAAACTCAATTCAGTTACTGGAAAAGTTTTAATTATGACTGGAATAACTTGGATATGTAAATCTACTTTTTTCAACTGTAAGTTTTATAAAATTTAAATACAGATTAAGTATTTCTGACTAAAATTTAGCATCTGAATTGAGATGCTCTATAAAACACACACCAGATTTCAAAAACTCAGTACGAAAAAATGTAAAATAGCTTTAAATAATTTCACAGTGATTACATGCTGAAATAATAATAATTTGGATATATTTGGTTAAATATATTTTTAAGATTGAAAAAGAAAAGAATGAAATTCCAACACATGCTACCATGTGGACAAACCTCAAAAATATTATGCTAAGTGAAATAAACCAAACACAAAAAGACAAAGACAATATGATTCCACTTACATGAAATATTACAAACAAATTTACACAAACAAAAAGATGAGAGGGTAGCAGGGGCTGAGGGAAGAAGGGAACAGGGAGTTTTTGCATAATGGTCACAAAGTTTCTATTTGGAGTGAGGAAAAATCTTGGAAACAGGAAGCGGTGATGGTTGTACGTCATCCAGAATGTAATTAATGCCGCTGAATTAATTGTACACCTAGAAATGGTTGAGATGACAAATTTGTTAAACATATTTTACCACAATTTAAAAAGACACATTGGGAATGCCAGGGGCAAAGAGTAAATGCAAGAGCTCATTCTCTTAAAGCTAGAGAGGAGCAACAGGCAGCTGCAAGTAAACATGAGCATGTTCTCCTTGGCTGGAAGGGGACATGAAACTTCCCCTGGACTTAAGTCTTGTAGATTTGAACTTAAAAAACATCTCCCCCTATATATTCCTCAGATTTTGACAGCTGTCCCCTGCAGAAAGGGTCCTGAGAATAAAATCTTTCCACTGCAGATTTCCCATAGACCACCCTTTGGTATAGCTCGCTACCCTGTATTTACATCTCTTAAGACTGTAAGACCGATAGCAGGAGGTGTAGAATACGCCAGGTTGCAGTGAAATCTGTCACATAGAGCCAAAGGCTCTGAGCAGCCTCTGAAATTATAATAGACTCGGTTTATCTTTCTAAGAAGCTGCATAGAAGTTTGAAATGAGTAACTTTTTAATGTAATATAATTATAATACATAAAAATATATGTATATACTATATTTACAACTTCTCTTAAGTATATATTTCTATAACTATGTATGTTATATATTTCAATATTTGTATCGGGATATATGTTAGTACATGTTACATGGAGAGCTGGTAGCTTATGGCTGACCATCCTAAGGAGACAGCCAAGTATAAAGAGATCTCCAGAGAACCTCTGACCTGCCTGTGCACTGGGAGGATGGGGCGGGGCCTCGGGAAGTTTGCACCATTAGCAGGGGGAGGAGACTGACCTCTCCTGTTCTGGGTGGTACCTGGGATTCAATGTGTGAGATGGGGGCCTGTTAATAGGAGCCTCTCTCAGTTTGCTGAGTTTTTTTTTCTTCCTTTTCACCCAATACATTCCATTTTTCTCACCCTTCAAAGTGTCTTTGAGCCTAATCTTTCATGGCCATGTGACAAGAACCCTGCTTTTACCTGAACTGAGGAGAAAGTCCTACAACACTAATATCAACTGAGAACCATGATGTCTCCCACCTTGTTTCTTGCAAAACTCATTTACTGAAAGGCCAAGTAGGAAGAGACCTAATTGCTTGAACCTGCAGACATTTGATTCTCTTGTACACAATTTGACTTCTTCCTCAGCTCAATCATCGTCTTCCCCATTCCTTTCACAGGTGTTGACTGCTGATGAACACCCTGCACTCCAAACACCTACTAAGCATCTGCATTTGAAGAACTCAACCTGAGACAAATACATGTTATGTGTCAGGCATTTTCCTAGGTGCTGGGGAATCAGCCGAGAACATATAGGCAAAAATTCCTGTGCCCATGGAGCTTACATTTTAGCAGAGTTTCTGGGAACACTTTTGCCTGCGTGATAAAGAGATGTATGTAGCTAGAGCAACCCCATCTACCTTCTTCCTGCTTTGAAAGCAAATGTGATGGCTGGAGCTGCAGCAGCCACCTTGTGACTACAAGGTGACAAGCATGAGGAAAACTGCACAGTCCAATTTGACAGCCGCTAGCCACATGTGGCTAGTAAGCACTTGATGTGTGGCTAGACTTAACTGAGATGAGCTGTAAAATACACAGTATTTCAAAAATGTAATATACAAAAAGCAAAATATCTCAGTAATCATTTTTTATATTTACTACATGTTGAAATAGTGTGGATATATTAGGTTAAATAAAATATATTATTACAATTTCAACACGTCTTTATATTTCTAAAATGTGGCTAATAGAAAGTTTAACATTATATATGGGCTTACATTATATTTCTTTTGGGCGGCACTGGCCTAGAGAATCAGAGAATATAGCTACTGAACCTCCAGCCACTGCCTCTCTCCTCACTTCTCCTTAAAAACATAAGCCCCTATTTGTTTTCGCCTCTGGTCAGCATCTCAATTACCTGCAGCTGAATGCACTCTTACAAATTCAGCGCAGGAGAACAACCTGAGAATCAGGCTCAGTGAACTGCCCAGGACCTTCCCTGTGGCAGGAGGCTGAACTGAACCTGGTACTCCACCCTGTTGAGTAGGAGATAGACAGATACATTCACATCAAGTGGGACAATTATCTGGTCAAGGAATACACTGATTGCCAAGATATTTTTAATTGTGGGAAAAAAACAAAGCAGAACAAGAGTCTCCAGTGAGCAAGGAAGAGGGAAGCCAGGGTTTACCTTTTAGTCTGGGAAGGAGAGCGTTAAACTGCTTCATGGTTTCCTTTCTCCCTGCCCAGAGATACACATTTATTTGGATAATCCTGGCCAGAGACTCCCTAGGGCCTTGTACAACCCTGGGTGGGCCAGGAGCTGCAAGAGGGTTTTCTTTTTTTCTCCAAGAAAAGGGAGGCTCAGTCTTCCAGCTTCACAAGCCTATTGGCTAACTTCCCGTCTCTTTTGAAAGCTCCACGGGCAGCCAGATGCTAGTCAAGGGCCAGACAGGGCTGTGGCCACCATCCCCACCCTGCAGGGAAGGAATGCTCGGATGCAAACTTGGACAGATGCTTAAATAAGGAAATGAAAGGATTGTCTGGTTTTGTCTTCCTCAAACCCACCATCAAAGCTTGGAAACACCGGGGCTCACATAGTAAAGCTCCAGAAAGAAGCCCTTTGAGCCACAGAGTTCGCTCCTCTATCCCTGTGCATCTTCCCTGTGCCAAGCCCTGTGCTGGGGACTTGAGACGCGGGGATGAACCAGGCATGCTCCCTGTCCTTAGGGAGCTCACCGTCAAAAGAGACAAAGCCATCAATGTGGGGCACTGATCAGCAAGATAGCAATAGGACCAGAGAATCTAGGAGCCCACTGGGGCACCAAACCCAGATTGGGGATGGAATAAGAGGAGGCAATGGGGAGGAGATGGTCAGGGAAGGCTCCCAGGAGGAGGTGGTGTCTGCTTGAACTGAATCATAAAGAGAACAAGTTAGCCAGGCCAGGTCCCTGTTCAGCACTAATAGGACAGATCCTCCATGGGCCAGGGCCCTAAAGTCTCCCATTATTTGATGAAATTTTCAAGAGAAATATAAGTGCATTTGATTTGATACACTTATAGGTGTTCTTCTCTTAAAGAACATTCACTTTTACTGATACAGCAAACTTTTTTATTTTTATTTTTTTGAGATGGGGTCTTGCTCTTCACCCAGGCTGGAGTGCTGTGGCACAATCACGGCTTATTGCTGCCTTGACCTCCCAGGCTCAAGTCAGCCTCCCCACTCAGACTCCCCAGTAGTTGAGACTACAGGCATGCACCATCACACCCGGCTAATTTTTCTATTTTTTGTATAGACGGGGTATTGCCATATTGCCCGGGCTGGTCTCGAATTCCTGGGCTCAAGGGACCCACCCACCTAGGCCTCCCAAAGTGCTGGGGTTATAGGAGTGAGAAATGGGGACTGACAAAGTAAACCTCTTAATGAAACGATGTATATGGAACTGTGTTGTGAGCTGTAAAGCACCACGCAAATGTTTGGTGGTGGTAATAAAACTGTTGTTGTTACAAGGATGGCAGTAATCCCTGCCACTTCACTGCTGCACTGCTCTTCACCCAGTGGCCCCATTCAAGGTCACCTAGTCCAGGCTGCAGGACTCAGAGGGTGTCTATCAATGCCCACTCAGCAAAGCCCGGGAAATCTAAGTAGGCAACATCTTACTGCACTCTCTTTTTAAAGAAGGGCTCTTCTTGGTACTCCCTTGCACTATTGGTGGGAGTATCCACTCCAGGGAGGAGAATCTGACAATGCCTATAATTTTTAAATGTAGCACACATACCCTTTGTCTCACAATTTCACACGTATACAAACAAGTGTGGTTAAGGAAATGCACTGCAGCACTGTTTAAAATGGCAATAGACTGGAAATAAGCTAAGCTAAAGAAATTGTGCTATAGACGGTGTGGTGGCTCATGCCTGTAATTCCAGCACTTTGGGAGGCCGAGGCAGGCAGATCACAAGGGCAGGAGTTTGAGACCAGCCTGGCCAACATGGTGAAACTCCATTTCTACTAAAAATACCAAAGTTAGCCGGGCATGGTTGCTCACGCCTGTAGTCCCAGCTACTTGGGAGGCTGAGGCAAGAGAATCACTTGAACCTGAGAGGCGGAGGTTGCAGTGAGCTGAGATCATGCCACTGCACTCCAGCCTGGGTGACAGAGCAAGATTCCATCTCAAAAATAAATAAATAAATAAATAAAAGAGATGGTGCTATTGTGCTATAGCCATAAAATGAGAAACCATAAAAGACATGAATAAAAGAGTTAGATCCACACCTACTGAGATAAAGCAATCTCAAAGATATATTTTTCAGTGAAAAAAGTTCAGAACCAGTGTAGAAAAAAATGTGTGTAGATTTTTTTTTCCCATTAAGAAAATAAAGGGGGCAGTGCATGCATCCATAACACACATCCACAAACATGCAGAGATTTTCAGGAAGGTCACAAAAGAAATGGGAGAGTACTTGCCTCTAGGAAGGAAAACTGGGGGAGTGGAGAAAAGAAACTTCTTCCACACTAAATTTTCTTTCCTTTTTTTTTAAATTAGCTTGGCTTAGGCTCAAATCCACACTGTCTTGTCTTGTCTTTTTTTTTCTCTCTCTTTTCTTTTCTTTTCTTTTTTTTTTTTTTTTTGAGACAGGATCTTGCTCTGTTGCCCAGGCTAGAGTACTCTGGTGCAATCATAGCTCACTGCCGCCTTGACCTCCTGGGCTCAAGCGATCCTCCCACCTCAGCCTCCCACGTAGCTGGGACCACAGGCACGGTGGGGTGCACCACCCTCAGCTAGTGAAAACACATTGTTTTCTCACTGTGTTGGTCCCACTTGCCCGGTCTCACCCTATATTTTCTTACCCTACTTGAGTTATTTTTTATCATGAGCAGGCATTTTTTTCAAAGAAACCTTTTCTTTTCCTTATAAAGAAAAAGTATATATATAAAGAAATATATATGGAAATATATAGATAAGTATGGGGGCAGAAATATATATTTATATATACATATTTAAAGAAATATATATGTGTCTATGTAAAGAAATAGATATGTGTGTAGTGTGTGTGTGGTGTTATGTATGTGTGTGGTATGTATGCATGTATATGTGTGTATAAGTGCATGTGTATGTACGTGTGTGTGGTGTGTGTATGTGTGTATATGGTGTGTGGGGGGTATGTATGAATGTGTGTATGGTTTGTGGTGTGTGTAGTATGTGTGTGTATGTGTGTATTTGTGTATATATGTATTTGTATATATGTATGTGTGATGTGTGTATGTATGTGTGTATGGTGTGTGGCGTGTGTGTATGTGTGTGGTGTATATGTATTTGTGTATCTATGTGTGTATGTGTGTGTGGTGTGTGTATGTGTGTATATGTGTGACTAACTGTATGTGTATGTATGGTGTATGTGTGCATAAGTGTGTGTGTGTGTGTGTGTGTGTATTTGCTGTAGAGACCAGGTCTCACTATGTCGCCCAATTTGGTTTCGAACTCCTGGCCCTGAGCATTCCTCCCAGCTTAGCCTCCCAAAGTGCTGGGGTTACAGGCGTGAACCATCCCACCTGGCCTAGTTTTTTCATAAAAAGACAAAAAAGTCTTTATTTAGAAATATATTTATAAAGTGAACTCAGTAAACCTGGATTAACAACTTCCTATGAGGACAGCTAAAAAGGAAAGTTTTTTCTTCTCCATATGACATTGCTGTGAATTGGATTTACTCAAGCTCACATATAATGCCCAACACACACACTCATGCAAACCCCACACATTCCATGTGCAGCTGTGGTAACAAATGCAACCATTGGTACAACCCGACTGGCAATCCAGGCTCAGAAACATGTTCAATGTTGCAGGGCCGGCAGTCTATTGTCAGGTAAGCAGACAAATCCAGAGTTCTTTTAAGCTTTTTCTTCAACTCGCACAGAGTTTCACACCCCAGGGACCATCTTCTGCTTTATCGGTTATGACTGGAACTGCCCGTATCAGGCAAAGTGGCCCTTGAAGTGTCTGAGCCAGCGCAGCCATGATGGATGACTTCAGAGGTCGGGAATGTCAGACAGGTTTATCCAGGCCAAGGGGTAGCAGTCTTTGCTCCCGGTGTCACCCCTTCCACCCCTAACATCCTTGCACCCTGCCTCGCTGCCTCCCTGTGTGATCTACGGAGGAAACTGGGGACCATAGGGCCGTCTGGCCCTCGAGCACAAACCGGGGCCTGGGCTACACACAGGGGAGGGGCCCAGGAGCAAAAGGTGTGTGGTGACCCTGCTGCATACTCATAAAATACAGTCACATCCTTCTAAAAAGATAACGCAAGAGTTTTCATTACATACGCTGGCCTGATTCCTGCTGGTGACAAGAGTCCATGAGTCATTTCCTGCGAGTTTTTATGGCAACAATGTACAAATACCCCCTGGTCTGTAATGGTACCTGTGATTACTGAGCAATCCTGTGGGGAGTGGTGGAAAGAACCCTGGACAGGATTGGGAATCAGGGGCTCATTGTTAATGGTTTCCCAGGTCCTCTGTTTGAGTACGAGACCCTCTGTTCACAGCCTGGACCAGGAGGCGTTTTCCTCCAGCCTTTCCTACCATCCATCCACTCTGTTCTCTCCGGCTTTCACCCTTTCCCCGCACCCCACACACTCCTCCTTTCCCATTACAGAGCAACACACTCTCCCTAGAATATATGCACTCCCTTTAGCTGTTTTCTCAGCTCTACATGGCAAACTCCTACTCATCTGCCAAGCCCCACATTAAACCTCCTCTTCCAGGAAGCGTTCCCAGACTACCCCTGTCACAGTCAGTCATTTGCTTTTCTATCCTCCTGCAGACCAGTGTACATACCTCTCTCATAGCTCTTAAGATATTAATGATAATAAGGGCTAAATGTTTACTGATCACTTATCAGAATGCTAGACAGCCTTCTACACTTTACAAAGGTTACCTTATTTAACTCTCATGGTAACTCCATGAAGTAGCTACTCTTATTATCCTCATTTTACAGAGAATGCTACTGAGGACCAGAGATATTAAGTAACTTGCCCAAGGCTACAGAGCTATTACATAGCTAGACAAATGCCTGACACATAGTAGCTGCTCAATAACTATTCACCTGATGAATGATTAATTAAAGTGAATACAGAAATAATTACATATCTGTCTTCACATAAAGCTCAAGTAAGAACCACATCTTATTCATCTTCCAAACTATCCTCTCTGTCAAATGCCTGGTAAGGTGTAGGGCACTGGAAACACCTGCTAATGAGCAAATAAACAAAAGAATATAAGAGCAAACCAGTAAATAGAGTCCAAATCCCAGTAATGCCACTCTCTTCAGCTTTCTGGACCTCAGTTTGTGGCCTGTTAAATGCAGAGATTGCACATAACATCTGCTTAAGTTCCTTCTAGCATTAAAGATTTATATATAAAGATAACCAGAGTCCAAAATTTTGTGATTATAGCATTTCCCACACCAAATTACATATTGCAGGTTCTTCTGGGTCGTTTTCCTCCGTAACACTACTCAGTCGGGTGTAACATTCGAGTCAGGTGTTACCCTAATACAGAGCCAGTTATCAATCCTGAAAGAGTTCATTTGGCATGATCCTCAGTTCACCCTCATTCTTATCCAAACACAGTCACGCCCAGGGAAAGAATTATTAATATTCAGTGCCAATAATACCCTCATAAATAATCATCAATAATAAACAATAATCCCAAGTGAGATTTTGGAACTGGCACCTGAGCCACTGCTCTAGAGAGCTCTCAGGCCACTCTGCTTGTCCCCTGACACCTCCATTAGAGCCCGTCCTTCTTCTCCAAATAGATCCTGGTCCCCAATCTCTCACCACTGTCACACGCACGTGTGTATACACGCACATATGGTGGCACGGAGGCAGGAGCATGGTGCTCAGCATATGGCAGCGGCTGATAAATGCTTGTGAAATGCTAAAGCCCAGACCCACTCCAGGTGGTGCTGAGATGCATCCACTTTAGCACAAAGGTCGGGGTTCTGGCTGAATTACATTTATTCTTGCTCTGCCTATGGCTAACCAGGAGCTTGGCTTTATGCCTGGTACCTGACAAACCTGTGTCATCTGGCTTAGCATTAATGATCAGCCACATGTATGCAAATGCCCAGCATTTCTTCCTTGACTAATGCTCAGCATAAACCATGACACCAAAGGATGCCTGAACATGGTATGTGAGCAAGACAGTGTCTGTTCATGTTGGAAGAGGTGAGGACCCCTGTTCTGTGTTTTGACTCACAACAAGGAGTACAAGCACCGGCCTCATGGAGCTGGCCATTAACCACCCACACATGAATGTGATATGCCAGGGGCCTGTATCATGGCCAGAATACAAATCAACACTCACTGTAGATGACACCCATTTTTTGTGTGATTTTTTTATTTCTTTCTTTCTTTCTTTTCTTTTTTTTTTTTTTTTTGAGATGGAGTCTCGCTCTGTCACCCAGGCTGGAGTGCAGCGGTGTGATCTCAGCTCACTGCAACCTATGCCTCCTGGGTTCAAGTGATTCTCCTGCCTCAGCCTCCTGAGTAGCTGGGACTACAGGCACTTGCCACCACACCTGGCTAATTTTTTTTGTATTTTTTAGTAGAGATGGGGTTTCACCATGTTGGCCAGGCTGATCTCGAACTCCTGACCTCAAGTGATCCACCTGCCTTGGCTTCCCAAAGTGCTGGGATTACAGGCGTGAGCCGCGACGCCCAGCCAAGGACACCTGTTGATTATCTGTCTCACACTCCCACATCCTTGGGGATTTGCTCCTCCCTCACATCAATCATGTGATGCTTGAAAGGGCTGCCAATCACAGTAGCCAGTTCCTCTGGCTTTGGCCATAATAAATCCAGAAGTGGGCCAATTAGAATCCTTCTCTGAGGTTTTTTTCAATATTGACCTGGAAGAGACAGATTCCAGCCTTTTGGAATGGAGCTATAAAGATGTGAATGAGAGGCTTCGAACATGGAGAAAAATGTGTTTGCAGGAGGGAAGCATGGAGCCAATAGAGAGCAAAGCATCAAAGCACCCAAGTTAAGGTCAGGACTTAAAGTGTCTGGACCTTCCTGTTAATATGAGTCAATGATTTTCCTGTTCTTTGTGGTTATTTTGAGCTGGGTTTCTGAAAAGCACAGCTCAAGTAGCCTAACACAGTCACAGTTCATACTTACAATGCATTCTCAAATGTATCTTCCAGTCCTCAGCATTCAGGCGGTTTTTACGAGATGGGTTATCTCACATGTGAAATGTCTTTGTTCTTCCTCACAAGACAGGCATAAAAATTCCTGGGCAAGAGGCACCTTACCCAGCATCCCTAACAAAAGGAGCTTTCTTTCCCTTTGCATCACAGAAGCCAGTGGTGACCTGCCAACCACAAGATGTGATGACTGTTCTATTTCAAGCTACCAAAGCTTGTAAAATAGAGGCTGGCCACACCAGCTAGGCAACTGGCTAGTATGTTTTGGAAGAAGGGTCTCTTCTTGGTGGTCAGCCCTCCGTTCCATCCCTCTGCTGGCTGACTCCCTGTGACAATCTGTCTTCAGATCACCAAGAGGGTCCCTCAGCAGCCACAACATGTTGGGTGTATGGGGCAATAGCATTCCCTAATAAAAACCAGAGCTCTGAAAACCCTCTGTGAGAGAACACAGTGCAACTGGGCCACCTGACTTTTATGGGACCTTTAAAAAAAAGAAGCCACCATATACAATTACTAAGAGGGATGACACTTTGGAAGCTAAAAGCTTCCCCTCCTTTAACTCTGAAGAGCCACCCCGTGAACTCTGAACCATGAAGTCACAACAACGAGGAAGGGAGGCACTGGGCAGGAGTGGCACCCAGGACATTGGTCTCACCTTCTCCTCCCCCTTCCTTTTCCCTACCTCCCCCATCTCCTCTGCCTAGCTGGAGCATGGTAGGTTATAAACAGGCACTGCCTGGATAGCTAGTCTGCTCTGGGCTGAGGCGACTGGTCTGTTTCAACCTGATGGAATGCTTTTCCTACGTCCCGCAGTGTCAGTGTGCCCCAGGCTCACAGGAGCTTGGCAGCTGTCTCCCCAGGGGCAGTGGAAAGCAGCATATCCCATGGTGGACTCGACAGCTTCTCACCACCAAAACAAAAACACAACAGTCCCGACTGCCATGGAGAGTTCAATCCTCTTGTCCCGGGATTGGCACCGGCTGGAATTCCTAGGGTTCTAGCTGAGCTACCTCCTGTGAGGTCTAAATACAGCACATTCGATTTTAACCTAAACACACAGCCTGCACCAGTGCTCAGGGCTGGTAGTCCCCAACGGCCACCAGGGAAGTCAGCTGAGACGCCTGGACTCCCACCTGCCCATCTGGTGCTGGGCATTTCAGAAATGTCAGAGAAAGGTTGCGATAGTGAGCCTATGTTCGCCGATGCTGTCTATGGCCAAATGATGGGGGATGCAACCAGTTCGTGTAGGCTTAACTATGAGTGTGGTCCTAGGTAGAGAAATGCATCCTGAGGAAGGGAGTGGGCAGGTGGAGAATGCAGGGGTATCAGGAGGAAGAGAAAGAGACAGGGAGGAAGAGGCAGTAAGGACCTAGACCTATTTCTTAGCCAATTAATCCAAAACCAGGGGATCTTTCTAAAATGTCCACACCCAGGCGAACACAACTCTGTAACTATGCCTCTCCCTGAGATTTAGGTCTTAGGCCCTAGAATCAGATGGACTAAGGTTGCCCTCTAGTTGTGTGACCTTGGGCACAACTGACTTCTCAATTTCCCCATCTCTAAAATGGCCTGAAGGACTGCTGTAGCTGTTCATTGAAATCATGGACATAAAGTACCTTGTACCTAGAAGCTGCTCAACAAATAGCAGCTACTAGAAGTAGTAGTAGTGGCAGCAGGGATAATAGAAGTGGGGGTAATATCAAGCATGGGCTTCTCTCCCTCAACTTTGCCTCTGGCTTCCCTCCCTTGGAGAGGGCACGAGTGGAGGGAACCTCCCAGCCAGGAAAAGCTGATGCTTAGAGACAAAGGAAACCTTTACCGGAGGAAAACAATGCAACATTCACACCCACACCTAAGAACCGTAGAGTGCCAAAATGGCAACAGCTTCCTAACCTCCCAAATGTCAACCCACACGCCCTGCAAAGGTAAGACTAGGAGGGTTTCCCCTTACCTTGGTGTTCGTGCACGACTTCCCTCGCTTATACTCTTTGTGGGAACCACGCTTATCCAATTTGTACCACAGGGCTTTGGCTTTCCAGGTGGTCACCTTGGACTTGAGCTTGGAATAAAAGTTTCTGTGGTCCAGAGGGTCTAGGTCCAGGTGTCGTGTGAGAATGTTGAAGGCCTGGAGGGTACCTTTGCACGTGGATGCCTGGACAAAGTTCTCAAAAACCTGCCCCGCCTGGGCCTGCTTCTCATCCTCGTTTTCCCCCATGGTTCAGGAGTCGTGTGCGGCAGTGGTGCGGCGAGGACACAGGTGAACAGCATGAAGTATCTGGAGAAACGTCACACCTGTGAAAGTAGGGGGAGGCAGAGGTCAGCTTTGGACGATGAGGTTAGGGTGGGGGATGGGTGCTGAGAAGTAAAAATGCAATTTCTTTAAGACATTCAAATATTAACCACACTATTTAGTGTTCAATACTAAACATAAATATTTATAACAGATACAGAATTGTGCCTTTTGGCCTGTCGATGTGGCATTGCAGGTAATCTCTTCCCCTATGCTCTGCTCCTCTTGCTGGCTGAAAAGTACCACAGATTGCACAGGGCTATGCCCTGGCTAATGCCAACAGTACCTAGTCAATCTTGCTCTAAGCCAAGTGGTTCTGCAAATAGTGACTAGGAAAAGGGAAAACAACCCAGAAAAGTACACTATATATAGCACCATTGAAAGTCTATCATTCTCGGTGCTGCAAATTGGTTGGCTGATGTGAATATAACCCAGCCACATTACACTAAGGCACAGACAGAAAAAACTCCAGAGAACATCTCTCTAGATTTCATGACTGCCCACCTCTCCGTAGACACCCAGCTTTAAAGCCTTTCTTCATTCGTTACCAGAGAGCAGGGCTTTCCACTATCCACATGACAAACAGTCTCTTCTCAAAACTTCTGCTCCTGGTATCAGCTGGAAGCACACCATCTACCTCAGTCAGACTCACAGACAGACAGACAGAGACACGTGGACCTCCTCCGCCTGTGCAAAGGGGGCCTGTGCTTTGTAATTCCAGGCTGTGAGCTATTTGGAACAAGTGCTCCGGCTCATGGAAGGGAAAAATGCGATGGGTGCTCATTCACATCCCAAAAATAGCTTGCCTGGGCTTTGGCCATGGTCCTTTCTGCACCATTCTAACCTCAGACATTTCTTAGGAAAGTCATTTAAGTTTCAAAGGAACAAAAATAAAGTAGAGCTGATTTTCCAAAGCACTAGCTGTTTTTCCAGAATCCAAAGCTGGCACAAGAAAACAAATGTGGAGGAGCTGGGGCTGACCCAGCTGTCAGGAGGGCTGGAGGGGTCTCTGAGCAAGAGGGCACAGCAGACCGAGCTCCACCGATGAGGCCTGGTAAGAGGAGGTCAGCAGCACACAGAGCGCAGGCCTCACGGCAGCTCTGTGCTCCCCAGAGGGGCAGTGTTCATCGTGGACAAGTTGGAATTGTGGGACGGTTTTATAATACTAAAAGCAGAGAATGGTGTTTATCTTCCTCCTTAATCTCTTACTTATTCACTCAGCAACAATTACTGGTGCATTAGCAAGAGTCGGGCACCACTCAAGGGGCCGGGAATACGTAGGCTCAGGCCCCGCCCACAGGGGCAGATGGATTACAAGACCACAGGCAAGTGCTTGTGGAATATGAACCAAGGGCATGGAAGCCCAGAGCAGGCGGTGTCCAACAGAGCCTCGAGGAGTCCAGAGGGGCCACAAGAGAGAAATCTCAAGAAAGCTTCAATTTTAGGAATGAGATTTATTTTACTAGAAGACTGGGCAGTGGACATTCCAGGCCATGGAAATACCCACACAGGGATGTGAGTGTGGAAAGAGCGGGACAGTGGTGGAATGACAGCAAGTTCAAGGTTCAGGATTCGTGAGGAGGTGCGGTGGGGATGTCCAGCGCACGTGGTGGCAGGTGTCCCCTCCAGGCCAAGGAGGGGGACTGGCCTCTCCAGTGGGTGGTGAGGAGCAGAAGACAGAGGAGCAGGAAGAGACAAGTCTTTGGGAAGATGATAGGGCAGCAGTGGACTGGAGGAGGAGGCTGGAGGCAAGGAGGCAGCTAAGGGGCTGTCCAGGCAGCAATGAGAGGAGCCGGAAGAGAAGGGGGAAGAACAGCACATGCAAAGGAGCATAGGAGCCCACTGGGCACCACCTGCCAGGAGGAGCCTGCTGGGGCTGGCGAGGTCTCAGACACTGGATGCCCAGACTTGGGGGTGACAGGATCCCTGCAACTTTGTAGGGCCCTACCCGACCTTCCCTCTTTCCCGGAGAGCTTCCGAGGTGCCTGGCACTATGCTTGGCTTGAAGGGAGACTAGCACTCATTCCCTGCTCAGGCCTGGCCAGCTTCCCTGCCCTACCCAGGCTGGGTCCTCCATGAGGCCTTACCCAGTGACCCCGGTCTATGACACTCAGCAACTTCAGTAGACTGGGGAAGGGGGCTCTGTGCCCTGCCTGGTGCGACAAGCGTGGATTCCTTCACAGATCCTCTCTGGGCTCTGTGAGCGTCCACTGTGCTTACTTGGGCATGACTCACATAAACACTGCCTCCTACTATGTCTCCACTTTCCCCATGTGCAATGTTGCCACCCAGAGAGCATAAACAGAAGGAAGGACTCATTTGCTTTGCAGATCGTATTAACATTCTCAGTCTTTATCTATCTTTGGAACCACTTCTGTGCCCAGCATTGAACAAAGGCTGCAGTGGCTGGCCGAAAAACACAAGGCTATTTGAACTTGCCTGCTACACTACAGTCTTTTCTGAGGACAGGCAAGCAGTACAGAGAAAACTGTAAGGCTTCAGAGCTATTGCCTCACACAAGCCACTTCTGATTCTCAGTTCCCTTACTGTAACAGACAAATTATAATCTCATCCTTGCAGGGTAGCTGTGAAGGGCAAGAAACGTGGATGACGGCAGAGCCAGGTCCTGGCAGGCACTCAGTAGATGTGGTAACGCACACTGCATCTACCACAGGAGGCAGATTTGTACCTGGGGAAATGTACCAGTTTAGAAAATAGTCTTGTAAATCAGTTCTCCAAGTTGCCAGCTCCTCCTTGTCTAAAATTATGAACAGTTTAGAGGCATCAAGCCAGACAATAATTTACAAACTGGAAGAAGCTGTCTCCTCCGCACCCCAATCAATGGCCACCCCTCCTCCCCTAGAAGAAGAATGAACAACTTCGTCTTCGGGCTCCAGTGGAAAAAGAGCTAAAGGTGGTGCTGAGGGCTGGATAGGCGTGGGAGCTCCAGGAACCAGCCCTTATCTAGAGTGAGATAAGGGGAGGTGGAGGGAGATGGTTTGACAGGAGAAGATAAGCGCAGCTTGGATATGTAGCCCAGCAGCCTGTACCAGGCTCAGACTTGCCACCCTGGACCTAAACACCCATCTCACCCTTTACAACTGGCTTTCCAAGTTAGGTCACAGACCTTAAAAATGACTCTAACACCCATGGCGGGTAGCTTTCCTCGTGGGATTAACATCAGAATATTTAGAGTCAGGGTAACCTGAATGTGAATCTGCTCTCAACACTTGCTAGTTTTGTGACCCTAGGCAAGTTACCTCATCCATCTTGGCCTCAGTTTTCTCATGCGTGAAATAGGGATAATACAGGCTTCCCTCAGTAACCATGGGAGATTGATTTCAGGATCCCATGCAGATACCAAAATCTGTAGATGCTCAAGTCCCTTATATAAAATGATGCCATGTTTGCATATAACTTACACACATTCTCTCGTATACTTTAAATCATCTCTAGATTACTTATAATACCTAATACAAGTGCTATGTAAATACTTACATTGCATTGTTTAGGAAATAATGACAGTAAAAAAGCCTGTACATATTCAGTACAGATGAAATTATCTGTTTTTTTTTTTTCCTGAATATTTTCAATCCACAGTTGGTTGTATCTGTGATGTGGGACCAATGGATGCAGAGGGCCACCTGTTCTCCTCACTTCATGGGGCTCTAAGGAATCAGTGAGATCATGTATGTGATAACCAATACTCATTACGATTCTTCAAACAGCCCAAACATCATCATATCAAAAGGAAGGGCAAAAGAAACATCATTCAAGACTACTGAGACTAGCTTTCTGGGTCAAGGAGTTATATACAGGTTGAGTATCCCTTATCCAAAATGCTTGGGACCAGAAGTGTTTTGGATTTCTATTTTTTCTTTTTTTTTTAGAATATGTCCATCATACTTACTTGGTTGAGCATCCCAAATCCCAAAATCCAAAATCCAGAAGACTCCAATGAACACTTCCTTACAGCATCATGTCAGCACTCAAAAAGCTTCAAATTTTGGAGCATTCTAGATTTCAGTTTAGGTATAGTCAACCTGTATACTTTAAAACTAGAGGACAAGGGCCTTCCATTTAGAAGGTCTGAGTTCAAACTCACTTCCTCTCTGTGTAGACTTGGACAACTCATTTATTTTTTGGGTTTTAGTTTCCCATGTATAACTAGGGAACCTCATAGAAAGTAGTTTTGGTAATGAACTGAAAACATACAGAATTCAGGACAGTGCTGGGAATGAACTGGGAAGGGCTGACCTAGCACTCAGAAGGACTCAGTGATTCTGAGCTTCAAACCTTTCTTCCAGAGAACTGGAGTGCAAAACCTTTGGTGGCTATCCTTCCCCTCACCCCAAAAGAACGTAGTCAGGATTTTTTTTTTTTATCAGAGGATCCTGGTAACTAGCTCTTATTAAAGTTTTCCTTGTTAACCACCACCCAGCTGTTGCCCTTTTGAGGTTTGATATGCAATAGAAATAAAACCAACTAGCCAGAAATATGAGGCTTTCTGCATTTTCTGGGAAGAAACAAGATGTGATGCTTTAAGTTTCCAAGAATAGCCTTGAAGCAATTTGGTTTTTGCCAAGTGGAGTCTCTTATTTGTGGTTCTTCTGCTCCCCTGCCTATGTGACTTCATGAGTCACAAAGCAACTTCCTTTCCCTGCCTCTAGCTGCTAAAAATTATAATTAAGGGCCCCAGATTGCAGGCAACAGCATTGGTAATGGGCTAAGCCCACAAAATCTGAGAGTCAAGCTCAAGGTTTATGCAGAGTCCCTGAGCACCTCTCCAAATGAGAGGAGGAGCCTCCCCATCCCGATCTGCAGGTGCCCTCAAATTTAGGACTCTGATGCCTCTTGCCTTCCCTGAGCCTCTTCTCCCAAATGGCATATCAGACAGTGCAACCAGGGTTTTGATAAATGATGGATTTTATACAAACTTAAGGAGATATGGGGGTGGACACTAGGCAGAACCTTCCCACAAAGCAGCAGTTTGCCCAGGAGAAAAGCTCATTTTTCAACCCACCCTTGAGGCTCACAGACAAAATCTGTTTCAAGGTCAATGCAATCCAAAAACAAAACCCATGTATACTGCCAAGCAGCCCTGTTCAAACTTACCCTCTCCCAGCTCTACGTCACTAAGGAGCTCTGGAGGAAGGCCCAGGTTCCTTGGCGATGAAGTGGGGTGTTCCCCCCACACTCGCAGGGTGCTCAGGAAACTAAAAGCTCCAGCTCTAACTCTCGCACACAGAAGACCTTCAGTTATGGCCATCTGAATCCAACACCTGAGATGAGGCAGGAGCCAGCCAGGGGCTCAGCAGTGCGAGATGCCTTCCACACCTGGTGCATCCCCACAGAGCCCACCATGGGCAGGAACACCTGGCTCCCAGGTGGGGCCTACAGACCCCATCTTCCCACCTGGCCCAGGTAGGGCTGGCTTTCCACCTACCAGGGCACTAGGCACCCAATTTAACCAAAAGGAGCACTTCCAGGGTAGGGAAGGGACTGAGAGGGCCACTTTGTCTTCTTGGTAATCTCCTTCCATCCAGGTGTCCCCAGCCTGGCCTCGGTCACTTCCACAAACAGAGGAGCGTGTACTGCCTCCTGGGGCTGCCTGCTCCACCCTTGCCTCCTCTGGAAGACAGCCTCAGTGAAATAATTCTTCTTAGTCATTCCCCAGAAAGATAAGTTCCACTTCTCCAAAGCCTTCTCTATTGCTCCTGGGTGTTGCCTTGAGATCACCTCCAGGAAGCCCAAGCCCCTTTCCATGCACACTGAAGGCACACATGGAGAGTCCTCTTATACATGCTGTCTGAAACCCCTACTACGAAAGGCCAATGAAAGAGCACCCAAGAGACTCACCACGAAGCTCAACCAAGTTTCCAGGAGGTAGCAAGGGCCCAGACCTTCCCCCTTTTGCCACACAGCCTCAGGGCTGGAGTGCTGGGGAGAGACCCCAGGTCCACTGCAGGCCCTGGCCTTCTATGCCCGCTCCTTCACTGAGAACCCAAGTTCTTTGGCTCTTGCCCTTCTGGCCCCAACCCTCTTCCCCACTCCTTTTCAATAGTTAGTAGACTCCACTGGTCTAGCTTGAAGGCGCCTCATACATTCCCCCTTCCTCACCTCATCCATTGCTTCTTATAGCCACTCAACAGTACCAGGCGCCGGGAGGTCCCAATGAGGCAGTGCCCACCCTCCAGGCCTCCCGTCCTGGCATCAAGAAACATCTGTATGCTGACCAGTCACAGTGCTTGGAATGGCAGAAGGAAGCCAACGTCATCAGGGCCCAGTACCACCCAGGCACTCTCACCAGTGTTAACCTAAGGAATCCTCAAAACACGTCTATGTGGACGTGGGGGAGGTAAGACTTTTTTCTTTCTTTTTTCATTTTTATTCTGCAAAAAGCAAAGGCCTTAAAAAGAGAGAGAGAAGTAATTGCAGAAGTTGCCTATCTTCCTTTTCTGTAACACAACTATGTTTGCCATGTGTGATTATTTCATGTATGTATATATGTGTGCATGTGTGTATGTATGTGTGTGCATATGTGTATATATGTATGAATGTGTGTATATGCGTATGTGTACGTGTGTATGTTTGCAGGGGTATACATGTGTACATGTATGTGTATATGTGTGCATGTGTGTATATATGCATGTTTGTGTATATATGGTATATGTGAGCACATATGTATGTGTATTCATGTGTGCGCAAATACACATGTATATGTAGCATGTGTATGTACATGTATGTGTATATGTGCGTGTGTGTGTATGTACATGTATGTGTGGTGAGTATGCAAATATATCATATACATATATATATTTAAAATTTTCCATAAGGATTTCTAGCCAGCACTCCATATCTTCATCTGTACCTCTTCAAGCTCTGTCTCTCTTCAAGGACCTTCCAGAACAGGGGAAGCCTTTGAGGTGGAAAGAACTCTGGCCTAGGCATGAGGATACCTGGGTTCAAGCCCAGCCCTCAGCTTGCACCGCCCATGTGAGGACACTGACAGCGGGCACTCACAGTGTACCAGGCCTTTACCATCCTGTCTCATTTCACCACCCTTGTTTGATAGAAGACAGCTTTACAGAGGTGAGTAAATGCCTCCATATCATGCAGGCAGCTAGTAGGGGTGCTGTGAAATGAGCCCAGGCCATTTCACTTTGAAATCCATGCTCTTAGCCCCAGTCCATATGAGCCATATATACAGAAATAGTATGGTCTTCCTTTTCTGAAGCTGCTATGTAAATTAAATCAGTTAACTTCTATTGTCTCTCAAGTTATTCTGGGCTTGGAGAGTCTACAAGTATCAAATGAGGCATGGTCTTATAAGTCATGGTACAACCAAACAAGTATCAGGCAGTCCTTTAAAAATAATATTTATAAAGACATTTAATCCATGGGAAAATGCTTATGCCATAATGCAGAGTGAAAAGAGCAGGATATGGATCCAGAAAGTCAATACAATTTCAACTCCATAAAATAATGTCTAGTGTCTGTAGGAGAAGAGAAATAAGCCAGATGTGAACAGTGGTGATATGTGTGTAGGATCGCATTTCAGATAGCTGTTAGTATACTTTTACTCTATACTTTTCTGTATTTCCCAAAGTTTCTACCAGGAACATGCATGACTTTTACAACCCCTCTTACATACACATTCCAAGGCCAGGAGTCTTCTTTCCCTGACTGTCCATCTCAACAACAGGAGGTGGGCTTCCTGTATCTTATCTTCTCCAGGCCTAACAAGCGCTCAGGTCTTGGTGGAACTCAGCACCTGGGCCCTTGTGTGGCTACACAGCACTAGCAATGTGATCTTTCTCCAAAACAGAAAGGGTCATCCTGCATGAAACCCTGACATTGTGCTAATTTAAGGAATTAGCTTAAATGTTAACAGGTCAGGGCTAAGTCCCCCAAGGCTGTGTTCCTTCCAGCAGCTCCACTCCCGAGGGACTACAGGGCCCTTGCATCCAGTGCAGCAGGTGCCTTCCAAAGCCCATGCTCTCCCACCCACATTCCAGAGCAGAATGGGAAAGGCATTGCCTCCAACCCAAATCTCCAACCCAAATCTCATTTCCTGCAGGATCCCCTGCTGGTGAAGTCCCCAAGAAGGAAACCTGTGTACCTGGTTGACAAAGTAACGTACATCTTACCCCACATGCAGAGCTCATCTTACCAACAAAACCTTTGCAGACACTTCTGCATGTGACCTGAATCATCTTGATCCCACATTGGGTGCCCAGGAAAACTGTGAACTCTGAATCCCAATTTCTAGGAGGCCAGCCTATCTCAAAACTAACAGTGAGAGGTGACCACAATAAGCAAATTCATAGAGACATAAAGTAGAATGGTGGTTACCAGGATCTGGGGGAAGTGGGGAATGGAGAGTTATTATTAAATAGGTGCAGACTCGAGGTCAGGAGTTTGAGACCAGCCTGACCAATATGGTGAAACCCCATCTCTACCAAAAATACAAAAATTAGCTGGGTGTGGTGGCACGTGCCTGTAATTCCATCTACTGAGGAGGCTGAGGCAAGAGAATCGCTTGAACCTGGGAGGTGGAGGTTGCAGTCAGCCAAGATTGCACCACCGCACTCCAGCCTGGGTGACAGAGCAAGACTCCGTCTCAGAAAAAAATAGGTGCCAACTTTCAGTTTATTCTGTGGAAGGATGGTAGTGATGGTTGCATAACAACATGAATGTACTTAATACCATTAAATCTTACAATTAAAAATAGTTAAAATGGGCCAGCCACAGTGGCTCATGCCTGTAATTCCTGCTCTTTGGGAGGCCAAGGTGGGAGGATTGCTTGAGTCCAAGAGTTCAAGACCAGCCTGGGCAACGCAGTGAGACTCTGTCTCTACAAAAAAACAAAGAAAAATTAGCCGGGTGTGGTGGGGTGCGTCTGTGGTCCCACTTGTGGTACTTGGGGAACTGAGGTGGGAGGATTGCTTGGGCCCAGGAGGTCGAGGCTGCTGTAAGCCATGATCATGCCACTGCACTCCAGCCTGGGTGACTAGAACAAGAGCCTGCCTCAAAACAAACAAACAAAAAAAAGGTTAAAATGATAAATTGTATGTTATGTAAATTTTACCACAAAAACAATAATAAAATGCAAACAAAAAAAAAAACCCTACCACCACTACCACCATCACCACCTTCTATAAGTGGGAGCTGCCCAAGGCCAGGGAATAGAATCTGTGGTCTAATTAATAATCTTGCTAACTTTCTGAAATACTTTTGAGTTAAAATACAATAAACAAAATAAATCATTAGGTCAATGAAAGACATTTGCTGTTTTTTATTGGTTCAATGAAATATTTTTTACCTCTTTTTAAAAAGTCATCTAGGCTTCTCTCATTCTTTCCAAATCTCATTTGACCGCAGGAAGCCCACCAAAGCTCAGCCTTGCCAAGTTCCCCATTTTTATCTCCTATTCTGTCTTCCCCAGACTCTCACCACAGGTACACTCCTCCCCCACCACTCTGCACCTGTGAAATATTCTTCAACACCCCAGGGAAGGTTGGGCACCAGTTCCCTGGTCTTAGCTCTCAGGGCCTACCATACATCGCCCTACCCAGGAAGAACACTCAGACCCTGTGTTCCAACAATTCCTATACAGAGTGGGTGGTGCCCTAAATAAGCATACCCATATTGCTCCCACACAAAGTAGATGGGGCCACAGGCACACAAGCACTACTGTCTTGCACACCACATCAGGATGTAGTCTTTGGTCTAGACCTTTGATTCTTTTTATTCTTTTTTTTTTTTTTTTTTTTTTTTTTTGAGACAGAGTCTTGCTTTGTTGCCAAAGCTAGAGTGCAGTGGTGCAATCTTGGCTTACTGCAACCTCCACCTCCTGGGTTCAAGCGATTCTCCTGCCTCAGCCTCCCAAGTAGCTGGGATTACAGGTGCCTCCCACCAGGCCCAGCTGATTTTTTTTTTTTTTTGTATTTTTAGTAGAGACGGGGTTTCACCATGTTGGCCAGGGTGGTCTCAAACTCCTGGCCTCAAGTGATCCACCCTCCTCGGCCTCCCAAAGTGCTGGAATTACAGGCATGAGCCACCAAGCCCAGCTAAGACCTTTGATTCTTAATACTCTCCTGCCCTTCTTTCATCAAACTCCAAAATGCTAGGATCTATAGATCAAATGAGAACAGCATCCAATCCACCAGTGAAAGCTAAGCTGAGAGGTGTCTTTGGAGCCTTGGTGGGTGTTGTGGAGATGAGCTAGCTCACCACCAGCTGGACCGCTCCTTCCTCCTGGACCCTTGCTAGCAGCTGTGAGTCCAGGTGACCAGGTTCTAAGTCATGGAATCCAAGCAGGAGTGGCGCATGCCACTTCTAAGACCGACCCATAAGAATCCCCCATAGTGGTTTTTGGTGCCTTTTCTACTTCTGCCAGGGCACAAAGACCTTGGAAACTGTGTGTTGAAGTTGGTGAGCCACAAGAAGGAAGGGACCCAGTCCCCTGGATGCCTGCATGGGGGAAAGCCCTCTTTGACCAGAACACATGTTTTGGACTTTACATATGTGAGCTATAAATATGCAGTATGCGAAGTCACTGAGAACTGGGAACTTATCTCTTAGGCAGGAGGCATTACCCTAGCTAATACAGTAGGTATTAGGAGTGGGTATGTCAAATTTGGCCTGGATCAGAAGGCATTCCTTCCCAATGTGAAGGTCAACCACATGGGAATTAAGATGTCTCTTACCCGACTGTTGCAGGCCAACTTCCAATAACAACCGGGTCCGTCATTTTACATTTTACCTTCTATTAGTACCTTAGTGTTCTGCAAAAGTTGCCTGACCCCCAGAAATAAGCCTGCCCACCCCTCTACGTAGGCACTCACACATGTGCAACCTATCTTGAAAAAGACATCCTTTCCCTATTTGCAAATAGCATAAGACAGGAGACTAGAACAGATAAGCTAGTTCATTTCCTTGGTTTCAGAAACACCCCCAGGCACTCAGCTCTTGAGTCCCTGGAAGCCAATGTGATGTGGTAGAAAGAACATGGGCTTCTGAGTCACTAAGTACTCCTTTGAGCAAGTCATAAACAACATAGGGTTCCTGTGAAAATTAAACGGAGGGGCCTCTCACAGCGCTGAGCCCACAGATGAGCTCAATAAGCGTCAGTTCCCGGGAAGCTGCGTGGGGATAACTCCTACCACCTCAAGCTCTAGGTAGCCCAAACCAAACCGAGGCAGAAATGGATACATTTTCACATAAAAGTTGAGGGTAGCTCATCCTCGCCTTAACCAACTCTCTGCTATGGTAAGACGACTAAAAACAGATTTTCCACCAAGTCTCTGCCCGGCACCCTCTTAAAGGCACTCTCCAGGGGAACCTTTGTATCTAAATGGCACTGCGTCTTGCTGAAATTAGGCCTTTGGGACTTGATGCCAGTACAGTAATTAGTCTGGAGGATATAGAGGGATGCTGGGGAAGAGGCATCAAAGTCACAGCCAAGTGAACTTGAAAAGGATTTCTCTATGCCTATTCACTGTGTGCATGGTACCACACCTGGAGCCCAGGACGACTGCAGAGCCGCCCCACCCAGAGCAGCTCGCAACCCAGCTATATCTGATGGAGTCTGTCCCCCAAAGATCCCCTATGTTTTGTGTGCATTTTTTGTTTTTGTTTGTTTTTTTTTTCAGACAGGATCTCACTCTGTTGCCCAGGTTGGAGAGCAGTGGTACGGTCACGGCTCACTGCAGCCTTGACCTCCTGGGCCAATCTCCCTGTTCTGAAGAACTGTACCATTTGACCTCATTTTTCTCAAACACGCTTAGAAAAAGTTCAGTGCTCAACAAAAGTTTATTTTTGTTTCTCTGATTTGTGAATTTATCAATATGAAGTCATTCCCCAAAATGCGCACAAATCCAACCACAGTTAGATCTATATTTGCTTTTATGGGAGAAAACAAATAGCACTCTTCTTTCTTCCCCTCACAGCCTAGGTTTCCAAATGAATAGTCCAGCCTTGCAATGTGCACTTCCTCACCTCCCACTCATCCATCAAACCACCACAATCTGTTTTCTCCTCACAGGCCACCCGGTGCATCAAACCAACGTCACCACCAACTGCTGCTAAATGCAACCGCCACTTATGGGGCCTTATCTTGAGGCCCCATAGAGAGGGCAGACCCCTCTCTACTTGCCCCTGAAAATGAAGGTTCTGGTCTTCACTGTCATGGACCGTAACACTCCTACAGTTCAACCAGTATCTGTGTCCTCATGACTCCCCAGGCTGTACTTGCACCACACAGCTCCCTGCTGCATTTCAGGCCCTTGTGTCACCAACAGTTGGACATTCTCCTCTCACTATCTTATAGAGACCTCACGTGTGGCCAATTTCCCTTGCAACCCCACCTGTTCCTTCTCCTGCAGCCCCAACCTCAGTGAGCAGCACCATCGTGACTCTGCAGCCAAATCCTTCGAGTCAAATTTCTCTGCCCCTTTTCCCTCATCTTGCAGAGCCAGCCAGTCACCAAGTCCTGCCTCTTCAGCAGCCCTATTTACTGCCTCCCATCCTTCCTAGGAGGGTCAGGTCTCCACCTGCTGTCACCTGGAACTCTCAAAATCTCGTAAAAACATTTCCTGCCTCCAGATTCACCTCCCTCCAATCCACCAGCCTAGTCCTCAAACTGTTGCCAGAGAGATCTTTATTTCAAAAATGTGCACTTAGTCAGGTTCCATTGCTGTTCAAAATCCTTCAACAGCTCCCTGACAATCTGCAGGGTGAAGTCCAAACATCTTAATGGAGCAAAACAAAAACTACCTTCGTGATCCAGCCCTAGCTCGCCCCTCCAGCCTCTACTCTCATCACTTCCCCGCCCCCTCATACTCTAGACTCAGGAACCATTTGTAATTTCCCGATAAACTCCACTCCGACACACTTCCACCCACATGCCTTTGCTGATGCTGATCCCTCTGTCTGGAATGCCTATCTGGACTCTGTTTACCTTGTGAAAGCCCAGTGGTCTTTAGGGCTGAAACATCAAAGGCAGCAGAGTGTCACAGGTCCCAGTTTGGACTCTGGAGTCAGGCAGACTGGTCACCAAACCCAACCCACCATTTACTAGGTGTGTGAGCCTGGAGGAGTTGCCTAACCTCTTTGAACCTCAGTTTCTTCATCCATAAAATGGGTATAATAACAGTCCTGACCCCTTGGGTGACTTCAGGATGAAACACAGTGACGCCTGGCTGGGCTGCATCCTTAGCTGCACTGTTCTTCTTTGAAGCATAATTTGCCCTCCCTGGGCCCCCTTTTCTACACTGTACTCTGGGGAAGTTTGTATGATGGTTTTGCACATACCCTTGCATTGATCTACTTGTGGCCCCTCCTACCTCACCTGACTGTGCGTTCTGAAGCTGAAGGCTGCAAGCCCCGGGGCCTGGTGCCCATGCCTCTGACAATGGTGGGTGCTCAATAACCACCACTGGTAGATACAATCAAATCAAGAGTATCGCACACAATTCAGGGTGTGTAGTGGCTAGAGTGTGGCTGCCCTTTGTCAACAACCCTGCCACTTCATCCAGGACCTGGCCAGCTCTGACCTGAGCTACCATGGGCCTCCTCACTGATCTCCCCCTTCCCAACTCACCAGCTTCACCTTTATCCTGTTCATAAATCTCTCAGGGCTCCCTACAGCCCTTGTACAAATCCAAACCCTCCTGCCGGGCTCAGCGGGCTCCCACCCATCATGCAGCCCTCTCTTCCTTGTTAGGCTCAATTCCCAAAGGCATTTGGGCTTATCCTGTGGCTGCCCTCATATCAAGTCTCTGTCTTACTTCTCAAACCTCGCTCATCCTCTGAAGCCCAGTCAGCTCCATGGTGCTGACTGAACACCTACTACAAGCTGTGCCCCCTAGGAGCTTCACAGTCTATTCAGGGAATCCAAACAAACTAACAGTTATTGGTAAGAGCTGCTGGGGAGGTGAGTGCCAAGACATGTGGATGCAGAGTTGGAAGATGGAGTGACTCAGCACCTGAGAAAAGCTCCCTGAGAAGGTGGTACCAGGGCGGGATCTTAAGGGATGGGCTGGAGCATTCAGGTTCAGAAGCCCTCCACCACCCCATCCCTTACCCATCTGTGTTCGTCTAACTCAGAGTCTATGCCTAAGCTCACCAAACCTGGCTGTCGGGCAGATTCGCCCAGGAAGTCTATGAAAACTCAGTTTCCTGGGCCTGTTCCCGAATAGAATCCCTGCAGCCTGAGGTTCAAGAGGAAAAGATGTTTTTAACTCCCCAGGGAATTCTGTTGATCAGCCAACTTTGGGACCCACTAGCCACATTCAATTCCATTCATTCAATTTACTGAGAACCTATATTGTGACTGGGGCCTTGCTAGGTGCTGTGGATGCCAAGGGAACAAGATGCTTCTTCCCATCTTCTGAAAAATGGGGAAGACGAAGAGTTCCCACACAGGTCACAGACCACGCCATTTGGCTCTTCCTTTAGCCTTGAACCTATCATGTGTTTTGTGCACTAATCTTGTCTGGACAATTTAATGTGTAAACTTAAGGAAAGGCAGATTTTTAAATTTATTTTCTATTTCCCAGAGTATTCACCCCAGCTCTGGGTTCTCAGTTGGTAATCAATATTTAAGGTTCAAATAATTCAGCTTTCTGTATTATGGTATTTTGTAGCTAATTCACTCATTGATGAGCTGTTTACTGATCTTCATCTTTGTAATTCCAGTGCCAACATGGTGCCTGCTCCCAGTAGGTAGTATATGTTTGTTGAATGAATGAATGCTTACCATAGAAATCTGGCTCAGGAGGGATGGAACTGCTTCCATGGTAGCACCTTTAGAGTTCACTTAAAAGATTTCTAAATTTTTTCTTTTGCTTTCTTTTTTTTATTATTATTATACTTTAAGTGCTAGGGTACATGTGCACAATGTGCAGGTTTGTTACATATGTATACATGTGCCATGTTGGTGTGCTGCACCCATTAACTCGTCATTTGCATTAGATATATCTCCTAATGCTATCCTTCCCTGCTCCCCCCACCCCATAACAGGCCCCGGTATGTGATGTTCCCCTTCCTGTGTCCAAGTGTTCTCATTGTTCAACTTCCACCTATGAGTGAGAACATGCAGTGTTTGGTTTTCTGTCCTTGCAATAGTTTGCTGAGAATGATGGTTTCCAGCGTCATCCATGTCCCTACAAAGGACATGAACTCATCCATTTTTATGGCTGCATAGTATTCCACGGTGTATATTGCCACATTTTCTTAATCTAATCTATCATTGATGGACATTTGGGTTGGTTCCAAGTCTTTCCATTGTGAATAGTGCCACAATAAACATATGTGTGCATGTGTCTTTATAGCAGCATGATTTATAATCCTTTGGGTATATACCCAGCAATAGGATGGCTGGGTCAAATGGTATTTCTAGTTCTAGATCCTTGAGGACTCGCCACACTGTCTTCCACAATGGTTGAACTAGTTTACAGTCCCACCAACAGTGTAAAAGTGTTCCTATTTCTCCACATCCTCTCCAGCACCTGTTGTTTCCTGACTTTTTAATGATCACCGTTCTAACTGGTGTGAGATGGTATCTCACTGTGGCTTTGATTTCCATTTCTCTGATGGCCAGTGATGATGAGCATTTTTTCACGTGTCTGTTGTCTGCATAAATGTCTTCTTTTGAGAAGTGTCTGTTCATATCCTTCGCCCACTTGTTGATGGGGTTGTCTTTTTCTTGTAAATTTGTTTGAGTTCTTTGTAGATTCTGGATATTAGCCCTTTGTCAGATGAGTAGATTGCAAAAATTTTCTCCCATTCTGTAGGTTGCCTATTCACGCTGATGGTAGTTTCTTTTGCTGTGCAGAAGCTCTTTAGTTTAATTAGATCCCGTTTGTCAATTTTGGCTTTTGTTGCCATTGCTTTTGGTGTTTTAGACATGAAGTCCTTGCCCATGCCTATGTCCTGAATGGTATTGCCTAGGTTTTCTTCTAGGGTTTTTATGGTTTTAGGTCTAACATTAAAGCCTTTAATCCATCTTGAATTAATTTTTGTATAAGGTGTAAGGAAGGGATCCAGTTTCAGCTTTCTACACATCACGATTTCTAAATTTTTCATTTGAATTACAGACCACCAATTTCAGGATTAATTTCCTGATATACAATTACAGAAGCTTTGTTGTTTATATTGTCATTAATGTTATTAACAACATAAATAACACCTTCCTGGCTCTCAGTAGTCTGCTGGCCTCTGAGATGCTTGTGCACACCTTTCATTGGGCCGTCCACCCAACTGGCAGTCCAACTGGCCATGTCCCTCACCCCAGAGTCTGCATAAGAGCCTATACACTGCATTCAGCCTTTATAAGCAGGTGTATACACCTGCATGGACAGGTGAGCCCTGCCTGAGTCAGAAATAACTAATGGCTATTCGAAGCCTACCAAAATGTCAACACACTTGGGAAGTCAGGATCTAAGATTTAGATGTAAAATTGCCTGTGCTGCAGAGAGGCAGCATGACAAAGGAAGAGCCCCATCATGAGGTTCCTGGGAGACCTGTCCAAGCATAGGACATTGGGCCAGCTAGGGTTGGCTAGGTATGCAGGGGTTGCCAGCAGAATGACTCCCCCTGCTTTCTCCAGGGCCAGCATTCCCAGTAGATCATTGTCGCTATTGATGTTTGTTTGTTTTAAGCCCTGAAAACAGGACTCGTCATCTTGAGGTGATGTGGATTAAACATCATCTGTCTTTCCAGGCCCCGGCCTAGAAGATGCCTTTATCGGGTAACTTCGTTTATGCCAAACACCAAAGGGGTCTTTTCTGAAGTGCATGCTGGGTCCTGATAGCATGCAGGCCACATAGTCTGAGGCCTGTTCACTTCCATTTTGTTCTGCTGGAAAACAGAAGGATTTCCTTGCTGGTCATTCATTCAACACTGATTACCATGTGCCCAGCGATGTGCTACATGAACCCAGCTGGACAGTTCTTAGGTACAACCTCAGGAGAGTGAACAGACCAGAAACTGGCAAGGTGAGACAGTTCTGAGAAAGGATTCCTTCCTTCATCAGGATGTGGGCTGAGAAGAGCTCTCTGCCCACGGAAAATATGCTGCTATCAGGAGGCATTTCAGACATCTGAACAGAAGTGAAAGATCAGGACAGTTTTGACCCAGTCCTTTACTATACAGAGGAACTGAAGTCTCTCGGGAACTTCTCCCCAGATGTCTGTAAAGCCAAGTAAGGTTACAGATGGCAAATACAAAAATGCCTGTCTGAGAAGACAGGGTAGAACCAGTCTCTAATGTATACTCAGTTGCTGAACTAACTGGAGGAAGTTATTGGTCTGACAGGTTGTAGCTGAACTGACTGGAGGAGGTTATTGGTCTGACAGGTTGTATTTCACCTCCCTGAACTAGGTGCACGAGCATTGAGGTTTGAAAGTCCTATAACATTTGCCTACTTGGTAATGGCTCGGAGGCTGCAGAACCGTTGCAATTTATGGTTGTGAGCAATTCACTACATTGAGAACAACGCAGACCTCTGTGGGACAGTCTCGGGGAAGAACGCTGCCTCTCCAGGCCACACTCAGAGGCCACATTCCTGAAAGCTCAGAGAGGCTGGGTCATAGGTTCCAGGGCCCAGAAAGGGCCTTGACCATTCAGGGGGTCAAAATGTCCCTCACCAGCCCCAAACTCCAACATCCAGAAGCCCCAGAGGAGGGGAGCCCCGAAGGTATGGCCCCGCTAGTGACTTCTCCCTGGTGGGAGGGAGACAGCCTCCCATCATCCTGATGAATACATTTCTCTTGGCTGAATAAAGACATTGGACTCTTTCCTTGGTATTTGGGCTCATGCTCTGAAAAACATGTTTACTAAAATAAGCCCCAACTGTTCCAAAAAAGATTTTTTTCTTTTCTCATAAAGATACAAAACCCACGGGCAGCAGATAGGGACTGTTGATACAAGACCAAGAAGTCTTAGACTCCAAATCACTCTCTGGTTTATTGGTTTGCTCCTCTCCATAGAAGACAATTCAGGCTCAAAGTTCAATGTTTGAAACTCATTTCCTGGGGCAGACCTCAGCAAGGTATTCATTAAAGTGGGGGTGTGCAGGAACAACCACGCCCAGGAGACAAGAGTTCCTGGCGCTCTCTCTCTCTCTCTTTCCCTCTCTCTCTCCGCCATTATTCTTTCCACTCTAATGATCTGATATTTTTAAAAATTCTGGCTCACCCTCATGACAAATAATCTACTTCCTGGATACTTTTGCCTTGCAAATGTCATCCTTAAAAACAACTATATTTTTTGTTGGTCTTTATTTTTAAGTAGCTTTCTCAACCCAGAGCCCCAGCTCCTGCAGAAATATTATGTGACCCTGTCTGGAATGCAAAATGATCCCTGGAGAGTCAATCTGCGCAGGAACTCACAAGGGTGTTTGCTATCAGCTTATCTGGCAAGAGGAATCTGAGACATTTTAAATATGAACTGTTGGTGTGGCCCGTCCCACCCCATTCACTTTGCCCCATCAATAATCACTTCCATTGGTGTGTGAGACACAAAATGCAGAAAACGGACACAAACTCTCTGAAAATGAGCCCCCAGCAGAAGTTCCTTTCTCTATATGGAAACATCCATCAGGCAGCTGGAGAATTCATATTTGGAGAAGCTTTCCTGGTCTCTGCTAATGTTTCTTTCAATGAATCTCACCTAGCAGCAAGTATTTTGCAAAGCCCTTGACAGTCTACTTCTGAACTCCCCTCCTCTCCCACTTCAGAGCTGATCTCTCAACTGAATGTCTCATTCCTTGCACCCTCAGCTAAGAAAAAAGCATGCCCACTACTCCTCCTTACTTCTAAACACCAAATCAGGCCCTTTCACACCTCCACCCAGTTTCCTTGGAGAACCGTCTGCCTCCTTTTCTGCCTGGCAACCTCCTGATCATCCTTCAGTACCCAAGTCTCACAGCCCCTCCTTGGTAATGCAGTCTTCCCTGTGTGCTGCTCTCTTCTCAGTGCTTCCAGAGCGATAAGGGAGCTATGACTGTCATCATATACATCTGTCCCACCACCAGGCTAGGCCACAAGTCCTAGGAGTAAAGGGACTAGGTCTTACTCACTTTTGCATCCCAAGAACCAAGCCCAGGACCTGGCATTTGGAAGTCCCATGATAAATGTTTGACGCTTCAGTCAATGCCTTGCCTATTTTTCCCCAGCCCTCCCTTCTGTGTGCAGAGAGCCATGTGAAATGTGGAACCAGGAAGGGCTTTAGAGTCAGATACCTTGCGTTTGAGTCCTGGCCCTTGTGGGCATGGACAAGTTATTTAACCTGTAACTGTCTCAATTTTCTCCTCAGTACAACAGGTAGCCATGCCTATCTCTCAGAGAGCTGCTATGAGGAAAAACAAGGTAATATATGTAAACCTAGTGCTTGCCCAATGCAAAGTGCTCCAGATGCATTTCCTTGAGCTCAGCAGGAAGTGTTGGGCCAAATGGAGTTCTACAGAAAAAGTGAGTGGTTTCCATTCTGGTTTATGTGCCATCAGCATAGTGCTGGGATGGCCAGTCTCTGACTGAAAAAGCCCCTCTCAGAGCAAGCAACAGTGTAATCCATGCCCTTTGCTGGAGGTTCTCACAACAAGGCCTGCTTAGCAACAACGCTCATATGATTTTGATTTGAATGGCAAACTCACAAGAGGCTACTCCTGCTAAGGCTGGGCCATCTTATAGCCTTCATTTCCTGTCTTGAATTAATCTTTCACCCCAAGACACATCATAAAACAGAATAACGGCAACTCAACAGTGTTAAGTCACTAAATACAAATCAAAACAGCCTGCACATAAGAAGCCTCAACCTCTCCATGCTGTTGCACCCAGGTTTTATTAGGCCTTGATAAACAATGAGGTAGGAGCTGTGGGGGCCCTGCTAACACCTTAGACATTCAAGTGCAGGGTGGAGGAGAAAAGAGGAAGGCACGGTGGCTGAACCCACATGAGGAGGCAACATGGAACTGCAGAGAGAGCCACTTGCTGGGAATCAGGAGACTTAGCTTCTGTCTCACTTCTACCACCAGCTTGCGCTATGGGTGTGCTTGAGTCATGTCTCTGGGCCTCAGTTTCTTTACTAATAAACGGGAGAAGTGGATTAAAGGATCTGTCGTTCTTTTCAGCTTTAATACTTTACAATTGTAAATGTTAGAGACAAATCCACCTTCCCTAGCCTTTCCCCTTTTCATATTGGTTGTCCATCTGAGGTATCTCTCATCTCTCACTGAGCAACCTTCTACCAATGCTATTCCCTTTATTTCTCCAAAGTGTCTGGTCACCCCTGATCACAAGGGTTGGCCAACTTGGGGCCATATTCTTAAGAACATATTGACTACCCTCTGATCAAAAATTCAGTACAATCCAGGTACCCTGGGGCATCAAGGACTTGAAAATCCCAACAACCTTTAATCCCATTTTCCTCTGATACCAACCAACTTTCACTCCTTAGATCTCTAAGAGTCTCACAAGGTTAGAGTTTTCTCCCATGCTGCTTGGCAGAAGAGTAGGGCAACAACAGGAAGTTCTTATCTGCACTCTGGCATAACTCAGGGTGGCGCAGGGGAGAGATGGCAAAGCTACAAAGATCAGGATGAAAGTGCTTACAGAAGCAAGCTCTGACCACATGAGGAGGAGGTGACCTGGAGGAGAAGACAGTGCTAATCACAAGGACAAACTGAGAGAGACACTGAGGACCAGGACCACAGAAGTCAAGGAGACTTCTTTAAGATACCACCAAACCTCCACCCCTCCCTGAATTCCTGAATAAGAAATCTGAAGGCCCCTGAGGTTCTGTGACTCGCCCAAGGCCACATAGCTAAGCTGTGGACAGTCAACACTAGAACATGGCTCTCTTGGTCTCAGCCCACTCTTATTTCTACTCTATTCTGTTGACCTCAAGAGTCTAACAAGGCCAGCTGGATCCCTTGCAGACTCGAAGAAAGATGACCCAAGTATCACTTAGGGAAAGAGCAGACCCAGCGGATATTTTGATAACTGCCTCCCGGAGCCCATGAATTCTTTCCCATCTTGACATGGTTTTCTTGTTGTTTCTCCAGCCCTTGCCACAACATATGGAAAAGTTCAGAGGTCAGTGAGAAGGAAGAGGTAGGCTCCCCTAACTGTACAGAACCCTGCATATCTAAGATAATACACACCTGTCCTTCTTCCTCAGTCTAGAGAAGGTTGGTGGGGGAAGGGTAGAAGGAGGAGATGAGTGAACTGCCTGGAAGGCTGACCTGTTTAGGCCACAGGTATTATTCATGGGCAATTAGATGGGTCACTGAAGGTCTGTGACAACAAACAGTAGGATCTGCTTCTCCCAAGGACCTCTCATAGATCAATGTCTAACGTAGCATCTCAATGTCAGGAGGAGGAAGCTCCGAGTAAAAGTCAAGGAATTAATTATTCAGTGTGCATGACCTAGTTCCCAGAGGTATGGCTGGGTGAGAAGAGAGCTCACCAGTTCCTTATCATGGCAAGAAACTCAAATATTCCACAGGGTAGTGTTCTCTTTGCTGCCAAAGAGGGTCCACTTATGGTTGAGAGTGGCCAAAAAAAAAAAAAAAAAGAGCCAAAGTTCACTCATTCCACAAGTGTTTATTGAGCTCCTCTTAGGTCTCAGGCCCTCCAGAGATTTACTATGGTTGGAGTTTAGCAGAGGAGAGACATGGAATTTATAAACAGTAGGACTGGGCCATGTCCCAGCTCAGCCCTTAGACAGCTGCATTGCCTTGGGCAGGCTACCGCCTGCCTAAGGCAAATTTCTCATCTGTAAAATGGGAGAAGTCCACCTGCTTGATCATGAAGATGAAATGACCTTTATAAAACATAAAGTGCAAAGAAATATGAAGTGTAAATAATAATGATACAACATGATACACTTCCCCTGCCCTAGAGAAGTATATAATTTGGGAATGCTTTGGAAAATAATCCAAGGTACCTATTTGGCAAGCATCACATTCTCTGTAATTTGGGGAAATTTTATGTTTCACCCTGCCAATGGAGATGAAACTGGCAGTCAGTCCCAGTCCTCAAGTCCAGGAAGTTGCAAGAAAAGGTAGAATAAACACAGAAGAGTAGCCAGGACCCACCTGGCCCTGGGTCAAGCCTGGATTGAATGGATGAGCCAGGAGGGACCCAAGATTCCAAAGGGAAGAGAGAAGAACAGCACGTGTGTTCAACAGAAACAGAACAAAACAAAAATTCATTTGAGGGCAATAGGATTGAGCCAGCCAGAATTGCTCACACTCCCCTCCCTACACATTTCAGACAACATTGGAATTCACTGTTCATTGCCTGACCCTCCTCTGTGGACAAACTCTGTATTCTGTTTCTCCAGAGAGGGGACAGTTTCTCAGGCTGTGGCAGACTGGCCAATCAGCTCTTTGCCTGGGTCTTTCCCCAGATACTAAGAATGAGAATTCCTGGAGCAGCTTTCCCTGAGGTCCAGTCAACCCCTTGTCATCCTGCCATTCAGGACTCCCGTGGACTCCTCACCCCACGTGATCCCTCAGCGCCCACCAGGCCAGCTGCCAAATGCCCTGACATGCACGCCGGCTGCCCCTCCGCCGGAGCCTCCGCCCATGCCCCAGCATCTTGGATTGGGCCCTGATGCTCTCCCCTCACCCTCACCTTCATCCTCCCTCCTCCCACAACTAAACTGAGCCTCTTCAACGCCCTGCCAAGGCTCACATGTCCAGGAAAGCTCCCGGAGAGAAGGGAGGGTTTTATTCATCCCTATGTTCCCTCTGACTCATGGCTTTCTGTAAGTTCTTCACCCTCCTGTAAACACAGATATATGGTCCCAAAATGTTCTCTGATTGCTGAATACAGGAGCAGGGCAGAGGAGGAGGGAGGAGGGGTGCCAAAACGCCAGACAGGAAGTCCAGGGCCTGCGTTTCCATTCTCCATTGGACACCAGTGAGCCCTGTCACCTTGAGAAAGAATCTTCAGGCCAGGCCTCAGTCTCCCTGTTTGGCAATGAGGGGTTTACTCTAAACAACCTTTCTAATTATAAGGTTACAGAAACCAGGCTAGCCTGGGACACAG
Organism: Homo sapiens; assembly: GCF_000001405.40. Classification (NCBI taxonomy): domain Eukaryota; kingdom Metazoa; phylum Chordata; class Mammalia; order Primates; family Hominidae; genus Homo; species Homo sapiens. The sequence continues at coordinate 12,139,017 of NC_000011.10, read as the reverse complement.
AAAACGTGAGTCCTGGGCACTTATTAGCCTACCACCACCTGTGGCAGGCTATCTGACTCCTCAGACCCCAGCCTCCATGTCTATAAAATAAACAAGGATAATGTGACCACCCCACCCAGGGCACAAAGGTTCCCATAGGACACTGTTTGTGATGAAGCTTTGTGGACCATAAAAGCCCTGATCAAACCTCAGGGATGAGACTCCTTGAGTCCACAAACAGCTGTTGGTCACCTGTGATGTGCCTTGTACTGTGCCTGCCGGGAATTGCTGCCTGGCTCAGACAGGAAGGCGGGAGTCTGGTTCCTTGCCCTTGAGGCTCCCACAGCCGGTAGGTGGGACAAGCAGGTGAACAAACCCTAACTCAGTGGTGTATCTGAGGCAAGAACACAGCGCTAGGGGAGTGCAGAGGAGGTGGTGCTGACTCAGAGGGAACAGCGCGCCCTGGGCACAGCAAGCTGCCCCAGGATGGTGGGAACATCCCACACTTTCCTAAGCCTAGGACCAGCCCCCAGGAGCTACTCCACGGTAAACAAGATCCACCACTGTGACTTACTCACTGGATTCTCAGGCATCACAGTGGTTAAAGTCTTCTCTTTCTGGGATGAGACACACACGGGTTGCCATGTTCCTTTAAAAACAAGAGCCCAACAATTAATGTCAGTGACATCATCGTAGCTTATGCCTCCTTTCTAGTCTCCTCCAAGAGGTCACGCATGCTTGTGCACTCTGCCTTGTGGGACACTTCACCCAGCAAGAGGAAATGGACAGAGAATCTCTCCCTGGCCTCCAACAAGTTTTGCACGTGAAGAAAGGAATAGCAAGATGGCTAAACAAATTCTATTGTTGGCTGCAGTCAGGGCACCCTAAGGGCTTATCAGATCTCTACACAAAGACTTTGCTGAGGAGTAGGAGGGATCCGGAAAACAATGCTTTATTCGCTGCTTTAGTAAAAACAGAAAGTGTCAGAATTTTTAAGTGTGAGACACAATGAAAGTAAATCAAGCAGGTGTAAAACTGGATAACAAGTCCCCAGTGTGAAACGGGTCCCATTTTCTAACACTGAGTAAACTAGGGAGTTATGAAAGTGCACCAGCTGATCATGGCTGAGTTTCCTAAACTAATTTTTCTCTTGGCTTCCAGTGACGACCCACATTATTTCATGACATCCTATTGCTTCTGCAGAAAATGCCTCTACACCTGTTTGGAAAACGAAGCCCAGAGTTACAAAATATTTCTAATGATTTACTTCCACATTAAAAAATAAATCAAAATATTTAAGAGGTAACCTCAAAGGGACAAAAACTAACACAGGTGTGAAATTTGACATCTATAAGAGGCAATATTCATACTCCAGGGAGGTATACGCACACTTTGTTCAACAGAGTGGTGCCCCCCACACACACACTCACACACACACACACTCTCTCTCTCTAGCACACAAAGAGCACACATTGTTAGAGTGCTGGGAGATGGGACTCACTGTTCAGAATTCTCAGCCCGTTAATGGGAGACAGCCTATGAAGTGCTGTGTACTGTCATGGGTGGAGACTAGACCTGCTTGATCTCAGTGGCTCCTCACAGACAGCAAACAGAGGCTTACAGAACAGATGGCACTTGCCAAGCCCCTACAGCAAGGCAGGATTGGAGCCCAGGACTGGCTGCCCCTGTGCTCATGGTCTTTCCCACCAAGCTGAGGGAAAGGTGTACTGGACATCAACTCTGATTTAGTCCTGGTGGGCCCACACACCGGGCGAGCCTGGCGAGCTCCAAGGGCGGCCACCTGGGCAGAAGCGGCAGCCCTGCCCGCCCGTCATCATCATTACCAAGCCCACACCCCTCGGGGCTTGTGCCAGCTGACAAACAGGCTGGCCTGCCTGGGCCACATTCTATCAGCCTGTGCTGCAGGCTCGGTGCTGCTGCTTCCAGCCAGAAGTCAAAGCGGCTAGAGGCCTTGACTTGTCTGCCCCCTGCTTCTCAAGGGAAGCTTCTGGGATCTGTGGGTGGGGAGCTGGACATCCTGGTACAGAATTCCATCATTGGTCCAACCAGAGTTTCAGAAGCCAGGGACCCCGCCATGCTCTCTAGATCTCAGGAACAGAAGTCCCTACCCACCCTAGGGCATTACGGAGACCAGCAGCAGGGACACGGGGCTCTTTAAGGTTCAGCTTAGGCTGTCTTCATGGTGGGTTGGAGGCAGGTATGACTGGACCAGGCTACAAGGGCTGACCACTGGTCAGATGCTCACAGAGGCCTGGGCACACTGTGTCCAGCCACTCAAAGGACCAACTCGTACCCTTTGTCTGACCAACAAGCCAAATACACTTGAGCTCCCTGTAACACCAACAAATTAGAAGGTCCTAGAGCCCAATACCTTCTGGCCTTTGAGGGTCAGGGCCTCTGTTCCCTCATCCATAAAATGAGGAGCTTGATACAATTGGTGATTTCCTCACCTAGGACCCCATTCAGCTGCCCCCCTCCAGGTACCCTGACTTTTAGAGACACCGACAAAACTACTTAGTTGTTATAAGAGGGAGGGATTAACCTGTGTACAGGTATTGCCTTGGGTAGTTAACACTGCTACCTCAGCTAATCCTCCCAGCAACCCTGTAAGACAGGTAGTACGGTATCATTACAGAGGGGGAAACTGAGGCATGGCACAGCGAAGTGCTTCACCCAAAGTCTCGATTAGCAGAGACCACAGCAGCTCTGGGACTCCCGATGGAGCTGGCCTGAGTCCACGCCCATGCTCACTCCCTGACACTATATTTTCCTTTGTAATCAACCAGAATGAAGAAATGCTGTCTCTCCTTGGACTTGCCATCAGGCCAGTGCCAAGCAAAGAAGCACGAGGTCTCTGGTCCCTCATGGGCCTGATTTGGGTGATACAGGGAAGGTTTCCTGTGAGATTGAGTGGGACATGACAGGCCCAAGTGACAGGAACTCCGGGAGCCTTCCTCTTGGATGTTTTCAGAGTCTAAGCTCTTCCCTGAGGGACCCCAGCACTTGGACAGGGCCTGGAGCCTCCAGGCCCTCAGTAAATATTTGTTGAATGAAGAAATGAATAAACTCAGAGTTTCAATGCACTAAAGACTTGTTCAAGAACCATCTGGTGTAGGTCGGTGTGAGATAGATCGAGACCAGCTCAAACCTCACAGCCGACCCCTCAGCAGCATGCAGCAGGTAGGGGTCTCCACATCCCAGCCCCTCCCCAGACTGTGGACAAAGACTCAGGTGCTGAGCCAAACCAGGGGAGCTGCAGACAGAGCAAGAGAAGTGTCTAAATGTGCAGGCTACCCAGTGAGGCAGTTAAGAACTTGGGCCCTATGATCAGTCAAACCAAGGGTCCTATCCCAGCTCTGTCACTTTAAATTAGTTGGGTGGCCCTAGGCAAATCACATCATCTCTGTGAGCCTCAATTTCTTTTTTTAAAATGTGGATGATGTTAGCACCCACTTCATAGGGCTTCTCTGAAGATTAAATGAGATAATCCTATAAAGGACTTAGCCCATTGCTTGCTCAGAGCAGGTGCTTGGAGGTGATGTCTGTTATTGTCTGCATCAGAGTGGGTGGGTAACGGCACTTCTGGAGCCCTCTGCTTGGGTTCACTTCCAGCTCTCCTCCTAACTAGCTATGTGACTTTGGGCAAATTGCTTAACCTCTCTCTACCTCAGTTTCCTGGTATGTAAAATGGGTTGACTGTGAAGATTAAATGAGTTATGCAGGTAAAGAGCTTAGAATGTGTCTTGCATAAAGTAGCTCAAGAAAAGTGAGCATTATACTTAATTATTAATATTACTAGTATTCTTCTCTCTGTGTCTCTCTCCTGATAACAGACTCCACCCCATCTCCCACTCTCCAGCCAAAAAGGAGGGTATAGGACTCAAGGTGGGCTCATGGGAGTATCTTTTCTCCTTAGCAGTGGTACATGGGGTGTGCACATGCTCCAGGCCAGGCCAAATTCCAATCTGAAAACTCCTGGGGAAGGCCTGGTCCTCTTAGGTTGGCGGCAGGGCTGTGTGGGGTCAGCTGGGAGCTGCCTGCAGCCATAGTGCACTGAACAGGGGACTCTGGTCTAGAGATGCTGGAGGTCACATGCTGTCTTCCTGGGGCTTGATTCTTCTGCACCTCTTTTGAATCTTTGAGCCTCCTCGAAACCTTCCAATGTATCCTTTTTAATTTAATTTTTTTTTTGTAGAGACAAGCTCTTGCTATATTGACTATGCTGATCTTGAACTGCTGGCCTTGAACGCTCCTCCAGCCTCAGCCTCCCAAAGTGTTGGTATGAGAGGCATAAGCTATGCATCCCATTTTTGCTTAAGCTCATTCAAGTTTGGTTTCTGTGCCTTGAAACCAAAAAACTCCCAAGTAATAACAGCCCTCAACAAGTGCCTGCTTTATCATCACCAAATCCCACCCAGGAAGAAAAGCCAGCTGCACACCCAGTGAGACCCAGGAAGCCAAGGGAGAGCAAATATGTACAGCAAGGTATCTACAGACTGAAGTGAGGGGAGGCCACTGCAAGCCCCTGGAGCAGGGCCCTTCCTGGGAGAAGAAGTTACCGAAACCAACAGCGAGCAGCCCAGCCCTGTGCTTCCTGGTTGAGAACGGAGCCTCAGACCCAGCCCCGGAGCCATGCCCATTATGAGAGGGGAAGAAGAGAAAGAAGGAAGCTAAAGCTGATTTTCATTGACTTTGAAGTGGTGCAGAAAAAAAATCCAGATAGCTATTTAAAACAACTCTTTTTAAAGGAGGAAGTAAGGGAGAAAGTGGGGAGCATGGATAAGGGAAGAAAACTTGCCTTGTTTGAGTACTTAAATGTGCCATGCACTGGTGGTCACACTCATTGAATTGTATGATCTTGTCTAACCTTCAATGAAACACTGGGAACTGGATGATCATCCAACCCATTTTCCAGGTGAAGAAACTGAGGCTCATGAAGGTCAATAACTAACTCGCCAAGGTCATGCCACTAGTGCCTCATGCCTGTTCCACCCCATGCACACCACCTCCTCAGTACACTCTGATTTCAGTGGAGCCTGGGGTCTTTTCCTCACACAGCCCATTTCTACTGTCACTCACATCTGTGCTCAGATCCCTCAGAGGTGATGGCAATGTCCTGCTGCTCCTTTATTCATAACTACTCAGAGGAAAGCGCAGCCCTGAGACACAGACAGGAGAGGCAGTATCTTGACAGCTCAGGTGCATCCTTGGGCAAGTTTCCTTTTCAAGACCTTAGTTATTTCAATCTCAAAGAGCTCTAGTGTGATTTTACTGGATGGCATGTATCAGTGGGTTTCCTGCTCTTGAGGGCAAGATTTGCCTACGCCTGACAACCAGCCAACAGGCTGTAAAACATCATCTCCTTTGCGTGTTTTTTGTTTTACTTTTTTTTTTTTTCTCAGTCACCTGTCCCAAGAGATTCTGACTTAATAGGGACGACTATAGTCCCTGTCACAAAGCATTGTGCTAAACAATATTATCGTTGCTTGTCTCACTTACTCACTACTTTCTGGACCAGCACCCAAAGATGATCTACTCCCGTATCCCATGCCTACTAATAGCATGGTTTTAATTCCCTTCAGGAAAGGAAGCTGCACCTTCAGGTGTGTTTTTAAAGGGTTTTAAATGGAAAAAATGGCCGGGCACAGTGGCTCACACCTGTAATCCCAGCACTTTGGGAGCCCGAGGCAGGCAGATCGCTTGAGGTCAGGAGTTCAAGACCAGCCTGACCAACATGGTGAAACCCCATCTCTACTAAAAATACAAAAATTAGCCAGGTGTGGTGGCGCACGCCTGTAATCCCAGCTACTTGGGAGTCTGAGGCACAAGAACCGCTTGAACCCAGGAGACAGAAGCTGCAGTGAGCCGAGATGGTGCCACTGCACTCCAGCCTGGGTGACAGAGCAAGACTCTCAAAAATAAAATAAATAATACAAAATACAAAGCAACAGAAAAAAAATCCATGGCCTGGTAGCAAAAACTAAGAACCAAAATATGCTGACAACCACCCACCTCTCCTGCAGCATGGGCCATGAGATGAACACACAAATGAGCACAGGCAAGCGCCTTCTTCCACAAGCCCCAGGGAACCCAGCACCGAAGTCTGCATGGGCATAAACTAAATAACCAGTGGAGTAAGGAGTAAAGATACAAGCATCAGTTGGTACAAAAGAACACACAGCCAAGATGGAAGTGGTAGCTTCTAGCATTTGCTAGAGAATTAAACTGGGAACTGTGATCTGGAATGACATGAAAATCTTCCTGACTACAATCATGTCAAGAAGAAAAGCTCTTGGCAGAGACTTGGCTCTATCTGTGGGAATAGGGAAGATCAAGAAGCCATCCCAAGCAGGAAGCCTTGCCTGCTGACCCTCACAGGACACAGGCTTCATAATGCCACACCGCCCAGCGCCCAGCTGGCAGCTAATGGCTATTCTCTTTGTTTTCCAGCTGCCAGCTTCAGAGAGTGGTTGCCCCAGTCATGGGGGATTATCCAGGCAGGTATTTCCCTTACTTTTCTTTTTCTTTTCATAACTTTATTCTCTGCTATTTAAAAAATAAAAAGGAACCGGCTCATTTTCCCTGAGGGCATGATTTGGTTTCACTCCTGGGTGAGATATGGTGCCACACAGCATAGCACTGCCTGGTGTTGGAGTGGCATGCAGTACACTAGCAGGGATCCATGGGCAACTTGGACCAGATAGAAATCTGAAAGAGAGTGGAATGTTCAAGGGGTCGCATTTCCTGCACTCCTGCTGCAAACCTGGTTTCCCTTAAACCAGCCAGGAAAGATTATTCAACCAGCATTTGCTGAGTGCCCTGGCTGGGACTGCGAGGAACATTAAAAAGCATGGGAAACAGGGGCCAGGACTCAGGAAGCAGAGGTGGTAGGAGGATGGGTGTTGCCTCAGAGCAGCCCACCCCTAGGCTTGGATCCCTGCCTTGCTGCCTGTCTGTTGTGCGACCTCAAGCAAGTCATTTCAGCCCTAAGGCTCATTTGCTCCCCTTTGTGGAATGACGTCTACCTTATAAAGCTAGGGTGAGGATTCAATGAGATAATACCTATCAAAGAATAACAAAGGCTGCCATATGTTAGCCATTTACTATGAGCCTGGACCTGTGTGCAAAGTGCTTTGCATGGATTATTCCATCCAGTTCTTACAACTTCCCTCTGAGTAGGCTTCGCATCCTCAATCTCAAATGAGAAAATGAGACTCAGAGAAATGAAAACACTTACCCAAAGTCACACAGCTCATAAAAAACAGAGCTAGGACATACCCAGCCTCCATGCAACTGCCTGGAACATGGTGGGTGCACAAAACATGTTGCCTGCCTTCCCTTCAGGAAGCAGAGAGGGTGAGAAAGAACTCCCAGGAAACAGGTAAATGCTGAACTGGGGGCTGTTGATTCTCTGCCCAGCAAGCATATGGAGAAAGGAGGGGAAACTGGGTCTGAGAGGGTTTAGGAAGCCTTTCTGAAGACAGCAGGGCTGAATCCAGACTTGGGGGATGAGGGTGTTGAAAAGGCAGAGAAGAAGGAAAGTGCTGAAGAACCAAAGCAAAGAATTGGGGCCAGGGATGGCCCAGGTGCAGAGGAGAGGAGACCAGCCAGCTTGGAGGATGAGAAGGGGGAGCTGGTCTGACTGAGGGATGGGCAGCCTGAGCCATTACCTTGGGGCAATTCTACTGGGATCTTTTTTTTTTTTTTTTTTTTTTTTTGAGACGGAGTCTCGCTCTGTCGCCCAGGCCGGACTGTGGACTGCAGTGGCGCAATCTCGGCTCACTGCAAGCTCCGCCTCCCGGGTTCACGCCATTCTCCTGCCTCAGCCTCCCGAGTAGCTGGGACTACAGGCGCCCGCCACCGCGCCCGGCTAATTTTTTGTATTTTTAGTAGAGACGGGGTTTCACCTTGTTAGCCAGAATGGTCTCGATCTCCTGACCTCATGATCCACCCGCCTCGGCCTCCCAAAGTGCTGGGATTACAGGCGTGAGCCACCGCGCCCGGCCCTACTGGGATCTTTCTCACCTGCAACCCAGAGGCCCTCCGGCCTCTGCTCCTCCAGTCATGCGACCATCACAGAGGGAGCTGAGAAGCAGTTCCAGGTGCCAAAGCCCAGAAACCTCTCTCTTCCCACAGCAGTATCAGGGTCCACCTCCATAAGCAGGTGTGTTTGCCAATTCCCAGTCTGTGCTGCTCTGCAGACCTGCCAGGCCTTAATTCTAGCCCAAGTGCTGGGGTGCCAGGAAGCTAAAATGCTGCCATGTGCACTTAAGAAGCACCACCCTCAGAGCCTCCACCCAAGTATTCAAAGTTGGCAGGAGGGAGGAAGAGGCACAGGTAAAGCCGAGGTTGTAGGACCTGAGCCCCTTGTGGCAGGGTCCCTGTCTTGCTGGACTTTGTATTCCTCATGCCTGCTGGGACACTGTAGGTACTTCCTCAATAAACTTTTGTTGGGCTGAACTAAACAGGAGATTCTTCTGCTTAAGGAACAACTCCAAGGAGTTTAACAAGTCTGAATTAAGGGCTGACTTTGAGCCCTGGGTTTAGTCCCACCTTGGCTAGAAGGATCATTTGCCTGTTTGCCTCCCAGGGAGTAAGTACTCCCCATCCCATCCCTCTGCCCTGTGGCCTCTGATTCAGCCCCCTGCAGGCCCCTGGCCAGGCTCCAGGCAGTGATTCTGGGCTCTACACCTCAGCACCTGCTCCTCCTCTTGCCTCCTCCACCTTCAGTTGCAGGGTCCCTCATGGCACATTTATGCTCAGGACAATTTCATACTCAGGCACTGCAAATGCTTCAAGCTACAATGCTCTCCCCCATTGTCTCCCACTCCCCACCAAGTTCCAAATGCTGAGTCCCAGCCCAGACCTCAGATCCACAGAGAAGGGACAATGGAGTGGGGATGATTTGAGCAACTCCAATAATCAGCTCTGCTCAAAGCCATCACCATGTGCTTAGTTCGGGAGTAACAAGACCTGGGAACAAAGGGTGAAAGTAGAATTGTATAGCCTGGGCGCAGTGGCTCACGCCTGTAATCCCAGCACTTTGGGAGGCCAAGATGGAAGGATAACTTAGAGTCCAGGAGTTTGAGACCAGCCTGGGCAACACAGGGAGACCCTGTCTCAACTAAAAACAAAAGAAAAAATTAGCCAGGCATGGTGGCGTGCACCTGAAGTCCCAGCTACTCCAGAGGCAGAACTGGGAGGATCATCTGGGCCCAGGAGGTTGAGGCTGCAGTGAGCTATGATCCCACCACTGCTCTCCAGCCTGGGTGACAGAGTGAGACCCTGTCTCATATAAATAAATGAATCATAAAATTAAGAGAAAAACAAATGAAAAACTGTCCACGTAATTGAGGACCACCAAAAAAAAAAAAAAAAAAAGAAGAAGAAGAAGAAACAGAGTAGAATTGTATAAAGGTCGGCTGGTCACCACATGACCTCCTCCCAGTCCTCTTTAGGAAAAGGGCTAAGGGGGAAATGATGAATGGCTTTAGGGGAAGAGTCAATCTGAAACTCCAGAACAAAGCTTTCTGGGATAGGAAGGGGGGTGCGTGTTTCATTACCTTCCACTTGCACGTTTTGGAGCAAGTTATTCAACCCTGCAGAGCCTCAGTCTCCTGACCTGTTCAATGGGGACAGTACCCAGTAACCGCACAGGGTAACTGTGAAGACCAAATGAAATATGAATGGGAATGTGTTTGGCAAACTGTAAAGCACCTTTGGAAATATCAGACATTTTCCAAATCCTGAGAGGTGGGGTCTTCAGGTCAGAATATGTGGCTTGAAGGGTAAAAGAAAACCAAGAATCACTTCTTTTGGCCCAAGTCTCTATTGACAGCTTCTAGGACAAGGCACAAGTCTTCAGGGATTTTAGAAAGATGCTGATTGAATTCTATTCATGGTCTTGTAAAGGGGAGACCTACACCCACATCTATATAATAAGGCAAAACAGAATGTGTTACAGAATGATCCTGCAGAGAGGATGGACATTCTACCCTGACCTCAGAGATTAAGAAGGCACTTACAATAATACTATAATATAAAAATAATATAAGAATTGTTAACATAATAATAACTCTTTCAGAGTGCTTGCTATGGGCCAGGCACTGTTCTAAGTGTTGACATAGCTTCTCTGATATTCTCATAACAACCCTATGAAGCAAGTTTGCAGATGACAAAACTGAGGCACAAAGAAATTGACTTCTATCTTGGACTTACATGGCTGGTAAGTGCTGGAGCCAGGATTTGAACTTGTCAGGCTCTGCTCCTTTTGGGAAACCAAAATGGGTTTCAGATAGACTCTGAGAGGGTGGCTGAAAGGCTCTGATAAAGCCTGCAGGGCTGAGTCATTGAAGAAAGGTACTGTTTCACCCACAGTGTCTCCCACCCATGCTTTCCCCACTACATTCACACTGCCCCGATCTGTCCTGGAAATTGGCCATGCCTCTGCTCTCCCTGCACCTCTTTGTGGGTACCTAATACCAAGGGAGACTGATATGAGAACCTATATGTCAATGTTTACATTTACACAATGGAACACTCATGGATTAATCCCAGCTCTGCCATTTACCAGCTATGTGACCTTGTCAAGTCTTAGTCCAGGGCTTCTGCTTCCTCATCTGTAAGATGTGGTTAACACTTATTATCTTGGGCAGTTATTGCAAAGATGAAATGGGATGTGTCTAGTGCAGCACCTGGCATGTTGCAGTCTTGATAAACAACTGTTAAATAGGAAGACTTTACAAAGGATTTCCATTGCAAAATCATTTTCTTCAAGGTAAGATCTGGTGGTAACAGTAGTACTTTTAACTAGTATTCACCTGGTTTTCATCTGCCACTAACCTACACCCACAACATGGATGATCTCATTTAATCCTGAAAAGCGCCATTATTTTCTTCATTTGACTTGGCTTCAGGACAAGAAAGGATGTCCCTAACACATTAATTTTACACACACATACGTATATGCAGACAGAGGGACAGATAGTAGAGCAAGACAATATTTTTAGGCACTTATTATATGTCAGGTGCTAGTCTAAGTATTCTACATTCAGTAACCCACTTCATCCTCTTGAAAACGTGCCTGAAATGGTAAGTACCATTTTATCTCCATTTACAGATGTGGAGCTTGCAGCACAGTGAGGAAAGTGTCAAATGAGTAGACTTTTTTAGTCTACAGTGGTCATCTCCTCCTGAATCTCTGCTCCCCTGTCTCAGCCGCCAATATCCTATCCCCTACAAAGCCACTAGGGAGATCTCCCCACACATGTCACTCCTCTGCTCAAGAGCACTCAAAGACTCCCTACTGCCTAGTCAAAGACCCCCAACAGGTCGAAGAGGATCAACTGTGGGCTCAAGATCCCAGTAGGATCTGGCCTTGCCTCCTTCCCTGTGCTCCCAAAGTCCCAGTGACAGGGTGAGTCAGTGAAACCTTCTCTAACCACTCTGTTTAAAATTACAGCCCTCCCCGAGCTGCTCCCCTCTCCATGCAGCACACACCATCTCCTTCCCTGCTTTGATTTTCTCCACCATACCTCTCATCACCTGGCCTCCCACGCATTTAGCTCACTTGTTTATTGTCCCTCTCCCCTTCTGGGAATGTGGCAAGGGATGTTATCTTGTTTTGTTTTTTTCCCTGCTGCAACCCAGCACTGAGAGCAGTGCCTGCCACAGAGTAAGAGCTCATAAATACCTGCTGAATGAATGAATGAGCAGACATGTAAAATGCCTAAGAAGAAAATGTCCCCATAGAGCAATGGTGAAAGAATGGCTCCAGGAGGCTGGAGGCTAGAGATGCCTAGACTGAAATGTCCTGGAGCTAGACCCTTTCTTGCCTATCTTCCTGAGATTTACAAGAGTTCCCTGTGAGACCCTGGGCCTTCATCCTCCCATCCCTGTTCTGAAGTTAAACACACTCCAACTCAATCTCTCTCTCATTAAAGCCTCTTTGCATCTGTCCTAAACTCACCTGCCTAGCCTCATTTCCCGCTGCCCACCTTCAAAGCAGGCAATTCCCCATTTCTCTTGGCCTCAACACCCACTAGAGATGCTCTCTTCTTACTCCCAACTTATCCATCTGCACTGCAACTACCCATCAGGATCCAGATCAAATGCTGCTGCTGCCGCCACCTCTGCTCCCTCCTCCAGGAAGCTTTCCAGGCCCTCCCTAGCCCACAGAAAACACTCCCCACACCCACCGCTGCCTCCTTCAGGCAGATGGACATTAGTCATGAACTACCTTGTGGTTTTTCTTCTATGATTGAGCTGAACTGTTGCGAAAATCTCCTGTTACTTAATTTTTTTTTTTTTTTTACACACATAAGCCTTGCTTTCCCAAGCCCACTGTAAATACTTTAGGAGGAGAAGTTGAGCCTTATGCATCTTGTCATCCCCACAGCACAGAGCCTAGGGCACATAGTAGGTGTTCAATAAATGCTTCTTAATTGCCCAGGGTAAATAAGTCACCTCCCCAATCAGGTCACTTCCTCAATTATAGGTACCTGGACTGGCCACTCCCAAGAGGCTGCATTTTTTCTTCAGAGCCAGCTGTGATCTCAGTTACCTGCAAACCTCACCATGGGCCTATGTTTTCAAAGGATGTTAGACCTATTCTAATCTCACTCCACTGAACTGGGCAGACGAGATGATTTGTAAAGCATCTCAGGTCTGGCAAAGCAAAGTACATACTTCTTCCAGGCAAACCCAGAGATTCAGAGCTTCCAATCTCCTTAAATACTGGAGTTCACAAGAGGAAAAAACCATGGTGTAAGTTTTAAGTGACTGACAGCAGAAAACCAACATGAGGCTCAGGTGCACGCTTTGAGCACCAGCTATCACTAAACCGAGATTACAGTTTACTGTAATGGTCCTAAAATCCCACATGACTTCTGAGGGAGAGGCCCTGTTTACTACAGACCCTCCATGTGCTGGCCTATGCCAGGCTCTGCAGGAGGGCCTCCCTGAGTCCCCTCTGCAAGGTAAGTGGGCTGGGACCAGCCAGCTTTACACCTGAGGAGCTGAGGCCCAGGTGGGTAGGAGGCTGCAGAGCCCTGACTCAAGCAGGTGAGTCACTCACTCCACATGGCCTCACCAGTTCACATTAGCCAATCAGGCATCCCAGATTATCTGTTATTTAAAGAAAAAAAAAACTGAATAAGAAATACTTGCACCGGATTCCAAAGTCAAAAGAATACAAAAGTATTCAGAAAAAGTTTCCCTCCTACTCCTGTCCCCATCTACCTACCACGTCCCCACTCTAAAACAGGTCACCACTATTATCAGTTGCTTGTGTCTGTTTCCGGACCGTGATTATGCATATATACACAAATATAAATATGTGTCCTTTTGTTTACATTAACTGATAGCAGACTAGACACACTTCTCTGCACCCAGGCTTTATCTTTTAAAGGACTAGACTTGGGACAGGGCAGAGAGATAGAGTGTCTCTACATAACAAAAAAAAGATGCCGGGCACGGTGGCTCACGCCTGTAATCCCAGCAATTTGAGAGGCCGAGGCGGGCAGATCACGAGGTCAGGAGATCAAGACTATCCTGGCTAACATGGTGAAACCCCGTCTGTACTAAAAATACAAAAAAATTAGCAGGGCATGGTGGTGCATGCCTGTATTCCCAGCTACTCGGGAGGTCGAGGCAGGAGAAGCACTTGAACCCAGGAGGCGGAGGTTGCAGTGAGCCGAGATCGCGCCACTGCACTCCATCCTGGGTGACAGAGCGAGACTCCGTCTCAAAAAAAAGATGTACAGCTATGTGAAAAGCCCATGAAATAAAGAGAAATATTCTGGAGAACACATGGGTGAGAAGGGAAGAACTAAGGCATAGAGATACGATGGAAATGGACCCCACTGGGCTGCTGCTGATACAGATCCCAGGCTAGCCAGAGATGAGCTCTGGCGGGTGGGGCTGAGATCAGACACCCTGAGAGCGCAGGAAGCCCCAGTGGCTAAAGGCTAAGCCTGGCTTTGCAGAGAGTTTCATCATCTAGAAGAGAGAGGATGTGTCCATAGAAACAGGGACTAACCTAGTTCCCTAATTCCCACAACAATGGTGGAATGGGTTAGTGACCAGAAGGACACAGGAACTGTGGAGGAAAAACAATCATTTCCTGTGAAATTAGCAAAAGACCAAGAAGGGGAAGTTGGTGCTGGAGACTCAAAGAACACAGACTTCAAGTGGCTGGGAGATCAGAAGAGCTGCTAGATGCGAGGTGGAGGAAGTTAATGACTTGGACTCTGAATGCAACTCCAGCCAAACAATTGAGGAGACCAGGACAGGGGAGCAAAGAACCAACACTGGAATGAAGAGTAGAGTGGAGATAGGGGTTTAGTGTTTTTGTTTTGTTTTTTAAAAAGGATATTTAGACATTTGCAATGACTTCAAGTCCCCTAGCCCGGGAAAGTGACCTCCCAGAGCACGGAAAACGTTCACAGATGAGATGCTAAGCTGCCTGGTGCAATCTCTGGGGAGCAGCCCAGGAACAGCTGAAAGCAACCTTGGAGCCCTCGAGGAGCTGAGAACACGTAACGTTAAGGCTGTTCATGTCCTTTTTGATGAAGCACTTGATAGTAGATGCAGAACTGCAATGGGCATGGCCTATCTAGCTTCAGAAAGGCGTCTTAGGTCAGAGAAGCAAAAGGACAGAGACTAGGCTAGGGGCGGCTTCAATCACTCTTCCCAAAGTCAGTCGGTCAAAGATCGCAAGTCCACTGAGGGGAGGTCTCCAGGAGTGTGACAGAGGGGTCCCTTCGATAAGCATTTATCATGACTTGGGTGACGCTGTGGAAGGCATACTTAAATAGGATTCTGATCAATGGAACAGGGCTGCACTGAATTTAACAAGTTGAAACTTAACAGGAATGATCATTCTGAATCAAGCAGGAGCAAAATAGGAGGCTCTGCCTTTAAATTCTAAAGCCACACAAGTTTAGGACAGGGGAGAAGCAGCTTAGCAACAGCACATGTTAAAAAGACCTAGTCAGCAGTAACGTCTGTGATGTGATGCTGCTGCCAGCAAAGCTCATAGAGTCTTGGGCTGCATTAAGAGAAGCAGAATGTCCGGAACTGGAGGTGATAGCTCCCTTCTTCTGCTGTCCTCATACCATAAATACAATATATGGTCTGGACACTGCCTTCGCTGTATAAAAAGATCTGAACAAACTAAGGCATGTTCAGAGGAAAACCACAGAGAAGGTAAAAATCCTGAACCCACACTGTGGGTTGTTAATCTGGAAGAAGATGCAGGAGAGAAACAGAGGGCTGTCTTTAAATAACGTATTTCACTGATCAGAAATGCATTTTTCCCATTATAAAATGTCTGAAAGCAGAATGTGTCTTAAAACCCCCTGAAACCTAACGATCTCTCCCGGGATGCAGCTGTGGCATAGCTGTCACCGCCTCACATATGGAAATTTGACTCATTCCTGGTGGCATATCTGAACAACCATGATCTAAAACATTTCAGGAGCCAATACTTTTAAGGACCATTTAAGGAAGGAATGTGAGTCCTGGTTGTTAACAAAAAAACTTTCATTGATGCCTTCTGGTAAAATCAAGAAAACACCAGAACTGACATAATGGGTGTCAGCAGCTGGAAAAAATTCCAGGGACAAGAGAGATGAAGAAATACATCCCCACCTGACTAGAAGAGAACAGTGAGTCAGAAAACCATGGACATTGATGAATCTCAGTCAAAAAGTGATTCAGAAGAGTTAGATTCTGAAAGCGAAGTTTTAGAAATGCCTTAACCAATTTACTTTTATATATATGCAAGAGTGATATAAAATAAAAAAAGTATGTCTAAAATCTTAAAAAATTCAGAAAATATAGAATAAAAATTTTAAGCAATGGCAAAGCATTGTGCCACAGTTTAATTGGCAGCTCTTTTTCTTTCTTGAGGGTACATGAAATAATGGTATATCTTTCAGTTGATGGTGTTAGAGATTTGATTAAAAAAAAACAATTTCTGAAGAGCTATTGGGTGGTAGACAGATTAGACCTACTCTCCATGGCACCCAAGGGGAAGAACTGGGACCAAATGCCAGAAGCTATAGGAAGCCATCAGGAAGGAGGAGTTCAAAGACAGGATGGATCACCTCCCACCTATAAACTCAGGCTAAACCACCACTGTGGAGTCAAGCATCCAGTGGGATTGATGATAAGGCTCTCCCAGACCTGCAGTTCCAAGGTTTATGAGAAGAACTTCTCACCAGGAAGCGAAAGGTGGCCCATCGTTCTTCACTGCACACACAGGTGCTTTGACTGAGCCATTCCCTTTAAAAAGTCATTAAAGGCAGGCCAGGCGCGGTGGCTCACTCCTGTAATCCCAGCACTTTGGGAAGCTGAGGCAGGCAGATCACTTGAGGTCAGGAGGTTGAGATCAGCCTGGCCAACATGGAGAAACCTTGTCTCTACTAAAAATACAAAAATTAGCCAGGCGTGGTGACACATGCCTGTAATCCCAGCTACTCGGGAGGCTGAGGCAGGAGAATTGCTTGAACCTGGGAAGCAGAGGTTGCAGTGAGCCAGGATCGCACTACACTGCAGCCTGGGTGACGGAGTGAGACTCTTGTCTTTAAAAAACAATTAAAAGTTATTAAAGGTAAAAGGCACTTAGGGGCCAGTACCGAATGAGAGGCCTGCGGCAACAAGGAACCCTGCCCACATCTGTGCTCCAAGGCTCCTGTGGGCCAATTCAGGAATGAGCCAGAGGGGAAGAGGCCACCTGCAGGCCACTATGTGCCAGGCACCATGAGAGGTGTGCTACGCCCATTACCCCATTTAATCCTCACAACCTCCCCGTGAGGTAAGTAGCATCACTCCCATTTTACAGAGAACAAACCCAAGGTTCAGAGATAGTATGTGTGTGGCTTGTCCAGTGTTTACAGTGACTGAAAACCCATGGTCTGTCTGTGACAGCATGCTTCAAATTGAGAGTACTCCAAAAATCTTGGCTGACAGAATGAATGCACTGAGCAATCAATTTATCAATCAGTGAACAAATCAGCTTGTTCTCATATGGGTAGCACTGATCCTAGGAGAAAAAAGAAAGCAAGCCCATTTCAGTGCCCCACCCCAAATCCCATCAATACCTCCCATCAATAGCACTAAACTCATTACATTTGCTGCTTGCGGGAACAATTTATTCCATCACATAAAGCAAAAGTGTCCCTGAGACATACATGGAAGAGAACAGGTGCCAGCCCCGCTCAAATGTCAAAGCTGAAAATGCACCAGGCTGTGGTGCCTCCCATCTGCCAGCTTAACACGGGAGCAGGCGGAAGCAGAGCTCAGCCTTTATCCACCTCCCTGTGGCCACGATGGCCAGAGGGCTGGGAGGCAACCAACCCCCTACCTGCTCCACCTGTCCAGGCCATTCAGTCCAGCTCCAGGTTTGCCAGCCTCTGCAAACTCTCTCTTCAACTAGAGAAGGAAACTCAATGTGCACACAGGAAACCCAGGGCAGGATGCACTTGAAGGGGATATTCAGGTGATTGTGAGGCTGTGCAGAGGAGAGAATCAGCATCATTCCAGATGATGTACAAATGCTCTGACAGCCGCTGACTCCTACAGAGCCAATTCTTCCAAAGGCGCTTTCTTTGGAGGAGGTGGTCAGCTGGGTTCCTGCACCATCCCAGCTTTGCTGCCTCCCTCACACACAGACAGGGAACTCCTGCTCCTGCTCCAGCAGTAGCCCCCAGAGGAGCTCAGCACCTCGACTGCCCTATTTATTCCCCTCAAATTGACCTTGAGTCAGGAGAAGATCCGTGTGAAGAGCTTAGCCCGCAGCGAGGTGGTGAAAGTGAAGCAGACGCTGTTTGCTACACAGAGTCAAGAGCCACCAAAGCTCAGACAGCCACACTTGGGTGTACAAGCTGCAGAATGTGACAGATGTCCCATATCCTAAGACCCTAACCAGGAGTTCCAAAAAGGGCTGCCCTCCTGATAAACCAAAGACAACATTTTGCTTGCAGACTCCCTTCACAAAGAAGGCTGTGGGTCAAAAGCCAGGATACAGACAAAGTCTTTTTGGGGGCCCAGCCTTACTGCCCCCCACCCTGTTCCCCACAGCCCTCCTCAGTCCAGGGGAATGGCAGCTGTCTGGCAGTGTGCACCTCCCGTGAACGGAGGGCAGTGCCCTGAAGGATGACTCTGACTATCCCTCTCTGACAGCTTCCCACAGTCCGCTGGGTTCAGTCCACACCCACACCGCCCCCAGAACTCAGGGCTCTCCATGCCTCAGAGCAGCCTGATTCCAGCCTCAGCTTCTCTAGGCAGCCCTCACGTTTCTACCACATGGTACCCTGACTGTGCCCTCACTTTTCTACATCTCTTTGTGCTGTTACCTCTGCCCATCTCTGCCTATGGAAATCATACCTATCTTCCAATACCCTTCTCAATCTACAAACTCCACCTCCTCCAGGAAGCCTCCCCTGGTTCCCCCCTACTGTGGGACTCTGTGGACATTCCATACTCTGTCTCGGTGTTCAGCCACAGGTGAGCTTGTCTAATGCACCTCCCTCCATGAGTTAGAAGAGCAGGCAGCTTCCACCAGTCATCACAGGGACTCTAGCCCAGCAGCTGCACACTGTGAGCTCCGAGCCTGGGCCTATGGCTGTTGATGCCCCCAGCACCCTATTTGCCATCTCTCAGGATTCCCTCCTCCTCCTGTTCCCAGCTGACTCATCCTATGCCCCATCCTCTTAAGGTTCAGCCCTTGGCTGACAGCTAATCAAAGATAAACTCATCTCTGTCAACATATGGTCCTTCCCAGTTAACTTCTGTATTTTTAACAAAGGGCTTCTGCGGACAAGGGCTAGGAACAAAGGTGGGAATTCTAAGCCCCAAGGCTCTGGGGGAGGTGTTCATGATAAGAAAAGATCTTGGGACTGAGACCAGCCAGTGCTACAAGCGTACACAGCATAAATTCAAAGAATGTGGGAGGTTTTAGAAAGGGAGGATGAGGCTCTGTCCTTCGGTACACGCAGCCAACTGTAAGCACAGCTGCCTTAGACTGATCAAGGACCACAGCCTGGTGGGAAATGGTAGATGGAAAAGAGACCTGACTCTGACCTGGCTGGGTGACCTTGAGCAAGAAACACACCTCTCTGTCCACTCAGCATCAGGAAGCATCCGAGTGTCAGTTTCTCCATAGGTAAAACAAGGTGGCCAGGATGAGAACTACACCATCCCATGAGGCCCATCCAACCTGACATCCCAAGGCTCTGTGACTCATGGCCTCTGTGGCCTCCTCCCTCCTGGGAGGTCAGTGTCATTTGAAACTACCCCACTCTCAAGCCCCACCTGAGTCCAAAGGGAAAGGGAGAGCTAGAGATCTCCCAGCCAATCCGCAGGCGGCCTATGAGGGCGGGCCTCAACCACTGCAGGTGGAAAGAAGGGGCAGAAGTGGGGGAAAGGTGTTGCATTCTATGCTCTCATTCATGCCATCTGTCTCGGCCTAGACAAAAGACAGTCAGCCAGTTGCCTTCACCTCCTTGGCCTACCTTTTTTAGAGATTACAACTGTCTGCTGAATTTAAGTGCTGCTCTAAAATCAGGACATATAAGGTCTCTCAGGCTGGATTTGAAGGGTTTCATAATGGATAGAGCATAAGAGCGATGAAGAATTAAACTTGGAGGCAATCTAAGCTGTATTGTGCAGCCATGCCAATTAAAGATCTTTAAAAATAGCCTCTCTCCTCTCATGCCGTAGATGAAGTTTCAGCAATAAACAGACATCTGCTAGGAGCTTCTGAAGAGATACAACATAAACACCCCAGAGAGCAGCCATAAACAGCCCACAGCACTCTCCAGGCGGCAGGCAGCATCCTGTTCACGAGGGGAGGAGGGGGGAACCCAGAGCCCAGGGAAACGGAGAAGAGGGTTCAGGGGTCAAGGGCAGAGGAGGAGGTGGTATCCAGTGGCTGGGAAGGATGGAGGTTGGCTCCCTACAGGAGGAGGAAGTAGTGGGGCCAACTCAACTTGGTAGAAAATGGAGAACTGGCTGCCTTCTGCAGGGAAAGAAAAGCTCAGGAACCCACCTAGAGGATTTTCAGAAAGCCATCCAGAGGACTCCATACCAGTGTCATTCATTCTGGCAATGGGTCACTCGTTAAATGTGAAAAAACAAAACAACAACAACAACAAAAACCCTGACATTTTGGAGTGCATATCCAGGCAAGGGACTTCACAAATATTTTAATTTCATCTCCAGATCAAGCTCTTGTAATAGGTATAATTACCTCCTTTATGTAGACTAAAATACTAGGATTCATTAACTCGCCCAAGGCCACAGGGCTCGGATTTGAGCCCAGGTCTGTCTTAGTGCTTTTTGTTTTTGCCTATGTCACCTGCATCCACAACATGCCCCTGAGGTTTATTCTCAGATTCCAGGCTCTTTGAACCCCCAAATCGAACACAAGGGGACTCCTAAAGGAGAGAGCTGGCAAAGTAGAGTGGAAGGGGAAATGGTTAGGCCTTGGCCAAATGAGACAATGGCCAAGTCTCTGCAGCCCTGTGGGCCCTGTCTCTTTACATCCTGGTTGCTTCTTCAGCAGGCCGCAGGAAGAGCAGAAGGGGAACAGGCACCAGGACATGCCTAGACTATGTCTGGAAGGATCCACAGGGGGCTGGGGACAACAGCTGCCAAAAAAGTAAGAACTGAGGGCTGGAGGACAGGGAAAGAAGGGAGATGTACTTTTCATTCAATTTCCTTTGTACTGAGTGGATATCTTACCGTGCATCTATGTGTGCGTGTGAAGGTAAGTCCTATGCATCTATGTATGTGTGGGATGAGTACCACACACATATGTATGTATGTGTGGGTAAGTCACTTTTAAGAAAGCCCAAGATACAAGATAACCAACACGCCCAAGCAAGACCTTCTAGGTCATCTGGTTGGGGCAAACCTGGAATCCAGAAGAAGCCTGAAATTTCACACAGTGCTTCCTCCTACTCCTCCTTCACAACAGTAATGTGTGGCAACTCCAGGCATGTGGCCGGGAAGCTCTCCCGACATGGACCCCATGGTCCCCAAGGCTCCAACTGCATGAGCCTCACAGGACATTCCCTGAAGAAAAAGGCTGAGTGAATCCTCTCCCTGAGGGTCTGGAAAGAGGTTGGAAATCCCCTTGTGTGTTTCTCTATTCTGTTTTCCTTTCATTTAGTCATCAGACAAATGATGTAGCCTCCTTCTTACAAGCAGGGAGATCCTGATCTTACTACCTTTGCATCAGATTGTGCAAAGCCTGGCTGTCCTGATACATGGAGCTGATTTGACAGCAGCCACAGACTCTACACACAGCACCCAACCCCCATTCTGCTCCTTTTGGATGAACAGTTGTCCAATGAGGGCTCAGCAACCAAGCCCCTGGCAGACCCTGGGCCCACTCTGTTTCAGAGGGCAGCTCTTGTTAGTGAGAGCTGCTTCTTCAGTCTCCCCTACACCTCATTATCCTGGCTCCAACACACTATATACTGAGATCCTGCAAAGCTTCACCAGATAAGTCAGTATTCAGATAAGTGGCCAGGGCCAGCCATTCAGAGTCGTGGGAACAAAGAAGTAGTTTCTGCACCTCAACATGTTGGTACTGCTGCAGCAAGGCCAGAACAGGGTGTTCTTAGACTCCCACTCGTGTCTCCAGCATGTGCTGGGCTTCCAGGCTGTGTGCGTCAAGACCTTAGGTCTGGAGATGTCCCAGAAACCTGCTGTTGCAGTGGCTCAGAGGCCAGGGACCACCGTCCAACCCCTTGCTGCCCTCCTCTTGCTGCCAGCAGAAAGAACATCTGCACTAGACATTCTCTCTTGCCCAGCAAAGGAGAAAAACCTGAGCCCCAAACCAGCAGGAAGCACAGCTCCGGTTCTTCTGCCTGCCCTTACCTCTGTAATTCATCAAAAGAAATCTAACCAAGCCTTGGAAGGAATGCAGGTGCCTCAAGGTATCAGGACAGCCACTGGGAGGTGGGGATTTGAGAGAAAGAGGAAGGCAGGGAAATTACCCTGACCCTCAGAGGAGAGAAACATTAGCTCAAATAAAGAACAAACTAAAAATTTCAACCCTAAAAACACCAGCACTATCCACATACGCACAGCTCACTGCCAGACACCACTGAGATGGGCGGTTTGTCCCGTGATGATGGTAGTGATGTTTAGACGCAAAGACAGGTACAGTGCAGTGGTACTTCAGACACTATTCCATACATGGTCATCACAAAAGGCTCTTCATTTGAGACATGAGCAGCTGACAGAGAAGGGAAGCATCTCCAAATCAGACCCCATGGTTGACCCAATCCTGCAAAGAAAGTTTGTTCGTGAACAGAGGGCCAGAGTCACCTATCACTCCCTCGGGCTCTGAATTTCTGAGGCCACGTGATCGATGTTTTAGGAAGAAGAAACCTTATCAGCCCAGGCCAGCCATGCTGTCTACCTTTGGGGAGGGTGTAGGGAGGAAAACAGAAACTAGAGGAGGGAGGAGTCCAGGCACCCCAAAGTGATGGAGCAGGGTGTTTGGCCATTGGGCACTTTCCTGAGAGGACAAGACAGGCCACTGGAGCGTGGAACTTTGCCCTGCCTTGTCTTAGCACTCTGTGTCATTTTGTCTTCCCCTGAGGGCTCAACCTTCCTCAGTTAAAAAAAAAAAAAAAAAAAAAAAAAATCAAAATCAAGAGCCTAACATTAGAAAAATTTCATTTGAGGGATAGCAAAGGAGGAAGTAGAAAGGGAAAGAGGGGCCAGGCGCAGTGGCTCACGCCTATAATCCCAGCACTTTGGGAGGCCGAGGCAGGTGGATCACGAGGTCAGGAGATCAAGACCATCCTGGCTAACATAGTGAAACCCCGTCTCTACTAAAAATACAAAAAAAATTAGCTGGGCATGGTGGCGGATGCCTGTAGTCCCAGCTACTCAGGAGGCAGAGGCAGAAGAATGGCATGAACCTGGCAGAGCTTGCAGTGAGCCAAGATGGCCCCACTGCACTCCAGCCTGGGTGAAAGAGCGAGACTCCATCTCAGAAAAAAAAAAAAAAAAAAGAAAGGGAAAGAGGGTAGTATTTTCTAACTTTCAGAAAGTCGGGATATGTTCATCGTGGAAATAATGATCCAAGCAAATATCGAAATCCCAATAGTGCTGGGGCTTTATCTGCATGTATAACCGTTCCAAATACACGTATAATTCTGTCTACCTACTTCAAATTGGTTGAAAGAAGTCTTCTTTTTTAAGAAAATAAATATTTGGATTTTTCTTTATAAACATAAAATATTTGTCCTACAAAAAATTTTGAAAAATAGTACTAAAAAGCAAAAGATAAAGGAAAAGATCAACTCTAGCACTGCCATCCAGAGTCAGAAAACTTAAAATTTTGTTAGATTTTGTCCTAGTGCAAAAGGCTAGGCCAGGCATAGTGGTTCATACCTGTGATCCCAGTACTTTGGAAGGTCAAGGCAGATGAGTTGCTTGAGCTCAGGAGTTTGAGACCAGCCTGGGCAACATAGCAAGACTTTGTCTCTACCAAAAATAAAAAATAAAAATTAAAAGCCTGTCTGTGTTAAAAAGGAAAAAAAGAAAAAAAGCCCCAAACAAACCATGTCTTCATGTTGAGGGCTGTTCGCAGGGAAGGGCCATTACTGGATGGGTAAAAGACACCTATCGAGGTGTCCAGCACCCCTAAGGACATCTGGTGAGAGAACCAGGTGTGAAGTCCATTACCAAGAGAAGAAGGTACATCTTCTCCTGCCCTCCTAAGCCTCCGGTCTCCTTCATTAGGTCACCCACAAATGTGCCAGTGGTGGTGCTAACTCTATAGAACAAATTCAGACAAGACACTTGAAGGTTATAAACACTTATTTTCCATCACGACCTGCCCCAGTTGTGGATGAATAGTGATTTGAAGAAGGCACCACAACTTGCCCAAGAGTAAGGCAGGTTAGAGAAGGCTCTGGAAGGCACAGGAGAAGCAGCACTGTCCAGAGACAGAAGGAAGAAGAAAAGATGAGTGGTCTCCACCAAGCCCAGGGCCAGGTTTCTGGGTCATAACATGGTCATTCCTGTGGCAGAATTCAAAGCTTGGACAGAAGTGACCTCAGTCTCCGTCAGCCCCACGTGTGACCTGTGGAGGCCGGTTGCTGATCAAGGCACAAACGCAGCTGTCTCGGCTCCCCACCACAAACCAGCACAGTGAGGGGGAGCAGCAGATAGTTCTTCTATTATTTTAGGATGTTTACAGACCGACGCGTGCTGAGGAAACGTCCACACGTAAGCAAGTCATTTTTTTAAAACCTCTTATCTAAGCACATGCACTGGTAGTCACACAAATCCGTGACTGGGTTCATCAATTCAAAGCACATTTCCTGAGTGGCTATGATACAACTGGACAAATGCTTATGGAGCCTCTGCGTGTCCCAGACACGGCGTTCAGTGCTGAGGATCCAGCACAGCCAAGAGGTGGGCTCGTCTTAAGGGGCTCCCTATGTAGTAGGGGAGATGGGCAGTTAACACAGAGGGTAATGGCTAAAGAGGGGGCGCTTCTCTAAACTAAAACCAGGCATAAAAGGACCAACGGCCTAATGCGGCATACCAACTGGATCCTCGTTCAAACAAACCAACTCTAAAGGTCATTTCTGACACAATCAAGGATATCTGCAGGTGGACAGGTGATGTCTAAGAAGCACAGTTAATTCTGTTACGTGCAGTAGTGAAGTGTGGTTATGCAAGACAACGTCCTTTTTAAAAGAGTTGTATACTGGATTATATAGAGGCCAAATGACATGACATTAGACATTTGCTTTAAAATATCTCAGGAATAAATATTCCTTTCAGAGGGGAAGGGAGAAAAAGAGAGAGAGGAAGCCAACCAGGCATAATCTCAATAACTGTGGAAGCTGGGTAATGAGTATATGGGGCTGATTATGCATTATGAGTTTGTGTATGTGAAAATGTTTGTAATATTTTTGAGAGAGGACTGCAATACATCCTGGTAGATACCCTCATGGACATAGCTCGCATAAAAGCTAAGGAAATACAGAGCAAAGAGCACAGAGGATTTGCAAAACCAGAAAATAAATCTGCCAAGTTTCTGAGTGTTTTAAATGCCATTTCATAGTGAGGTGAGAAGACATGTTCATAAATAATTACAATATAGGGTGAGAAAGGGTAAGTACTGTAGCCCCCCCTCATCTCAGGGAGATACATCCCAAGACCCCCAGTAAATGCCTGAAACCTTGGATAGTACCAAACCCTATATATGCTGTGTTTTTTTCTATACATACAGGAGCGATTAAGTTTTCTTTACAAATGAGGTACCTTAAGAGATTACAACATTAATGATAAAATAGAACAATTATAACAATATACTATAATAAAAGCGATGTAAATGTGGTCTCCGTCTCTCTCAAAATACTATAATATTTTCAGACCATGGCTGACTGTAACCGAAACCTCGAAAGGTGAAACCGCGGATAAGGGAGATGACTGCGCAGCAGAGGAGCTGTGCCTGCCAAGCCTCCAGAGTGCAGAGACAGCCACAGGCTTTTCCTGCTTCCCATAGCATTTAATTCTCCACACTCAAACTGCACTCATACATGCTGTGTGATGCAGGCAAGTTGTAACCTTTTTTGTTGTTGTTGTTACTAAAGACAGCAGTCTTGCTACGTTGCCCAAGGTGGCCTTGAACTCCTGGCCTCACATGATCCTCCTACCTCAGCCTCCAAAGTGCTGGTTTTACAGGCATGAGCCACCACACCCGGCCAAGTTGTAACCTTTCTGGGTCTCAGCTTCCTCACCTGTAAAATGCAGTTAACCCCACTTCTTTAGAGGCAGAATGAAACAATAGAATGATGTAAAGAATGAAACATCTCAGCATGATGAACAGTATTCTCTTCTCTGACTCTTTAAAGAATAGAGACTGTTAGCCCTCAGAGGACATCTAGGATCAGCAATGTTTAACCAAGTTATTCTTTTACCCTTACCACGTCCCGTCCTGCCAGAGCCAAGGCTTCCACCAAGAAGACAAGACCTCTATACTTCAGCAGTGGGAAGCAAAGGGGGCAGGCCCATGGCTGGGAGGCAAACCCAGGTGTGGGTGGAGAGAACAGAAACATACCCCAATTATAGGCAGAGAAGGAATCTGGGATCATATGGCTGCTCCTTGCAGCCTGGGAATGGGCCTCCAATGGCCACAGCCACAACCAGGCATAGTTCTTAAAAGCTGATTTATACTAAAGTATAATGGATTGGTATCAGTTTTCATGATTTTCATGACATCATGAAAATAAGTCATGAAAATCATGACTTATCATGATTTTCTTTTGAAAGAGGGGATGAGCAGAAAGCCAGAGCCCTAGGCCTAAAGGAAGAAGGGGCTGGAGATAAAAGTGATGTCATGTTTTTATAGAGGTATGTTCAAACTGGATTTCAATTACCCCACAACCATAACACTACACCCCAACACCTGCCCCCCCACCCCCAAAAGCCCCACGAAACTAGAATCAGTCCTAAGGTAGAGGTTATTTCAGCTAACACAGTCCTCCTAGACTATACCAGAAGCCAGCTTCTCAGAGGTGAGGCCAGGTCAATGGTAGAAGCAGGCTTCCTTCCAAAATAGCACCCAATCCCTCCCCATAGCAATCTGGCCAACACTATCCACTACTCTTGACTAGGGGGAGGATAAGGGGTTTGCAGGTTGAACAACTTGGCTAACCTGGGTCACTTCAACTGTTTTGCCAAAGAAGCATCCCCTGAAATCCTGGTGGAGAGCATCTTTTCAGAGGCTGGAAGGCTCTAGTCAGCACGCTGTGGGGCCATGGTCCTGCACACAGCACACCACTTCCCACAGCCATGAAACAAGAGCACTGGACTCACACTGACAGGGCCAGGACCTGGCTCAGACACTTGTTGTGTGACCTTGGGCACCTACCATACCTGAGCCTCTTTCCCCATCTCTAAAATGGGGAGGGCAAAACTCTCAGCGTTTTTGGAATAACCATGAAATTGGCTGCAAAAGTGCCACAAGACAGGACCTGTTGCCCAGTAGGCACTTAATAAGTCCGTCTTCTCTCTGCATGAAGAAAGTGAGTTCTTACGGTATTAGAGTCTCCAGGGCATTGCACAGGACTACCCTGGAGACCGGAGGCCCACTTGTTGGGTCGACTGCCACTGGGGAGGGGGAGCAGGACAGAGTAAGTGCAGGTGTCAGGGAACCTGGCACAAACACTGGAGGGCCAATTCGCCTCTGGCTTTTCTCCCGTGGGACCAGCCCACAAGGGGCCTGGCTGGTGACTTCATCCTTCACCAAAATCATTGTAGACTGTAGTTAACAGGCGACAATCACAGCAAGAGAGCCGGCACACTGCTGTAGGCCTGGCGGGGCCCTACAGGCTTCCAAATAAAAGCTCTTTCCGCTTTAAGAACCCAGGCCTCAGAATAAACAATGTGGAAGGAGGCACACTACTCTGGTTTCCACATCCCCTCATCCCCATCCAGTAAAGGCCGTTCCCAGCTCTGCCAGTGAGGCTGGCGGTGAATACAATTTACCCCACCTGCCCCGTCTGGCCCGGCAGCGGCTTAGACGCTGTGGGCAAGATCCCACCTCTCCCCGGGGCCAGCCAGGCACCTACAGGGTGGGTGCCGCGGACACCCTGCGGGGGTGCTCCTGGGCCTGGAGCGAGAGCGGGCTACTGGGGATGCGGGAGACGCGATGCAGAGCGGACAGTGCCGCGGCCCCTCGGACCACTGCCACGACCCCATCCCGACTGGGCTCCAGCCCGCGGCCAGCCAGGCCACTGACATTTGGCCCAACTTAACTTCCTGTTACTAAAGAGGGAGGGGACAGGGGAGGGGGAAAAGGGCGCCCAGTGAAGAGCTGGAACGGGGCGTGCAAGGCTCGGAGCCCCAATCCTGGGAAGTTTGGGGATGGTCTTCTGCCAGGTGACAGGCAGCACTGCAGGCGCGTCACTCCCACCCCGTTTTGGCGCTTGCGATTTTCTAGGCTTGGAACTGCAGGGTTTGGGTGTTGCGGAGCGGAGTAAGAGGTAGTTCGGCGTGCCGGTGGGAGGCTTTTATTGCGTTCTAATTGGTTCAGAGGCCGGCCAGGGCCGCCCCGGGCTTCGTCGCAGCGCCACCTGCTCACTGTGCGCCCCGCCGGGTGGGTTTGAGGCGGGGGATGCTGCGGCCGCACCTGACCCTCCCGGGCGTTGGACACGGCGCAGAGTCCAGCCGAGGCTGGCACGGTCCCCACCCGCGCCCGCCCGCCCTCCCCACCCTGAGGCCAGCGCCGCCCCCGCCTTACCGAAAGTCGCGCGGGCTGCCCGGCCCCGGGTCAGGCCTGCCTCGGCCCTGGCCGCGGGCGCAGCGATCGGGCCCCGCGGGCCACTGACAGAGCTGGGAGCGAGCGAGGCGGCCCGGCGCAGGCTTAGCCAGCCGAGCGCCTGCGGTTCTGCGCCGCGCGGTGGACCGGGCTGGGGAACGCCCCCGACAGCGGCGCGGCCAATGACAGGACAGCACGGAGCCCGCCCCGCCCCCGTGGGGCCGGCTGTCACCGCCGCTGCCGCCGGCGCACGTGGGCTGTAGCCCGGCCCAGAACGCAGGGAGTGGCCGGGCGCTCCCACCCTGACCCGCACAGGGCGGAGACCAGGGGAGGGCTGCTGGGAGTGGGGCGTGGTGGCGCTGCGAGATGAAACCCCCGGTGTTGGTAAGCGGGTATCAAGGGAGCGGCGAGGGCCTGGGCCTCACGCTTCTTGGTCTAGGCGGCTGGAAAGCAAGACACGGCATCCCCTTTTGGACATGGGGGAGCAGCATGGCACTTCTAGTACCGACTGTGTACGTCCTGTGGACCTCCCTCTTTGCTCGGCTCCTTGACCACCCTGAGCTTCCGCAAACCTCCTTGCTAGCTAATAGGATCTTCCCCTCACCTGGCCTTGCTTGGCTAAAGCTAGTGGGAAGGGGGCGGTGGTGCAGACTACCTGTGTTACCTTGGTCAGATCACCTAAACACCCTCTACCTTTGGCTGTCATATCCCTATCTTAATCTCTGCTCTGCCCACCTTCCCGGGTTACCCTTACCCCCCACAGCTCCAGAGAGCAAC
This sequence comes from Homo sapiens, assembly GCF_000001405.40. NCBI lineage: Eukaryota > Metazoa > Chordata > Mammalia > Primates > Hominidae > Homo > Homo sapiens. Next base: position 12,109,931 of record NC_000011.10, on the reverse strand, counting down.
ATTCACAGACAACACAGTGTGAATGGAGTGGGGCCTAGTGAGCAATCAGAAGCACTCTGTAGACTATAACTACTGTAAAACACCTTGTGTTTAAACGGCTCTTGTAGCAGTTATCATGAAATGGGGATCTCCATGGGCAGGAACCATGTCTGACTCACCTCTGGAACCCAGGGCCCATCACAGGGCTTGGCCCGGTGTAAGCATCAATAAGTGTTCTTGGAACTGAGCTACCTAGGCAGAGGAAAACAGGCAGGCTTGAGCAGTGAGAAACAGTATTGTGGCTCCAGGCTGCTGGAATTTCCCCAGCACAAGACCACCTCCAGGAGACACCATGTTCCCTTGCCAGACAAGTGCAAACAGAACAGTTTGCCTCCCCAAACCTGCAGATTATTATTATTTTTTCTCTACTCTACTTCTTGCCATGTGATCCTACTCTCAGCCCTTTGGTGTTTACCAGGTATTGTCCTACCTGGCAGCTCTCTTAGCTCTCTCTTCAGAATTCAATCAACTTCCTGTAGATGAACTTTCCAGCAAAAGCTGTTCCTACCCAGTTTGCAAGGCCCAGTCAGCTTGTACTCTCAGAGGGCCAGCACTCCACTCTGATGGAAATCTGCCTGTGATGCCAGCCTGGGGAGTGCCCTTCACACGTGATCTCATCTAAGCCTGGCTTGACAGGTATGTATTGTATCATCATCCCATTTCACAGATGTGGAAACTGAGACCAGTGAGGTAAAGCAACTGGTCAACATCACATGGTTAGTAAGTATCAGAGTCCGGATTTGAGCCAGATCTGGTTCCAGAATCTACATGCCTAAACACTATGTGCTGGGGCCTCTACAGCACTGCCCATGCCTCTAGGGTACTTGACAGGTCAAGTCTAACCCTGAAAGAGCTGCTCTAGGCCTGACCCACTCCCAGTCCATCCAAACAGTCTGTCAAGCTCAGGCCAGGGCACTGTAAGGGAGAGGAGACTCCACTGGCCTGGCCCTACCTTATTTAGAAGAGTGATACAGGAAACCCAAGGCAGTGAGGAGCTTCAGGAAGCAGTGTTACATCTGTCCCCACCTTAACTACACTGGACATAAAGCCTCTTGCTATTGGCCTGGACCTGAGACACCCATGTGGTGGATAGAGATGGAGACAGAGTCATTCATTCATTTAACAAACCCTACTCCGAACCAAATGTGGTTCCTGCACTCATGTAACTTATAATGCAACAGATGAATAATCAGAAGTACACAATGCTGTCCAGACATGGTGGCTCAGGCCTGTAATCCCAGCACTTGGGAGGCTGAGGTGGGCAGATCACCTGAGGTCAGGAGTTCAAGACCAGCCTGGCCAATATGGTGAAACCCCGTTTCTACTAAAAAACACAAAAAATCATCTGGGCATCATGGCACATGCCTATAATCCCAGCTACTCAGGGGGCTGAGGCAGGAGAATTGCTCGTACAGCGAGACTCCATCTCAAAAAAAAAAAAAAAAGGAAGAAGAGGAAGAAGAAGAAGAAGACCACAGTGCTTTGGGAGCTGTATTCTTTATTACTCTTTTTTTTTTTTTTACAGTTTTATCACCTTACCAATAGCACAACATTCTCCCTTCAGATTAAAACAAGCTTAATGCTATTTCAGGAGCACTGTGGGCCAACCAAGTTTAACAAAGATAGCATTGCTCAGCACAGAAGTTCAAGCAACTTAAAAATTAGAACTTACCAATGCATTCCCAGAACCTCTGCCTCCTCTCCCCTACCCTACTCCCAATCTTTTTAACTCAGGGGGCTCAGATAAGAAAGACTCTTGCTAGGTGGGTGCATCTGAGGGCTGAGAGGTGAGCTTTTCCTTGGACGCAGGGCAACCTGGGAACTGAGAAGGGTTAACTGCATGGAGGGAGATAAACCTGGGGACTTCTTGAGCCAGTGGCCAGAGCCACTCACCACCTCACACAAGCCACCCTTGCTGACCATCTTCCTGGAGAGAGAAGAGGAATGGGTTAAGGATGTCACAACTCACCTTCCTCTGGACTAAGCAGTCACCATGGGATGTCCTGCTGGGCTGTGACTATGTCTAGGAGTTATACAGCTCAGCTCTTCAAATGAAAGATCTAAAGTTAGGGCAAACTTTAGAGGAATATTTATCGAATCCCTTACCTAGCAGATGAAAGAAAAGAAGAGGCCAGGCATGGTGGCTCATGCCTGTAATCCCAGCACTTTGGAAAGCTGAGGTGGGTGGATCACTTGAGGTCAGGAGTTCAAGACCAGCATGGCCAACATGGTGAAACTCCGTCTCTACCAAAAATACAAAAATTAGCTGGGTGTGGTGGCACACGCCTGTAATCCCAGTTACTTGGGAGGCTGAGGCCAGAGAATTCTTGAACCCAGGAGGTGGAGGTTACAGTGAACCGAGATCACACCACTGCACTCCAACCTGGGCGACAGAGCAAGACTCTGTCTCAAAAATAGAAAAAAGAAAGAGAGAGAGAGAAAAAAGAAGAAGGAAGGGAGGGAGGGAGGGAGAGAAGGAGGGAAGGAGGGAGGGTAGAAAGAATAAGGAAGAAAGGAAGATAAAGAAAAGAAAAAGAGGCCGGGTACAGTGGCTCATGCCTATAATCCCAACAGTTTGGGAGGCCGAAGCAGGTGGATCACCTGAGGCTAGGAGTTTGAGACCAGCCTGGCCAACATGGTGAAACCCCATCTCTACTAAAAATACAAAAATTAGCTGGGCATTGTGGTGTGCATCTGTAATCCCAGCTACTCAGGAGGCTGAGGCAGGAGAATCACTTGAATCCAGGAGGTGGAAGTTGCAGTGAGCCGAGATCGCACCACTGCACTCCAGCCTGTGCGACAAGAGCAAAACTCCATCTCAACAACAACAACAAAAAAAAAAAAAAAAAAAGAAAGAAAAGAAAAGGAAAGAAATGGAGGCCCAGAGATAGAAGGATGCTTCTGATGGTCACAGAGTGAGTGAATAAGTGTGTTCCAGGCATGCAATGTCCCTTTCTCACTCTTAGCATGACAGGCAAACTAACTCAATATCTTTATGAAGCAGGCTCAATAGTCTATATTTAATAGCCACCTCTTCCCCAGGCCACTTTTCCAGGATGCTGCTTGTGGAGGTTGTCTGGGAGATGCAGATGGCCACTTAGCACGAGAGGGAGGAAGAGAAGGAAGGCCCAGATTCATCCCTAAATATAGCTTCATCTCAGACGGAAGCAATGGCCTCCACAGCACTATGCATGCCTCCCCCTGAAAGAACCCAGCTGGTGCTCGCGGGCATCATCGTTTATCCACCTGATTGTGTTCAGAGGACTGTGGGGGTGGCAGTTCTGGCTTCCTTTTATTTCCAGCCTAGCAATATGCTTGAAGAGAGGTCAGAGTTGAACTAAGTGGACTCCTGATGGAGATTTTCTGTAATGAAGCCAGGGTGCCCCTCAAGATATTTGAATGGCAGAGAAGACAGTTGCACCGGGCTCTGGATCTCTTCCTGAAGGCCATAGATTCCAGAGAAGGGCAAAACAGTGAGTGTGGTTCTCACTGGCTTCCTCCCCAAGCTGCTATCAAAGTGCTTTGGTCTTTCGGAAGGAAGAGGAAGGCTGGTATCTAGACAGAGTCCAGTGACCTGGTTAAATGATGAGAAAGGGCTGATTGGCCCCGGGCACCTTGGGAGCTGTCCTTGGAGGACTTTCTAAGCCAGGAAGTGGAAACATTTGTATCTCCCACAGACAGACTCAGCAGTATGTGAGAAGCAAGATCCCTGGGGCCTTGTTCAAGCTCTTCATCATCTTTATAGTCCTCAGAACAAACCGCTTGTTCACGGATAAAACATCTAAAAGTTTTCAAGGTCACTAAAAACTCATCAGGCCTACCTCGCTTTAAGTGGCTTTTCCAGAGGTGGTTTAGAGAAAAATGGCACCTGTCTGGGACCTGCTGAAGTCAGTAATGCCCTCGGAGGCACCCCAGCACTTTGGTGAATGTGTGCACGTTGCCAGCAATGGTGAGAAAGTCAGTGCTGGAGAGCAAAGAGCTGTGGCTGCAGGCAGGAGGTGACATCCCAGCCAGATGTAGCAACCAGAGCAAACAGCGATGGAGTGGGTGTGCAGAAGAGAGGGGAAGAAACATAGGGTCATGTAAGTAGTCTAGCTTTAGCCCCAGATAGACTGGGGATTCACAGACAATTGTGAATTCCAGGGGCATAACATAATTCTGACCTCTAGAGATCAACTGATGCCACAAAACCCAGAGCACCCTCATGGCAGGCTGGGCCACACCTGCAGCCTGGGCAGATTCCTGTCCACATAAACCCGAAGCCCATTCCAGAACTGCTGTAACTGATGGATCTTGGGAGACAGCTTTCAACTTGTACTTCCAAACCCTTCCCAGAACAGCTGGCTAGAGGCAAGGACAGGAATATTCTTCTCTGTTCTAGTCCAAGGAGGGAACTCAATCAAGTTCATCTGTCTATCCACCCATCATGTGTCCACCCCAGAAATATGTACAGTGCAGTTAGGCTGGAGGTGTCATAGCCAAGCTATTAATAGGACAGACTCTGAAGTCAAGATGACTGGGTTTGAATCCCAGTTCTGCCACTTATTAACTGTGTGACCTTGAGCAAGGGAGTTAACCTCCTTGTGCAGCAGGTAGTAGGGGAATAGTAATGGGGAGATGCATGCTAGAACAGCGCCAGGCACATAATAAATCATATGTAAGGGTTTGTGAGTAAATATACTTGGTGATGATACCACTAAGGGTATGGAGAACTAGAGTCTGTAGGAGGCATCAATTCTGTAAGCAACTCCTGGTCAGGGACTTGCCTAGTCCCCAGCCTCAGACTTGTGTGTATGTTATAAAGGCAGGTACTATTTTCATCCACTCCTTAGAGATGAGAAAATGGGATTTTGGAGAAGTGAAATCACTGGCCCAGAGTCTCCTAGGGGCCAGCATCTGGCAAAATGAATCGAATTGGTGGACTTCCAAGCCCGTGCTCTTTACAATTCCCAATACTGCCTCCCCAGATCTATCTGGGGTGCTGGGGGACAGCGAGGAGGCTGAGGGGAGTGGGAAGACTTCACAGAGGTGGCATCCCTTCCACTGAGCCTTGAGAGATGAGTGGCAGGCAGATGGGAAGGAGTATGGTGAGCGCTCAGGACAGGCAGCAACTGAAACACGGAATCAGGGATGAGGGGCAGAGCCAGGAACTGCAAGAGATTCCTTCCTTCATTCATTGAGCAGATGCTGACTGAGTGCCTGCCATCTTCCATGCATTATTCTTAGTGGAGGGGATGCAGCAGGGAATAGAACATGAAAGTAATCCAAGATGAAGCTAGAGAGGTGGCAAGAACCACACAGGGGACTGTGGAAGCTAGTTGTTGTATGTGGAGGAGGGAATGAACTGGCCAGCTCCTCCATTCCTCCTTGTTTTGGTAACATCCCTGCCCTCCTGGCTACAGAACTGGACACAGTTCCCAGGCCTGGTGAAACATCAAGCCCCCATGGTGAACAGTCCAACAGCCAAGCGCCTGGTCCAAGCAGAATTCGTTAAGACCAGTGTGTAGATACACAGTGAGAGAGGCTCTCTTTCCATGAAACTTAGGGCTACCAAGAATTGTGTGCCAGGTGCAATGGAGGAAACCTGACCACAAGAAGAGAAAGAGAGAAAGAAACTCCTATAACTGAAGACTGCAGGGGTGAAAGCTCCAGCCACCTTACTCTGCAGTTGTCTCAGCTCTGCCCTCCTCTCTGTCAGCTTCTCTTCAGACTGGTTTTCCTCATGGTAGCAAGTGTCATTGCTCTCATTGCCACACGCTTCCTTATCCAAAAGAATATTTCTGGCCCAGCATTCCAAGCATGGTCCTGAGCTTCATCGGATTGGAGTGGGTCACATGCCCAGTTGAACTGGTGCCATAGCCAGAGGAATGGAATGTGCTGATTGTCCATGCCAGTCAAGGCCCCCTCCTAGAGCTGGGGTGGACTCAGCTTCCCTGAGACACCTGGGCTGCATGGGAGAGGGGGAACACCTGAGTGAACACTGAGAGCAGTTAGGAAGGGAGGAAGGACATGTATACATATGTCAGGTAGATCTAGCACAGGCAGTTGATTTCCATATATGCCACTGGCTTTCTAATGCAAATATCTCGGACTCTGCCTGAGGGTTCTCCCCTAGCCTCAGCAGTAAGCTCAGCCAATGCACAGGGCAGACCAGAAATACAGGTGATTTAACACCACAGGGAGCAACCTTCAACACAGTGTGGGCAAGGGTTTGTGGATATATACCCCCAATTTCTCACCCCTCCGGGTAAGACATCTTGAAGGTGAGTTCTCTATCTCTAGCTCTGTCTCAGAGAGCCCCAGCAGGACTGGGCTCCAGGTCTCACAGCAGTAACCTGTATTGGCTTCCTCCTGCCACTTCTCCATCACACTTCCCCGGTCCCTTACTGGTGCTTCCTGGGGTTACTTCCCAATAAACTGCTGACATTCAGACTCTTATCCCAGGGTCGGCTTTTGCAGGAACCCACGTGAAGACAGGAGCAACTCATCTGCGCCCTTGGCTTTAAAACTCTTCAGGAGGCTCCTCCGTGTGGTATGCAACATTGTAACCTCAATGCACATTGCTTAAACAGCACCCAGCAGGTGGGAGGTGTCAGGAAATGTTTGTTGAAAGAATAAAAGGAAACTATTTAAAAACAAACAAAAAATAGACTAGACAAGTGCTTGTACCACCCAGCAACTATTTCGCTAATGAGCCTGAGCCCTAGTTATAGACCTGGGCCCATATGAAATTTCGGAGGAATTTATACTTTTTACCTCTGGGAAAGTTACATCATCCTGACCTCCTCCCCTATTATCCCCTCCCCACCCCTACTTTCACACATCAGCCCTCACATTAAGCTGCTCTCTAAGTGCAGTACATTTTGTAGTGGATTAATACTTTTAAATGAAAATTAAATTCCTACCTACTTTTCTCTTAAAAGCTTTCTCCTAGGAACAGCTTAGATGCCAAGAGACAACCTAGGGCAGCACTAGCTCTGATTGGTTCAGAAGGGATGTTCTCCTCCTTTTCAGGTGAACGAGGTCCACAGGGGCATTCCAAGCATTACTGTGATGGAACCAAGTTCCCAAATAGAAAAGCCCAAACCAGCTTCACTGGTCAAATTCCCTTGAAAAGAGTTCAACCTCCAACAACCTGGATTCCAACATGTGTGCTCCCTAATGGTGTGAATTGGAGCAAGCCAGTAGGTGGAGATAATAACCCTGTGTTTGTAAGATCAGAGCATAGATCAAATAAGATGGCATATGTAAAGGCTCTCAATTAATGTTAGTTGCCTTCCCTCCTATTTATAAGTGTGGTGGCTTTGTATCATAACAACTTGCTAAGCTAGACCTGTTTTCCAGAATTTCCTTTCCTGGATGGTTCTGAATTAGGACTGGCCATAAGGGATATTTGCATGAGATCAGGAAGGATTTTTTTCTTTTTTTTTTTTGAGACTCCATCTCACTCTAGTGCCCAGGCTGGAGTGCAGTGGTGCGATCTCAGCTCACTGCAACCTCTGCCTCCCAGGTTCAAGTGATACTCCTGCCTCAGCCTTCTGAGTAGTTGGGATTACAGGCATGCGCCACTGCAGCCAGCTAATTTTTGTATTTTTAGTAGAGACAGGGTTTCACCATGTTGGCCAGGCTGGTCTCAAACTCCCTACCTCAGGTGATCCACCTGCCTCAGCCTCCCAAAGTGCTGGGATTACAGGCATGAGCCACCGTGCCCAGCCGTAGGAAGCAATCGTTGTGCCAGATCAGCACAGGTCACCAGGCAACACTGCCGCTCATGTGTTGCTGGCATGGGGCAGTTGCCAGCCTTCCAGCTCCTGCAGCTCACGCAGATTCTCCTCCTTCAGCTTTGCTGAATCTAGGGCCAGGTGCAGGTTCACTTATTTGGTGAAAGGTGCAACCTTCTTCTAAGGGTCACCACATCGTCAAAGTTAGAGGTGATGAGAAATAGACATGAATTCCACCTTCTCCTCAAGGGATCCATTTGTCCAAGTTTCAGCTGGCTCTTGATTTGCCCCTCTTCACAGCAGGTTTTCTTCTCACCTGATGACCCTGTGGATCTACAGCAATCCAAGTCCACAAGTAAACACTGAGGCAACAGCTTTCTGCGATCTCTTTGTCAGCTCCCACAATTATGTGAACTCTAATCCCTATAGTAATTCCCTCTTCTACATATTAATGGTCTTGCTGCCCTGATCAAACCTTAACTGATACAATAGGTAAATAGAAACTGCCGTTTTTCAGGCACCTACAATGGGCCCATATATTACCTTATTTATCTTCACAACATCCATATAGCAGGCTGAGATTTTTAACCCCATTCTACACTTGGGGAAACCAAAGACCAGGGTGGTTAAGTCATAGTAACAGGCAGAACTAGCATTCAAACCCTGATCTGTCCATCTCCTGAGCCTCAGCTCTTGTCACTTAGTCACTCTGAAACTTATCACAAGCACATATCTCATTAGCAGTAAAACTACTGCAAATGTGATATATACTTATTAGAAATAGGAAAAACTTTTAGATATATCCAAAGACATTGCCAAAGAAGTGGCAAAAACAAAAAAAAGGAGGCCATCCCCCCCCATAAAAGATATTAAAACACAGATGAAATGAATTGTAGACTTGCTGGTCATCAGGTAAGTGGCAGATTGGGCAACCTGGTTTAGGCAATATCTCAAGTGCAGGGTTCTGGTCCTTCTGTATAAGGGCAAGGCTGAAAAGAAATTTGACTTCTGGCAGAAATGCAATAGTTGTTTCTCTGCACAGTTTACCACTCAGCATTCTTCCCGCTGGCCAACAATCTCTGACAGTCCAACTGGGAGAAAATCAAAGAAGCCATTGAGTGAAGGCTGTGCTGGGTCTGTGCCCAAGAGTCACAGGATCCCAGAACAAAGTGGGAAGGCACGAGCCACAGCCGCCTTCTAAGAATGCCTGAGCGGCCAGCCCTCGAGGTTTTCTATTTCCCTAAGGACCAAGGGAAGCATCTTAGAACAAGGCTATATAGCTGCTCTGTTGACAGCAGAGAGCAAAGCATATTTATGTTGCATGGCTCACTGTGCGCAGAGGAGGGGGAATGGGAACTGGAAGAGGGGCAGAGGGAGGACCAGGAAAGAGATGGCATGAAACATCACCCTATGGATCCAGCCTGTCTGTCCGTTCCTCCCCCATCCCTCCTGATCTCGGCTTCAGGCTTAGTGCTACCCTTGTAAAAGGCTCTCCCTGTTCCTTTCCACCCAGTGAGAAGACTGTACTACAGGTCACCACCTTGGGAAGTCTTCCTTATTGCCCCAGTTCATGCTCCTTTCACATTCTGCAAACAGACTCACCCACGTCCCCGTGAAGTTTCGCGTCCTCGCTAGTGGTTGCTTACATGCCTATGACATCTCCTTCAGAGAAGCGCCCTACCTCTAACATCTTTTCCTCCTTGTATTAAAAATAGGCTTTATCTTTTGTATAATCAAAGCTGTGCCCAATCAAAAAGGTCAATCAAAAGGAATAATGTAAAAATAAAAAAAGACATTCTCATTATCCAGGGATTGGGGCCATTACACCTTGGAGAATATGGATCAATTCACATTATCAACATATGTACTTATGAAATCTTGCAGCTATAGAGGCCAGATGAGAGGGTTAAGGGTTTGGGCGTTGTAGTTAAACCAGCTTGGGGTGGAATCTCAAATCTAGCTGTATGACCTTGGATAAGTGAGTCTCTCTGATTCTCAGCTTCCTCTTTCATCAAATAGGGGTAGTGAAGTTGTTATAAAGTTGTCATAAAGTTGGCCAGGTGCAGTGGCCCACATCTGGAATCCCAGCACTTTGGGAGGCCAAGGTGGGCAGATTATTTGAGGCCAGGAGTTCAAGACCAGCCTGGCCAACATGGTGAAATCATCTCTACTAAAAACACAAAAATTAGCCAGGTGTGGTGGCACACACCTATAATTCCAGCTTCTCGGGAGGCTGAGGCATGAGAACCTGGGAGGCAGAGGTTGCAGTGAGCTGAGATGATGCCACTGAACTCCAGCCTGGGTAACAGAGCAAGACCCTGTCTCAAAATAAAATAAAATAAAATTCAAAGTAAATTCACAGTGTTGTACAACCACCACTATCTGGTTCCAGAACATTTTTCTTTCTTATATGGGAGCTGCTTCACACATAGTTTCAGAACATTTTTATCACCCCAAAAGGAAACCCACACCCATTAAACAGTCACTCCACTCCCCCTTCCTCATAGTCCCCAGCAACTGCTAATCTGCTTTCTGTCTCTATGGAAAAATCACTATCTTTTATCTTCAGACTTTCTCTCTCCTTTAGTTTTTCCTGCAGCATTAATTGTAGTCAAACTTCTCTCATCAAACTGAACTTTAAAAAGGAAACAAATCACAAAAAGAATGAAAAAAGATGTGGCATATCTACTTGAGCCACTGGCCCTGTCTCTTACCATCAAACTTCTTTAAGAGTGATCCATCCATGCTTTTTCTCTCTGCATCCTCCAGTTTCACTCACCCTAAACCCTATAAGCTGGCTCTTGTTAGGATGCCAGAGCCCTCCTAGTGGTCAAATCCCTGTTATAGAGCCAAAAATACTTTTGGCTTTTAACTTCCTTAATTTCTTTGCATCACAGGACACAGTTGACCACCCCTCTTTGAAACTCTCTCTTCCTTTTTCTTTTTCTTTTTTTTTTTTTTTTTGAGACAAGGTCTCACTCTGTCACCCAGGCTGGAGTGGCACAATCTCAGCTCACTGAGGCAACCTCTGCCTCCCCAACTCAGGAGATGCTCCTACCTCAGCCTCCCAGGTAGCTGGGGCTACAGGCATGCACCACCACACCTATTTTTTTCTTGATTTGTAGAGATGTGGTTTTGCCATGTTGCCCAGGCTGGTCTTGAACTCCAGAGCTCAAGTGATCCTCCTGCCTTTTCATTCCCAAGTATTGGGATTACAGGTGTGAGCCACTGCGCCCAGCCATCTTCCTTTGTTTCCCAAACACCACTGCTCCACCTCAATTTTCCATGCCATAAGAGCTTCTCTTCCTGCTCTTCTCCCTCGATGTCTCTCCTTGAGTGACCACATTCCTCACCCCTGTCTCAGCTATCATATGGGCACTGGAATTCCAGCTGTCTCCCAAATTCCAAATTCATGTTCATCTGCCCTTGGATGTTGCTCCCTGGATGCCTTCAACACATCTCAAAGTCAGCATGTCCAAAGTGCATTGTCCAAAACCCTCTTAATGATCTATATTCCAAATCTCACTGATGGTATCACCATCCACCCCATTTCCCGAACTGGAATTCTTAGTGGTTCTTCTGTGGTTCTGTGGTTTCTCTCTTTGTCTAAATCTTCTTTTCCAGTTGGTTAACAAATCCTTTAAATTATAGTTCAGACACATCTCTTGAATCCCCTCCCCACTATTCATCCCTATTGTTGCTGTCTTAGTTTAGGTTCCCAATATCTCTCCTCTGAACAACTACAATTACCTTTTTAAAAGAGACTGAGTCGCATTCTGTCACCCAGGCTGGAGTGCGTGGTGCAATCATAGCTCAATGCAGCTTCAAACTCCTGGGGCTCAAGTGATCGTCCCACCTTAGCCTCCTGAGTAGCTAGGACTACAGGCATGAACCACCACATCCAGCTAATTTCTCTCTCTCTCTCTTTTTTTTTTTTTTTAATACATAGGGTCTCGAACTCCTGGGCTCAAGTCACACTCAGATTGCTCCTTCCTACTTTGCTCTCCCTAGCCTTTTCAAGCAAACCTCCATTTTAGCATTTGTCACAGTATGGTCATTTACCTGTCTCCTATCCTCTTGCCTTGGCATGCAAAGCACTGGGATTACAGGTGTGAGCCACTGTACGCAGCCTATACACCTTTTTTAAAAATTCATGACCAGGCTCATGCCTGTAACCCCAGCACTTTGGGGCCGAGGCAGGAGGATGGCTTCAGCCCAGGAGTTCAAGATCAGCCTGGCCAACATAGCAAAATGCCATCTCTATTAAAAATACAAAAAAATTAGATGGGCGTGGTAGTGCACGCCTGTAGTCCCAGCTACTCTGCAGGCTGAGGCATGAGAATCGCTTCAACCTGCAAGGCAGAGGTAACAGTGAGCTGAGATCTCGCCACTGCACTCCAGCCTGGGTGACAGAACGAGACTGTGTCTTAAAAAAAAAAGAAATAAAAAAAAGTTACATGTTTTCTCCATAACTGGCAGAGTGGCATCTTAAAATACAAAAGTCATGTTATCATTCTCCTACTTAAATACCTCTACCTCCTACAAAATACAGCAACTCTCCTCTGTCTAGCCCTGACTACCTCCTCACCCTCATCTCCCTGCAGGATCTGTTACAAATCCTCCATTCTCTACCACGGCCTTCTAGATGAGACTGCCTCCAATTTCTGGCCCCAGAGGTGGGACACATGACTAGATTAAGCCATCAGCAGTCTCCACCTCTGTGGCCCCAGTCATTGGCTCAGGCCCAAACCAGAGCCAATGAAATGCAATGCTAGGTTTTTGAGATATAAGAACCTCAGACCTCTTCTTTGCACTGGATGTGAGGGAAGCAGGAACAGAGATTGGAACTGCTGCATCTTGCAACCAATGGGAGACTTAGAATGCAACCATCACTGGGAAAAAAGGAAAACACTATCCTGATGACATCTTTTGAGACCTGGATCAAACCCTTTCAGGAACCATATAGCCTTTGACCATCTTTTAAAAATCTAATGTAAGCCAATACACAACTCCCCTCCTTTATGGTAGATGCATCGGTGCATGGTAGACGCAACTGGCAGTGATAACTTAAGCATACCCTGAGAATGACCCTGTGTAACAGACGCACCTGAATGTGTGTTTAGAGTTCTGAGCTAAGGAATCCCAGAGTGGCCAACCCGGAGACTCATTCCTTATCTATGAGGAACATCTGAGTGCCCCCAGCCCAGCCACAATTCCATACATGGGATCCAGGCCCTTTTGAGGGGTTAAATGCAGTTTGTCAAGTGGAGGTTGTTAGGGGGAGGGTGTTAAGTGAAAATGCTATGTAAACTGCATGGTTTCGCAGCAGTGTGGTTCTTCTGCCCAGTCCGCCACCACTGGACTCTCTCCCCTGTTTGTGAGCCCCAGTAAAACCCTATGTCTCGTTTGCTGGCTCTGGGTCTCTTCTTCAGCCCCTTGAGGCTGGTGCCATCTCTCTGGGAGTTGATAGGGGTTTGGCACAACACCTTACCCACTTCATTTTCTATTCTTAAGATAGTTTAAGCTAGGCTTTGTGTTGTTACAAACCAAACTCCCTACTCATTACCCTTGAAGCCAGTGTTTCCCAAATGTTGCTGAACATTAGAATCACCTGGAGAGCTTTTAAATCCAACCGCCATGTCAATTAAGTCATAATATCTTGGGGTGGGAGGCAGGAATTGGTAGTTTTGAAAGATCTCAGGTGATTCCAATGCATGGTGAAATTCGGGAACCACCGCTATGAGCAAAGTGAGCTGCTTCCTTTGGGCTTCCCTAGCCCCCTGTCACCTATTTACCAGAGCTCTTCTTATGCTATATTGCAGGCCTGCCTCCCATTTTGGACTCTGACCATGTCAACAGCAGACTCATGTCTTTCTCTTGTCTTGCACATGGTAGGCCTCCAGTAAGTGTTAAATAATGAAGAAATGAATGAATCAATAAATGAGACAGGTCCATGCAATGTTCTTGTGTATTTTTTCATTCAAGGTACCTTGTAATGGGCATAAGGCGGGGAAAAAGGTCTCAGAGCATACCTTTGCCCAAATCCTGGTGATCCAGGGCAAATACTTTGCTGTTCAGTGCCTCCTTGTCCTCATCCATAAAATGTAAATAACAATAGCACTTACATCACAGTGATGTTGTCAGGCTTCCATAAGTCAATATATGTAAAATTCTTAGAACGTTGTTTGCTATGTAGCAAGAAATGAGATGGTAGAGACTGAGTATAGATGGTTCCTTGCAGAATCGCTTATGACTGGAAGGGGCACACAGTGGGGGAAGAAGCAGAATAAAGAGTAGTTTGTAGTATTTTCATTTTTAGGCTGCAAGCCTTGAGCATGTTTAGAAGCTAAAAGGAAGAGCTAGGTGAAAGGGGGAAACTGAGGTGTGGAGAGAAGCAGATTCAATACCCAATAGAGCCAGGTCTGCAGTAGATGGGAAGATGGGTCTGGAGAAGAGGGGACAGGACGAACCAAGGACCAGAGGGGTGTGGAAGCCTCAAGACAAGAGGAATCACAGAGAAGACAGATGCACAATATTCACACCTGTGTATGCTCCGGGAGTTGCTTTGCTTCTCGTGCAGTTTGTTAAATTAGGTGAATTTCATTCAGGTGGCTGGAAGTTTACTACACTGGGGTGGAGAACCAATTACTGCTTGCTGGCAGAACAAAAGACTTGTAAAGTTCTGCTGGACTTGCCCTGCCCACAGTGGCGACAGCACACAATCAGGTGCTTTCAGAGCCACCTGAATAGAACCTGTTATTTGGACCCAGGCCAGGTGAAGGCCTTACTGCTTCGTATTATTCATCACAGAGCATTTCGATCTATTTTAAAGGAACTCTTTTCCTGCCTGAGAGAGGAAAGCACTTCTCTATGAAGACCACAACTTTATAACAAGAATCGTTGTCATGGAACTTTACCTGCGGAGTGTTTGTTATTCAAAGCTTATTGTGCTTATAAGTTTGTCAGCAGAATGGTTAGAGGTCTCTTTACTATTTTAGATAGTAAGTTTCTAGCCAAGAATGTCCTTGAACACTCCTCCACCCGTCCCAGCTCTGTCTCCTTATCTGTAAAAGAAGGGCATGGGCCTGCGGGCCTGCCTGCTTCCTTCCTCCCTCCCTTTCATCAACATGTGTTTGAGCTCCTATCATAAGAGGGAACAATGTAGGTACTCTGCAGAGATAAACAAAACCTGATTCAGCGCTTGTCCCTCCATCAGAGAATTAGCAGTTTTGCAGGGAAATTATAACCAGTCACTCTGTTGTAGCTGAGTTTTTCTTTTTCTTTTCTTTTTTTCTTATTCATTTATTTTTTTGAGACAGAGTTTTGCTCTTTCGCCCAGGCTGGAGTGCAGTGGTGTGACCTCAGCTCACTGCAACCTCTGTCTCCTGAGTTTAAGCGATTCTCCTGCCTCACCCTCCCGAGTAGCTGGGACTGCAGGTGCCTGCCATCACACCTGGCTAATTTTTGTGTGTGTATATATATATATAAAATAATATTATATATAATATATTATATTTATATATATAATACATTATATTAATATATATCTATAATACATTCTATTAATATATTATAGATCTATAATATATTAATATATTATACATATATATAGAGAGAGTTTTGTTTGTTTGTTTGTTTTAGTAGAGACAGGGTTTCACCATGTTGGCCAGGCTGGTCCTAAACTCCTGACCTTGTGATCCGCCCACCTCGGCCTCCCAAAATGCTGGGATCACAGGTGTGAGCCACCTCGCCCAGCTGTAGCTGAGTTTTTCATCACCTCTCATTTAAATCCACTTTCAGTGGATTCCTAGTCGATCGCTCTGACTTCACTCATTTTTCTGCCCACTACCTGCCAGAAGGATCTTTCTGAAGCACTTGTCCAGTGTGAATGCTGCCCTCCAGCCCACAACATGACAGAGAGTTCCTTTCTCTGTTTTCTTTACTCACGTGCTGCTCTCCTCATCCTCTGTGTCTGGCGAACTCCTCATCCTTCAAGCCCAGTGCCATGCTTTCTCGGTACTCACACTCTCAGCAGAATGGACTGCTCCTTCCTCCCGTGCTGTCTCTAGCCTTTGCAAGCACATCCCCGTTTGAGCATTTGTCACAGTGTGATCATTTACCTGCCTCCTACACTGGGGAGGGCCGGACCTTCATTAGTCTTGGTACCTCAGTGCATGACCCTTAGTGGGTGATGAATTAATGATTGTGAAGTCATTGAGTGTCATATGTGAGAAATAGACAAAAACACCCCTCCTTTTCCCCTCCCAAGCCATAACCAGGCTACTGGGGGAATCCGGCAGACCAGGCACATGGGGGATTTTTTTTCCCTAATGTTTCATTTTCTTTCTTTCTTTTTTTTTTTTTTTTTTTGGAGATGAGGTCTCACTATGTTGCCCAGGCTAGTCTTGAACTCCTGACCTCAAGTGTTCCCCCAGCTTCAGCCTCCCAAAATGCTAGGATCACAGGCGTGAGCCACCATGCCCAGCCATGCTAATATTTCAAACATAAGGAAACAAAGTATGACACCGCAAACGCTCATGCGCCGGCCATCCAGCTTTCATGAATCTTCTCCGTTTGCCATATCTGCTTCAAATATTTTCTTCCTTTAAAGACATAAACATAGTTAATGCACACTCTGTGCCCCACAGGGATCCATTCCCTTTCTCTGGAATTTGGTGTTCATCATTCTAATGCGTGTTTTTACACATTTACTACAAAGGCGTATATTTCTAAACAATGTTTTATACTTTTAAAAATGTTTTTAAACATCTTACCTTCATGAAGACTCCTGTATGTGACATTACAATTTGATTTTCCTGTCAATGTTATCCAGATACATATGAGCGTCTTTCTGTTCCCTGTCTTCTGCTCCAATGTCTGTTTGTCTATTTGTGTGGTGATTCTTTAACATCAGTGCCTTAATAATGGATTTTAATAGCTGGCAGCTAAGTCTCCCCTCCTTGTTCAAAGTAATTTAAGCTATTCTCTGGCCTCTCTTCCATGTGAATTTTAGAATTAGCTTGTAAAGCTTTGGGAAATTCCTTACTGAAGTAGGCATTTCATTCAATGCATATATTACTTTGAGAGGAATCCTCATCTTTATGGTACCGCGTCTTCCCCTCCATGCACCTGGTAAGGCTCTCCAGCTAAGGAGACCTTTTGTGTGGGATGTGGCAGTGCACCCCAGGGCATCATTCCCAAGGCATCCCCAGCAGCAGAACAAAGAGCCTCTGAGAGACCTCTCACTGCGTGTGAGCAGAGCCCAGCCAGCAGGAACCAACTGCCAAAGTGAGGCCAACCCAGAGATGCCAAATAAGCTGAACGCACGATTTCTATCCCCTCCAAATTCCACTTGCAGCAGATACTGCTAATCCACCCTAGTGCTCTCTTCCTCCAAACCCAACGCCCTCAGCCTCCTTTCTCACATGGCACTTCAGGCAGCCCCTAAATAAGTCAGGCACACCAAGTGAAACCTCTGTGCACCCAGCCTAAATCTCACGAAGCAGACAGGCATTTTCTGGGACCCTATGACAACCCAACACTGGTGTCTCTGAGGGGACTTCATGGGCCTGCACGGAGCTCTGAGCCTACCCTGTTTCACAGGCACAAGTGCAGGCACATCAGATGCACACTCTCCTCACCATTTTAAAGATTGCTTCCCCAGGGAGAAACAACTGATTTCAGGCAAACCAATGAGCCGAAAAGGCTGAATGGAGAAATATTTTGCTGGGGGAACTGGTGTTGACTTTTCATTCCAGCCACCAGGCTACTCTGAGTTTTTCAATGTGCAGAAGGCCTTCACAGCTGGTGCCTGAATGCCTGGCGGTAGAAGCTATCTATGTCTCCTTCCACCTCTTTTTGGAAACAAATAATTACCATGTATTACAACAAAGATCACAACAGAGGTCTGTTTAGGGATCTCTGCCTTGCTCCCATCTGTACCTTTTGTCCCAGCACCCAGTAGACACTTACCATATCCTGATGCAGATTAGAGCTCAGCAATGTTTGATGAGTGTCACGTGTCAAGCCCTGGGTTAAAGGATACTTTGTCCTACTTTGTCTGCACCACGGTGGTGAGTAAAATCTCCATGTTGCAGATGAGAAACAAAGGCTCAGGGAAATAAAATGACTCCTCCAATCAGGGCTACTTAGCTAGTCAATGACAGGCTTGTGAGCCAAGATCTACCCACCTGTGATGGTGGAATCTAAGTTCAGTGCCACCTGCTCATTGCTGCCTGCTAAGGAAGGGAGGAGAAAAGGGAGGAAGGAAGGAAAGGAAGAGGAGACAGAGGGGCAGGGACAGATCATAGAAGGAAGAGAGGGAAAGGAGGAAGTTGAGAAAGAGGGGAAGGGAGAGAGGAGGGCGTGAGGGAAACTGGTGGTGGTGGAGGCTCCAAACCTGCCTTCCTCTTCTCTCTCCCGGAATCTGTGTCCTGGGGGAGGTTGTATGAATCTGGAAGCCCATTCCAGACTGATCTTGTATTTCCCTTGCAGTAAGAAGAGGAGGAAGAGGAGGAAGCTTAGGAATCCTCTCTGAAGGGGACATGGTTCTTGGAGGCCTGATTTGTATTGGGGAGAATCCTGAAACCAATCACTGAGGGAGCACTACCCTTTATGATGGGGATGGAAAAGCCACAGCAACCCTATGGCCTCTAGTTTTGGAGAGGGACTCAGCTAAAGACCAAAGGAAGCACCAGAAAGAAGAACTGAAGAGTTTAATTTGGTTAAACATAAATAAAAATAAAAACATCTCTAGAATATAGAAACTATCTCTAGAAGTCCGGGTGTTGTGGCTCACACCTGTAATCCCAGCATTTTGGGAGGCTAAGGCAGGTGGATGACCTGAGCTCAGGAATTTGAGACCAGCCTGGGCAATATGGCAAAACTTCGTCTCTGCCAAAAATACAAAAAATTAGCCGGGTGTGGTGGTATGCACCTGTTGTCACAGCTACTCGAGAGGCTGAAGTGGGAGAACTGCTTGAGCCTGGGAGGCAGAGGTTGTAGTGAGCCAAGATTGCACCACTGCACTCCAACCTGGGTGAAAAAAATAAAAGAAAAACTATCTCTAGGGGTGGAGCTCTGGGGAATGTTTTCTCTGTTCAAATGTTCTACCAAGCAGATGTATTACAGTGGATGTGATTGCCTTTAATTTGCTTGATTTGCTGGACATCGTTCAAAGGTCATCCCCAGGTATCAGTGGATGGATAGGAAGGAGAGTGTGTGCACTGAGGGTGTGGCTGTGGGCCCTGCAGGGGAGGCACCACAGGGAGGGGCTGGCACTCCTATGGGCTCAGACGCTCAGGTGAGTTGCCCATTACATAAGGTGCATTGCTAGGGCATTAGCTCAGCCAGGAAGGAACCACTCTGGACTTGTGACTTCACTTTCCCCCCTCCCTCTCTCCTGTTCCCACCCCCCACCCTGGCTCCTTCTTTTTTCTTTTTTTTTTTAGACGGAGTCTTACTCTGTTGCCTAGGCCGGAGTGCAGTGGCACGATCTCTGCTCACTGCAACCTCTGCCTCCACGGGGTCTCCTTCTGATAACTACTGAAGGAATTCTATGAGGCTATCTCTCCCCCAAGCTCTCTGGGGGAATGGGTTTAATTAAAAACCAGTCCAGTTTGCCCTCAGTAGGAAACAGGGCAGACAGGATGTTGGTGCAAAGCAAGCCAAAAACCTAGTCAGTATGGAAGGCATCTGCCTTCTTCCTGTCGTGACCCTCTGGGCTCAGCTCTGAGACCTGCCGGGACAGGAGTAGCGGGGGCCTAGGGCCCTCAGGGGGGTTAACATACTGGCTGCTGACCTGGCAGGGGCTCTCAGGCAGGTGGGCAGGGCTCTGACAGGAGGAGTCTCTGGCTTTTGCCAAAGATACTTGTTTTCAGGTGGGTAACAGCATCTGGCTTCTGAAGGAACTTCCTCTTTGAAGCAGGAAGTGGTTTTGGATTCAGGAATAGGGCGTGGTCTAAAAGGAAAAATGATAGGGGAAGTTGGCAAGACCATAGAATCCCAGCTGAATGGGGTTAAGGGGACTTCTTGCTCACTGGAAAACCTGGGGCAGAAGCTCAGTTACCCAGATTGGGCTGGGGAAAGGCTGGAGCTGAGAACAGAGGTGGAGGCCCAAGGCAGGGAGCCTTCTCAGGAACCTTGGGTCATAAACGCAGATCTTTTTCTTTTTAATTATTTTAAACATTTTTTAGTTTTACTTTAAGTTCCAGGATACATGTGCAGAATGTGCAGGTTTGCTACATAGGTAAACATGTGCCGTGGTGGTTTGCTACACCTATCAACCCATCACCTAGGTATTAAGCCCAGCATGCATTAGCTATTTGACCTGATGCTCTCCTTCCCCCTGCCCTGCCACAGGCCCCAGTGTGTGTTGTTCCCCTCCCTGTGTCCATGTGTTCCCATTGTTTGGCTTCCACTTATGAGTAAGAACATGCGATGATCACAGATCTTAACCCTTTCTCTCCCACTGCCCAGATGGGGTTCCCACTACCAGGCCAGGTCTAATTTCAGCAGCTCCTGGGCCTGGGTGAAGCTAAATAAGGCAGTTGAATATCTCTAGCTCCTGTGGGTAGGCCTGGCTGGGGAGAGCAGAAATTGATACCTTTAGTCTCTCTGTGTGAGTAATAAGGTGAGAATCTCAATTTGAACCTGTGAATAATCTAATTTTTTCCTCCACCGCACCTAGTACTGGCAAAGCACTCGGCTTGCATTGCCTGGATCCACTCTCTAATGAAATTAGACAATTATATTTCCTCATATCCATACTGAAGAATCCTTAGAAAAATGTAAAAGAGGAAACCAAGACGCAGCGAGGTGAAGGGTACAAGCTCATTCATACCAGGGCTTTCCCCTCTTCTCGTGGTCCTTGAGGCAGTGATCACTGGTCAGTCACTGCATTCTTTCCTGCTGACCCCAGAGCTGGCGACAAAGCTCAGAAGGGCCCTGCAGGCCTTTCCCCCAGCAGCTCAGTGTTTGCCATTCCCTGTGTGATGAAGTGGGTATGCAGGGAGGCTGGACAGAAAGCAGTGCTGCAAGGAAGATGGAGACCTGGAAAATAAAAATGTCTGTCTGTGTTACTCATTGCTTCAATAATGCTATGCAACTGTGGCAGATTGTATTTCCCAAAGATGGCCGCAACAATATCTCCCATCCTATCTTCTCTTTTGAAATGTGACCTTGCCATTTCCCTATCAAGATGTGACATCTATGTTTCCAAGGGTCGATGCTGTGATTGTTTTGACCAATAGAATAGAAAGAAAGTGATGCCGTGCCAGTGCTGCCACAACTCTTACCTGGCCTAGCAGCATCCTCTTCCTGCCTCGTGGAACCCAGCACCCCGGTGTGAAAAGCCCTTGCCCATGCAGAGGTCATGTGCAGTCAACAGCCCAGTTGAGTCCAGCATGAGAGCTGGCATCCAGTGCCAGCCACCTGGGTGAGCCATCCCAGGCACCCACTCAAGCTGAACCTTTCGGATACCTGCAGCCCTAGCCGACATCTGACTAATCATCTGAAAGCCCCCAGGTGGGAATTGCCCCACGGCGACTAGTCAATGCGTAGAACCTTGGGAGATTGTAATAAATGAGTATATAATACATTGTTTTAAATCACTAAGTTTTGGGGTGGTGTGTTACTCGACAATAAATACTAGAACAGAAATAGACTACCCCCAAAACGTATGCCTTAAAACAACATGTATTATTTCTCATGAGTCTAGTTGCTCATGCATCTCGGGTCCGCTGGCAGGTTGGCTGGAGGATGGCTGGCCTGGGGTGGCCTCTGCTGGGACAACTCGGCTCTGCTCTGTGTGATATTTCATTTCTCATAGGCTAGCCCCAGCTTGTTCTCATGGCAGCAGCAGGGGTTTAAGAGAGAGACAGTAGAAGACACAGGCTTCTTAAGACCTAAGCGTGGAGCTGGCACATTGTCACTTTCAATAAACACTGTTCAAAGCAAATTTCAAGGCCGGCCCATATTCAAAGGGTGGGGAAATGGATTCTGTCTCTTGATGGGAGGAGCTACACGGTCACATTGCAGAGGGTGTGGATTGAGGATGCAGAGGGTGTGGACTGGAAGGGATAGACGATTGTGGCTGTTTTTGCAATCAGTCTATCACAATAACTAATAAGGATATAAGAAGTTTGCTAGGAGCCGCGTATAGTGGCATGCCTCTGTCATCCCAGCTACTTGGGAGGCTGAGGCAGGAGGATTGCTTGAGCCTAGGAGTTTGAGGCTGCAGTGAGCCATGATCATGCCACTGCACTCCAGCCTAAGTGACAGGAGGATGCTGTCTTTAAAAAAAAAAAAAAAGAAGAAGAGGAGGAAGAAGTTAGCTGGGGAGTGTAAATTACAAGTTCCTCCTCTGTTTTCACTGACATCATTAGTTAGGCCTCCATTGCTCAGCATTACCTTTCACTGTTTTAGCTTTCCAGCCTCTATGGAGAAAGGAAAGACAGAAAGAAACCGTGAGGAGCTGTGTTTGGGTGGCCAGCCAAACTTGCCAAGTGCTCCAGTCCTGTGGCTTTCAACAGAGCTGGGCGACGCCCTGGTGCACTGTGGCAGTTTCTCAGGGCTACCACAAGGGAAATGGTTGAGTGTAAGTGTGAGAAACCCTGAGTCCCCACCTTAACCAGGGCAGTACTCTTCTTTCCTTGTGATTTCCTTTGGAGAAAGGTTATGCATCTTTAAAAAATAAAAATATTTCAAATCCAGTGAACTAGTCTAACCTCTCAATCTTACAGAAAAGGAACCAGTCTTAGTGAAATGGAGTGTTCTATTCTACATTACTCTGCCACTGAGTGTCTTGGCCGGTGTCAGACTCCAGGCTGCTGACGTGCCATCCTACCTGAGCTCATTCTTCTGCCTGACTCACCCCTCCCCTCACTGGGTTCAAGAGACAGCAGATTGCTGAAGCCCAGAGAACAGAAGAGAACTGAGGAACATCAGAAGGGATGTCCCTGACCTGTCACTGCTCCAATTCTCTACTTTCCCACCATGGTCCATAGTCCTTGAATCCTGAGCCTCAGCCACCACCCTTCCGCACATACACACCCTTACGTGATGATCCTGACAAGGCTTGGCCCCCAGAACCACAGACAATTCCAGGCATCATATTGGCAGGCAGGCTGAGCTGGCTGGTCAACCCCAGGGTGGAGCAGGGCACACTTGGGGGAGCTGATCCTGCAAGGGCAGATGGAGCTCCATCTGGGAGAAAAGCTCATTTCCCAAGAGAAAGCTTGGTCTTGTTTGGAGCCTGTGATCTCCTTGTTCTCCTCCCAGTTTGTTAATTCCATTTCTTCCCAAGTTCATTTTTTTAGGACATGGGCTATTTATAGCTCCCCCTAAGTCCTTTCCAGTCTGTTTCCTGTTCAAGTATACTGCATTAGTCACCAGAAAGTGTCTCAAGCAATCTCTGTGTCCCTGCCTGATCCCGGCCACAGGGAACACGGGGATGCTGGTCAGACTCAGGGTGGATCCCCTTGGAGAGATGGGAAGCAGGAGGCAGGAGGCTGGCTAAGGGGGCTCATGGGGGCAGAGGGAGCATCTCTTATTCCCCATCCTTTGTGGTATCAAGCCCTGAGTCCTTCCTGGAGTTTATCTAGTCCTTGGAGACACGGAAACTGCAGGGGCACCTCCATTTGGCTGCATATTTTTGCCATTACTTGATGACCTATTTGCATGCAGCTCCTTGCAGAGAATTTCCTCTCAAGCCATATAGGGTGATTTCATTGCACCACATGAAGCTTTTATTTGCAGTCAGTGATCAAGGCTCCTTCCTGACTTCCTCCTGCCAGTCCCACATCCCTCCTGTCCACTGTGACCTGCCTAGGCTGCTCTGAGCTCCCTGCAAGCTTGGTTCTCTCCAAGTGTGGTTGCTCCAGGAAATTACCAGCTTTATCTGAGGAGAAGGTGCTGGAGATCCAAGCTGAGTTTTTGTATCAGCAGGATGCCAACATTGCCCAGCAGCCCTGGCCACCTTGCGGGCTTTTATCAGCCTCCACAAATCCCTAGCAAAGGAGTTGAGTGCAGGGTTTCTGACCCTGAGCTTGCTGACACTGAAGGGTCAAAGGAAAGAAATGCGGAGGGAAGTCCGAGGTTTTGTTTGCACAGCTAGTCATCAGGCAGCCTACATCTCAGAGACCAACATTTTCCCAAACTGTAGTCTCAGTACTCCCCAGCCCCAAACAAAGGGACTTAATGTCCCTTGAACAAAGCTTCCGAGGGCCTCAGAGATAACTTGCTCTAGGTTCTTCTTAAGGGGCAATGACCTCTGTAGTCCCAACCTCAGTGTTGCCCAACTCAAAGCAGCAAGGGACCAACTGATACCCACTGGTCACTGAGCACCTGCTTTATGCCAGGCTGCCTGCTGAGTGCTTCAGAAACAAGCCCTCTGAACCCTCCGAAAGAGTCTTGATGAGAAGGTGCTTGAGCTAAACGCAATCTTCCTGTCTCACTCAGAGAGGTGGCATACACACCAGCACCCTGAGCGGAGGAGGTGGAGGAAATCGGGCATACAACATGGATGCCAGGTTCCAGCCCAGGCCCAGGCATCCCAGGGCCACTCCTGAGCTGTGATGCACACCAACAATCTGGCACAACTATTTTTATTTCCACTTGGTTTCCATCCGAGGAAATCATGAGACTGTCTCCCCACATAGCACACTCAATTACATCCTTGGGAGCACAAGAGCCCAGAAGATGCAATCAGGGATGGCTGAGTCAGGCGCAGTCAAGGATGAGTTTGCTTCTGAGAGTGGAGGTCTCCGGACTGATCCCCAGGGTATGGGGGATCCAGGAGAAGGGTGGGGACATGAGCACCAAGCAGGGACTTCTCTTCTGGGACCACAGTGGTAAATTTGGAAGTGAAAAGAAAGTGGAGGGTGACACTGTCATCCAACCTCCTCTTAAAACAAGGCTGTCTCCCACTTCTACTTTTTAGATTATGAAAATGAATGCACATGCAGAAAAGTGCATAGAAAATTATACATTCTAATAAATAACTATAAAGCAAACACCCATGTCCTCACTACTCATGTCAAGACATAAATCATTGGCTGGGCATGGTGGCTCACGCCTGTAATCCCAGCACCTTGGGAGGCTGAGGTGGGCGAATCACCTGAGGTCAGGAGTTCAAGACCAGCCTGGCCAACAGGGTGAAACCCCGTCTCTACTAAAAATACAAAAAAATTAGCCAGGTGTCGTGGCACATGCCTGTAATCCCCGGTACTCGGGAGGCTGAGACAGGAGAATCGCTTGAACCCAGGAGGTGGAGGTTGCAGTGAGCTGAGATTGCGCCATTGCACTCCAGCCTGGGTGACAGAGTGAGACTCCGTCTCAAAAAAAAAAAAAAAGATGTGAATCATTGCCAGCACCCCAAACCCCTTGCGTGGCCCTATCTGATCATACTCATCCCCTCTTCCCTAGAATATGTGGTGTCTCCATCCTTTCCCTTTAGTTTTACCTCCTGAGTTTGCATCCCTAAAGAAAATAGTTTCATTTTACCTACTTTGAGCTTTACATGAATAGAATCACTTTATGGAGTTTATGGGGTTTCTCCATATCTGGCTTTTTTTGCTCAATTGTGTCTAAGAGATTCATCCATGTTGTTGTGGTAGCTATATTGAATTAATTTTCATGGCTGTATAGTATTCCACTGGCTAAATATGCCATATTTATTTATCCATACTACTACTGATGAACATTTGGGTTGTTTCCAGGTTTTAAGTACTATGAGTGATGCTGCAATAAGTATTCTTGGTATGTATATCCTGAAGTAAATGTGCACATATTTCCCCAGGGTTTATATCTAAGAGTGGAATTGCTAGGTCATAGGGTATGTGTTTCTTCACCTTTACCAGATAACAACACATTGTTTTCCAAGTTGTAGTGCCTTTGCTCTCTTTTTTAGACAACTGCAACAGATACTTGGGGAAGGAGACCACAGGTCCAGAATTACTGGACCTGCAGAGATGCTTCAGGTGGAAAAACTTCTCCAGAGAAATTAATCTGTATGCACCTTTGTTTCTCTCTCTTCTCACTGCCGGTCCCTGCCTCATTGTTCCAGACTCTGCTATTGCAGCCCTCCATAGCAAAGCACACTACTTCCCAACCTCGGGTTCAGTTCATTGTGGTTTCCAGACTCATCTGGTTAAGGACATGGTGGGCAGTTGTCATGTGAAGGTTAGTCCAAGGGTAGTGGGACCCCAGTCATCAGACAGGAAGTCAGAGGAGATGACTCAGGATGGGGGCTTACAAATCTTACAATTAAGACCAAAAACTCACATAAATAGTTTAACAAAAAAGGAGAATCTATGTGCTTGTAACAAAATATAATGATAGGCCTGCCTTTAAGAGAAGCTTGATCTAGAATCTCAAACGATGTCATCAGACTGGGTTCTTGGAATATCTTGTCTCTGCTGTAGGAGAGTCAGCAATCACCAAGAAAAGGTAAGATGAAGATGCACAGAAAAGATGAGACCTTGGAACAGGAATGGACAGCAGCAGTCCTGTCATCGGCAGGATCTATAACTGGGGACAACTCAGAAAGTGCCCCTGCATCTCTGGACACAGTGGGTGCCCCCTGGTGGTCCTAGTACCTGGGGAACCACTCTTTTAAGCTTAGGGGTTGGCAGACACACACAACTCTATAAAGGCATGTTCACATCCTCAGATTCCTAAAAATGTTAATCTATTATTATTCTGAGCATTTGGAGAGGACTCCCAGAGAGGAAAAAAAAGGAATGTTCTTATTAAAGAAAAATTTTGAATACATTTTCTATACTAGAAATTGGAACCTGAGGTCTGATTTAAGATTTGGCAGTACTTCCAAGTTGGGGAGGAAGTTTCATTTCTAAATGCTGTTAAAACTTCTGGGACATTTCTTTAGTGTATGAGACCAAACGGACAGCATATTTGAACTCATGGCTGTCTTGGAAAATCCTAGAAGTACAGTAGCTGCATTGATTTTTAATAGCATGTATTAGGTTTGTTTTTTAATTTAAAAAGCTTATCCACCATGATCAAGTGGGCTTCATTCCTGGGATGCAAGGCTGGTTCAACATACGAAAATCAATAAACGTAATCCAGCATATAAACAGAACCAATGACAAAACCATATGATTATCTCAATAGATGCAGAAAAGGCCTTTGACAAAATTCAACAACCTTCATGCTAAAAACTCTCAATAAATTAGGTATTGATGGGACGTATCTCAAAATAATAAGAGCTATCTATGACAAACCCACAGCCAATACCATACTGAATGGACAAAAACTGGAAGCATTCCCTTTGAAAACTGGCACAAGACTGGGATGCCCTCTCTCACCACTCCTATTCAACATAGTGTTGGAAGTTCTGGCCAGGGCAATTAGGCAGGAGAAGGAAATAAAGGGTATTCAATTAGGAAAAGAGGAAGTCAAATTGTCCCTGTTTGCAGATGACATGATTGTATATCTAGAAAACCCCATCGTCTCAGCCCAAAATTTCCTGAAGCTGATAGGCAAATTCAGCAGAGTCTCGGGATACAAAATCAATGTGCAAAAATCACAAGCATTCTTATACACCAATAACAGACAAACAGAGAGCCAAATCATGAGTGAACTCCCATTCACAATTGCTTCAAAGAGAATAAAATACCTAGGAATCCAACTTACAAGGGATGTGAAGGACCTCTTCAAGGAGAACTACAAACCACTGCTCAATGAAATAAAAGAGGATACAAACAAATGGAAGAACATTCCACGCTCATGGATAGGAAGAATCAATATCGTGAAAATGGCCATACTGCCCAAGGTAATTTATAGATTCAATGCCATCCCATCAAGCTACCAATGACTTTCTTCACAGAATTGGAAAAAACTACTTTAAAGTTCATATGGAACCAAAAAACAGCCCGCATTGCCAAGTCAATCCTAAGCCAAAAGAACAAAGCTGGAGGCATCACACTACCTGACTTCAAACTATACTACAAGGCTACAGTAACCAAAACAGCATGGTACTGGTACCAAAACAGAGATATAGACCAATGGAACAGAACAGAGCCCTCAGAAGTAATGCCGCATATCTACAACTATCTGATCTTTGACAAACCTGACAAAAACAAGCAATGGGGAAAGGATTCCCTATTTAATAAATGGTGCTGGGAAAACTGGCTAGCCATATGCAGAAAGCTGAACCTGGATCCCTTCCTTACACCTTATACAAAAATTAATTCAAGATAGATTAAAGACTTTAATGTTAGACCTAAAACCATAAAAACCCTAGAAGAAAACCTAGGCAATACCATTCAGGACATAGGCATGGGCAAGGACTTCATGTCTAAAACACCAAAAACAATGGCAACAAAAGCCAAAATTGACAAATGGGATCTAATTAAACTCAAGAGCTTCTGCACAGCAAAAGAAACTACCATCAGAGTGAACAGGCAACCTACAGAATGGGAGAAAATGTTTGCAATCTACTCATCTGACAAAGGGCTAATATCCAGAATCTACAATGAACTCAAACAAATTTACAAGAAAAAAACAAACAACCCCATCAAAAAGTGGGTGAAGGATATGAACAGGCACTTCTCAAAAGAAGACATTTATGCAGCCAAAAGACACATGAAAAAATGCTCATCATCACTGGCCATCAGAGAAATGGAAATCAAAACCACAATGAGATACCATCTCACACCATTTAGAATGGCAATCATTAAAAAGTCAGGAAACAACAGGTGCTGGCAAGGATGTGGAGAAATAGTAACACTTTTATACTGTTGGTGGGACGGTAAACTAGTTCAACCATTGTGGAAGTCAGTGTGGCAATTCCTCAGGGATCTAGAACTAGAAATACCATTTGACCCAGCCATCCCATTACTGGGTATATACCCAAAGGATTATAAATCATGCTGCTATAAAGACACATGCACACGTATGTTTATTGTGGAACTATTCACAATAGCAAAGACTTGGAACCAACCCAAATATCCAAAAATGATAGACTGGATTAAGAAAATGTGGCACATATACACCATGGAATACTATGCAGCCATAAAAAATGATGAGTTCATGTCCTTTGCAGGGACATGGAGGAAGCTGGAAACCATCATTCTCAGCAAACTATCGCAAGGACAAAAAACCAAACAATGCATGTTCTTATTCATAGGTGGGAATTGAACAATGAGAACACATGGACACAGGAAGGGGAACATCA
Source organism: Homo sapiens (assembly GCF_000001405.40). NCBI lineage: Eukaryota > Metazoa > Chordata > Mammalia > Primates > Hominidae > Homo > Homo sapiens. The sequence goes on along the minus strand of NC_000011.10, from coordinate 12,080,975 downwards.
CACACCTGGGCCTGTTGTGGGGTGGGAGGAGTGGGGAGGGATAGCATTAGGAGATATACCTAATGTTAAATGACGAGTTAATGGGTGCAGCACACCAACATGGCACATGTATACATATGTAACTAACCTGCACGTTGTGCACATGTGTCCTAGAACTTAAAGTATAATTAAAAAAAAAGAAAGAAAAGAAAAGTAAAAACTAAGTGGCCCAAAGTCCCACTGATGAGACAAACTCCTTGGCATTAAAAAAAAAAAAAAAAAAAAAGATCTCATGCATGTTATTTATAGAGAAAGGTGTAAAATGAGAAAAAGCTAAATCCTCTTCCTTAGCCTCCCTTTCCACAGGGACCCACTAATCAGAGTTTCTTACTTTCTAGAAGATTATTTCTTTAGCCACCAGACCCAGAGCAAAGGAGGATTGGAGAATTGCTCTGTTAGAGGTCCCACCTGAATGGGGACAGACCCAAAACATTCCAGGCCCTCTGACCCCCTCCCAAGCATGCCTCCGTGCCCTGGCTCCAAGTGCAATCTTGCTAATGGACTTGGGCTGCCTCCCGCTGCCCCCCCGCAACTCACCACGGCACCGCCTCTTGGGGAAACTCACAGCAAAGGAATATTTACTGAATGAGAAAGCCCTAAAGGGAAGAATTTTCCCACTGATTACATGTCTGCTGCTTGAGAACATTTACTCTTATTTTTTCCAACAGTGATTCATCCAGGAATCATCAGAGACAGCCTGATGGGGATGATGACGTTTTTCCCTCCCAAGCTTTGATCAAGGTTATATAACTTTGTGCTGGTTTGTGCTTAGAAGCCTCATTTCCCCTTTGCCACTCACCCCCAAAACTTAGGGCAGAAGACCGTATAGTGCCTGGGGTTTACATTAGTACAAAATCACTTTCATTCAGGATAAAGTTCTGTATCCATAAACATGCCTTTACATGACACCGGGCATACACGACATGGGACCTGAAGAAAAGGACAAGGCACTGAATAATTTTTATTTATTTATTTCTTTATTTACTTATTCATCACGTATGTAGTGACTGAGAATTTGCCAATTACCAGGAACTGCCCTAGACGTTTAACACTTTTATGTGAGCCTTAAAAGATAGACGCGTTCATGTCCTTTGCCTACTTTTTAATGGGATTATTTTTTTGTTGTAAATTTGTTTAATTTCCTTGTAGATTCTAGATATTAGACCTTTTTTAGATGGATAGATTGCAAAATATTTCTCCCATTCTGTAGGTTGCCTTTTCACCTTGATGGTAGTTTCTTTTGCTTTCAGAAGCTCTTTAGTTTAATTAGATCCCATTTGTCAATTTTTGCTTTTGTTGCAATTGCTTTTCGCAATTTGGTCATGAAATTTTTGCCCGTGCCTATGTCCTGAATGGTATTGACATGAACAGACACTTCGCAAAAGAAGACATTCATGCGGTCAACAAACATTAAAAAAAAAAGCACAACATCACTGATCATTAGAGAAATGCAAACCAAAACCTCATTGAAATACCATCTCATGTCAGTCAGAATGGCAGTTATTAAAAAGTCAAGAAACAACAGATACTGGTGAGGCTGTGGAGAAATAGGAAGGCTTTTACACTGTTGGTGGGAATGTAAATTAGTTCAAACCTTGTGGAAGATGGTGTGGTGAGTCCTCAAAGATCTAGAACCAGAAATAACATTTGACCCAGCAATCCCTTTACTGGGTATATACCCAAAGGAATGTAAGTCATTCTGTTACAAAGATACGTGTACACATATGTTCACTGCAGCACTATTCACAATAGCAAAGACATAGAATCAATCTGAATGCCTATCAATGATAGACTGGATAAAGAAAATGTGGTACATATATACCATAGAATACTATGCAGCCATTAAAAGGAATGAGATCATGTCCTTTGCAGGGACATGGATGGAGTTGGAAGTCATTATTCTCAGCAAACTAACACAGGGACAGAAAACCAAACACCGCGTGTTCTCACTCATAAGTGGGAGATGAACAACGAGAACACGAGAACACAGGGAAGGGAACAAACACACCGGGACATTTTGGGGAGTGGGATGGGGGAGGGAGAACATTATGAAAAATAGCTAATGCATGCTGGGCTTAATACCTAGGTGAGGGGTTGATATGTGCAGCAAAACACCATGGCACATGTTTACCTATTGAACAAACCTGCAAGTCCTGTACATGTACCCCAGAACTTAAAAAAAAAAAAAAGATAACCATGTTTTCCGAGGCCAATAAGGGGAGAAAGGCAGCTCAGAAGTAAGGCACAGTGTGTGCAGAGGTGCAAATGTCTGAGAGGAAATGCAAATCACCCACTATGATTAGATTCTGGAGTAAGCGAGGGCCAGTGGCAAGCATGAAGCTGGAAAGGTAACTCGGGGCTGGATGATGCAGGGCTTTCAATCTCAAAATCATCAATGGGGACTTGACTTTATTTAATTAATTAATTTATTTATTTTTGAGACGGAGTTTTTCTCTTGCTGCCCAGGCTGGAGTGCAATGGCGCAATCTTGGCTCACTGCAGCTTCCTCCTCTCCCAGGTTCTTGTGACTCTTCTGCCTCAGCCTCCCAAGTAGCTGGGATTACAGGCACCTACCACCATGCCTCGCTAATTTTTTTATATTTTTAGTAGAGATGGGGTTTTGCCATGTTGGCCAGGCTGGTCTCGATCTCCTGGCCTCAGGTGATCTGCCCGCCTCTGTCTCCCAAAGTGTTGGAATTACAGGTGTGAGCCACAGCGCCCAGCTTGGGACTTTATTTTAAAGGCCTGTGGGAACCATTGAGGGTTTTGAATAGGAGAGCTGAATCACTCAGGGACCCAGCAGAAAGAGATGACACATTCAGATGAGGGTAATTTGAGGAGTCTTATGAAGAGACTATTTACTAAGGTTTGGGCAGTGTGTAGTACCACTACTAGGTGTAATGCTCTATGCAGAGCAAGTGATGTCAGGGCTACCGAGCAGGAAGAGATTCGGAAGGAGCAGTTGCTGAAGTCATGTGAAGGTCACTTTGGAAGAAGCTGTGGCCTTTGGTTGCAGTGAGGAAGCTAGGGCATAAATACCCCAACCTCACCCTCCCCACCATCTGACCCCCTGCAGGTTCCCTAACACTGGCCAAACCGAACAGAAGCCAGAGCCAAGGGAGGCCATTGTCATGGCCCATATGGGTCAGCCTCCCAGGGCAAAAAGCAGGATAGAGAAGGGCAGAGAGTGGATCAGAGGAGCAAATGAAAGATGTCCTGCATGAGTGGTGTGATCGGATGAGCTGTTCAGCAAGACCATCTGGGCAGAGTGGAGAATGAAAAAGGCAGAGGGAGGAGGACAGGAAGAAAGTTCAGGATCTGAATTAAGCATCATCATGGAAATGGGGAGGAAGAGAAGGATTCGAGGTAGAACAGAGACAAAGGAGGAGGGAGGCTGGATGGTGGCACCATTAACTAGCAGAGGGAGTCTCGAAGAGAAGGCACTGCTATTGGACAAAGAAATCACTCTTCCAGCCAGCAAAGGTTGCTATAGGTGGGAAGACAGATGGCTTCCCATGTCCCTATGCTGGGCAGAATCATAGCGGTTTCTACTGTCCTTCTCCTTCCACTTCTGTGCCTTTTTCTCTACCACTCAGCAGCTCCTGAGTACCCATGTTAGTGTAGGTCTGCCCTCCTCAAGGTTCCCAGGCTGCAGAAGGATTTCTCTGCCCCACTTCTCTCCCCTGTCCGTCAGTCAAAACACCTGTTCTTGAAAGAAAAAACAATTCCAATAAAAACTGAGTGACTGCTAGCTCTCTGTGGATAGAACTGCAAAATTTAAAGGATATACTATGATGAATCTCTAAGAGTCTAAGATAAGGAGGTTTTTACTTTTAACTCTAGACATTCCCAGGGGCACTCTGAAGCCCCAACTCCACCCAGTTCCCTCCTCCTCAAAAGAACACAGTGCCTACTCAGAAATGTGGCAATCCCTAATCTGGCATTATGTATTTACTCAGGACTTTCAATGGTGGGTGCACATTTTAAGTTTCGCTTCTTAAGAAGTGCATAGTACATTTGGAGACAGTGTAGACCTAAGCAGATTCTAAAACAAGGCAACCTCAGTAAGCTTTGACAGTAGGGTCTCCATGGGTGCCCTCTCCTTCCCCGAGTGAAATCGAATTGTTCCACCCACGGAGCTGCCTTAGGGTAATGGAAGGTGCTGGAGGGGGAGGCTGTGTTGCTAGGTAGCCGTCTGCTGTCCTGCGGTTGCCCTGGTGATGATGGTTTGTGTGTATAAGGGGGTGCTTGGTAGTTACTTGCTGAGTGTCTGTATAAGCAGGCTGGACTTTTCCACCACGATACATTCCTTGAAACCATGTCATAATGTGGTTCATCAAAATTCCCCAGAGGAGCAGGATTTGTTCTCCTCGAGGGGTTGCGTTCCTGCCCAAAGACGCAGCCGGAGATAAATCATAACTGTGATCAACAATCTGTCGTAAGCAGAAGGCACAAGTGCCCAAATATCCTCAGTGAGTTCCAAGGCTAAAATTATACTCCAAGTCTCACCAGAAAGCTATCGCTTGACTCTGTGTGAAGCCCTGTGTACCATGTTCACTCATTCACTCACTCATTGATTCATTCGGTGGCTGTAGGGGTCACCGTGGTTCGCTCCCAACATCTATTCCACCTCGGATGATTCATCTTCTTAGCCAGGATAATGGGTTGAATTGTGTTCCTTAAAAAAGATATGTCAGCATCCTAACCTCCAGTGCTTCAGAATGTAACCTTATTTGGAAATAGGGTATTTACAGAGAAGATCAAGCTGAAATGAGGTTATTTGGGTGGGACTTAATCTGACTGGTATTCTTATGAAAAGGAGAAATTTGGACACAGACATGCCTACAGGGAACCTGATGTGAAGACACAGAGGGAAGGCCATGTGAAGACAGAGGATTGGAATCATACATAAATGAGCCACAAAGGCCAAGACTTGCCAGCAAACCACCAGAAGCTAGGAAGAGGCAAGGGAGGATTCCCCTGCAGCCTTCAGAGGAGGAATGGCCCTGCTGACACCTCAAGTTTGGACTTCCAGCCTCCAGAAGTGTGAGAAAATACAATTCTGTTTCTTCAAGCCACCCAGTGCATGGTACTTTGTTACACAGCCCTGGGAAACCATGTAGCCAACCATGGTAGTCCCATCCTGTTGGCCCAGTCCTTGCCAAGGAACCATAAGAGGAAGACTGCTGGGCTGGATTTGGAGAAAGGTTTCTGATCTTTCCCCACCTGTGCCTAGATGTGACTCTAGTAGTTGCTGCAGTCATCTTATGAGAGCCTAAGGCACAAAGCCCTTGCCAAAAAGGACAGAGAGTGGATGGAAAGAACCTGGTGGCAGAAGACCTTGCTGAGTGGCCATTTCAGCTGAGCTGCTTGTCCTGCCTCTGCACTCCCTGTTATGTGAAACAATCCATGTCCCTGTGGTGTAAGCCAGAAGTTGGAGTGAAGCCCCCTGACACGTGTCCATGGATCGACTGCATGTGCTCAGTGGTTCTCCCTGCCACCTCCATCTCAGGCTAACTGAGCCTCCACCCCTTCCCAACCTCTAGCCTGCCTTTCAGTTATTTCAGTTATTGATTGTGGGAAACTTTGCAAAGATCACTGTAATGATTTCTCCCATCTCTGTGCACTTTGCGATGTGACTTTACTGTTTCTCCTACCAAGCAGTGGAGTTTATTTCTTCATCCCTTGAACTCAGGCTTCAATCCATGTGACTTGCTGTGGACAATAGGAAATGAGCAAATGAGACACAGATAGAGGCTTATGAAGCACCCACTTATCAGGGCTTGCTCTCCTGGCTACAATGGGAGCCCTGAGGCCAGGATGCGAATAGGCCTGAGTTAGCCTGCTGAACAGGCCATGTGGACGCCAACCAAGGTGTTCCAGCTGACAGCCAGCACTAACTGCTAGATGCATGAGTAAAGCCACCTCGGAAGACCTAGCCTTAGCCACACTGCCAGGAACTGCAACAGCATGAACGATCCCAGGAGAGCTGAGCCCAGCTGAAATCACAAAACCCACAGCAAATAAAATGGCTGTTGTCTTAAGCCACAAAGTTTTGGGGTGGTTTGTTACACAGCAATAACTACTGGATACACTGACAATCTGACACAGCCCTTTCAAGTTCATTCACATGCCAGGCACTGTAGGAGGCACTGTGGATGCAGCCACGAGAAAGAATGCACATGAGCTCTGCTGTCTCAGGACACTTATGACATTATCACATACCAGGCACTGCCAAAGGCTTTCCATGCTTAATCCAGATGAGAATATCACAGTGTCACCACCATCTTCCTGATGAAGAAACCAAATCTCAGAGGAGGTAAAGAAATTGCCAAATGTGGCAGACTGTATTCTCCAAAGGCAGCTGCAACGATATCTGCCAACTGACATGCTCTGCTTGGACCTTGCCAGGGCCCTATTAAGAGACAGAGTCTGATGCCCTTCTTGAATCCGGGTGGGCTTTGACTGTAAACCGATACAATGAAGCAGAAGTGACCTACCGTGACTTCTGAGGCTTAGTCATAAGAGATGCTACAAGTTCCACCTTATGAGCTGGGGCACTCGCTTTTTTTTCTTTCTTTTTTTTTTAATGGACACAGGGTCTTTGCTATGTTGTCCAGGCTGGTCTCAAACTCCCGACCTCAAGCAATCCTCCCTCCCCAGCCTCACAGATTGCTGGGATTACAGCCATGAGCCACCAAGCCCAGCCTGGCACTTACCTTTGAAGCCCGGACTTCCAAGAAAGAAGTCGGGTGACCCAAAGTTGCCATGCTATGAGAAATCCTAGCACACACAGAGAGCTCACATGCAGGTGTTCCAGTCTAGGTGGAAATCCAGGTGATTCTAGTCCCCAGCGGTTGAGTCATCCCCCAGACATTGAACCTTCCCCCTTGAGGCCCAGATGTCATAGATCAGAGAAATCCTGTCCCCACTGTGCCCTGTCCGACCCACAGAATAAGCATAACTAAATGGATGTTTACTCTACTGGGTTTTGGGGTGGCTTGTTACACAGCCAGAAGATAGAATACCTATGTTTACATTGCTAGGTAACAGGAAGGGGAGTGAGGATGCTTCAGACCCTAGCAGTTTAACTCCTGAGTCTGAGCCCCTAACCACTCTCCTGTTTTCTCCCCGTCTCCTCTGTGATCCTTCTGCTCCCACACTCCTCCCTCACCAGAAGAGAAGCATGGCTCCCCTGATGCCACCTCGTCATCATCAGAAACCACTTCATTCCCCACATGCTGGCCCAAAGAGGCGGGAGGGAAAGGAACAGGTGTGCTTCTTACTCTGTGGCTTCCAGGACATCGCCTTCCGTGGCGTCTCCTTTTTGCAATTTCAGTCACCCTCTCTTACCTGGGCTTCGTGAAAACACTCTCCTAACCTTTAGGACACGGTCCCCCCTTCCTCCATCATTTCAGTTCCTGCTTCACAGGTGCCCTTTGCTCCCCCATTGAAGCCCACATGAAAAAAATGTGCCTACTGGGTGAACCTCCAATGGGTCAGGCACATGGTAGGGATACAACATTGAGAGAGCTCCGTATCCATTTCCTATGGCTGCTGTAACAAATTGCCACAAACTTGGAGGCTTACAACAATGCAGATTTATTATCTCATAGTCTTAAAGATCAGAGGTCCAAAATGGGTCTCACTGTGCTGAAATTGAGGTGTTGGCAGGGCTGCGTCCTCCAGGGATTCATTCCTTCACCTTTTCCTGCTTCCAGAGGCTGCCTGGGTTCCTTGCCCTTTCCTCCACCTTCAAAGCCTTCAGTACGGCATCTTCAAACCTCTCTCTGACTCTCCTGCCTCCCTCTTCCACTTCTAAGGACCTTTGTGATGATACTGGGCCTGCCCAGATTATCCAGGAAAACATCCCCATCTCAGGATTCTCAGCTTAATCCCATCTGCAAGGTCCTTGTGCATGTAAGGTGACATAGTCACAGATTCTGGGATGAGGACGTGGACGTCACTGGGGACACCATCATTCTGCCTACTGCAAGTTTTTAGGTGAAGCACCCCCTTGGGTGAGGTTATATATTTACAGCCGAAACTGCCACTCCTCAGCTACATGCATCTTCTCTCTTTCCTGGACACACAATTCCTTTTCTTGTGGTCAAGCACAACAACGATGCCACTGTTTATCAGAGAACAGAGTTCTGGCCAATGGGGTGTGGGTGTAAGAGATGGGCAGTGCTTGCAGGCTCACACAGACTCACACGACCACCTCAGATGAACGCTTCCCTTTGCCCATCCATAAGTTGAGTGAAGAGTACCCAGGGTAAGGTAGAACCACAGGATGGAAGAAGTCAGGGTCCCTGAATGACACTGGAACAGTCTCCCTGCTGACTCACTTTGTATTTTGATACGAAAGTAAGATATTAAGACATTGACATTTGAAGGTTGGTTGTTACAGAGGTTAGTCTACACTGGCATTATACAACTATAAAAGTGTACTTTAAAAGAATTTGCAGGCCGGGCACAGTGGCTCATGCCTGCAATCCCAGCACTTTGGGAGGCCAAGGCGGGTGGATCATGAGGTCAGGAGATTGAGACCATCCTGGCCAACATGGTGAAACCACATCTCTACTAAAAAAATACAAAAAATTAGCCGGATGTGGTGGCACATGCCTGTAGTCCCAGCTATTCAGGAGTCTGAGGCAGGAGAATCGCTTGAACCTGGGAGGTGGAGATTGCAGTGAGCCAAGATCGTGCCACTGTACTCCAGCCTGGCAACAGAGCAAGACTGTTTCTAAAAAAAAAAAAAAAAAAGAATTTGCATAAACATACTTCATAAAAGTTATATGGTACTAAATTTTGTAAGTAAATATAGCATTTGCTTACTTTCACAATAAGTTGGTCTATGACATAAACTCTATGTGAACAAGAAGTTTCCTTGACCAACAACAAAATGAAATCAGGGATTCTGCTACTCAGCTGTAGTCCGCCCTCTGCACCTGATTTATCTCTGTGTTTTGTATTGACTGCTTACACAGTATTGAAGGAGTTCTGATGAACATACATTAGTAACCGCACATGGTAACAAGCATTTTTTTAACTTGTAAGCTCCAGAAACTCTTCAATAAACAGATTGTTAGAAAAGCTCAATTCTGAGGTCAACACAGAAACTAGTTAACTGCGCAACAGGAGTTAATGTTTGAGAGAGCTTCCACTCAGATTTATTTACTCATTGTTTACTTTCAAAAGGATCAAAGATGATTTACCCAAAAACCTGCAGGAAAAATGAAACCAAACAAGGCAAGCAAGAACAACAAGATATGAGCCCAGTGGTCAAGCACCTGGAGTTAGGGATTATGTGGGCCAAGATGCAAGAGAGAGGGAGAGAAAGAGGTAGGGTCGGGGGTGCTTGGGGAGGGGTGGGCAGAAACATTCCCTGTGTTCTTGGAAATGTCATATATTCTCCAAAATGGTCCTTATAAGCAAATGACCAAAGGGCCTTACAACTAGATGATCATGTGTCTGGCTAGAGTTAAGAGCTGAGATTCCTACAGTTGTTCATCAGAGTCTGGGCCCCCCCCAGCGCTGGTACATACAGACGTGGAAAGAGAGGCTGGGGAGAGCCTGGGACCCCAGAGCAGTCACTTCAAGGCAGGGATCAGCATTGGTACAGGGACTGGGTGGAAGGCGAGTTCTGAGGAGCCCCTGTTCCATCCTGAGGAGCCCCTGTTCCATCCACTGCCAGAAACAGTAGAAGGTTCTGGAAGTCCTGCCAATGGCCAAGCAAGGCAAGTCTGAGAACTGGCCCCACTGTGGAGCCCAGGACTGCAGGAGAAACCACTTCTCCCAGACTGGCCTGGGCAGCTCACACCTGCCGAGTGTCTGCTGCACCACGAAGGAAGCTGGTGGGGAGGAAGGCCACTCCCATTAACCAAGCACCTATTTTGTGCCAAGCAGCACACTATGCCCATTGCACATATTTCACTTTGAACAGCAACACTGTGTGTGTGGTAGGTGCTTTTAACCCCTGATTTAGAGATGGAGAATTGAGCCTCAGCAAGATTAGAGAAGTCAGCCCCAAGAGCACATGGCCATTCATGGCGGAGCTGGGATTCGAGCCCGCACTGCCCGGAGCCAACGCCCATGTGCTCAGACAGCTGCCAGAGGCTCCAGCTGCTCCCTTCAGGCTGCACACGCCACGAGTGTCAGGTCACCCCCTCTTAACTTGGATCTGACAGAAATAGGCCAGAGTGGGGAGGCACTGTGGCCCTCATGTCACAATTAAAGCTATAAATGTTCTGAAGGTGGGGGGTTTAGAACAACCAACCTTGGCTGGGGGTGAGTGAGATGTCTGAGGGAGCCGCAGAGCCAGGGTACACAGCGTGCACACCAGCGTGGCAGGGGACAATGTGTTCCCATCTTCGGAGGCCCTTTGGTCCTCATATTTCGTAGACTCAATGACACAGACCTTCTGGAACATCAGGAGACTCCTCAGAACACTCTGAACCTCTTATTGTTTACACAACAGCAGCTGCTATGAGATTCCCAGAGCTAATCCTTGTGCAATTACCCATGTTAGAAGTGAGGAGACTGAGGCACAAAGAGATTTGCACCTAAACTGGGATCCAAAAACTGGTGAGGGCTGATAAGTGGGTGGGCTATGGTCCCCAAGAATGTCCATTATAGGTCTGATGCTCTGATGGTGGGTTTCAATTAGTAGCAGCAGTAAACATCTCCAAATAAAATGTTGACTTTACCTCTGTGTTGTGGGCCCTGCCATTTGTGAACCGGATGGGCAGTAGTGGATGGTGATGCTCAGAGTTCTAGATGCCAGGGGTTTGATGGTGGTAGAAGTGGCCATCAGAGCAGGCACCCCACATAATTGCCCAGCCACATCCATAGAATGGGGCTTCTCTCATCATTAAGACAACAGATACGTGTCTTCATAAGGCCCCCAAACAACCAGCCTTTTAAATTTTGTTACTTGTTTTGTGACAGTATATAATCCTAAGTCACCTTTCTAAGTGACACTGACACTTATCTGAATCCCAGCGGCCCAAGCAGGATTCCATGGATAACGAAACCCACTTTGTCCTTTTCTTTAATAAAGTTGTCACCCGAATCCCTGCCCTCTCAACTCTCCACTATGAAATATGTAAGCCGTGATTATTTTTCCAAATGATACTGAAGTGCGTAGACTTTCAATAAGAAATGACTCGGGGTATTTTATTCAGCCAGAAATTGATGTGGATGTTTCTACAAAACTCTCATTTGGGTACTTTCTTATTTAAAATTTTTTCATGAAAATTAAGCAGCATTTTTGCATAATTGAGTGTTCTTGGGCATTTAGTTTTTTATGGCTGAATGTTTTATTTGAAAGTCTACATAAATTCCTTTGTGAAGGGAGGTGGAGCAGCAAGAAGAGGGAAAGAGGAGAGAGGAACGCGGCGCAGGGCCTGGCTACATGGGCCCCAGAGCACGTGTCGGCTGGGCAAGGGAATGGGCAGATGAATGAATGGAACGATTGTCAAGCAGGGGACGTACGTAATCATTGCTCCTCCCTGTCACCTGCAAGATCATCCAGAAATCTCTGATAAACAAACACCTGCCAGTTCAGGGCTCAGGGCCCTCTTCAGAGATTGGAGGCTACCTGGGACCCGGGACAGAGCAGTGGCTGATGGATACCAGATGCGACACCTACCCTTCCCTGCTGGCCGCCTGCTAGTTTATCAAACCCCTCCACATGGTTTCCTCCTGGGAGGAACACCCCTCCCAGGAGGCGGAGCAGGGATCTTCCTGTTGTACACTTGGGTTCTGCACCTGGAGCCAAAAGGAGCACTGTGCCCAGCTGGAAGAGGGGGAAGTCAGAATCAGCATGCAAGTTGGATGTCAGTGTGGTGAGGCCACTCTAAGCATAGGAGACCTGACAGGTGCCAAGTCCCAGCCAGTGTCTCAACCTTCATAAACCCGCACACTTAGATATCTCTCCCCACGAGGCCACAAAATTGAATTTGTAGATTAAATGGTGAGAATAATAAGAATATCATGTGTCCATTTTCTTTTTCCTTCTTTTTTTTTTTTTTTTTTTTTTTTGAGATAGAGTTTTGCTCTGTCACCCAGGCTAGAGTGCAGTGGCGCAATCTCGGCTCACTGCAACCTCCGCCTCCCAGGTTCAAGAGATTCTCCTGCCTCAGCCTCCCGAGTAGCTGGGATTACAGGTGCCCGCCACCGTACCCGGCTAATTTTTGTATTTTTAGTAGAGACGGGGTTTCACCATCTTGGCCAGGCTTCTCTCGAACTCCTGACCTCATGATCCACCTGCCTCAGCCTCCCAAAGTCCTGGGATTACAGGTGTGAGCCACTGCACCCAGCCCATGTGTCCATTTTCAAACAGCACACCTCCTTCATCTCAGACTCTGGAAAAGTACCCTAGGGGTCCCAGGCCCCACATACTCCACCCCTCCCAAGTGAGACTGCCCTTCAGTGAGAGACAGGGGGCTGGTCCCCTCTTCTCTGTAGGGTGGGACCATAAAATACTTCTGGTAGGGGGGAAACAATAGGGCCATTTGACCCTGAAGATCCAGGGGCCCCTACTTTTGGCTGTTGTCCACTAGAAAATTTGGGCAAAGAAACAGAGAGAGAATTGGTTAAAAGCACCAATCCTCAATTAAACCCACTGACTGTTTTTCTACATGAAAAATCTGAGCATGAAGAAATGAGCTAAGTGTTGAGTGGGAAGTGTCTCAAAATCTGCAAACTGCCAAGACTTACTAAGAATCTCAAAGACTTAACCCAAATTATTGAGGGACAATGGCTCGCTAGACCCCTCCCGAGGATGGTGAGTAGGATGACAATGACACGCGAGAGACAGCTAAAAGAAACAGGGACATTCATCTTGAAAAGCATGCAGCTGCTGTTTTTGAATCTCTGGGGCGCTCCAAGAGGAGCAGGCTAGTTCAGAGTGGCCTTTCAAGTGAGGACAATGAAGGGGGGTACACACAGGGAGACAGCAGGGAAAAATGAGGAGGGGCCAAGAGTGAGAGCCATCAGACCCAGGCTGGGCTGATCCATAAGGTCCTGAGCTCTCTGCCCCTGGCAGAATCACAACAGTCATTAATTCATTCATTGAATCAACCTATCAAGGTGAAAATCAGTGTGATGAGGCCACCACTAAGCTTAGGAGACCTGAGCAGGTACAGTGGTAAAACTGTGCATTCAATGAATGAATGAATATTTGGATACTGGAAGCAGGGCGTTCAGGACCTTACAGGCCAGCGCCTGAGGTCTAGCAATGTCTGGATGTACTGAGGTCTAGCAATGATTTGAATGCCAGAAGTAAAACTGACAAGACAGGCAAAGCTGTTGCTTTTAGAAAGCTCACATTCAAGCAGGAGAGATAAACAACACACACATACACACAAAAAAAAAGCCATGAAAAAACTAAAATGTATACATACACAGTAGAGATAGGGTTATGCAAAAAAAAAAAAAAAAAATTGAACAGGATTATGGGAGAGGGCATGCTTGTGTTTCCTTTGGATTGGGGAGTAGGAGTTAGCTTTTAGCTAGGAAGGTGGGAGGGGAGCATCAGGAGAGGACGGGAGAGAGTGACCTTTGAAATTCCTTCCTCTCTGAATCCACAGTCTCACAACATACCACTGCCCATTTGCTTACTAAGATCTGCAGAGGGACCCGTGCTGCAGTGAATACAGTTAAGGCAACTTTGCACTAAGCCCCCAGTGGGTGTTTGGATAGGGCCAGGCGTCCTGAGCATGGTAAAGTGGCAGCTTCCCCTTCCTCCCACCTGCCGCTCCCTGCACATTCTGCCTGCCTGGCAGGCTGGATTGTGTAACTGCTTGGGCTTGTGTTAAGAGCCTAGCTCAGCATGGAGCTTGTAAATCTTCTCTCACATCATGAAATGCCAGCAATTTCACAGCCAGGGATTCCTGTTCTCATAAAGTCCCCACACCAGCAGACTTACATCTAAAAGTGTCCTCTGGAATGACAGATTGATGTCAGAGCTGCCTGAAGCCAAACACCAGGGCAGGCAGCCTCGTGGCTCACTCGGAAGGAAGGGCTCCCCTGCAGCCCCTGGAATTGGATGTCATGATCGCCAGGCCTGGTTGGTGGGGCTCTGCCTGCAAAGGGATCGTAAAACACAGCTTCCTGAGGAGAAATGGAAATGATGGCCCCACACTGAGAACCAAGCACCTGGAACACATTTGTGTTCAACACTATTTGAGGGGATAAAAAGAAAAAAAAATGCTTCTAAACATATATGCAGTTGTAATCCATATGGGAAATACTCACTTTTGAGTGACTCTTACTTGGCTCCCATTAGAATGACCTGTGGAGCTTTTCAGAGATAAGCATACAGAGAACTGCGGTTCTCAGGAGATCCTGATTCAGGAGAATCTAGAATCTAGAAAGGGGCCCCTGCATCTGTGGAAAAAGTTCCACAGGTGAAGATTTACCACCCAATACGTAAGAACAACAAAAGATGAGTAACAAGAAGGACATCGTGGCAGCCTTCTAATACGGTCCCCAATGACCCCCACCTCCTGGTATTCAGAACTTGTGCAATCCCCTTCCCTGGAGAGTGAGCTGGACCTGGTGACTCACCTCTAAGCATTCAGCAGGGCACAAGATAAAGGGATGTCACTTCTATGAATAAGTTACAAAAAGGGGGTGGCCTGTTTGGGCACCTTCTTGCCTGCTCTTGTTTGCTTGCTCTCAGGAAAGCCAGTCGCCATGTTGTGAATTGCCCTGTGGGGAGACCCACATGGCAAGAAATTGATGCCTTCAGCCAACAGCCAGTGAAGACTTGAGGCCTGCCCACAGCCACATGGGCAAGCTTGGACATGCACCCTCTTCCAGCGGAGGCTTGAGACGATGGCTGCCCCAGGGGATACCTTGACTGCAGCCTTGTGAGTGATCCTGAGCCAAAGGCACCAAGAAGAGTGCTCCCAGATTCCCAATCCACAGAAGTTTTGAGATAATAAATGTGTTATTTTAAGCTGTTACATTTTGGGAATAATTTGTTATGCAGCAATAGGTAACCAATAAAGACGTGTAACAAAACATGAATTTTGGGGCAGGGGGATTATGAGTGATCTGTAACTTCTTCCTTTTGCTGATCAACATTTTCTTTTTCTTTCTTTCTTTTTTTTTTTTTTTTTTTGAGACAGGGTCTCAATCTGTCACTCAGGCTGGAGTGCCATAACATGCTCACAGCTCACTGCAGCCTTGATCTCCCAGGCTCAAGCAATCCTCCCACCTCAGCCTCCCAAGTAGCTGGGACTACAGGCATGCCCCAAGATACCTGGCTAATTTTATTTTTTTATTTTTTTAGGCGGAGAAGGAGTCTCACTCTGTTGCCCAGGCTGGAGTGCAGTGGCACCATCTCCGCTCACTGCAACCTCTGCCTCCCGGATTCAAGTGATTCTCCCATCTCAGCCTCACACACTCACACATAGCTGGGATTGCAGGTGCCCACCACCATGCCTGGCTAATTTTTGTATTTTTAGTAGAGACAGGGTTTCACTATGTTGCCCAGGTTGATCTTGAACTCTACCTGCCTCTGCCTTCCAAAGTGCTAGGATTCCAGGTGTGAGCTACTGTGCCCTGTTTATATTTTCTATTTGTTTTTAATGTTACTATGGATTATGTTCAAAATGAAAAATTATTTTAAAATTATATTTTAAAAACTTGTAAAGGAAAACATAGGAGAAAATGTTTATGACCTTGTTAGGCAAAACTTTCTTAGACAAGTCACCAAAAAGGGCAATCTAAAAAGAAAAACAAGGTAAATTGGACTTTATCAAAATGAAAATCTTTTGCTCTTCTAGAAATACCATTAAAAATATGAAAAGACAAGGCCAGGCATGGTGGCTCATGCCTGTAATTCCATTACTTTGGAAGGTCGAGGCGGGTGGATTGCTTGAGGCCAGGAGTTTGAGACCAGCCTGGTCAACATGGTGAAACCTCATCTCTGCTAAAAATACAAAAATTAGCTGTGCGTGGTGGTGCATGCCTGTAATCCCAGCTACTTGGGAGGCTGAGACACAAGAATCGTGTGAACCTGGGAGGAGGAGGTTGCAGTGAGCTGAGATCCTGCCACTGTGCACTCCAGCCTTGGCGACAGGGAGACTGTCTCAAAAACAAACAACAACAAAAAAAACCCCAAAAAGACAAGCCACAGACTAAGAGAAAAGAATTGCAAATCATATATCTGATAAAGGACTTATTTCCAGAATATATAAAGAACTCTTACAACACTAAGACAATCAACCAAATTAAAAATGAGAAAAACATTTGAACAGACATTTCTTTGAAAAAGATACACAAATGGCTAATAAACACATGAAAGGACATTCAACACCCTTAGTTATTGGGAAAATGCAAATTCAACCACGAAGAGGTACCACAGGATGTGAAGAAAGTGGAACTCTCATACGTTGCTGGTGGGAACATAAAATGGAGCAACCACTTTGGAAAACAATTTGGCAGTTTCTTAAAAAGTTAACTATAAACTTATTATATGACCTACTCCTAGGAATGTAACCCAGAGAAATGAAAACATACGTCCACACAAAGACTTGTATGCAAATATTCACAGCAACTTTGTTCTTAATAGGCAAAAACTGGAAACAATCCAAATTTCCATTGACAGGTGAATGAATAAGCAAAATGTAATAAACGCATCCACTGAGATAGTACTTAGCATAAAAAGAAAAAAGTACTGATTCATGCCACAACATGAATGAACCATAAAAACAGTATGCTAAGGGAAGGAAGCCACACAGAACAGAATACATGTTGTATGATTCTGTTTATACGAAATGTCCAGAAAAGACAAATCAATAGAGGAAGAAAGTAGATTTGTGGTTGACTGGGTTTAAAGTAGGACTATATTTGACTGCAAATGAGCATAGCATGAAATGTTTTGGGTTGATAAAAATATTCTAAAACTGATTGTGGACATGGTTGTAAAAGTATACAAATTTATTACAAATCATTGAATTGTATATTTACTATAGGTGAATTTTATGTTATGTAAATTATACTTCAATAAAGCTGTAAAAAGGTTATATTCTGACTGGGTGCAGTGACTCACACCTGTAATCCTAGCACTTTGGGAGGCTGAGGCAGGTGGAATGCTTGAGTCCAGGAATTCGAGACTAGCCTGGGCAACACAGCAAAACACTGTCTTTATTAAAAATACAAAAATGAGCTGGGTGTGGTGGCGCACGCCTGTAGTCCCAGCTACTTGGGAGGCTGAGGTGGGAGGATCACCTGAGTCTGGGAGGTCAAGGCTGCAGTGAGCTGTGATTGACTGTGCCACTGCATTCCAGCATAGGTGATAGAGTGAGACCCTGTCTCAAAAGAAAAAAAGTTATGTTCATGACCTTGAACCCAGTAAGTCATGCTAAGGGCACCATCAGTAATGTATATAAAGGCTTACATCAACCGCGCTCAAAAGAGTGTGTGTGTGTGGTTTTTTTTTTTTTTTTTTGAGTTAATGAAAAACTGGAAACAACTTGCATGCCTGGTAATAGAATAAATGACTAATAAGTGGTGATCCACTTGATAGAGTAGAATGTAGCCATATTAAATGATACATACAAAGAATTTTTAAGGACCTGTGTTAATGCTTAGGATAGAGTATAAAATTGTTATTATGGCCACATTTCTCCAAGAGTAAAAAGAGCTTATATATAAATGTTTATTTTTAAACATAGTTGAATTTGAGCTGTGAATGCATGACTCTCTATATATAATATAACCAGATGCATATATGAATATAGCTTTTTTTCCTTCTGGACATTTATACATAGTAAACTGCTGGTGGCTATATAAGTAATATCTGTTTTCTTCTTTGCTCTTTGTTATATTTTCTGATTTTTAAAAAAATTTTGGCCTGGTGCAGTGCCTCATACCTGTAATCCCAGCACTTTGGGAGGCCAAGGTGAGTGGATCACTTGAGCCCATGAGTTTGAGACCAGCCTGGACAGCGTGGCGAAACTCCATCTCTACTAAAAATAAAAACAATTAGCTGGGGTTGGTGGCTCGTGCCTGTTGTCCCAGCTACTCGGAGGCTGAGGTGGGAGAATCACCTGAGCCCAGGAACCTGAGCTGCATTGAGCTGCAATTAAGGCACTGCACCCTAGCCTGGGCAACCAGAGTGAGACTCTGTCTCAAAAATAATAATAATTTTTTAATTTTTAAAGATAATATATCACTCTTTCTGCCCAGGCTGGAGTGCAAAGGCATGAACATAGCTCACTGCAGCTTCAGTCTCCTGGGCTCAAGTGATCCTCTGCCCAGGTAATAAAAAGATTTTTTTTCTGCAGAGACAAGGTCTTGCTCTGTTGCCCAGGCTGATCTTGAACTCCTGGCCTCAAGTGACATTCCTACCTCAGCCTCCCAAAATGCTGGGATTACAGGCATGAGCCACTGAGTTCAGCCTGATTACTTTTTTCCAAAAAGCATGTATTTGTTTTTAAAAGAAATAAAAAAATTGTCTAGAGAATAAAGAAAGCAAAGAGATGGCAGATCTCCCCTCTCCTGGTCAGATGAGAGGCTGTGGTTTCCTCCACGAAGGGTACGCCCTGGGCTCAGTGAAATGACGCAGAGGGCCTCTCAGCAGCTGCAGACATCAAAGGCAGTGAGCCCACCTGGAAACAGTGGCCTGAGTCCCATTCATCCCAGCTTGGACTCCTCAGTCCGTTAGAGATTCTGGAACAAGGCAGCCTGATGCAAGGACACTTCCCTTCTCAATGGCCAAGGGGAAGAGAGGATCCTGCATAGAGAGGCCTCCAGGGCTGGCTTGTCACTGCAGGGTGCCAGGCAGGAAGGGGAGCAACGACTTTGGAAACAGACACCTGAGACTCACTAGAAACCACGAAAGCCCGGGTCTGAAGGATGCAGCTGTGGCACCAGGGAGAGGGTTCAACACTGCGGACGCAGAGACCCAGGTGTGAGCTCTGACACTGCTATGGAAGCCACACTCTGTGGAGCCTGAGGAAAGCTACTGATCCTCAAAGAATCTCAGTTTCCCCATCTGTAAAGTGGGGACAACCACATTGCCTATTTTCAAAGTGGTAACCTGTATCACTGGTTAATAGGATTCAAGGTATAAAGGGGTCATATTAGTTCCCCGCGGATGCTGTAACAAATGACCACAACCCAGGTGACTTAAAACAACAGAAATTTATTTTCTCACAGTTCTGGAGCTAGATGTCCAAAATCGAGGTGTCAGCCAGGCCATGCTCCCTCTGAACCCTGAGGGGAAAGCTCCTTTTTTGCTTCTTCTTAGCTTCGGGGGTTTCCGGCACCCCTTGACGTTCCTTGGTTTGTGGATGAATCTCTCCAGTCTCTGACCCTCTCATCACATGGCCTTCTTCGCCATGTGTCTCTGTTTTCTCGTCTTCTAAGGACATCCGTCATTGGGTTAGGGCTCCCTCTACTCCAGCGTGGCATCACCTTGATTAATTATGCCTGCAAAGACTATCTCCAAATAAGGCCACATTCCGAGGTTCTGGGTGGACTTGAATTTTGGGGGGACACTATTCAATCTAGTATGGGGCATTTGGGTGAAATAAATTTGGGGGAGACTGCCTGTCATAACCTCCCCCTTTGAGTTTCACCATGCACATTAGCCTATTAAAAGCACTGAACAAAGAACTATAGAATTTCCCAAAATTGCACACAGAATCTATTAACATCTGAAGAAAGTACCATTTCTCAGGACCCAGCCTTGGAGAGCCTGGTCTGCATCATAGGGCAGTTGGGGATTCTGTGAATGTAGCACACAATAGCAGTCACACTATAGGAGCTTCATCAATTTCCCTTTCTCCCCAGTAGCCACGAGTCCAGACTTGGGGCCATGCCCTTGACTGCTACCCATCTCTTACTAATGGCTTCTACCACATGTTGCATGCTCTGGCTTCAGGAAGATGGAAAGGGCAACACTACTCCATGGCTGAGTGGGAAAATTCCAGCCTTATGGTTGAGACCCAGAGATAACACTGCTGAGGAAGTAAGCTTCTCTTTTTTTAGGAAGAGAACTCTCCACTGAGCTCTTGGAAGGAAAAGTAGGGCAGGAAATGAAGTCTCTGGGATCCAAAAGCAAGGACCTGATGGAAGAAGCAGACGGCTTGGAGGCAGGTATTTGGCAAGTGCGCTAGGAAGCCATTGGGCTGTTCCCCCTCAGCAGGCAGCTCTGCACAAGGTCCTCTAGGAGCAAAACTCAGGAAGCTCTGGATTCAGATGCCACTACCAAAGAACAGTCCAGGTGCTTCTCCAGACCATGAGCTCCAGGAGGACAGGGACCCTGTCTGGCTTGCTTATTGCAGTGAATAGACTGGTAATTGGTACGTGCTAGGTGCTCAATAGAATTTGTATAAAGAGCCAACTAGTTAATAATCCACAGGACAGTTGCCTTAGCCTGTTGAGGCTGCTATAGCAAAATATCATAAACTGGGTGGGTTAAAAACAACAGCATTTATTTATTTAGAGATGGAATCTGTCTTTGTAGCCCAGGCTGGATTGCAGTGGTGTGATCTTGGCTTGCTGCAACCTCCACCTCCGGGGTTCAAGCGATTCTCCTGCCTCAGCCTCCCGAGTAGCTGGGATTACAGGCATATGACACCACACCTGGCTAATTTTTGTATTTTTAGTAGAGACGGGGTTTTGCCATGTTGGCCAGGCTGGTCTCAAACTCCTGACCTCAAGTGATCTGCCTGCTTCAGCCTCCCAAAGTGTTGGGATTACAGGCGTGAGCCACTGCACCCCGCCTATTTCTCAATTTTGGAAGCTGGAAGTCCAAGATCAGGGTGCCAGCATGGTTCTGGTGTGGGCCCTCTATGGCTTGCAGACTGCCAACTTCTTATTGGAAAGAAAGCACAGGAGCTCTCTGGGGTGGCTTTTTTGTTTTTTGTTTTTGAGACAGGTTCTCACTTTGTCACCCAGGCTGGAGTACAGTGGTGCCATCACAGCTCACTGCTGCCTCTGCCTCCTGGGCTCAAGTGATCTTCCCACCTCAGCCTCCAGAGTAGCTGGGACTATAGGCATGCACCACCCATGCCCAGCTAATTTTTGTATTTTTAGTAGAGATGAGGTTTCGCCATGTTGCCCAGGCTAGTCTCGAACTCCTGGACTCAAGCAATCTGCCCACATCAGCCTCCCAAGTGCTGGGATTACAGGGATGAGCTACCATGCCCAGCCTGGGGTCCCTTTTATAAGAGTACTCATCCTGTTTATGAGGGCTCCACCATCATGACCTAATTACTTCCCAAAGTCCCTACCTCCTAATACCATCACTTTGGGATTAGAGCTTCAACATAAACATTTTATAGGGACACAAACATTCAGTTCATTGTAACAGTATTTTCTTTTTGTTTTATAATCTCTTTTTTCCTGAAATAAAAAAGACATGTATTCATGTTATAAAATATCAAAAAAACACACAAACAGAAAACATTAAAATGTGTTAGAATCAAAAGATCTTTATGTGCTGGGTGCAGTGGCTCATGCCTGTAATCCCAGCACTGTGGGAGGCCAAGACAGGAGGATCATTTGAGGCCAAGAATTTGAGACCAGCCTGGCCAACATAGTGAAACCTGGTCTCTACTAATACAAAAAATTAGCCAGGTGTGGTGGTGCACACATGTAATCCCAGCTACTTGGGAGGCTGAGACAGAGAATCGCTTGAACCCAGGAGGCAGAAATTGCAGTGAGCCAAGATCTTTTGAAGATAAAATGGTAAGCATAAAAACCAGGTTACAAATTCTGTTTACAATACGATATTACTTTTAAAAACATGAATACGTAAGTATTGATAGCTACATGCAAAACTAGCTAGGCGGGGCGACAACGTGAGATTGTCTCAAAAGAAAAAATATATTTTTTAAAAAAGAAAAAATTTTAAAAAGATCTTTCTGAAGATCTTTTGAATTGTTACGTATGATTTGACTTCGTGGATTCCTTGGTTGCATAAATGCAAGGAATGACATTTTGAAATAGCCAAGATTCCTCCCCTCCTGTATTTCCTTCTTCTAGGACCCTTCGCCCAATCAGACGGCAGCTGGACTGAGCTGCTGCCATCACCTCAGGAAAGCCATGATGTAAGAGAAAAACACATGTGACTTTCAACTTTTCAGGTGGCAGAAAATCTATTTCTTCTCAGCGGGTATGACAGATTAAAGATGACTGTAAATTCTTCACCACTGCTCCCATTAGGAGGCGGGGTCCTTGCCCCTTCCTGCTGAAGCCAGGTGGGTTCTGTGACTGCTTGAGCGATGGAATAGGGCGGAAGTAATGCTATGCCAGTTGCCAGGCCCAAGACTAGAGACTGGCAGCTTCTGCCTCCTGTTTCCAGAGCCAGGCCCCTGGGCCTCCACGTAGGTGATCTGACTTCCCTGCAGCAGCCACACCGTGAGAATCCTGAGCTGCGTGGAGAAGCACCAGAGATCAGACCTCATGTGAAGAAAGGGCAGGAGGCCAAGGAGCACCCCTGGCACCCCAGACACGTGCATGAAAAGCCTCCTTCCAAGTGGATCCCTCGGCTCTCTCCAAACCCTTCCCAAACTCTTGACCCACACTGCTGCGACCAAAATAGGGTTGCTAGAGTTAGCAAATAGAACTACAGGATGTTCAGTTACATTTGAATTTTAGATCAACAAGGAATAATTTTTTAGTCTAGGTAGCTCTCAAATATTACATGGGATTGCATGGGACATATTTACACTAAAAAATTATACGTTATCTGAAATTCAAGTTTAACTCAGTTTAAATTTTTATCTGTGTAGTAGAGATAGAAGTTAATTTTTTAAGCTTGAAGATAAAATATTTACAGTATTTACAGGTAAAAGATTTGCAGTATTTTATCTGGCAAGCCTGGACCAAAATAATATGTATGTTTTATACCACTAAGTTTCAGCGTTTGTCATGCAACAATAGACAACTAGGATAGCGGGGACGGAAAGGAATCTGGAATAGCTGATACACCAACTGTGGAGGTATACAGTCTCTAGACAGAGCCATTTTTTTCACCCTTGGAAGCAAAAATAGAAATAAAAGACTTGGTGCCTCCTCCCCTTGCCTCCCTCTCCCAGGTTGAATCTCTTCCTGTGGGGTGGGACACACAGCGGCGCAGAGATGTAGGGAGTGACTTCAGAAAGCAGAGGGCAGCTGGGCCTTTCAGCGCGGCCAGTGGCCTTAGGGTGATGTCCCTGCATTCCAACAGGGCATGGAAATTCTGTTGCAGAGCCAGTGTGCCCAAAGAGGACTCAAGGCCAGGGTGAGGATGGAGGTGTGGACCATGACCCAGTAATGAACGGCAAGGAGGTCCTCTGTATTGGTCCGTTCTCACACTGCTGTAAAGACATTCCTGAAACTGTGTAACTTATTAAGAAAAGAGGCTTAATCAGCTCACGGTTCCATGGGCTGTACAGGCTTCTGCTTCTGGGGAGGCCTCAGCACACTTACCATCATGGCAGAAGGGGAAGGGGAAGCAGGCACATATTCACATGGCCGGCAGGAGAAAGAGAAAAGGGGAGGTGCTATGCACTTTTAAATAAGCAAATCTCAAGAGACCTCTATCACAAGACAGCCACAGGTGGATGGTGTTAAATCATTGGAAACCACCTCCATGATCCAGTCACCTCCCACCAGGCCCTACCTTCAACACTGGCGATTACAATTTGATATGAAATTTGGGTGGGGATACAGACCTAAACCATATCGCCCTTTCAGTGTGGACACCCTTCCACCACCTCACTCTCACCACCCCAGCATGGTTGGTACTAAACACCCTCCTTGGCCCTGGGAAAAAGCCAAGGCAGCCCTCACATGGATTGAGATTAATTTCCTTCATTCAGTGAGGTGTGTCTCAGAATAAAAACTCATCTCAGGTCATAGAAAATATGAAAGGTATGTTTCTAGCCCAAATGAGTTCATAATGTTTCTACCTGCCACAAACCATTTTATACCACACTGTAGTTATATTCAAATTGGACCAAAAAAATCTACATTTTTGTGCATTATTACTGACACCCCTAAATGCTCTTTCACATGCCATGTTCAGGCTTCCAAAGTCAGCTGAGGGACCATATCAAACAGTCACATGGCCATTGCAGGGCAGGCTGATTAAGAGCATGGACTCTGGGGCTAGACTGCCAGGCTCTGTCATCTAATGGCTGTGTGTCCTTGAGCTAATTACTTAACCTCCCTGGGCCTCCATTTCTTTAACTGTAAAATGGCAATAACAGTAATATTTACCCCAGAGCATTGCCATTAGAATGAAGCAAACCTGGCTTATGGTATGTGTTCATAAGTCTTAGCCATTGTTTTTTCTTAGAGCACTTACTTGGAGATAATATTTCTTATTAACTATCTAGTTATTGTTTGAGAGACTGGGTCTTGCTGTGTTACCCAACTGGTCTTGAACTCCTGGGCTCAAGCAATCTGCTCACCTCAGCCTCCCAAATATCTGGGACTACAGGTGCACACCACCATGCCCGGCTTCTTACTATTTTATAAAAACCAGCGGAAAATAGAAATGTAGAAATGCTGCTGCCTTTGAAAATCAAATTGTGACAAAGAGGAAATCATGCATACCAGAGGCAGGAAATCTTCATCCTCCAATGAATACCCTCTGGATTTGTCTGCCACCTGTAGGTCCAATTGTTAAGGAAAAAAAAAAAGATTAAAGAAAAACATACAAAATCTAGAGACACACTTGTCTCTAGCTATCAGTGCTCCACCTTGTCACCTCCACCACATTCACCATTTCTATGCACTCAAGCCTGGCCTCAGCTGCCTGCCTCTGGACTCGCCTCAGGACTCCCCCTGGCCCCTGGGGCCTACTGTGTGTGCTCTGCAGGACCACATTGTCAATAGGTAATTTGCTTAGTAAGTCATCTTTTACTGGCTCCCTTTCTTTTTTGGGGGGTGGGGGGCAGGGTTTCACTCTGTTGCCCAGATGGAGTGCAGTGGCGTGATCATGGCTCACAGCAGCCCCAGACTCCTGGGCTCAAGCAGTCCTCCTGCCTCAGCCTCCCAAAGCGCTGGAATTACAGGCATGAGCTACTGCACCCGGCTTATTATAGCTTTCTTTATTTCCTTTTCTTATTTTTTTTCCTCTCTCCTCTACCCTATCAGCATTTCTTGGAATCACCCCAAAAATAAACTACCTGCAATCAGATTTTTGTTTTAGATGTTACTTTTGGGAAAACACAAACTAAGACACATATTAAAGATTACATCTAAAAAGTTAGGCACAATCCAGTGATTTGATCCTGTCATTTGCAACAACATGGATGAACCTGGAGGACATTACACTAAGTGAAAAAAGTTAGGCACAGAAAGACAGTTGAACTGGCCCTCTGTACTCATGAGTACATCCTTGGATTCAACCAATGGTGGATTGAAAATGCAGTCAGGCCTATGAAGATTGTGACTTTTCTTGTCATTGTTCCCTAAACAATACAGCCTAACAGCTATATACGTTGTGTTAGGTATGATGAGTAATCTAAAGATGATATAAAGTTGGCCAGGCACAGTGGCTCATGCCTGTAACCTCAGTACTTTGGGAGGCCGAAGCGGGCGGATCACATGAGGCCAGGAGTTTGAGACCAGCCTGGCCAACATGGCGAAACTCTGTCTCTACTAAAAATACAAAAATTAGCGGGGTGTGATGGTGGGTGCCTGTAATCCCAGCTACTTGGGAGTCTGAGGCAAGAGAGTCACTTGAGCCCAGGAGGCAGAGTTTGCAGTGAGCCAAGATGGTGCCACTGCACTCCAGCCTGGGCAACAGAGTGAGACCCTGTCTTAAAAAAAAAAATACAAAACAAAACAAAATAAAGATGACGTAAAGTACACGGGAGGACGTGCACAGGTTATAGGCAAATACTATGCCATTTTATATAAGGGACTTGAGAGTCTGCAGAATTTGGTATCTGCAAAGATGGGGATGGTATGCGGGTTCCAGAATCAATCCTCCGAGGATACTGAGGGACAACTGTATTGCCTGATCCCATTTATATGTGGTAGCTGAAAAAGTCAAACTCAGAAGCAGAGAATAGAATAGTGGCTGTCAGGGGCTGGGTGGCAGGGGGAAAGGGGGGATATGGGGAGATGTTGGTGAAATAGTACAAAGTTTCAATTATACAGGATGAATAAACTCTGGAGAACTAACATACAGCATGGTGACTACAGTTATTAATACTGTATTGTATACTTGAAATTTGCTAAGAGGGTAGATCTTAAATGATCTCAACACACACAAAAAAATGGTAACTACGTGAGGTCATGGATATGTTCATTAGCTTGATTGTGGTGATCATTTTACCATGTTTCAAAATCTTTCTGTAACATCAAAACATTAAGCCATATACCTTAAATAGATATAATTTTTATTTGTCAATTATACCTCAATAAAGCTGGGAGGAAAATAATTAGTGATTTAATAATGTTTTTAATTTGGGGGGTGGGATATAAATATCTCTCATAACTTTAAATGTTACTGTCAGTTTTTTAAAATAAATTACATAAGTTTCAAACCTCTGACTTCTGGGCAGATTTCTAGGAACATAAAGGGCTGCTTGGGACTCAGTCACTCCTTCCCTTGATGGACACTTGGTTTATTTTCAACGGTTGCTAACACAATGCTGCAACCAACATCCTTTCGGCAAAATCTGGGCACACATCCTTGATCTCTTAAGCACAGATTCCCTAGAGGGAAATCACTATGTTGAAGGATGTGTATTTCTATTGCCAAACTGCTTATTCTCCCACTGCCTCCCTAGGCCTGGGTCAGAGTGTTTTCCCAGCTGAGTTCTCCACTTGCCTGTGTTCCTGGTTGAGGGGAAGGTAGCTAGTTCACAGGGCACACCCAGAGGGGACACCCAGGGGTGGCACAGGTCTGTGTCCAGTCCCAGCCAGGAGAGACTAAGGGTCACATGCAGGCTGACCCTGGGAACAAGGTTCAGGCCACTAGAGAATGGAAAGTTTATCTAGGGAAACCCAGGGTGGGGCTTCACCATGCAGATGGCAGCTGCAAAGGCTGGCTGGCCCATGCAGCACTTTTGTGCAAATTAGGAAAGGTTGTCCCTTCCTCAGGTTAAATAAGAAAGGTCAAGTTAGTATAAGCAGCCCTGGCTGTGTCCACACACACCACGGCCCACTCATGGCAGCAGCATGCACACACACACTGAGTGCCACCCTCCCCACCCCCCACAGCCCCTCCAGGTGAGGCAATCATGACAGATTCAGTCTTGGAGGTCTTGGAATCAGGCCTTAAAGGGTATCAAGCAGTTGGAGTGCAGATGGGACAGAGGCGCACAGGTGTGCAGAGTTTGTGCACACCCCCAAGTGCCACTGTGAATTTAGGCCAAAGGGTGCTCTCCCCAGCTACCTGCCTGGAGGCCTAGTCAATCTCCCGTCCAGTGTGCTCATGTAAATTAGCATGTCTACCATGTTGATGATAACCCTTAGATGTAGGTGCCCTTGAGCAGTGCTCAACCTGACTTCCTGAACATGGGCCACAAGGCACCATCCTTTCAAGGTCTATGAGCTACACCTGAGTGGCAAACCCCACCTGCTGGTGGGCTTCAGCTCCTCAAGCAAGACCTTCCAGCCCTGCTCAGCAGAAGCCCGGAGATGCAGCAGAGACTTCAGTGACTTCAACAGGCAGGGGCTGAGAAGGCAGGATCCACCCCAGACCACAGCATCTCCAGAAGTAGCTCCCTGGGCTCAGACCTGTCAATTAAAGGCATTGAAGATAAAAGAGGGAGGTTTCAGTAAGCAGCTGGGCAAGATGAAAGCCCAAGTGCTGTTTTATGGCCTCCTAATGGGAAGATTCGGATGCACCTTATTATGCCCAATCAAGTAATTATAATTACAGAAACCCGGGAGACTCAGAGGCGGCCTCCTGGCTTTGGCTTTCACTCCCAACCGGCCTTGACAAATCACGATTTCTCATCTCCTCGCCCACAGGAATCTAGGAACATGCTAATTGCCCCAGAGTTTGGCAGCAGGTCCCACCCACTCCTGGGCTAGACACCACGCACCTGCCCCTCCCCAGCCCAGGAGCCAGCGAGATCTAGCAGTGTGTGTCCAGCCAGAGCCTGGAAGCCAATGGGCAGAGCAGCCCCCGCCCTTCAGCCATGGGTAAACAGAGGGACACTAGGAGTGGGGGCGGCCACGGCTAGCGGGATGGCCAACTTGCAAGGGCCAGCTCGACTGCTGCTGCCTGCTGCACACACTGCATTTTGTTGATTTTATTGTTGTGCTCCCCCTATAAAAATATGAGCTCCATGAGGAAGGGTTGGTATTTGTTTCCCATTGCTGCTATAACGAGTCCCCGCAAACCAAACTTAGTGGCTTAAAACACAGAAATGTATTATCTTACAGTTCTGCAGGTCAGAAACCTGACTGTGCTCAAATCAAGGGCAGTGCTGTGTTCCTTTCTGGAGCCTACAGAGGGGACTCCAGTTCCTTGCTTTCTCCAGCTTCTACAGGCCGCTTGCTTTCCTTGGGTCGTGGCCTCTTCCTCCATCTTGGAAGAAGCCAGGAATCACATCACTTAGAACCCCGTGTCCATCCTCGCACCTCCTTCTCTGACTCTCCTGCCTCCCTCTTCTAAGAACCCTTGTGATTACGTTAGGCCCACCTGGATAATCCAAGGCACCCTCCCTCTCTCCCAGTCAGCTGATGAGCACCTTAATTCCACCTGCAACCTTAAGTCTCTCTTGCCACGTAACATCACATAGTCAGGATTGCAGGGATTAGGGCATGGACGTCTTTGGGGGCAGGGAGGATCATTATACCTACCACAGGGCTAGTGTCTCTTGTTCCCTGCTATAGCCCCAGTGACTGGAACAGTGCCTGGTTCATAGTGGGCCCTCAAGAAAGACGTGTTGAATAAATTCATGAATAAATACATGAATAACCATTAGGAATACTATTTAAGGCTGGGTACAGTGACTCACTCTTATAATCTCAGACCTTCGGGAAACCACGGTGGGAGGACTGTTTGAACCCAGGAGTTCGAGGCCAGCCTAGGCAACATAATGAGACTCCCAGTCTCTACAAAAAATAAAAAATAAAAAATTAGCCGGGTGTGGTGGGGTGCACCTCTAGTCCCAGCTATCTGGGAGGCTGAGGTAGAAGGATCGCTTGAGCCTGGGAGGTAGAGGCTGTAGTGAGCTATGATCACACCATTGCACGGGGTGAGACCCTGTCACACACAAAAAGAGTAAATTTAATATTATAGCAAACAGCTATCACGCTTACTAAGTGCCAGGCACTGTTCAAAGTGCTTTACAAATATTTACTCATTTAATCCCCAACAGTTCTATGACGTACATTTTGTTATTATCTGCATTCTACAGATGAGGAAATTAAGGCACCAAGGAGGAGCTCGCCCAAGGCGCCACAGCTAGTGAGTGGTGAAGCTGGGATTTGCTCTCACGTTTACCGAGCCTACCTATTATGCATCCGGCCCTGGCTGAGCATGTTACATTTCTGATCTCATTTCATCCTCAGAGAGGCCATAAGGGATGTGGGTGGAATAGGAACAGAATTAACAGGCACAGAATTAAGTCACTGGAGCAGCTGAGGAACTCTGAGAGATTCTGTGGCTCAGCTGGGGCAATGAATTGTGTATTGCTTTTTGAGCCTCCTTTGCTAATTAGACCAGGGCCCACCCCCGCAAGCAGACCACAGGTGTCTGGGTTCCCACCATGATGTGGGGCTCCTGCCTCAGCCCTTGCTCCCAGCTTCTGCCCCTAACCGTTGCAACTGGTGCCCAGGCCGCTGCAGATGGCAGCAGGCCATGACCTTCACCTGAAGCTGGACCTGGCAGGTCTGCCTCCAGGAAACCTCTTCCCCAAGGGACAGGAACTGGCTTCAAACCTCACCCAGAGCTCAAGTTGCTTTGCCCTTTTCACTGATGACAACCGTGGGGACCCCCATAGCTGGGCCCTATTCATATTTTGCACATCCTGGAGCTGTTTGCTCTCTACATGCTGGCCTCGGCCACCAGCCCTGTGACAAGCTGCCCCTCTGTGATAAGCTCCCCACCCAGAAGCATGCCCCTAAGACCACAAGCACCAAAACCTGCAGGAAGCCCCTAAACATGGCCCCCAGTTCCCTCCAGCTCTGCAGGGAGAGTGCTGCTCAGGCAGGGAGGGGGAACTGCGCTCTCTCACTTGCATCTTAACCTTTGCAATCAAAGCCAAGAGGAGGGAAACTCTTGTGCCTGCCAGCACAGTGGGGCATCGCATTTTCTGTTCCTGCCAGCACATTTTTCTAGGTCAATGTCAGATCAGGGAAATCCAATACTGCATGTCCCAACGTTTTATTTGAAAACAGAGAAGTTGCTTTCCAAAATAAATAGCGTTTACAAGTAAAGCCTGGAGAAGCCTCTGTCAGAAATGGACTCTGGGCCCAGGCAGGATAGACGTTTCCTAGTGGCTTTGATTGATGTAAACCCAATGTCAGCCCCAGCTCCAGGCCTAAAAGGAGAGGCTGGGCTGAGGAAGAACACGTGTATATACACATACGTATTGATGTGTGCCCGTACATATGCATTTGCATGTATCCTTAAGGGTCTCTGGGTATGATTAGCATGAAGAGTAAGTTGGGGGGCTTATATGTGTGTCCTTATATGTGTTTATGTGTACAGGCATGTGAATGTGACTGTGTGTGCCTGTGTATGTGTGTGATGTGACACCCAGCCCTGTTTCTCAGACACCCAGTCCTCTTTCTAGACACCCCCTTCTTCTCCTCCTTGTACCTGTTCTTTTTCTTTTTTCTTTTTTTTTTTTTTTGACACAGAGTCTCGCACTGTCACCCAGGCTGGAGTGCAGTGACGCGATCTTGGCTCACTGCAACCTCCGCCTCCCAGGTTCAAGTGATTCTCCTCCCTCAGCCTCCCAAGTAGCTGGGATTACAGGCCCAGCTAATTTTTTGTATTTTTAGTACAGACAGGGTTTCACTGTGTTGGCCAGGCTGGTCTTGAACTCCTGACATCGTGATCTGCCCGCCTTGGCCTCTCAAAGTGCTGGGATTATAGGCGCGAGCCACCGCACCCGGCCCCTGTTCTTTTTCTTAACTGATTAAGGGGCTGGGGCTCAGATCTTGACACACTGTGACAGGCATTTCCTCTGCTCTGTTTCTTCTTGGTGCCTACCCACTGCTCCTTCCCAATTTGATGTTGACTTGTTGTGTAGACCAATGGAGTCCAGTTTTTGGTTACTGTGTTAGGACCCAGCAATTTGAGCCCAGGCTATGTTAACAGCGCTCTGTAAATGGTACCATGCACTGCCCCGGAAGGCCGCTGGTGTCACTTCTCGCTGACGTCACCCTGACTGCAGGATCTCCCTCACAGACCTCCGACTTCTGCTGTCAGTGCAATCCTCCCCAGGCCTTGCCAGTTTCCATGCTCAAGGCCCCGCCTGCCTGATGACCACCTGTCTCATTAAACTTAAGCAACTCAGCCTGGCTTCCAAGATCTGAGTATCTTCTTAGCAAATTCTCTTCTCAGGAAGTGTGTCCCCTTCCTGAGCACCTCGGCCAAGCTGCCCCATACTGTGTTAGCTCTGGCCCCTCCCTTACCCACCTCTGAGCATTTCTTTGCTCACGCTGTTCCTCTGCCCTCACACCATTCCCTGCTGCCACTTCTCTCTCATTGGCTCTGCCGGTCCAAACTCTACGCTGTTTCAAGACCAGTTCTAATCTCACCCACTTTCTCTACGAGGACTTAGAAGAGCCTCCCACCCCACACTACTTTCCCATCAGACTCTGGCTCACGGGATGACACACTGCCCTGTGTGTTGCCTAAGAATTGTTTTCAGGTTGCTTCATGGGCCTTATCTTGCCTTCTGACCTAGATTGCAATCTCCTTCTAGGCAAGAATCAAGCCCGGTGCAAGAATCAAGCCCGGTGCTGCCTTTGAACGAGATGTGGAACCCGACACAGGTCTGGACACAGTATAGCCAGGGGATGAGGGCTTGTGGGTGAGTGCACGCAGAAAGGCACACTCGGCTGGGGCGGTAAGGCCGCAAAACTGTGTCCTAGGCACTGCGTTTTGTGATTTATCTGTCTTAGCTCATCTAATAATAACTGTGGCGGCAGGGTGATATTATCCCCAGTTTAGAGATGAGAAAACAGAGATTGAAAGAGATTAAGTGACTTCTCTGAAGCCACAAAAGTAGTCCAGTTGTCTCTTGCTAACTGTGGGGGTTTGGTTGCCTGATCCCCTTGAATACCAAAGTCTGCGGATGCTCAAGTCCCGTGTCAGCCCTGCAGAGCCCTTGCATAGAGGACACTTTGCTTGTAACCAGCAAAATCAGGGGTTAATCCTAGGTGGGTCTGACTGCCTTTCTCATAACCTTGTAACAACCATATCCATGGGAGGCAGCATGCTAACAGTGAACTCTCTGAAATTCTAAAGCACACCCTACCCACAAGAGATCAGAGCAAGTTCTAGGGTGGCACTGTCCAACAGAACTTTCAATGATGGAAATGTTTATTTCTGTGCTGACATGAGAGCCACTGGCCACATGTGGCCATCGAGTACTTGAAATGTGGCTAATGAAGTAAAGAACTGGATTTTAAATTTTATTTTATCTTAATTTGTTTATTTATTTGAGACAGGGTCTTGCTCTGTCACCCAGGCTGGAGTGCAGTGGCGTGATCTTGGCTCATCGTAGCCTCAACTTCCTGGGCTCAGGTGATTCTCCCACCTCAGCCTCCCAAGTAGCTAGGACTATAGGTATGCACCACCATGCCCGGCTAAGTATTTTGGTAGAGACAGGTTTCAACAAGTTGCCCAGCCTGGTCTCAGACTCCTGGGGTCAAGAGATCTGCCCACCTCAGCCTCCCAAAGTGCTGGGATTATAGGTATGAGCTACCACCCCCCAGCCTGCTTATTTAATCTTAATTAAAACGTAAGTACTGTGGTCACATGTAGCTAGTGGCTTCCATATTGGATAGTGCTTCCCAACCACGTCCATGTCAAGTCAACATAGAAAATACTAATTACGCAATAATGAGACTGTTTGCTGCCAGAGGCAACTGGCTCAAGGGGTCCTGCCTTCCTGACCCCACCTAGCCTCCCTCAACAAATCTGTAGGCCACTTTAGGCACACTAGCTCTTCACAATGGTCAAGCTTCCTGCCAGCTCCCAGCCTCTGGGCCTGGAACACCAAAGTCATTGTGATCGTAAGAAATGCCAGCATAGGAGATGTGCAGGACCTTGTCAGTTCTTGCATGGTGTCCTTTCCTCCATTCCACACACAGTGCCTGGCCCTGGGCAGGGGCTGGGGTAAAAAGAACTCAGAGCCAGCCCTCACTAAGCACTCCCACGAGGCCATCTGATTCATATGCCCCAAACTGTTCTTTTTTGGCAGCACTTTGGCGCCCCCTCCTGGGCATCCTGCAGAGTTCAGGTGCGCATAAATTTGCCAGGAGGGGACAAGGACTTGGCCCTGGGACTGACCGCAGGGCTGTCAAAGACTTCCAGCCCCCCTGGCCAGCCAAGTGAGGGAATGCCTGCCCTTTTTCCAGGCCCAACTGGGGCAGCTCTTTTTCCTGCAGGGAAAAGGCACTTTACTGGCAGCCCTGGGGAAGAGGCAGGGGAGGCAGCTGAGTCTGGAAACGGGAGCATTCCAGAGCCCAGGCCTCTAGGCCCCTGTGCACTCTTCACACTGTGCCAACCCTGGATTTTCAGAGAGAAACCAGAGAGGATGGCTTGGCAGAGGCCCTTTTGGAGGTAACTGGGAAGCAGGAGAGGATGTGAAGTCAAGGCTGGTCTCTGAAGTGGAGGAGTTGGCCACAGGGAGAGAGGAGATAGGAAAGGACTTTGCAGTGGAGGGGGCAGCCAGGGAAAGCCCTGGAGGAGAAGGGGAGGGTGATCACCAGGGCATTAAAGCGGTCAGCGTGGCTGGAGTGGAGAGGTTGAGTGGAGATGAGGGAGGTGGTGAGGCTGCTGAGGTGAGGAGGCTGAGGTAGGAGGATCGAATGAGCCCCAGAGATCAAGGCTGCAGTGAACCGAGATCATGCCACTACACTCCCACCTGGGCACTGGAACAAGACCCTGTCTAAAAGAAAATGTGAAAACCATTCTTAGCTCTTAGGGCATACAGACACAGGTGGCAGGCAGAGTTTGGCTTGAGAGCTATAGTTCACTCACTCTCATTCTATCAGAAGGTGCCTGGATGGTGCATGGACAGGCCAACCCCTCTCCCACCCTCCAGCCTTTCCCCATCGCTTCACTTTCAAGTCTCATGCAGCCAGCCAGCCAGGTTTAAACACCACCTCCTCCAAGAGGACTTTTCTTACCTTCCCAGTCCAAGTTAGCCTCCCCCACTGTATTACTCCATTTTCACACTGCTGTAAAGAACTGCCTGAGACGGGGTAATTTATAAAGAAAAGAGGTTTAACTGACTCACAGTTCCACAGGCTTAACAGGAAGCATGACTGGGAAGCCTCATGACACTAACAATCATGGCGGAAGGCGAAGAGGAAGCAAGGACCTTCTTCACATGGTGGCAGGACAGAGAGCAAGGGAATCTACCACACGCTTTTAAACCATTAGATCTCATGAGAACTCACTATCACTAGAATGGCAAGGGGGAAAACAGCCCCCATGATCCAATCACCTCCTACCAAGTCCCTTCCTCCACACGTGGGGATTACAATTCTAGATGAGATTTGGGTGGGGACAGAGAGCCCAACCATATCACCCATCAACTTTGTGCCCCTTATAAAGTTACTGACCAGTAACTTACTGACCTCTGGGTGTGTATATGTGTGTGTGTATATATGTTTGTGTGTGTGTGTGCATGTGTGTGTATGTGCATGTGTGTGTTTGTATGTGTGTGGATATGTGTGTGTGTGTGTATTTGTGTATGTGTGTGTATTGTGTATATGTGTGTGAGCGCCTTTCCTTGCACCAGCCCTGTGCTGTGCCGTGCAGTAGCCACTAGCCACATGTGGCTATTTAGGGCTTGAAATGTGGTGAGTCCAAATTGAGATGTGCTGTGGGTGTAAAATACACACAGAATTTCAAGCAGCATAGAAAACAAGAATATAAAATATTTCATTAATTTTCCAGCTCTTAGGGAAGTTGATGAATTTTAATTACTGAATTTTATTTTAATTACATTTTAAAATGACAAGATATTGGATATATCTTATTAAATGTATTATTATTAAATTTATTTTTATGGTGTTTCTTTTTACCTTTTTTTTTTTTTTTTTTTTTGAGACAGGGTCTCACTCTGTCCCCTAGGCTGGAGTGCAGTGGCATAATCATGGCTCACTGCAGTCTTGAACTCCTGGGCTCCAGCAATCCTCCACCTCAGCCTCCTGAGTAGCTGGGACTACAGGGCACACCACCATGCCTGGCTAATTTTTATATTTTTTTGTGGAGACAGGGTCTTGTTAAGTTGCCTAGGCTAGTCTTGGACTCCTGACTCCAAATAATCTTCCCACTTCAGCCTCCCAAAGTGCTGGGATTACAGGCATGAGCCACCACACCTGTCCTTCTTATTTTTTATTTTTTTGAGACAGGGTCTCACTCCGTCACCCAGGTTGGAGTGCAGTTGTGTGATCACAGCTCACTGCAGCCTCATCTTCCTGGGCTCAAGTGATCACTACCTTAGCTTCCTGAGTAGCTGAACCTATAGGAGCGTGCCACCACACCTGGCTGATTGTTTTTTATCTTTTGTAACAACGGAATCTCCATATGTTACCTAAGCTAGTCTCCAACTCCCAGACCGAAGCGATCCTCCCATCTCAGCCTCCCAAAGTCCTGGGATTACAGGTGTGCACCATCACGCCCAGCCAGCCTGTGAGTTCTGACAGCAGCTGTGCTGGGTTCATTGTTGTCACTCCAATGTCTAGTGCACAGAGTAGGAGAGGGAGGGGACAGGCACAGGGATGTCTGAGGGCTTCCCACGCACCAGATGCTGTGTTAAGCCTCATCCATCTCGTTTTGTCCTCCCAGGAACCCTGTGCCAGGGATGGTGGCGTGGCAGCAAGGCGGAGAGTAGGAGGGCTCATTTAGGCCCCAGGCTACGGTCAGGGGTGAGGGGACAGGTAGAGTCCTCTCTGCTTTGTAGGCCTCCTGGGTTTCTAGACAAGAGGACACCACCCTCCTGCCACCACTTTGCATACTTCCTGGGTCACCGTCTTCCCAACTGGGGCTCAGCCATGGCCATTGTGAAATTTGTTCTGTCTCCTCTCAGACTCTGCCTCCCACTCCCATATCCAGACACGTTCCTGCTAGTGACAGCCACATGACCCTCCCAATAACCACACGCCCAGCCTGGCAGCCTTCCTGGGCCTCAGGAGTGTGGTAACTTTGGAGAAGGGCTTCTGACTCAGGCAGCTGAGCTTGCTGCCAGGTGGGGACTGGCTCTGGTCTCAGTGTATCTCTGGGCCCCTTCCCAATCCCAAAATGAAAGTCCCTCTTCAGGAGTGTAACCATCCAGGAACCAGCCCTCAGCTCAGCACTGGGTAGTGTCTGCTCATAAAAATGGCCACAAGGTGGCACTGTTCCCACAGCCATTCCCTTCCCCCACGGCAAGACCACGGGTCACACCTGCATCCAACAAAAATATTACAGCTTTTGGAAGAGGTTTTCCCTGGACTGGTTGGTGAATTTCATTCTCAGTCTTCAGCTGCCAAAGGTTGTTTAGACTCGGGAATTCTGCTATAAAAAATGGTCATCTCTGAGTGCACACTTAAAAGTCAAGCAGGTTATGACTCATTGTCAATCCCCCTGCAAAGGAATTCTGTCCTGAGAGGCCTCGTGCACGCCTGACACATACAAGAGGAATGCACACACGTTAAGCAGAAAGCACGTGGGTCTTCCGTGTGCAGACACGAAGGCCGGGAAGAATGGCCCTACAGGTGATCTAGCCGTGTTCTGGTTTTCTTTTTTTGTTTTAGCCTTAGGATTTTTATTTAGGAAAAACAACAAAACAAAACAGAAGCCACTGCCCTGACTATGGAGTAGCCATTCTTTTATTTTCTTACTTTGTTAATAAACTTACTTTCACTTTAAAAGAAAAAGAAAACCAAAAAGACCTCACATAGAAGCCAAATAAGTAAAATGAGGGTAAAATTTGAAAAATATATGGTGGTTCTGGTTGCAGATGTGGGGATAAAAGAATCTCTTCCCAGTGAAGAATTTTCTAGAGCAGAATTTGAAATGTATCCATCTAGTCTCACTGGCTTATTTTATAGGAGAATAAACTGAGACTCAGAGAGGAAAATGACTTGTTCAAGATCACATACTACTTTGGAATGTTTTCATTTTAAATGAAAGTCTCAAAAGGCAGGTATTTTCACTGAGAAACAAAAACAGTTTTTATTTTCTCTGACATATGTCCAGATGCTCTTCAAGTTACGGTGACCCGGGGCACAGGAAGAGTACTGCCTGACACTTCTACACAGCTCTGTTCATTTCAAATGCTTTCAGCATCTGTTGCCCTGTCTGGCCCTCACAATACCCCTTAGAGTTTGGCAGGGCAAATGGATACCCCATTTGTCTGAGGCGAGACCAAGGCACAGAGACGGAACTGGGCTTGCTTTAGGACACAAAGTGAGTGAGTGTCACTAAAAAATAAAATAAAAGACTAGCATCCAGGACTCCAGCAGCAATCCTACACAATCGTCTAGAGTTAAGTTTATGCTATGTCAGGGGGGAAACAAACAAGCAAAAAAAAACAGACGAGGCTGCTCGGTATTGGTGCTCAAGTGATGAAAAAGAAAAGTGAGGGCAGAGGCTCCCTCGTTGAGAATAGAACCCCGCTTTCTTCAGTTTTACATTTCATGATGAGGCATTACAGCTGGTATATTGTAGGATTCTGAACATTCATTGAATGAATAAATAATCATGACATGGATACATACATAAATACATTTGGCCCCTGAGACAGGTAATTAAAATTCTGCACGAGTTAACACCATTTCCATAACCCACATGGACAGAAACTCTTGACAGATGTCTTGGAGGAGAATGGCTTTCAAGGTACAGGGAGATACGTTGGTCTCTCTCTCCTCTCTTTCTGAACAGTAACCTTCGGAGAAAGGCAACCTTCAAACAGTGCTGGATTCCTGCAGCATTTTTACTGTTCAAATCTTTTGTTTCTTCCCACTTACTAAGGATTTCTGTGCATTAAGTCTTGAGGAGTGCAGTATAGGGAAGTCAGCATATTTACTAATATAATATTTTGGAACTTAGACTTAAAACAAGAATATTTAAAGGTAGCCGTATGACGTTGAACAAGTTCTGGTTTGTAGTATAGGTGAGCAAGTGGGGAGGCAATGATTAGCAATTCAATTCTGCAAAACTTTACCAAACCCTCACATGCCCAAGAACCAGTGCTGCGTTAAGAGGGGAAAAAAGGATGAGTAAGACAAGCCAATGGAGCTTGACAGATAGATGGGACAAGACAGGCATGTAAATAACCACAAAGGAATGTTGCAAGCCTACCCATTCAGAACCATTAACGGTTTGGTATGCTTCCTGTTTTTTACTCATGGTTACATCATCAAACACATTCTTTTTATACATACAGTGCATCGTTTTTCCCACGATGAAAATGCAACCATGTTATGCGTATCTTTCTACAATCTTTCTGTGATATTAACGCACTGTGGGCAGCTTCACTCATTTTTTTTTTTTTTGAGGAACTTCCGTACTCTTTTCCACAGCAGCTGTAACTTTTTATGTTCCCACCAACAGTGCACAAGGACTCTCGTTACTCTACATCTCATATGGTTTGGCTGTGTCCCCACCCAAATCTCATCTTGAATTGTAGCTCCCATAATTCCCATG
Organism: Homo sapiens; assembly: GCF_000001405.40. NCBI lineage: Eukaryota > Metazoa > Chordata > Mammalia > Primates > Hominidae > Homo > Homo sapiens. The sequence continues at coordinate 12,042,124 of NC_000011.10, read as the reverse complement.
TGTTAGGAAAGGAACCCAGTGAGAGATAATTAAATCATGGAGACAATTTCCCCCATACTGTTTTCGTGGTAGTGAATAAGTCTCACAAGATCTGATGGTTTTAGAAGGGGTTTCCGCTGTTACTTGGCTCTCATTCTCTCTTCTCTTGTCTGCTGCCGTGTGAGATGTGCCTTTCACTTTCTGCTATGATCGTGAGGCCTCCTCAGCCACATGGAACTGTGAATCCATTAAACCTCTTTCTTTTGTAAATTGCCCAGACTTGGGTTTCTCTTTATCAGCAGCGTGAAAACAGACTAATACATAGCATTAGTCTGGTACTAGGAATGGGGCAGTACTATAAAGATACCCAAAAATGTGGAAGCTACTTTGGAACTGGATAACACACAGAAGTTGGAGGAGTTTGGAGGGCTCAGAAGACAGGAAAATGTGGAACAGTTTGGAACTTCCTGGAGACTTGTTGAATGGCTTTCACCAAAATGCTGATAATAATATGAACAATGAAATCCAGGCTAAGGTGGTCTCAGATGGAGATGAGGAACTTGGGAACTGGAGCAAAGGTGACTCTTGTTATGTTTTAGCAAAGAGACTCGCAGCATTTTGCCCCTGCCCTAGAGATTTGTGGAACTTTCAACTTGAGAGAGATGGTTTAGGGTGTCTGGCGGAAGAAATTTCTATGCAGCAAGGCATTCAGTAGGTGACTTGGGTGCTGTTAAAGGCATTTAGTTTATAAGGGAAGCAGAGTATAAAAGTTCAGAAAATTTGCAGCCTGACAATGTAATAGAAAAGAAAATCCCATTTTCTGAGGAGAAATTAAAGCTGGCTGCAGAATTTTTTTTCTGTTTTTTTTTTTTTATTAAAGACGTCTCACTCTGACACCCATGCCAGAGCGCAGTGGTGCAATCTCAGCTCACTGTAACCTCTGCCTCCTGGGTTCAAGTGATTCTCCTGCCTCAGCCTCCTGAGTAGCTGGGACTACAGGCACATGCCACCATGCCTGCCTAATTTTTAGTAGAGGTGGGGTTTCACCATATTGGCCAGGTTGGTCTCGAACTCCTGATTTTGTGATCCACCTGCCTTGGCCTCCCAAAGTGCTGGGATTATAGGCGTAAGCCACTGCGCCCGGCCCAGAAATTTGCATAAGTTATGAGGAGCTGAATGTTAATCCCCAAAACAATGGGGAAAATGTCTCCAGGACATGTCAGAGGTCTTCAAGGCAGCCCCTCTCTCACAGGCCCAGAGGCCTATGAGGAACAAATGGTTTTGTGGGCCGGACCCAGGGTCCCTGTGCTGTGTGCAGCCTAGGGACTTGGTGTCCTGCATCCCAGCCATTTTAGCTGTGGTTGAAAGGGGCCAACATAGAGCTTGGGCCATTGCTTCAGAGGGTGCAACCCCAAGCCTTGGCAGATTTCATGTGGTGTTGAGCCTATGGGTGCACAGAATTCAAGAACTGAGGTTTGGGAACCTCCACCTAGATTTCAGAGGATGTGTGAAAACACCTGGATGTCCAGGCAGAAGTTTGCTGCAGGAATGGGCACTCATGGAGGACCTCTGCTAGGGCAGTAGGGAAGGGAAATGTGGGGTGGGCACCCCCACACAGAGTCCCCACCGAAGCACTGCCAGTGGAGCTGTGAGAAGAGGTCCACTGTCTTCCAGACCCCAGAATGGTAGATCCACCGACAGCTTGCACCATGTGCCTGGAAAAGCTGCAGACACTCCACACCAGCCTGTGAAAGTGGCCAGGAGGGAGGCTGGAACCTGCAAAGCCACAGGGACTGAGCTACCCAAGACCATGGGAACACACCTCTTGCAGTGTGACCTGGATGTGAGACAAGGAATCAAAGGAGAGCATTTTGGAACTTTAAGATTTGACTGTTCCACTGGACTTCAGATTTGCATGGGGCCTGTAGCCTCTTTTTTTTTTTTTTTTTTTTGGCCAATTTTCCCCATTTGGAACAGGTATATTTACCCAATAACTGTACCCTCATTGTATCTAGGAATTAACTTGCTTTTGATTTTACAGGCTCATAGGTAGAAGGGACTTGCCTTGTGTTAGATGAAACTTTGGACTGTGGACTTCTGAGTTAAGGCTGAAATGAGTTAAGACTTTGGGGGACTTTTGGGGAGGCATGATTAGTTCTGAAATGTGATGACAGAATGATATGGTTTGGCTGTGTCCCCACTCAAATCTCATCTTGAATTGTAACTCCCATAATTCCCACATGTTGTGGGAGGGACCCAGTGGGAGATAATTGAATCATGAGGGTGGATTCCCCCCATACTGTGCTTGTGGTAGTGAATAAGTCTCATGAGATTTGATGGTTTTATAAGGGGTTTCTGCTTTTGCTTGGCTCTCATTCTCTCTTCTCTTGTCTACCACCATGTGATATGTGCCTTTCACCTTCTGCCATGAATCTGAGGCCTCCCCAGCGATGTGGAACTGTGAGTTCATTAAACCTCTTTCTTTTGTAAATTGCCCAGTCTTGGGTATGTCTTTATCAGCAGCATGAGAATGGACTAATAACAACATCCTTGACAACACACTGTTTTCTGGGTTTTTCTGAGAGTAGCCATCATAGAGGGTGTGAGGTGATAACTCATTGTAGTTTCAAATTACACCTCCTGAGTGATTTATTCTAATTTTTAACTTTTATTTTAGATTCAGGGTATGCATGCACGTTTGTTATATAGGTAAACTGTGCATCGTAGGGGTTTGGTTTATAGATTATTTCACCAGGTAATAAACATAGTACCTGATAGGTAATTTTTTGACCTTCACCGTCCTCCTCCCCTTTACCAACTTTCTACCCTCAGATAGGCCTCAATGTCTGTTGTTCCCTTCTTTGCATCCATGTGTACTCAATGTTTAGCTCCCACTTGTAAGTGAGAACATACAGTACTTGGTTTTCTGTTCCTGCATTAGTTCACTTGGGATAATGACCTCCAGCTCCATCCATGTGCTGCAAAGGACATAATCCTGTTCTTTTTTATGGCTGTTTAGTATTCCATGGTGTATGTGTACCACATTTTCTTTATCCAGTCTACTATTGATGGGATTTAAACTGATTCCATGTCTTTGCTATCGTGAATAGTGCTGTAATGAACATACGCATGCATGTGTCTTTATGGTAGAATGATTTATATTCCTTTGAGTATATATTCAGTAATGGGATTGCTGAGTCAAATGCTAATTCTGTTTCAAGTTCTTTGAGAAATCACCAAACTGCTTTCCACAGTGGCTGAAGTAATTTACATTTCCACCAGCAGTATATAAGCGTTCCCTTTTCTCTGCAACCTCACCAGCATGTTATTTTTTTACTTTTAAATAATAGCCATTCTGGCTAGTGTGAGATGGTATCTCATTATGGTTTTGATTTGCATTTCTCTAATGATTAGTGATGTTGAACATTTTTGTGTATGCTTGTTGACTGTGTGTATGTCATCATTTGAAAAGTGTCCATTCATGTCTTTGCCCACTTTTTAATGGGGTTGTTTGTTTTTTGCTTGTTAATTTGTTTAAGTTCCTAATAGATTCTGAATATTAGACCTTTGTTGGATGGTTACGTTACAAATATTTTCTTCCATTTGGTTCGGTTGTCTGTTTACTCTGTTGTTAGTTTCTTTTGCTGTGCAGAACCTTTTTAGTTTAATTGGGTCCCATTTGTCAGTTTCTCTTTCTGTTGCAATCAATTTTTGTGTCTTCATCATGAAATTGTTGCCAGGGCCTATGTCCAGAATGGTATTTCCTAGGTTAACTTCCAGAGTTCTCACAGTTTTGTTTTACATTTAAGTATTTAATAAATCTTGAGTTGATTTTTGTGTATGGTGTAAGAGGAAGAGGTTTTATCTTCTGCACATGGCTAGCCAGTTATCACAGCACCATTTATTGAATAGGGAGTCCTGTCCACATTGCTTGTTTTTGTAGACTTTGTCAATGATCAGTTGGTTGTAGGTAATTGGAATTATTTCTGGGCTCTTTATTTTGTTCCATTTGTCTTTGTATGTGTGTTTTGTACCAGTACCATGCTCTTTTGGCTACTGCAGCCTTGTAGTGTAGTTTGAAGTCAGGTAATATGATGCCCTCAGCTTTATTCTTTTTGCTTAAAATTGTGTTGGCTATTCAGACTCTTGTTTGGTTCCACATGGATTTTAAAATACTTTCTTTCTAATTCTGTGAAAAAATGTCATTGGCAGTTTGATATGGATAGCATTGAATCTGTAAATTGCTTTGGGTAGTATGGCCATTTTAACAATATTGATTCTTCCTATCCATGGGCATGGAATATCTTTCCATTTGTTTGTGTCACCTCTGATTTCTTTGAGCAGTGCTTTGTAATTTTCATTGCAGAGATCTTTCACCTTCCTGGTTAGCTGTATTCCTAGGTATTTTATTCTTTTTGTGGCTATTGTGAATGGAATTGTACGCTTGATTTGGCTCTCAGCTTGGATGCTATTGGTGTATAGTAGTGCAACCAATTTTTGTTCTTTGATTTTATATCCTGACGCTTTGCTGAATTTGTTTATCAGATCTAGGAGCTTTTGGGCAAAGATTATGGGGTTGTCTAGGTATAGAATTATATCATCTGCAAACACAGATAGTTTGACTTTCTCTCTTCCTGTCTGGAGGCTGTAAATCCATCTGGTCCTGGGCTGCTTCTGTCTGGCAGGCTTTTTATTACCGATTCAGTTCCAGAACTCCAGGTTATTGGTCTGTTCAGGGATTCAGTTTCTTCTTGGTTCAATCTTGAGAGGTTGTATGGTTCTGGAAATTTATCCATTTCTTCTAGTTGTATGAATAGAGGTGTTTATAGTAGTCTCTGAGGTTTTTTTGTATTTCTGTGGGGTCAGTGATAATGTCCCCTTTGTCATTTCTGATTATGTTTATTTGGATTTTCTCTCTTTTTTTTTCTTTATTAATCTTATTTCCTTCTCTTGCCTGATTGCTCTGGCTAGAACTTCCAGTACTATGTTGAATAGGAGTGGTGAGAGTAAGCATCCTTGTGTTGTTCCAGTTCTCGAGGGGAATGCTTCCAGTTTTTGCCCATTCAGTATGATGCTGGCTGTGGGTTCATCATAGATGGCTCTTATTATTTTCAGGTATGTTCCTTCAATGCCTAATTTCTTGAAGGTTTTTAACATGAAGGGATGTTAAATTTTATCAAATGCCTTTTCTGCATCTATTGAGATAATCATGTAGTTTTTGTTTTTAGTACTGTTTATGTGATAAATCACATTTATTGATATTTATATGTGTGGAACCAGCCTTGCATCCCTACTTGAGCAGGGTGGATTTGCTTTTTGATGTGCTGCTGGATTTGGTTTGTTAGTATTTTGTTGAGTTTTTTTGCATCTATGCTGATCAAGGATATTAGCCTGAAGTTTTCTTTATTTGTTGTGTTTCTGCCAGGTTTTGGCACAGAATGATGCTGGCCTTGTAGAATGAATTAGGGAGGATTCCCTCCTCCTCTATGTTTTTTAGAATAGTTTCAGTAGGAATGGTACTAGCTCTTCTTTATATATCTGGTAGAATTTGGATATGAATCCGTCTGGTCCTGAGCTGCTTCTGGTTGATAGGCTTTTTATTACTGATTCAATTTTGGAACTTGTTATTGGTCTGTTCAGGGATTCAGTTTCTTCCTGGTTCAATCTTGGGAGGTTGTACGTTTCTAGGAATTTATCCATTTCTTCTAGGCTTTCTAGTTTTTGTGAATAGAATTGTTCATAGTAGTCTCTGAAGGTTTTTGTATTTTTGTAGGGTCAGTGGTAATGTCACCTTTGTCATTTCTGATTGTGTTTATTTGATTCTATTCTCTTTTTTCTTTATTAGTCTAGTTAGTGGCTTTCGATCTTACTTATTCTTTCAAAATACAAACTCCTGGATTCATTGCTCTTTTGTATGACTTTTCACATCTCCATTTCCTTCAGTTCAGCTCTGATTGTGGTTATTTCTGGTCTTCTGCTAGCTTTGGGGTTGGTTTGCTCTTGTCTCTCTATTTCTTCTAGGTGTGATGTTAGGTTGTTAATTTGAGATCTTTCTAACTTTTTGGTGTGGGCGTTTAGTGCTATAAACTTCCCTCTTACTTTAGCTGTGTCCCAGAGATTCTGGTATGTTGTACTTTATTCTAATTAGTTTCAAAGCATTTCTTGATTTCTGCCTTAATTTATTGTTTAACAAAAAGTCATTCCGAAGATTGTTTAATTTCCATATAATTTTATGGTTTTGAGCATATTCTTAGTATTGATTTCTATTTTTATTGCCCCATGGTCCAAGAGGGTGGTTGGTAAGATTTTGTTTTTTTTAATTTGCTGAGAATTGTTCTATGGCCAATTGTGCATCAGTGTTAGAGTATGTGCCATGTGATGATGAGAAGAATGTATATTCTGTTGTTTTGGGGTGGAGAGTTCTGTAGAGGTCCATCAGATCCATTTGGTCCAATGTTGAGTTCAGGTCCTGAATATCTTCGCTAATTTTCTGCCTTGATAATCTGTCTAATACTGTCAGTGGAGTGTTGAAGTCTCCCACTATTATCATGTGGGCATCTATGTCTGTTTGTAGGTCTCTAAGAACTTGCTTTATGAATTTGAGTGCTCCTGCATTGGGTGCATATATATTTAGGATAGTTAGGTCTTCTTGTTGAATTGAACCCTTCACCATTATGTATTGCCATTCTTTGTCTTTTTTTTATCTTTGTTGGTTTGAAGTCTGTTTTGTCTGAAATTAGGATTGCAACCCCTGCTTTTTTCTGTTTTCCATTTGCTTGGTAGATTTTTCCTCCATTCCTTTATTTTGAGCCTATGGGTGTCATTACATATGAGATGGGTCTCTTGAAGACCATGTACTGTTGGGTCTTGCTTTTTATCCAGCTTGCCACTCTGTGCCTTTTAAGTGGGGACATTTAGCCTGTTTACATTCAAGGTTAGTATTGATATGTGTGGATTTGATCCTGTCATTGTGTTGTTAGCTGGTTATTATGTTGGCTTGTTTATGTGGTTCTTTTGTAGTGATGCTGGTCTGAGTGTTTAAGTGTGTTTTTGTATTAGCTGGTAACAGCCTTTCTTTTCTATATTTAGTGTTTCTTTTAAGGTCTCTTGTAAGGCAGGTGTGGTGGTAACAAACTCCCTCAACATTTGTTTCTCTGAGAAGGATCTTATTTCTCCTTCACTTATGAAGCTTTTTTGGATTGATATGAAATTTTTACTTGGACTTTCTTTTATTTAAAAATGCTGACTATAGGCCCCCAATCTCTTCTGGCTTGTAGAGTTTCTGCTGAAAGGTCTACTGTTAGCCTCATGGGGTTCTCTTTGTAGGTGACCTGCCCCTTCTCTCTAGTTGCCTTTAATATTTTTTCTTTCATTTTGGTCTTGGCAAATGGATGACTATGTGTTTTGGGGATGGTTATCTTGCGTATTATCTTGCAGGGGTTCTCTGCATTTGAATGTTGGCCTCACTAGTGAAATTGGGGAAATTTTCATGAACAATATCCTCAAATATGTTTTTCAAGTTGCTTGCTTTCTCTCCCTTTCTTTCCGTGATGCCAATGAATCAAATATTTGGCCTGTTTATATAATCCTTGATTTCTCAGAGGTTTTGTTCATTCCTCTTTATTTTTGTCTGAGTTACTTTGAAGAACTGGTCTTTGAGCTCTGAGATTCTTTCCTCAGCTTGGTCAATTCTGCTGTTAAAACTTGTGATTGTATTATGAAATTCTTAAAGTGATCTTTTCAGCTCTATCAGATCGATTTGGTTATTTCTTAAAATGGCCCTTTATCTCCTGTGTCGTTTTATTGTATTCCTTAGATTTCTTGGATTGGGTTTTGACTTTCTCCTGAATCTTGATAATCTTCATTCCTATCCATATTCTGAATTCTCTGCCATTTCAGCCATTTCAGCCTGGGTAAGCACCATTGCTGAGGAACTAACATGGTTGCTGTGGAGGTAAGAAGACACTCTGGCTTTTTGAGTTGCCAGAGTTCTTGCACTGGCTCTTTCTCACTTGTGTGGGCTAATGTTCCTTCAGTCTTTGAAGTTGCTATCCTTTGGATGAGAACTCTTACTTTTATCTTTTTTTGATGCTGTTGGGGGTTTGATTGTGGCATATGGTAGGTTCAGTCTACTGGTTATGCTATGGTTCAGTCTAATGATTATGCAAGATTTTAAGGGGCCAAGGCTCAACACTCCTGGCCTGTGTGCTGTAACTCTGAGGGGCTGGCACTGATGCCCCAGCTTTGTTTTCTGGCCCCTTGAGGTTAGAAACTTGCTACACTGGAGAGGTCAAGGTGTTCCCAGTCCACTGGCCACAATATTCCAATAGGTGGTACCAGCCAGAGAACTTCATCAGGGTGATGGCAGTACGATCTGTGCTTGGTCGCATGTGCCAGCAGCCATGGCAATGCAGCAGGGTGCACATGTCAGCTAGGGTTGGGCACTAGTGGGAGTAGGGCTGCCGCATTCCTGCACATGCTCATTGAGACAGCGGTGGCAGCATGGTGGGAGCAGACTGCTGGTGGGGGTGAGGTTGTCAGTGTCCACACTCACACCAGTGGGAGTGGTGGAAGGTGCAGGGTGCTGGTAGGTGTGGGGCTGCCAGGCTCCATGCATACACTCACTAGCGGCATTCATTCTAAAGATTTTCCATGCCATTCATCCTTCCAATACTTCCTGAGTGCCCACCATATACCTGACACATGCTATGTGTCATGTGATAGGGAATAAAACACAGTTCCTGCTTGAAGGTAGCTTAAACCATATGAATGTGCCATTATTCAGTAAATCATTTTCACATTACTGGACATTTCAGTTGTAATGCTTTTTCTCTGTTGATAACAATAATTAGAGTTAAGATTTATTAAGCACATACAAGCATTTTATGTAGATTATTTCATTAATCTTTGTAAATAGCCCACGGAGGTAGATCTATTATGGATGAAGAAATGGAAGATAACACTTAGTCATTTACTCAAGCACATGCAGCCATTAAAGTGGCAGGGCCATGATTCAGACGTGGGCAATTTGACTTCAGATCCCAGACTCTTCCAGTAAGAACTATAATGAATATATTTGTTCAGATTTCTTTTGGCATTTTGTAAATATTTCTTAAGAATAGATTCTTAAAATTGGGATTAGTGTGCCAAAGAGCATGCAAATATATTTTAACATTTTAAGACGAAAATGAAAATATCTGTTCTGCATTGTTGCAAGATCATTTTTGTGACCAATCAGCCCTGTGCTGTTCAGTAGGGCAATCCCCAGCCAGCCACATGTGACTATGGAGCCCGTGAGAATTGAGATATGCTCTATGTGTAAAACACACATGGGATTTTGAAGACTTAGTATGAAAAAAAAGGAATGTAAAATATCTCATCAATAATTTTTCTATTGCTTACATGTTGATAGTATTCTTTGTCCATTAGATTAAATAGAATATAGTATTAAAATTTATTTTCCTGTTTCTTTATATTTAATGCAACTACTGGAACGTTTAATGTTTCATTTTTATCAGACAGCACTACTGGATAAGAGGCTGGACTCACAGTGAGGTGAGAGGTTGGAGGCCCCTTTGGAATAATTCAGGTGGCACATGATGAGGACAGACTTGGAGCAGAGGCCTTGTGAATAGGCTGGAGCTGAGGGTCTGTCCCAGCAGAGTAATGAGGTTTTGGTGCCCAGGAACATGATGGTTGTCAGACTCCTGGTTCCCTGTCTCTGCAACAAATTCCCCTTCCCCACTTTGATTTCTCCACAGTCCCTTTTACTCAAAGCAGAACTGTGTCCCCGCCTGAAAGGCTTGGCCAGTTTCCCAGTTTCCAAGTCCAATCCTAACCCAAAGCAGTGTACACCAAATTCCCACCAACCTCCAGCTACCAGGAATTTGGCATCTATTTGTTCCCCTGTTTTTTAACCAATTCAGAAATGGTTTGTTTTTTTTTTTCCAGGTCATATAACTGGGTTTCTGCTGAGGTGTCTGGCTCCGAGTTGCTTTGGAGCAGCCACCTAGAGCCCAGGCCTTGGGAGGGCCAGGCCCTGTTTGCAGCCCGGAGACCAGGGCTCTATGTCCCCTGAAGGACACAGAGTGGCAGATTTGCCCAGTGTGGAGATGCCACTGCTGGGCTATGTCCTCCTACCATCTGTCTCCCTTTTGCCTGCCAGTAAAAAGAGAAGATGCACTCAAGAAAGGTGGGCTCCCTGGAACCAGCAGGGAGGGAGAGAGAATGCCGCCTCTGCTCTCAGGAATTTTCTGTTCCCTGTTGCCCTCTCCTTGGGCTTCACCCCTGGCCCATGCCTCTCACCCTTAAAGACTTGGGGCTGCCTGCTCTCCTCCAGAGACAAGGCCCAGAAGCAGCCTGAGGAAGATCTGAAAATGGAGAATGGCCACCTTGACCCAGAAGTGGCAGGACGTGTGTCTCTAAGAGATGTAAGGAAGGCTCATTTGAAAGTGACAAGACTTGTCAAAGAAAGAGCAGATTCAGATTTGGATATTTTCCCCACTGCTTAGACTCACTGATTAAAAAGCCTCTGTAATTTCTGTGGAGGAACAGTCTCTCCTCATAGTAGGGACAAGGTGGTTCTTGTTGTTTTTCTCTTTTGTTAGAGATGAAAAATGAAGTTTGGCTTCTCTCATTCTTGTTCTCATTCCTATTCTTAGATCTCATTGGTATTCTCAGTGAATGTTTAAGCTTCCACTGTCTGGCCTCTGTATGAGGATACAATGTATTGCAAATTTAAGCTTGTTTGTCAAAATATGGAAAGGGAAAATTATTGGGAAAATTTTTATATGAAGGGGGAAAAAAAAGCAACAAAAGCCTAGATTGTAGGCACTAAAATCTATTGCAGCAGAATTTCTGGATGTGAAGATCAGACACTGATGGCTTAAAAGCTTCTCAGAAAATTCTGTATGCATCTAGTGTTAAGAAACTGGACAAAATTAATATCAATGACTAAGGCCACTACATATTACTTTAATTTTGAGTAACTTTTGAGTAAGACCTCATCCTCCTCCTCTTTTGGGTTACACACACACACACACACACACACACACACACACACAAATGAATTTCCTCTGAAAAAAGTCACTATTTCTGTTGCATCTGTTAATGTACAGTGAAGGTTGGTGTATTAGTGTATTCTTGCACTGCTATAGATAAATACCTGAGACTGAGACTGGGTAATTTATAAAGAAAAGGGGTTTAATTGACTCACGGTTCTGCAGGCTGTATAGGAAGCATACTGGCTTCTAGGGAGGCCTCAGGAAACTTACCATGATGGTGGAAGGTGAAGGGGAAGCAGGCACATCTTTCATAGCCAGGGCAGGAGGAAGAGACAGAGGGAGGAGGTACCTCACACTTTTCAACATCCAGATCTGGTGAGGACTCTGTCATGAGACAGCACTAGAGGGATGGTACTAAACCATTAGAAACCACCCCCATAAGCCAGTCACCTCCCACCAAGCCCCACCTCCAACACTGGGGATTACAATTCAATGTGAGATTTGGGTGGGAACACAGACCCAAACCATATCAGTTGGCAAAATTAAATGGCCTTTCATTTCTCCTTCTACAAAAATAAGAACTACTCTCTTTCCTCTTAGAATAAGCATGTTTAATCTTTGCTTCTGATGTATAATTTTGGCCTGGAAGATAATTAAAAATATGGTATTGGTGAGTTTATATATGGTGACAACAGAAACTCATGAAAAGTTGGCATCACATTATTTTCTTACTTGCTGTTTTTCCAAATAGTCATTGAATATATGCATTAAGACATGACTTGTGTTCCATGAAATATTTGAAATCCACTCTAATTACACTTTACTGGGTCTGCCTTTTGCCCTTCCATGGGTAAAGGGGTGGTTTTGTTTGAAAAGGCCTTAGTGTGACACAGGGGAGCTGAGCAAGCCATGAGTCGCAAGGAGGCTCCAACCACTGCCATTCATTAGAGCTGGGAACTCCAGCGGCATAAATAGGGAACTAATTCAGAATTCCAGCAGGGTCAAAGAGGTTATGGATGACTCACAGCTGAATGTGAAAGATCAAATAGAATGGCACCAAATTTAGGGTAGCTGGGCAAATATTTAAATATCTTGAGAACCAAAGAAAGGCAGACTTAAGGGAACACTTTCCATTATCTACACATGGCAGCACAACCAGCATCCCCAGCCCATGGCCATGTAAAGGTAGGCATTGCCACTCTCAGTTACATTCCCAATGCTCAAGAGTGGCATTGGAAACAGTGAAGCATGTCAGCTCCCATCTCCGCATCAGGCCTCAGGCTTCCATGAGTAGATATAGTGCATAGGATAGAGCAATAACGTTAGAAAGGCTTTTGAAAGAATCTTTATTCGTGATTTGAATGAGACAGTGGGAAGGTTAATTGCCTATGTGTTACAGCATTACTTTGATTAAGCGAAGGCTTGGGAGCAGGGGGTGTTAAAGAAAAAGTTATTCATGACACTTATTAAAGAACAGCAAGGCAGATCTAATTCAGGGGAACTATTTCCATAGGTATAGGGGCTTCTGTGGTGGGGTTTGGCAGTGGGCAGAGAGATTGGGCTCAACTCTGAATACAACAAGGAAAAGTGAGAATTTAAAGTTAAGGAGCAGGGTAGGATGTCAGTCGTGAGCAGCGGCTATGTGGGCCAGTGGTACAGGGGTAAAAAATTTACCAACACAGTTGTAGATAAAGAAAGGCAGATTTATTACAGAAAGTAGAAAAATACATTGCCAGGGAGCAACAGGCAGCCAGCAAGAGAGGAGCTGACTGCAAAGAAACAAAAGCTTGCTGGGGATTTTACAGAATAGTTACTGGGCTACAGGGTGGTATGTGCAGTACTGATAATGCCAAGGTTGCAGTGAATTAACTTGGAATTTTTTGTACCAGCCAAGGGTTTGGTGATAGCTGGGTGCAGAAAGATTGTGAGTTATTGGTGTCCTGGAACAGGAAGAAAGGCAGACTTGTAGCTTATCTGCTTTTTCTTCTGGCTTTCCCCTGGTCCCACCAGCCTGACTCCTTTTCCCCAATTAGCACTCCACATAGGTGTCACTGGATGGAAAAATATCAAGTGGAAACATTGGGGTATGAAGGAATTCTGGCTAAACAGGCCCAACCTATTTCTTGCTAAAGAGAGGCCAAGGTGTTTGGACGTCATCTATGGGATAGTGGATGAGGAACCTGATCAGATATCGAGGGCGAAGGGTTCACGTTACAATGACTTAGCAGGATCCTTACTAAAATTGGATAACGCAGAAACAAACACAGAAACCCAAAAGTTAGAGCCTAGTTAAAAATAGAATTCTAAAGACCGACTAAAGTTTGATCAAGGAGAGAATCTTGGTCAGTGGTGCAATAGAGTTTTTAGGGTAGGCCTGAAGCACACATCTTCAAGCTGCCTCTCACTCGTCACTCCTCCACCAAAGCCACCTCTTGGCCTTGCCACATCTGGGAATGTGGTACTTCGTGATTGAAGAGGAGGAAACTGGGGTGGGGGAATGTGTGGGTGCCTGATAGAACCAAGCTGCAGAAATAATTGATTTTGTCTGAGATCTGACATGGAGTGACGGGGCACAGAACCAATTCAGCTATTTATTCCACATCTACTGGGCAGTACTGTGCACCTGACCTTCTGCTAAATGCCAGTGCAGAGATTAATTACACAGTGTCCTGGACATCCACAGGCTCTCAGACAAAGATAACATTATAGAATGGTAAGGTGAAGGGGACATGTGTAAGTCCCAGGTGCCACAGCAGCACATTTGAGGGGCTCCCAACCCAGGCTGGGTGATGGTCAGGGAGGGTGAGGCAAGGTCCAGGGAGGCACCAGAAAAAAAGGAACAAAGGGCTTTGTGAGAGCTTGGGAGAGCTATCATGGAAAGAATCAGAATTTTTGTGTCCTTTCCAGTTCTTATTTTTGAACAGGTTGATCCTATTTGTATTTGATTTGCATTTGGGGGCCACCATTATTCTCACCCAACTCTGCCTCTCGAAGTTAATATTTGGAAAGCCTTGGAACCCTCCTTCTCCCTACCTCACCCCTGCCCATCCTGGCTTGCACAGAGTTTGTTTTTTGTTAGTTAAGCAAAGCCAGGAATGTGAATGAAAAGTGAAACTGAGGGGTAATTTGATCAGCTCTGCCTGCCCCGCTTGCTTTCCATTATTTTTTTTCCCTTTACCCATTAAGCTGAAGGCCAAGGTAGCTGAAGGCTGTGCCGCTGAACGCAGAAACATAACCTTCACTGGCTACTTCCTAGGTAACGTTCACAGGCCACCATGGTAATGGTTGAGTCTGTTGTTTTTCAGAAACTTGGACCAGTTTCTGCCCAGTTCAAACTGGTTGAGACCTCCGATCCTTCAACTGGGCCTGGGCACGTGCCTGAGAGGTGGCCTTTTATGTCGGAGGGCCAAAAACCCCTCTTTCAGATCATGCTAATGCTGTCATTTTCTGTACGTATGTCCTATGAGATGCCGTGAACTCCAGCTATGCTTCTGCAGAACCAACCTGTTACTTCATTTTTATTCACTGCCAATAATCTTTCCCTATGACTTAACCACCCCACTTCCCTCACCCACAAATATCCCTAAATCTTATCTTCCAGGAGGCAGATTTGAGAGCTGTTCTCCCACCTCCTGGCTTGGTGCCTTTGAGAATATATCTTTTCTCCTTTGCAAAATCCAGGTTACAGTGATTGATTTACTGTGCATGGGCAGGACAGACCTGGACGTGGCTGGTAACAAAAGAAGTCTCCAAAGTTTTTCTCTTTGTGTTAGCTGGGACTCTTCAGTCCTAGCTATAACATAATCGATTTGAGCTAATTTAAGCAAAAAGAAGAATTCATTCTAAGGTGGCAGGAGTGCTTCATGGATCTCGAATATGTGGGGAGGCAGGCTGCCTCTGGAAGGGGCAGGAACCAGGAACAGGTGTGCCATCTCTGGGCCTGGCCTCTGCATCCCCCCATGTGAGGGATTTGTTCTTGCCTTCCTCTGCTGACTGGTTTTCTCTGTGTCTATGCATGTGGTCAAGCTCTAACCTGAAGCACAAACAAGAACACTCTTAACTTCAGTGTGCACTGGCAGCCCAGGACACGGGCTGTGGTCACCTCTCTCAGACTTGGAGTGTTTGACTGGGGTGTCTGATGCATGTGAAACTGGCCCAATTTTCCCACAGAACTGTAGTTTCTGTGGTTTCTATAGTTTCTTTTGAATAAACATAGAAATTGATCCCCCAATGTTAAAACTTAAGAAAGTTACATTTCTCTTATCTGAGTTCTTTTCTCAGGAAACCAACCATCAGGGCTCCCAGATGTATCAAGGAACTGAAACTTACTAGATCATCACATCTGGACAATGAGATGCCAGATCCCTCACCTCTCATGATTGCCTAAGTGACTCCTTGCTTCCTATTGATCAACTCCTCTTCCTTGTACTTCCCTAATTCCTGTTTTCCTTCATGTCGTTACATTTCTTCTCTACCATATAAACCTCTGATTTTAGTTGGTCAGGGAAATGGATTTGAGACTGACCTCCCATATCCTCAGCTGCAGCACCCGATTAAAGCCTTCTTCAGTGATTGGCTTTCTGTGCAGTGAGCAACAGGACCTAGATTGAACCCTTGGTGTTTTGGTAACACATGGCCTTGCTTTTACCTTTCGTTTGCAAAACCTCAGGCCTCTTACACCATTGAAAATGAAAAATCATGCATAGATTTGGGAAGCAGGGTTTAAATTATGTTTTTCTTGCTTTCTCTTTTCTTTCTTCTTTTAAGTACCTGGCTAATAACAACCTGTGGCACAATGGGAAGTATATATTTGGTCCTTGACCTTGATTCCTGGCACACAGGTCCTAAAATCATTGGAATATCTGGAGTGATATGAGTGTCTTTTGTATGCTAATGAGATGACTGGTGGCTGGGGGCCACTACATAGCTTCAGGTCTGGTCACCAGAAAGGCCAAGGTATGATTAGAGGACTAGAACTTTCAGCCCCAGCCCCAACCTTGGGAGAGGCAAGAGGGGCTGGAGATCAAGTTAATTACCAATGGCCAAGGATTTAATTCATTATATCTATGTGTTAGAACCTCCATAAAAACCCTATACAATGAAGTCTGGAAAGCTTCTGGGTTGGTAAATACCTTGGGGTGCTGGGAGAGTGGTGCACCTGGATGGCACATGGAAGCTCTGTGCACCCCTCCCCTCACACTTTGCTCTATATGTCTCTACTGTTTGGTTGTTCCTGAGTCGTATCCTCAATCATAAACTGGTAGCGGTAAGCAAAGCACTTTTCTGGTATTAACAAGTAAAGTAAACAAATGAGCAACAATGAGTGCTTTTCTGTAAGCGATTCTAGCAAATTATTAAACCTGAGGAGGGGTCCATGGGAACCCTCCATTTATAGCCTATTAGTCAGAAGCACCAGTGACACGCTGGGACTTGCCATTGGCCTCTAAAGTAGGGGCAGTCTTGTGGGACTGAGCCTTTAACTTGCAGGGTCTGCACTACCTGTGGGAACTGAATTGAATTCTAGGACACCCAGTTGGTTGCCAAAGAGTTGGAGAACTTGTTGCTGTGGAGGAAATCTACACATTTAGTGTCAGAAATGCGAGCAAAAACTATCCACAGCCACTTATTCAGCATTCACTGAATCCCAAGCACTGTGACCTTCACATGCAGAGTCTCATTAATATACTTGACAACTGGGAAAATAGGTAGAATCATCACTCCACATTACAGATGTGGAACCCATCACTGAGAGAACTCAAGTGACACAAGCTCATCAGCTGGGGAGGGGACAATCTGGAATTTCAACCCCGGTCTGACTCTGAAGTTAGCAGCGGTTTTTAAAAATAATTAATTAACTTCTAATGTTTTGCAAAGGTAATAGATGCACCAAATTTCATCAGGTACAGAAAGATAAATCCATAGGGGAAATTCCACGCTGATATTTGCACAGTAATGTACTGCACTGTGCAGTACACTGTACAGTGTTTTGCAGTTTTTTGCCTTAGCAATTTGTCTTGGCATCATTCCATGCCTCACTTTTTTCTAGTAATTTATTGAGGTGAAATTCACATAACACAAATCAATTGTTTTAAAGTGAACGTTCAATGGCACTTAGTACATTCACAGTGCTGTACACCTAACCACCTTTATATAGTTTCAAAATAATTTTCATCACTTCAGAATAAAACCCCACACTCATTAAGTAAACAGTTTCTCCTCTTTTCTCCCACCCCTTCGCCAGCATAGGGCAATCATGATGAATTTATCAATTGTGGATATTTCATGTAAATTCATACAATATTTGTCCCCCTATGGCTAGCTTCTTTCACTTAGCGTAATATTCTGGAGGTTTACTCATATTGTAGCTTATATCAGCACTTCATTCTTTTTACGGTCAAATAATATTCCATTGTATGGATATACCACAATTTGTTTATCCATTCATCTGTTGAACATTTGGGCTGTTTCTGCCTTTTGGCTATTATGAATAGTAGTACTATAAACGTGTATGTATATGTACTTGTTTGACTTCCTGTTTTCAATTCTAGGAGTAGAACTTCTAGCCACATGGTAGTTCTATGTTTAACTTTTTGAGGAACTGCCAAACTGTTTTCCAAAGTGACTGAACCATTTTTACATCCCCATTGTATTAGTCCATTCTCACACAGCTATGAAGAAATACCCAAGAGTGGGTAACTTATAAAGGAAAGAAGTTTAATCAACTTACAGTTCCACATGACTGGGGAGGCTTCAGGAAACTTACCATCATGGCAGAAAGGGCAACAGATATGTACTTCTTCACTTGGCAGCTTGAGAGAGAAGTGTCAACAGGGGAAATGACAGACACTTATAAAACCACCAGACCTCATGAGAACTTATGCACTATCATGAGAACAGCATGGGGGAACCACCCCCATTATCTAATCACTTCCCACTGGGTCCCTCCCGTGACATGTGAGGATTATGGGAACTACAATTCAAGATGAGATTTGGGTGGGGACACAGTCAAACCATATCATTCCCCCCGGCCCCTCCCAAATCTCATGCCCTCACGTTTCAAAACACAATGATGCCTTCCTAACAGTCCCCTAAAGTCTTAACTCATTTCAGCATTAACTCAAAAGTCCAAGTCCAAAGTCTCACCTGAGACAAAGCAAGTTCCTTCCACCCATGAGCTGGTATAATCAAACACAAATTAGTTCCTTCTAAGATAAAATGGAAGTACAGGCATTGGGTAAATATACCCATTCGAAGTAGGAGAAATTGGCCAAAACAAAAGGGCTACAGGCCCCATGCAAGTCCAATATCCAATAGGGCAATAATTAAACCTTAAATTTCCAAAATGATCTCCTTTGGCTCCATGTATCACATCCAGGTAATGCTGATGCAGGACCTGGATCAGTGTCTGTGCCTGTGACTTTGCAGGATATAGCCCCCCTCCTGGCTGCTTTCACAGGCTGGCATTGAGTGTTTTTGGCTTTTCCAGGTACACAGTGCAAGCTGTTGGTGAATATACCATTCTAGGGTCTGGAGTACTGTGGCCATCTTCTCACAGCTCCACTTGGCAGTGCCCCCATGGGGACTCTGTGTGGGGGCTCCTACTCCACATTTCCCTTCTGCACTGCCTGAGCAGGGGCTCTCCATGAGGGCTCTGTCCCTGCAGCAAACTTCTTCCTGGACATCCTGGCACTTCCATACATCCTCTGAAATATAGGTGGAGGTCCCCAAACCTCAATTCTTGTTTTTTGTTCACCTGCAGTTTCAACACCACATGGAACCCGCCAAGGCTTGGGGCTTGCACTCTCTGAAGCAATGTCCTGAGCTGTCCATTGGTCCCTTTTAGCCACTACTGGAGCTGAAGTAGCTGGGACATAGGGCATCATGTCCTGAGGCTGCACAGAGCAAAGGGGCTCTGGGCCCAGCCCACAGAACCATTTCCCTCCTAGGCCTCCAGGCCTGTGATGGGAGGTGCTGCCATGAAGGTCTCTGACATGCCCTGGAGATATTTTCCCCATTGTCTTGGTGATTAATATTCAGCTCCTCATTACTTATGCTAACTTCTGCAGCTGTCTTGAATTTCTCCCCAGAAAATGGGGTTTTCTTTTCTATTGCACTGTCAGGTTGCAAATTTTCCTCTCTTTTATGCTCTGCTTCCTCTTGAATGCTTTGCCACTTAGAATTTTTTTTCCAACAGATACCCTAAATCATCTCTCTCAAGTTCAAAGTCCCACAGATCTCTAGGGCAGGGGCAAAATGCCACCAGTCTCTTTGCTAAAACATGCCAAGAATGACCCTTACTCCAGTTCTCAGCAAGTTCCTCATCTCCATCTGAGACCACCTCAGCCTGCACTTCACTCTCCAGATCACTACCAGCATTTTGGTCAAAGCCATTCAACAAGTCTCTTGGAAGTTCCAAACATTCCCACATCTTCCTGTCTTCTGAGCCCTCCAAGTCTCTAGAGTTCCAAACTTTCACACATTTTCCTGTTTTCTTCCAAGTTCTTCAAAGTCTTCCAACTTCTGCCTGTTACTCAGTTCTGAAGTCACTTCCACATTTTTGGGTATCCTTATAGCAGTGCCCTGCTCCTGGTACCAATTTACTGTATTGATCCGTTCACACACTGCTATGAAGAAGTACCCAAGACTGGATAATTTATAATGGAAAGAGGTTTAATTGATTCACAGTTCAGCATGGCTGGGGAGGCCTCAAAAAACTTACAATAATGGCAGAAGGGGAAGAAAACATATCCTTCTTCACATGGTGGCAGAAGAGAGAAATGCCAGCAGGGGAAATGCCAGACACATAAAACCATCAGATCTTGTGAGAACTCACTCTCTATCACGAGAACAGCATGGGGGAAACTGCCCCCATGATCCAATCACTTCCCATAGGGTCCCTCCTAAAACATGTGGGGATTATGGGAACTACAATTCAAGATGAGATTTGGGTGGGAACACAGCCAAGCCATATCACCCACCAACAATGTATGAGGGTTCCGATTTCTCCGCATCCTCACCAATATTTGCTGTTTTCCATTTCCTTTTTATTATAGCCATCCTAATAAGTATGAAGTGGTATCTCATGGTAGTTTTGATTTGCATTTCCCTAATGACTAATGATGTTGAGCACCTTTTCATGTGCTTGTTGACCATTTATATATCTTCTTTAGAGAAATACCTATTAAAATCCTTTGCCCATTTTTAATTTTTTTTTGTCTTTTTGTAGTTGAGTTATAAGAGTTCTTTATCTATTCTGGATACCAGACCATTATCAGACACCATCCCCTCACTTTCTTTGTGTCTTTGCTCAAATGTCACCTTATCAGAAAAGTCTCTCCAAAGTACTACATATTTTAAAAGGCAACTCTTCTTCATTCTCCTCAGCTGTTTTTCTGCTTTTTTTTTCATAGCATTGATTACTACCTAAAGTATTATTTATTTCTCTGTGTGTGTTTTGGGGGGGGGGGGGGGATGGTGGTATTAAAACAGGGTTTTGCTATTTTGTTTGTGTCTGTTCCTGCACCTAGAACAGAGCTGATGACATTTAAGCTCCCAATATACAATTGTAGAATGAATGAATGAGAATAGATAGAGCTGCCTAATTCTTTTGATAGGTGAAGACAGTATATCATTGTAGTTTGATAAACTGTGACCCTTAAAACACAATTTCTCTGCTCATCTAATGTTTAAGTTTTAAGAGATATTAAGTCCTATTTGGTCCCTTAAACTATCAACTGTCCTCTCTGAGATGTATGCAGCCATCAGCTGGCAAAGGCAGACTTCTCTTCAATATCTGCCTACCTGTACTAGTGTGTTTTCACACTTTATAAAGAAATACCCGCTGGGCGCGGTGGCTCATGCCTGTAATCCCAGAACTTTGAGAGGCTGAGGCGGGTGGATCACAAGGTCAGGAGATGGAGACCACGGTGAAACCTCGTCTCTACTAAAAACACAAAAAATTAGCCGGGCGTGGTGGCATGCGCCTGTGGTACCAGCTCCTCTGGAGGCTGAGGCAGGAGAATGGCATGAATCCAGGAGGCAGAGCTTGCAGTGAGCCAAGATCGCACCACTGCACTCCAGCCTGGGTGACAGAGTGAGACTCTGCCTCAAAAAAAAAGAAAAAAAAAAGAAAAAAAAAGAAATACCCAAGACTGGGTAATTTATAAAGGAAACAGTTTTAACAGTTCCACATGGAGGAAGATTTCATGTGGGAGGCCTGAGGAAACTTACAATCGTGGTGGAAGGCAAGTAGGCACCTTCTTCACAAGGCAGCAGGAGAGAGTGAGTGCAAGCAGGGGAAATGCCAGATGCTTATAAAGCCATCACATCTCATGAGAACTCACTCACTATCACAAGAACAGCATGGGGGAAATCACCACCATGATCCAATCACTTCCCTCCCTCGACACTTGGGGATTACAATTCAAGACAAGATTTGAGTGGGGACACAGAGCCAAACCATATCACTAACCTTTATATACCTGGGAATGAACCACTTATGCTAACATGTGTCAGGCACCATATCCAAACCACTTGCTAATCTGCTCTCTTTTTATCTTCTTGTTTCTGACCTCCCTTTGCCTTGTATGTGACACTCAGCGTTTTTTTCAGTTCTGCTCTTTGAATATCAGTAGTGTTTTGTAAATATCACTTTTTGTCCTCCTGCGTTTTAGAACTCTTTACATTGGTTCATTATCTTAAGCAGATTTTTACCAACTTCTTCTATCTTGGTCCTATAATTTGAATCCAATCAAGCATGTTTAGGGGTAAACTAAAGTAGAATGTAAAGCATGCAAAACACTTCAACTTTTAACTTTATCTACAGTCAAAATCTCTCTTTTACTTGGGCTAGAATGCTGCCAGAAATGCCTGCACCAGGGGAAACTCGTTTCCCCAGTACTAGAGGTTTGGTCCCTGGATCAATAGTATTAGGATCATCTGGGAACTTGTTAGAACTGCAAAGTCTAGGGCTCAATCCAGAAGCTTGTGTTTAACAACCACTCCCTCTGCCCCCAAGTGATTCTGACACTTGCTGAAGTTTGAAGAAGATAGATGTTGGTATGTGTTCTTGGCAGTGGTGGTCAGTGAGTGAATTTCCAAAGCAGCACAGCCAAACAGGCAAGAGGTTATCATCTTGCAGAGATATGAAGCGAACACACCCACTCCTGGAAAGGAATAAATGGAGCATGACAATGATAGAGGAATCAAAATGAGAAGATACAATTTTAGAAAAGCAGTATCTATCCAAACTGTTCCAACCCTGCGAAGTCTTTCCCTTGTTACCAGCGGGACTTTAGACAAGTCCCTTAATTTGAATCTTGTTCACATTTCATCAGAGGGCCAAGTGGAAATCATATTTCAGGGAGAAATGTGGAGCTCCTGAGATTTTGAGGAAAAAAAAGGAGTCTAAAATGTGAGCGCCTTAGCCATAGGACATAGGCGTGGACGGGAGCGTGTTCTGGGTACAGAGCATGTTTATTATGTGAACTTCTTCTGACCCAGCCATCCTGGCAGCATTGTGTGCCGAGGCTGATAAAAGGTTTGCCTGCATAAACAGAAAGAGCTGTCTGCTCCAAGACCCTCCATAACCCTTTGTGGTCTAAGCAAAATTGCTGCGGACACTTCCCTCTCCCTGCCTTCCCATGAGCCCCAGCTGAGCACACACAAAGGCAGCTCTGTTCCTCGATCACTTTGCAAAGCTTTGTTGGCTAGGCCTCGTAATGATGTGGATGCTGATAGTATAATAATAGCTAACATGCACGAATGCTTACTCCTTGCCAGGCATATTGCTAAGTGTTTTAAGGAACCATTTCTTGTAAGACTCATAACAGTCCCAGGAGATAGAGACCGTTCCTGTCCTCCTTTTATAGATGAGAAAAATGAAACTCAGAGAAGTGGAGAAATTTGTCCAAGTCACCTGGGCCAGGAGGAATGCAGAGCTGGGGTTGATCCCAAGGCCCTGAGTTTACAATTAAATTGCATGGCCTCTCAACATGTATCTGTTTAAAGGTAGGCTTTCATTATTCTCAAAGGAGAAACTACATAAAAGATGAGAGAATTAATATTTGAAGATATATATTAGTTTATCCAATATTACAAATCTAGAAGGTAGCAAAACCATGACTAGAACACAGTTCCTTTCCCCACAGTATGATGCCCCACTGCTTGCTTCTTTCTCTGACAAACCTGACCACAGACAAAGCTGCCTTCCGTAAGAAGTGGTCCTTCTCCCCTGCAGAGCTGACTGAGGGTTTTGAGGGGTCAGGGGCCAGGAGTTGGGAGTGAAACACACCTATTTGAATCCCTGGCTCTGATCTTGGGCAAGTAACTTTACTTTTCTTCCATTTTATTTTAATTTGGGTATAATTTATATACATCAAATTCAATATTTTTAGTGTACAATTTTACAAGTGTTGACAAATGTATACCAATGTCATGTATCTACCACCATAATCAAAGTGTAGGATCTCCAAATGTTCCCGGGCTCCTTTGTAGTCCACCTATAAAGGACTATAGCCTCTGGCAAGCAGTGATCTATGTACAGTCCCTATAGTTCTGCCTTTTCTATAACATCATATAAATGGGATCAGTGTGCAGCCTTTTGAATCTAGCTCCTTTCACTTAGCATAATACTTTCAAGATGCATCCACAGTGTTGCGTATATAAGCAGTTCATTGCTTTTCACTGCTAACCTACAAGGATCTTAACGTAGCAAAAAATCAACAGAAGCTGCCCCACCTAACTGGAAACACCCTGAGAGCAGCACCTGTGAGTCTTGGCTACTGTCTTCAAGATGGCACAACTGTCTTGGAGATAGTGGGAATGAAGGTGACTGGAAATCTTAAAGGCACAAACATATCCCGTGGAGCTATCCTAGATGGCTTGAGTGACAGCTGGTGGGGGCTAGGAGCCCTGTGGTTTGAACTAGACAGCCCTGGGATAGTCAAGTCATGGTAGGTAGGGCCAGAGCCAGAACACAAACCCAGCCATGTTTAGTCCAAGTTCAGCTCTTTCCCTTACTCCAGCAGTTTCCAACCACATCCACAGGAAGGCAAGCACTGCTGGGCCTGACCAGGCTATTTATAGGTTAGAAGAGAGGTTGATGGGGTGGGAGGAGTGCTTTGTAGTGAGGCCTGATAAGAGACTCCTTAGCAAGTATCTTCCCTTACGGTCTGCAGAACTAGGACTGGGTCACAGCATTAAGGGGCCCCATCTCATACCTACTGAATCAGCACCTCTGCATGTAGCACCCAGGCATCTGTATTTTTTGGTCAAACTTCTAAAAAGATGATGCTATTATGCAGCCAGTATCAAAAACTGCTCCAGAGAAGAAATAAACATATCATTCTGTCCCAAGTGGTGGAGATAATTGGGTAGAAACACATTTCTAGATATTCTTCCTCTGAAGTTGCCTAATAACATCAATTATTTGCTTTTCCTTTTGTGGCACTGAATCTTCTAAAATTCTCTCGCTCCTTAGTCATCCTCCACTTTAGACACACGTGCAAGAAAATACGGAGCACATGCATCCACCTGCTGAATAAAAAAGCAAGACAGCCAGGCTTGAGGCTTGTCCCTCCTGTGCTGCGTTTCAAGGGTGATGGCCAGAACATGGTCCTCTGGGTCTCTTTTGCTCACCCACCCACAGAAAGTTGGCAAATTAAATGTATGTTTTGGACATTCAGTAGCTGTTACTCATGGAAACCCTGAATCTACGTGAACACTCTTTCCAAAGCCAGATGGAATTTCCACTCAGAAAATCTTGGCACCAATTTCTTCAAAACAATAGCAAGTTACAGGCAGGAACTGGGAAACCTCCATTACATTAGTGGCTGGCACTGTGGGCTAACCAGGGGGAGGTGATCCTGGTGTCTTTTCCCTGTTCAGCAGGACCTGGTAGCCCTCTGATTCTTACTCATGGGTTTCAAGGCAGGATGGCAACTTCTTCTAAAGCAGACCTTCCTCATAGAGGAATGCCTTGTTAAAATATAAGCAGCCCCAACACAAACGTTTGTAAGAATGATCGTGTCTAAATTAAGGCAGTTTGATAGACAGTAACAGAAAGCCACCAAACATAGCTCAAACCGAAAGGGAAGTATATGAGAAGAACACCAAAAACATTTTACCATCCTTCATGGCCGATGGTGCAGCTGGATGTCAGAAAGGCTCATGCAAGGCTGGAACCAAGACCAAGAGTGACTTTGTGGAATGAAACAGCTACTCTCTTCCTCTCACTCTCCCTATCCCCCACCATGCCCAGGTTCAAGGACAGCTAAGTTTTTCTCTTACTCAGTTCAATGGTTTCTCCAATTTCAAAGTCCAAGGAAGAATCTGATGGATCAGGCTTTAGTCAGATCTTCACCCATGGTTCAATCAAGTGGGGTGCTCATCCATGCTGGTACCATGTGACTTCCCACTCCCATCATAGTGAGACCAGGGATAGGCACCCTTCATGGGCATTCAAAAAAGAGTCCACTTTTATTATTTTCTTCACCCTCCATCTTTTAGTTGCCGGTTTCTCCTTGTTCACTCCTCCATCTTACTGTCTCATCACTGCCTGTTTACCCATTTCTTTGTTGCACTGTAGATTCTTTGAGGGCTGGGATCTCAGCCCCTAGCAGGCCTGCCTTTATTTATCTATCCATATTGAGTGCTATTTCTCTGCAGGACCTGCACTGCCCTGAAGATGGCTGCAGGGACCAGCATCATTGCAATCTCACGTGGCTTACATTCTAGCAGGGGCAACAGATGCTAAATAGTCATGCAGGCACATTATCTCTGATCACAACTCTTCACATTTTTTTTTTCTCAAGTTATGGTCAGTGTAGTCTAAGATGGAAGAGAGAGAAAAAGAGAAGGAAATATATAATAAACTCTCCCCTTTTCTAATTTACTATGCAGAATGGTTAAAGTTTTACAAATCAGTGAATAACAGTCATCTATCCAGACTCAGTGCCCTTATGTTCCAGATATCTGAGATTTCCTTGTTTGAGGAGTATTCCATCCCTGCAGGGCTGAGGGGGAATAGACAGGTAAGTCCCAACCATTCCTCAATCCTTACCAGCTCCCCACTCACAACAGGAAGAACCTAACCATTCAGACAGACAGGAGACCTTTTATTATTATTATTATTATTTTAATTATAGATTCAGGGGGTGCATTGCATTATGCTGGCCTTTGGTCTTCTGGTGAACCTGTCACCCAGGTAGTGAGCACAGTACCCAATAGGTAGTTTTTCAACCCTTGCCCCCTCTTTTCCTCCCCACTTTTGGAGTCCCCATTGCCTGTTGTTTGCATCTTTAGGTCCATGTGTACCCATTGTTTAGCTCCACTTATAAGTGAGAACATGTGCTATTCATTTCCTATTTCTGAGTTATTTCACTAAGGATTATGGCCTCCAGCTGCATCCATGCACACATCACAGGTGTATTTACCCAATGCCTGTACCTCCACTGTACCTTAGAAGGAAATAACATGTGCAAAGGACATGATTGCATTCTTTTTTATGGGTTTTTTATGGCTGTTCTTTTTATAGCTGTATATGTGGTACATACATATATATTCTATGGTATATATATATATATATCACTTTTTTAATCCAATTATCTGTTGATGGGCACTTTTAGATTGATCCTATGACTTTGCTATTCTGAAACTGCTGAGTGCAGGTGTCTTTTTGGTAAAATTATTTCTTTTCCTTTGGGTGTATACCCAGTAGTGAGATTGCTGAGTTGAATCGTAGTTCTATTTTCAGTTCTTTCAGAAATCTTCATACTGTTTTCCATAGGAGTTGAACTATACATTAGTCTGTTCTCACACTGATAATAAAGACATACCTGAAGCTGGGTAATTTATAAAGAAAAGAGGTTTAATTGACTCACAGTTCCACATGACTGGGGAGGCCTCACAATCATGGCAGAAGGTGAAGGAGGAGCAAAGCCATATCTTACATGATGGCAGGCAAGAGAGCGTGTACAGGGGAACTCCCCTTTATAGAACCATCAAATCTCATGAGACTTATTCACTATCACAAGAACAGCATGGAAAAGACCCACCCCCATGATTCAATTACCTCCCACTGGATCCCTCCCATGACATGTAGAAATAATGGGAGCTACGATTCAAGATGACATTTGTGTGGGGACACAGCCAAACCATACCATTCCACCCCTGGCCCCTCCCAAATCTCATGTCCTCATATTTCAAAACCAGTCATGTCTTCCTAACAGTTGTCCAAAGTCTTAACTCATTCTAGCATTAACTCAAAAGTCCAAGTCCAGTGTCTCATCTGAGACAAAGCAAGTCCCTTCTGCCTATGAGCTGGTAAAATCAAACACAAGTTAGTTCCTTCTAAGATACAAATGGGGGTACAGGCATTGGGTAAATATACTCATTCTAAGTGGGAGAAATTGGCCAAAGCAAAGAGGCTACAGGCCCCATGCAAGTCCGAAATCCAATAGCACAGTCATTAAACCTTAAAGTTCCAAAATGATCTCCTTTGACCCCATGTCTCACATCCAGGTCATGCTGATGCAAGAGGTGGGCTCCCACAGCCTTGGGCAGCTCTGTCCCTGCAGCTTTGCGGGGCATAGCCCCCCTCCAGGCTGCTTTCACTGTCTGGCATTGAGTGTCTCTGTGGCTTTTCCAGGCGCACAGTGCAAGCTGTTGGTTGACCTACCATTCTGGAAAGTGCCCCTCTTCTCACAGCTCCACTAGGCACTGCCTCAGTGGGGAGTCTGTGTGAGGACTCCAACTCCACATTTCCCTTCCACACTGCCCTAGCAGAGGTTTTCCATGAGGGAAAACCCTCTGTCTGCCCCTGCAACAGACCTCTGCCTGGACATAGAGGTGTCTCCATATTTCCATACATCCTCTGAAATCTAGGCAGAAGTTCCCAAACCTCAATTCTTGTCTTCTGTGCACCTGCAGGACCATCCAACACCATACGGAAGCTGCCAAGGCTTTGGGCTTCCACTCGCTGAAGCCACAGCCTGAGCTGTATGTTGGCCCCTTTTAGCCACAGCTGGGGTGGCTGGGATGCAGGGCACCAAGTCCCACGCTGCACACAGTAGGGGTGCCCTAGGCCCACGAAACTATTTTTCCCTCCTAGGTCTCCAGCCCTGTGATGGGAGGGGCTGCTGTAAAGGTCTCTGACATATCCTGGAGGCATTTTCCCCATTGTTTTGGTGAGTAACAGTCTGCTCTTCTTTATTTATGCAAATTTCTGCTGCTGACATGAATTTCTTCCCAGAGCATGGGTTTTTATTTTCTACTGCATTATCAGGCTGTAAAATTTTCAAAGTTTTATGCTCTGCTTCATCTTGAATGCTTTGCCACTTAGAAATGTCTTCCACCAGGTACCCTAAATTATCTCTCTCAAGTTCAAAGTTCCACAAATCTCTAGGGCAGGGGCAAAATACTGCCAGTCTATTTGCATAACAAGACTGACCTTTACTTCAGTCTCCAACAAGTTCCTCATCTCCATCTGAGACCACCTCTGTCTAGACTTTATTGTCCATATCACTATCAGCATTTTGGTCAAAGTCATTCAACAAGTCTCTAAAAAGTTCCAAACTTTCCTACATCTTCCTGTCTTCTGAGCCCTCCAAGTCTCTAGGAAGTTCCAAACTTTCCTACAGTTTCCTATCTTCTTCTGAGCCCTCCAAACTCTTCCAACTTCTGCCTGTTATGCAGTTCCAAAGTCACTTCCATATTTTCAGGTATCTTTAAAGCAGCGCCTCACTACCAGGAACAAATTTACTGTATTAGTCTATTTTCATGCTGCTAATAAAGATATACCTGAGATTGGGTAATTTATATTTTAAAAAAGGTTTAATTGACTCGGTTCAGCATGGCTGGGGAGGTCTGAGGAAACTTACAATCACAGCAGAAGGTGAAGCAAACACGTCCTTCTTCAAGTGGCAGCAGCAAGGAGAAGTGCAGAGCAAAGGAAGGAAAAATCACCTTATAAAAACATCAGATCTTGTGAGACTTATTCACTACCATGAGAACAACATGGGAAAGACCTGCCCTAATGATTCAATTAGCTCCCACTGGGTCCCTCTCATGGCACATGGGGATTATGGGAGCTACAATTCAAGATGAGATTTGGGTGGGGACACAGCCAAACCATATCAAACTAATACACATTCCCACCGATACTGTATAAGTGTTCCCTTTTCTTCACATCCTTGCCAACATGTTATTTTTTGACTTTTTAATAATAGCCATTCTGACTGGTATGAGATACTATTTCATTGTGGATTTAATTTGCATTTTTCTGATGAATTTAGTGATACTGAGCATATTTTCATATATTTGTTGGCCACTTGTATGTCTTCTTTTGAGAAGTGTCTATTCATGTCTTTTGCCCACTTTTTAATGGGGTTATTTGGAGTTTTTTTTATTTGTTCAAGTTCCTTATAGATTCTGGATATTAGTCATTTGTCAGATGCAGTTTGGAAATATTTTCTCTCATTCTGTATATAGACAACAGGTTGTCTATATACCCTGTTGATTGTTTCTTTTGCTGTGCAGAAGCTTTTTAGTTTAATTAAGTCCCATTTGTCTATTTTTGTTATTGTTGCATTTGGTTTTGAAGTCGTAGTCATAAATTCTTTGCCTAGACCAATGTCCAGAACAGTTTCTCTTAGGTTTTCTTCTAGTATTTTTATAGTTTCAAAGCTTACATTTAAGTCTTAATCCATCTTGAGTTAATTTTTATATATGGTAAGATGTAGGGGATCTATTGTTATTCTTCTGCATATGCCTAGCCAGTTTTCCCAGAATCCTTTCCCCATTGTTAATTTTTGTTGACTTTGTTGAAAATCAGTTGGCTATAGGTGTGTGTCTTCATTTATGGGTTCTTTATTCATTCCATTGATCTATGTGTTTATTTTTGTACCAGTACCATGCTGTTTTGGTTACCATAGGCTTGTAGTATTGTTTGAAGTCAGATAATGTGATACCTCTACTCCAGCCTGGTGTGGATACCCCTCCTCACCTCACAGTAAAGGGGGCCACTGCTGGGCCTTGGGGAGGTCAGCATTTTGCCAAGAACAGATATAAGAAAAAAGTCTACTTGACTACAAGAGGTTTTTTTGAGTTGTTTTTGTTTTGTTTTGTTTGGAGGATGGGATGGTGCCTTCTGCTTTTATTTACCAATTTATTCACAAAATATTTTAAATATACCAAAAATAATAAAAAGAACCAGCCACACCCATATATCCTGATGTAAGTAATCATCATGGTTGATTAAACAGATGCGAATATTTGGACACTTCTGTTTCAGAATTCCTCCATGCTGGTACACTCCCTTTCTTGAAGAAATAAAATGTTATCAATACAACTGAAGACATCCTCCATCCCTTCCTTGCCTCCCACCTCAGAGGCAGCCTGCACATTTCTATATTTTTATTATATGTGAGAATCCATAAACAATGAATGCTATTGTTCTGTTTTTCTAAGATATGCACAAATCGTATCCCATATATGTCTTTTCGCAAATTGCCTTTTCCACCTCATATTATATTTTTGAGAGTTGGTGATGTTGCTGCCTATAAATATTGTTCATTATTCTACCTGCTGTACAGTATTCTATTATTGTAGAAGCCCCGGTCTATCCATTCTCCTGCTGGAAAACACCAGCAAGTAGTTTCCACATTTTTTGCCATTATAGATACTGCCTCAGTAAACATCTTTATACATGTCTTCTTTTGCACATGGTCATGAGTTTCTGGAGGGTGGACAGCTAATTGTGAAATTGCTGTGTGGCCACTTTCTAGGCAATTTTCAGCCAGTTATATCCGCTTTGCTGCCATTTCCTCAACCATGAAATGGGTCCCCAGTTTATGACTTGGGAGCTCCCTCATAGAGAAAATGTGAGAACCTAAAATTTTAAATAATAATTCCAGAATGTGTTTCCAATGACTTAAAAGAAAAAATCAACTGTTCCCAGTGGATACAGAGCTTAGCCAGTGACACAATGGGAATTGTGGAAATGTAGAATGTTCTCTACTCTACCTATGATTGTCCTGGATGGCTCTGCACTCTCTGCCTGCTCTGTGCCCCTCACCTCACAATGGCCATCCAGACTGGCCCTTTCTCCAACAAGTCCCCGACCCCACTGGGCTCCCCAGTCTGAGTTCTTTGGAGCTGACACTCCTTGTCCAGATCTGGTTTGGGCTCATCTCTACAGCTGGCCCCAGGGCTTTTCCTTCGAGCCCATGAATGTCTCAGGCTGGTGCGCGGACTGGCATGGAGCTGGGCAGGAAGACCACTTATATTTGAGACCTGTAGATTTTCTTACCGTTTCTTCTCTCTCCCTTTCTTTCTTTCTTTCTTTCTTTCTTTCTTTCTTTCTTTCTTTCTTTCTTTCTTTCTTTCTTTCTTTTCTTTCTTTCTCTCTTTCTCTTTCTCTCTTTCTTTCCTTCTTTTCTTTCCTTTCTTTTTTTCGTTTGTAGTTTAACCTAATAATTGAACTACTGATAAATTATTACATTTGGGAATACAAAATGTAGACTCCACACAAGAAAACAAGCGTCCCTTTGCCTGACACTTGGGGCAGTTCGATATAGAGAGATTTTTAGGTTGACTCTGAAAGTCAAGACCTCCAGACCGCATGGTAGAAGGTGTAAGGCAGAAGACAATCTCAGCTGGGGAAATTCCTGGTCTTTAAGCCAGCAACATGAAGGACTGGAAGAGCATGATGTGCTCTGTAAACCCGCAGCACTGCATTTCCTAGCTCGGCCCCACAATATGCCCCCACAGCACCCTCCAGTTCGGCATTAGTTTCTTCCTAATGTCCACTCTGCCCGAAGTGACAAGCGGGGGCATGTGGAGACTCAGCTCCAGGTTCCTGGACGGGCTCAGCCACCCCCAGAAAGCTAATGAATGCTCAACCAGGGCTTCCAGATGCCCAGGGGACAGAGCAGGAGATGCCGGGGAATGGGGCTTTCCTTGCAGTTCAGGAGGGCCCTGCCCCAGGCCCAGAAGTAGAAGGGAAAGCGGCTGTTTTGGCGGTAAACAGTAATGTGGGGAGTGCTGCAGAGAAAGGCAGTCTTGGGGTTTCAAGCTGGAGAGCAGTCAGCTACACTCAGGACCTCTGGCCATCCCTGCCTTCACCTGCTGTTTGGCCTGATCGTCTAACTTCTCTGATTCTCCACTACCCACTCCTTATTACGTTTTTGAGACTTGTCAAAGTTTTATATTAGGGCTAACTGGGACGCATACAAATCTGGTAACTTCGCCAGGGCGGGAAGTTAGGAAGGAGCAGAGCTGGCTGCAGGTGTCTGGTCCTGACCACTCCTCTATGCCACCCTTGAGGAGCTTGCTGACTTTCTCATGACGTTCTCCCATTCCAGGAGCTGCAAGTGCGTTATCCTGGCTGGAGCACGGTGTCAATCACGGCAGACTAAGGCCAGCGGTGATGGCTTGAATGCCAGGCTGGGGGCTGGGATTTTTCCTGAGGATTTCACAGGACAGAGGTTGGCTTGGAAAGACCAAGGTGGGACTGAGGAACATTCCCCCTACCCCCAACCTCGGTGGGCTGTTGCAAGCCTGGAGGCCAGAGAAGACGGGCCTGGGATGCCGCGGGCGCAGGGGCAGGCAGTGAAGGAGATGGCTGCCTTCGGTAGAGCTGGTCGCTGAGGCAGAAGAGGAGGGCGTGGGGCGTGGGGCGTGAGGTGGCCGGCGCCCCGGCTGGCCAATGGCCGGGCTGCGGCCCCTCCGCGGGGCGGGGTGGGCCTGGTGGGCGGGCGGGGCTCGGGGCGGGGGCGGAGAGGGAGCCTGGTGGGCGGGCGGGGCGCGTCTTGCGGGCTCCCTCGGGTACCGGCGCTGCCGCACCCCGCCGCGCTCCCGCACCCGCGGCCCGCCCACCGCGCCGCTCCCGCATCTGCACCCGCAGCCCGGCGGCCTCCCGGCGGGAGCGAGCAGATCCAGTCCGGCCCGCAGCGCAACTCGGTCCAGTCGGGGTGGGTGAGGGGCGGCGGCGGGGGAGGGGACGACTCTGCTGAGCTCAGCCTCTCTTGGTGGATGTGGGGCGGGGCGCTCGAGTAGGACCCGACGCCAAGGGGAGGGGGCTGACCTGTGCTTGGTCCACCCCAGGTAGGGGCTGAGAGAGGCTTGAGGTGGAAGTGGGGGTCGGGCACTCTGACCTGGTCGAGGAGGGGCTAGGGTTTGAACCGGGGACAGAGTCTAGGTGAGCTGGGGCTTGGGAGCTATTAGCGTAGAGGATCCGGGTTCGGTTGCTCTGGCGAGGGCTCCAGCATCACAGGTGAGGAGCAGAGCTCAGCTTGTGCTCGAGGATGGGGGTGCGGGGTCCTGGGGCGATCGGGGCTCGGGCTGGAGCGGGTGGGGTCGCGTCTTTTCGGGTGTAGGGGAGCTGCGTTTTCAGGGGCCTCGGTTTCCTCCCGTCTCCGGGCGGGTGCGGGAAAGAGGGGCGCCAGGGGCGGGCGGCGGGGCGGAACGGGGCGGGGCGGCGGGCCCAGCGAGGGGGGTGGTCCGCGCGCCTCTGATCGCGTTCCGGGACACACAGGCGGCGGCTGCGGGCGCAGAGCGGAGATGCAGCGGCTTGGGGCCACCCTGCTGTGCCTGCTGCTGGCGGCGGCGGTCCCCACGGCCCCCGCGCCCGCTCCGACGGCGACCTCGGCTCCAGTCAAGCCCGGCCCGGCTCTCAGCTACCCGCAGGAGGAGGCCACCCTCAATGAGATGTTCCGCGAGGTTGAGGAACTGATGGAGGACACGCAGCACAAATTGCGCAGCGCGGTGGAAGAGGTGGGTGCGCCCTGGCGGCGCGGGGCTCTGAGAAGCGCCAGACTGGGGGCAGCGAAGTCTGGGAAGGCATGGAAGAGCGCTGGCCAGGGACCTCGGGTCCCGCGCAGGGCCTGGGAAGGGCCGACAGCAGATGCGGAGTGACCTGGAGGCAGCGCACGGTGATCCCTACTCCCGCCTCGTTTTGCCTCCTTGCCAAAAAGTCTGGATCTGAGCCTGTCCACCGAGAGGCTCTGCACTGGACCCTCCCTAGGTAGCTGGGGCCACCACCTGCCTGCAGTTGGCGTCAGGCATGCCGTTGGCCTTCCCTATTGTCAGCAGAGGTTTGCAGGGCCCCTGGTATTCCAGCACTGTGGTTTCACAGAAACCCGGGACAAGCTCCAGGCATCGCCAAGTTCTAGCTTGTCCGTTATGCTTTGAGCTTGTTAGGATGCCATGCAGGGACAAAGAGGCAAAGAGCCCTGAGCTTTGCTGGCAGTCTGTCTGGGCTGTCTTGCTTCTCACGCAATGTGGGGGCAGAGAGGGAAGATGGAAATCCTAAATCTCAGCACTGTATGAGTGGCGGATGAGGATGTGAGAGGCAATACCCCCTCCACCCAACGGTGCTTCGCAGTTGTCCTGGGCTCAGGTCCTCCTCTGCCACTCAGTAGCAGGGTGACATTGGGCAAATCACTTAATATCCTGCACCTCAGTTTCCTGTGAAAACTAAATGTCATATGTGTGGGCACCTGGCAAATAATAGGTGCGCAGTATTTAGCAACTATTATCAGATACCACGTACCTTAGCAAAGCTTTGCCTAGCTTCTGCCCTCCATCACCTCCAGGTCTAAACACTGTGGGTGGCATCTTGTTCTGTCCTCTGTGATGGTCACCCACGCATGCCCAGGGCTACCTGGGCAGGAGATGTCACTGGCCCAGCCCTCTCTGTCCAGGTGCGGGGAGCTGTCCCTGGTGCCTGGGGTGGGTAGACGAGGGCGCTGTTGGGCCCAATCTGTCTGTAGCCTGTGTCTATAGAGAGGAGCCAGCCGTCCTAGTGAAGGAGGCAGCAGGAAACCAATGTCCAGGCTGGTTGGCCCCTGGTCTGGCTTCACATCCCTGCTGTCTCCAGCTTGGTATCCCCCTTGGGCAAAGCCTTAACTGCTGGCCCTTGTCTCCAGGGGGAAGTTGCTTTCTCCCCGCAGCCCTTTGTAGTTTGGGGCTATTTCCCCTCCCACTCCACAACAGTTAGCCTGTGGAGTTTGCAGTGAAGGGGACACTGGCTTGGGAGGCAGTGAAATGGGCAGCTGTCCTTGAATATCCACTGGACAGGCCCAGATCCCAAGACCCATGATCTTTCTGTTTCCTGTGATTGCAAAACAATCATGACATGGAGCAATTAAAGGGTGAAGGGATTCAGATAGGCCCCAATGTCTCTTAACTCTGAAGCTTCAAATTAAGTGGAGTTTGCGATGCCTCTGGTTCTAGGGCAGGCCATCTGCTTTCCTTATCCAGGTTCTAGGACTTTCCCTCCTGCACACAGATTCCCGGTAAGACTGACTAAGTCACCTCTATGTTTTTGTGCCCACCACTGTTCAGAAAGTCTGCAGCGTGGTCCTCTGACGTTAGCTTCTGCTGAGGGAGGAGAGAGAGCAGCAAGGGCCTCTTCAGTCTCTTCTTGAGCAGAGCAGTGTGGGGCCCTGCAGGACCTAGTGACGGGGTCTTCTCCATGGGCGTTATCCAGACTGGATTTTGCCAAGACCCCAGCTTTCCTCCCTCTAGATGTGGCTCTGTGTAGGTTGGGGGGTTGAAGTTTGCCACCAGAGGAGATGTGGGCTGTCACTTCTACCCCACTCTTTCCCAGAGGTGTCCTCGCTGGCAGTGGGTACAGGATGAGAGAGGTTGAACACCATGGCAGGAGAAGAGGCAGTGGGGACTGATCTTCCCTCATCCAGTCCCTGCTCTGCCACTTACTGGCAGTGGCGTTCCGAGTCTGAAGTGGAGAAATGTCCACCTCTTAGGGTAAGGTGAGAATTAAATGAGATGCTGCAAGTAAAGCAAATCAGTGAGTTGGGCAGCTATCCCTGAATATCCACTGGTCAGGTCAAGAGCCCAAGATCCATGATCTTTGTTTCCTGTGATTGTGAAACTATCATGACATGGAACAATTAAAGGGTGAAGGGAGTCATATAGGCCCCAATGTCTCTTAATTCTGCAGCTTCACATTAAATTGAGCTTGTGATGCCTGTGGTTCTAGGGCAGGCCATCCGCTGACTGCCTAAAATGGGGTTAAGTAAAACACGTGTAATACAGGTAGCTTCATTGTGAGGTGGCTGTAAGGATGACATGATGGTTGGTTGTAAATAAGTAACAGGTATCATTATCATCATATTACTAGTAGCAGTATGAATGATAACAAAACACCACCAGTGTCTGATAGATTCTCAATAGAATCTATCTTTTAAAATATCTTAAACCATTAAAAATTAATCTTAAAATACTAAAAGTATCTTTTAGATATCTTCAAAAATAGAATACAATAGATTGTTTATAGACTGTGGTTATTAGTATTAACTTTTTATGGAGACTGCCAGAATGCCCCTTAAATCTCATAGACACAGGATAATTGGTATTTAGTCATTGTTCAGGGGAAAAATCAAAAAGGACCTGGGCCAGATGCATTATTTGTTTACATAGTTGCATCATGAATCTCCTTTCAAGTAACTTCCTGGCATTTTCAATGTTCCAGCTGAATCAAGCTGTTGAAGTTTCTTAAGGGGAAGGACAAAGCAGCTCTACTTGTACGGTCATTATTGGAAGAAGCATATCTTCAAATGGCTTCAATCTGGGATATTCCTACTTTCCTGTGTTACTATTCTATATGCTACCAATCAATGTATTCTGAAGATATAACCACTCTGTTTCTCTTCCCCTCATGGCCAGCTCTGTAACTCACTCATTTTAGAATGTTCTTACTGCCTCACCTATTTCTAGTATAAGTGCCATTTTTAATAGCATTCACATTCCTCCTCTACGAAACAGCTCCTTTTGCTTCAGACTTAAGTTTCTCTTGCTAGTGGCAATAATAGTTGCGGTTGAAATTTCCATTGTAAACTATACTTTTAGTTCATGGTGCCATTTAAGAACCGTTAGCTCATTCTGTTGAAATAACCAGTGGCTGAGCTGGGGGGAAAAGTTTTATAAAAAGACTATCTGCTCAGCCCAGAGCAAATTCTAGGTTTGGCAACTTGTCAATTATTTGAAAGCCAAACTGATCCCGATGGGAATTTTAAAAACACTAAAACATTCTCTTCTTCTGGGTGGGTCCTCTCCAGCACCTTCAGTCTTCTCTTCCCAGCTGCGTTTTTTTCTATCACTAACCAGAGTGGTAACTGAGGGCAAGGTCTCTTGCTTTTAAGGAAAGTCATTTTCTTGCCCATTCTGTCTTCTATCTCAGCCCCATTTCTTCTCCCCTTTGTTGGCAAGCTCTTCAAACACATGATATCAACGTTTGCTCTTCCTGCTTCTAGCTACCCATTCCCTTCAGAACTCTGGCAAAACAAACTGGCTTCTTTTGAAACTGCCTTCTTAAAGGGCAACGGGATAAAAACAGCTGTGTATTTCATCTTTGCTGTGTGGCAGATAGTGTATTTCATGCCTTAATTCTTATATCTACTGCATGGTCCTTAATTCTTATATCTACTCAACAAAGTAGGACATCCCTATTTTACAAATGAGCAAGCTGAGGTTTAGTGGGATTTGGTATCTTGCCTAAAGTCATACAGCTACTTTGTGGCAGAGCCAGGACTTGAACCCACCTTGTCTGACTCCAGAATCCTGGTACTTTCCACTGTGTTCCTCTCCGAGGATGCTGCAGGCAATGACTTGACTCATCCAGTGGCCATCTCTCAGTGGCTTGATCCTTCTAGACTTACTTAGAGTCTTTCCCACCTAGAAGGTCCCTACCCAGAAGTAGCTCCCATCTCCTAGACCTAATTCTAGCCAGTTTCCTGACTCCCCTCTCTTTCTGATCTACTCTTTATATTATTTCCCGCTAGCCTTCTGGAACTTGCTGTAGTTCCCTATTGCCTGGAACGGAGATTCTTAACTGGGGATCAGAGGGAGGGGAGGGAAATCCTCAGAATAAGCTGAGAAGCTCAGTATTATCAGGGTCTCATCTCTAGAAATCCCAATTCAGCGGGTCCATGAAGGGATCCAGATATTTCAATTTTTTAAACTTTTGGACCTGACTCTATAATCACAGCTTCCCCATAAGGTTGCTGTCAATATTCAAGGCATCTGGTGCAACGATTCAGACATAGTCAATGCCCCAAACGTGGGGGCTATTCTTAGAATTATTATTGTTATGAAGCCAGTGATCAAGTTTCAAACATCTCAGCAGCCATCTCAGAATCCAGCACAGAATCCGGCCACTGACTAAGTCCTTGTTGAGCCTTTCTGCCTACCAGGTTTTATTCACACTTTGAGTTTAGTGTTTTTGTGTTGCATTGAGACATGAGGATTCTTTCCTCTTATCCTCCTCAGCTCAGCAAACCTGGTGGTTAAAGCAGGGGCTCATCTAGTACTTAAGGGGATAGAGGACAGTGATTTTTTTAAATAGGAAAATACTTTTTGAGCATTCTTTTTTTAAAAAAAAAAATAAAAATAGCCCATAGTCAAAAATAGCAGTGTTGGAAAATTGCCAACTATCAGGTAGAACTTCTCTTTATGTCTCTCATTTGAAATTCCTAGAGAGAGTATCTGATTGGCTCAATTAGTCTATGATGTGGCCTCCCTTTGGGTCCCATCAGCTGTGAACAGGTCACATTGTCAACTGCCCACTCATCAGGGCCAGGACAGGGTGATAAATCTGGAAGGGGAAGTTGGGTGCAGATATGAGGTCACTGACATATCTGGTATAGATGTTATGGAGGATCATGAGCCTGGAGGATTTGAGGACAGCGGCCACAGAAACCTGACACCAGAGAAGAACATATGTCTAAGAAAACCAGAAGGGGTGTGGACCCCGGGAACTGGTTAACTGACCCTCTACAAGGGTCCCTCTGCAAGGATTTCCTACAAGGGTACCCAAGAGGCAGGGTGGGGAAGGAGACACAGCTGTGGCCCTACCTACAGGGAGTAAGTTTAGGTTCCCTCCATCCCCTGCCCCTACCACCACCAACAACAGGTCCTGCCACAAGGACTTAAGAGCAAATAGTGCATTTGGGATGTGCTCCCAGAAAACACTAGCAGGAAGTGGGAAAGTGTGATGAAAGAAAAGAAAGACAATCAACGGTATGCCTGCAAGCAGGTTACTGCTGCGGGCATCTAGGGCTCCATCCCACTGGAGGCCTTAGAGGGAGACTACGTAGATTCTACATGCTTTAGAATTGTCTAGCGAAGGGAGAAGCTAGACTGTTTACCTCCATAGCCTGACTTTCATTGCTAGGATGTTAACTCCCTAGCACTTGGGGCCTCTGCAGACTGAGCATACTTTGGTGACCAGAGAATGCCCTTAGAGAGAGACAGAGTTGGTTGTTGGCATGTATGGGAACTGGATACAGGTGACCTCCAGATTAGGCCACCAGGAGATGGGCAGGGCATCAACAGCGTTTACACAGGGAGCAAGACTATCTAGTGGAAACATGTTCAAATCCCAGCTCCACCCTTTCCTGGGACTCTGGGGAATTTATCTAGTCTTCCTGAGCCTCAGTTTCCCTATTTGTAATATGAGGACATTAACACCCACCTCCCAGAGAGATTGTGAAATTTCAGTGCTGTAATATATGTAAAACGTTTAGTATAATATCTTATCATAGTGAGTACTCAATTAATAGCACCTATCATCATCATCATTCTTTGTAATTGCAGAAGAGGAAAAGAGATTTTTTTTTTCTAATAGACTCCCATTTGTAACAAGAGAAAATAATTTTGCTCATTAAATTCATCGATTTAATAGATGGAGGCAGAAGAAGCTGCTGCTAAAGCATCATCAGAAGTGAACCTGGCAAACTTACCTCCCAGCTATCACAATGAGACCAACACAGACACGAAGGTTGGAAATAATACCATCCATGTGCACCGAGAAATTCACAAGGTAAGTCATGGCCAGCACTTCCTCCTTTCTATAGCGTCCAGTCCCATCAGAGAACTAAGGTTTTTTTGTTTTTGTTTTTTCATATGTGATATACAAGCCCAAACTACAATTGAGAATCATAAAATACGGATTGAAAACCAGAAGGAGTAATGTTACTGTTGAAAGTGGAGAGACAATGTATCAGGATCCTAAACTGCTTTTGCATTTAAGCAATATATTTAACCCTAGGCTTCCTGCCAGTCCAGTTGCAAAGGAATGTCCAGGGATTATCATTTGAAAAAAAGAAAGCAAATGGATGTCTAAAAAGACCCTTTCCTAGCATTGAATTTGTGGAATTGATCTATCTCATAGGTTTTTATGTATGTCTCAGTAGGGATTGAACTAGAGACCACGTTATGGTGAATTGACCCTCACTTTTTTTTAGGAGGAATGTAAATATGATATACCCCATTTCCAAAAGAGAAACCCTCTATTGCTACAAAATTAAACATTCATTTGCTGGTTGTGCGTTCAAAATTCTCTGGCAGATTTTTCCCCAAACTACCACCTGTCTGAGTGCCTCTTGGTCTAACATCATGCATGAAGAACAACCAGGTTCATTCCCATTCTGACCTGATGAAGAAAGCTCTGCGAATCTCAAGGAACATAGCACTAGCTTGCCCCTGGTGTGCAATGTCTCTGACATGATTTGGCAGGACTCTGAGAGCAAACTGCCTAAGACTGTGTGCTGTGCAGATATTCAGGGTCGTTGTGAGCATCCCGTTGTGAATATCAAGGAGCCTGCCCCCTCAGCTCATCTCAACTCCTGTATGCAAGGGCACAGCGGCTTCACAAAAGAGCCTCACTTTTATTCAAGTGCGCAGGTAATTACTTGGTTGAAACAATAGTGTTTCTGTGCCACAGAGCACAGGGGATCAATTTTTATGTGCCGTTGCCTTGACTATAAAGTAGCTTTTGTGTGGCACTTCTCCCACTGCATCGTAATGGGCTCAGTTAGATGGATCAGCTACAGAGTGTATGAGCTCCAGGTAAATGAATGAGTTTACCAGCAGAACATAATCCTTTGGCATTGCTCATCTGCGACTGAAGAATGTTTTCAAAGTGATTATTTTATTCTTGTCAAAACCAATATCAAGTCACCCTTTCTGACAATAATTAACCAACAGGTTTGGTTGCTTCTTAAAGTTGCTTCTTGTAAATGTCAGAATACCTGAGTGTGAGTCCTACCAGTCACTAGTGTGATTTTTGAAAAATTACTTAAATGTCCTGATTCTCACTAACTGCATTTATGAAATAAGGATATCAACATCTACATTACAGTACTGTGCAGGTCAAATGACCTAAAGTATATGAAAGTTCATTGTAAACTGTAAAATGCAATGCAAAAACCACTGTTCTTATTATTACTGTTATTATAATAAAGTTATGTTATTAACACAGTGCAGTAGTTCTCAACTGGGCTTCATAGAACACCAATCTTCGGCCAGGCGTGATGGCTCAGGCCTGTAATCCCAGCACTTTGGGAGGCTAAGGTGGGAGGATCACTTGAGGTTAGGAGTTCGAGACCAGCCTGGCCAACATGGTGAAACCCCACTTCTAATAAAAATACAAAAAAAAAAAAATTAGCCTTAGCCAGGCATGGTGTCACGTGCCTGTAATCCCAGCGACTTGGGAAACTGAGGTAGGAGAATCACTTGAACCTGGAAGCAGAGGTTGCAGTGAGCTGAGATCATGCCACTGCATTCCAGCCTGGGTGACAGAGTGAGACTGTCAAAAAAAAGAAAAAAAAAAAAGGCCAGGCACGGTGGCTTATGCCTATATTCCCAGCACTTTGGGAGGCCAAGGCGGGCGGATCACCTGAGATCAGGAGCTCGAGACCAGCCTGGCCAACATGGCGAAACCCCGTCTCTACTAAAACTACAAAAATTAGCTGGGCATGGTGGCACGCACCTGTAGTCCCAGCTACTCAGGGAGGCTGAGGCAGGAGAATCACTTGAACCTGGGAGGCGGAGGTTGCAGTGAGCCGAGATCATCGCAACTGTACTCCAGCCTGGGCGACAGAGCAAGACTCTGTGTCAAAAGACAAACAAACAAACAAACAAACAAACAAACAAACAAAAAACACTAGTCTTATGCAATGCTTCATAGAAGAAAAGCTCAGTAGTAGTGAAACATATTTGGAAAACTTATATTCTTCTTCTGGAGATTTAAGAAAAATACAAATTGTTATAATAAAGGTTCTAATAAGTCATGCAACCCATACATACAGGCTTGTAGAATTTTTTAAAATATGACATTGGTTAATTCTATAAAAAGCTGGCATAAGGGAAGAGATCATTTCATTTGGGGAGAGGAATTATTTAGGTAAAAATGTAAAAGCATGATCCTTACCTTCTCAGAACTAGAATTTGATTCCCTTCTGCAAATTAGTACAAGAGTTTCCACTTTGTCCTGGCTGCAGATTCCTGTGATATTAGAGCTGGCAGAGACCTTAAAGATGATGTAGAAGTGAGAAAATTTTGAATCAGAGAAAATATATTATTTGTTCCAGGTGACATACTGGATGGTTACTGGTGACTGAGACAGAGCTCAAAGAACACACATCTCCTAGCTCCTGAGCCAGCATCTTTTCTTTTCTTTCTTTCTGTTTGTTTGTTTGTTTGTTTGTTTTTGAGATGGAGTCTCACTCTATCGCCCAGGCTGGAGTAGTGCAGTGGCACGATTTCGGCTCACTGCAACCTCTGCAGCCCAGGTTCAAGCAATTCTCCTGCCTCAGCCTCCCGAGTAGCTGGGATTATCGGCACTTGCCACTGCGGCTAAATTTTGTATTTTTAGTAGAGATGGGGTTTCATCATCTTGGCCAGGTGACCAAACATCTTTTCTGTCCTTCATCACCAAATCAGACATTAGACGTGACCTTTCATGGGGCAGGAAGAGCCTGGGTTCTATGTTAGACTTAGCTTTGAGATGCCTGCACCTGGTTACAGAATCAGAGGCAGACAACAGATACAGGAATATTGGAACAAGTCTCTCATTATACTTAAGCACTTTCTTGATGAAATGAAGCCATTCACTAGAATCAGGTAGGGCTGCTAGAGCTAAAACCTGCTTGCTTTTCATGAAAGATGTTCAACTAGACACCCGGACTTGTAATTTGTCAAGAATAAAGTTGACATTGAGTTTCAAGTGATGAGCCCCAAGAAAGATAGAAACAGCTGACATCTTTGAGCGTTTTGCTGGGTGTTGGGCACTGTGCGGAGTGATTTCTCCGGATCCCCTCATTTCCTCCTCATAGCAACCCTATGAGGCTGACTCTGTTAACATTTCTTATCACTGTGCCCAGGGGAAGCCGTCCATCTCACAGCTGCTGGGGGAACTCAGAAAGAAAGCGGGGTGGGCATTTCGACTCCTATACTGGATGCTCCTGCTTCAGAAAATGGAAAACAAAACACAAAAACAACTTGTGGAATTTGTCCAGAATTCCTTCTATTTTACTTTCATTGTACCTGTTTTACTGTAGATAACCAACAACCAGACTGGACAAATGGTCTTTTCAGAGACAGTTATCACATCTGTGGGAGACGAAGAAGGCAGAAGGAGCCACGTAAGTTGTCATTTCCCCTGTACTTGCACCCCGACACACTCACTTTCATTTTCATTCAGTTTGCCAACGGTGACTCAGATGCAGACCATGGGCAGGAGGGAGTGGAGTCTCCTGACTCATTTCTACCGAGATTCCTCAATTCCTACATTTCTGACCAGACAGATGTAGTCCAGTAATAGGTTACGCCTCCATGCACTTGGCATCAGAAACAACAGATAAATTAAATTGAGTGGTCATTTGCATGGCCCATCTCAGCTTTGAAAGGGGTACAAGCAAGTACCAGACATGTTGACTGGGACTTTGGTGACAGACCTGGTATATCAGGTGGTGAAATCCCCAGAGCCTCTGGGATGGCTACCCCTTTTGTAATCCCACCTCTGGTCAGGCAGTTTGAGAACAAGAACACCTTATGTGGAGCCCAATGGCCTAAAGGGAAAAAGGCTGTCCGTCCATTTCAGGGCTAGGCTCTGGTCCCCTGTGATTGCTTCTGTTAGTTGCCTGTTGCTTAGTCCAGAGGCAGAATGGATTTCACAGAATTATAGAGTCATAAATTTGGAAGGGGTGTGATTTCACAGAAAGAAAACCTGGGCACAGGTCGGGGGATGACCTGGTTGGAGTCACTGGTCTCCTAACTCCCAGACCAGAGGTGGCTCAACTGCACTTCATCTTCCCAAAGATGTGCTGGCTTCGGATGCACACGCCTGCTGAGGAGTGGCCAGTAGGGAAAGTGTGCCTTTTTTATGAAGACCGCAGGAAGCCAGCCCCCCTGTATCCAGATGGCTTCTGCATCCTCAGCCTTCCCAGGGCACTGAGGATTTTCCCCACGTCTTTTGGTCTGATGGCTGGAAGGGAACCAGTGTATGGATGACAGTTAGGAAGGTGGTGTTGTCTTGGTTAGTAGCTGATGGATTTTTTCCCTTGTTTTTGGCACAGTGCTCAAATGTCGGGAGCTGGCCGACTTTTACAGCAGGCTGGGGGTCCAGTTGGCTGTGTGCAATGGTAGTGACCCACCATTCAAGGGAGCCTGGGGGTG
This sequence comes from Homo sapiens, assembly GCF_000001405.40. NCBI lineage: Eukaryota > Metazoa > Chordata > Mammalia > Primates > Hominidae > Homo > Homo sapiens. Next base: position 11,997,662 of record NC_000011.10, on the reverse strand, counting down.
GGGGGAGGAACTGTGCAGTGAAGTGGAAAGGGCACTGGCTGTGGAGTCTAGAAGCCCCACTTTGTCACCTACCAGCTAGGGCACCTCAGTTTCCCCATCTTCAAGTGAGGTAACAATGTCCATCATCTCTCCCAGCCCTGGCAGCACAGAAGCCTCTGAAACGAAGACAAGGTTAACTAAGGCAGGGATGGAAGAGAGGCCAGCTTCCAAAGGTGGGAAGAGACAGAAGAAAGCGAAACAAAAACCAGCCAGCCATAGGATATGATCATGGTCCTAGAGGGAAGTGGTTTAGAGTGTTCCAGATCTCAGGCTGTGTTTGGGGTTTGATGAAGGATTGAGGCCTGAGCAGAGTTGTAGAATGAAAAGGGCAGGGGAAGCAGAACTCACAGGGTTGTGAATTAGGAAAAAAGCCTTTGTTCTCAAGTCAAAAAAAAAACTTAATCTATCATTGCACAGTGGTACAGCCGTGCTCTGGGGAGGGCAGCAGCCGTGCCTGTGAGCACATCTGCACCTGCTGGAGGACCAGGATACATGAGGCTGCCACATGTGCATCCCATGCTGCCCCCTCCACCCTTTCAACGAGGCAGCTGTGTCCAGTTGGTGCCTTTTAGTCAGGGGAATTGAGACTCTGAGAGTGGGATGGGGAAGAGACAAGATCTTGAACATGCCAACGGCATGCTTGGGCAGAAACTGGTTGCCTGCACTTTTGTGCTGTGCGTCACTTTTCCCAAGCATGCATGGCCTTGTGTGCCCCTGTGTACTCTTCTTCAGATCTCATCTGGGAGGCCCAGAATCTCCACACCTGCCCATGCAGTCTCCTGTGGCCATTGTGTGATGGAGGACACACCTTGGCCCCCTTGTGCAGGGCAGAATCCGAACCCCCATATATGACAGTCCTGAGAATGCAGGTGGTTGAGGGGAGCGGTAGATCTAAGTACCCCACGTGCTGGAGGCTTGCCAAGGTTGTCTTGATGCCTGCTCAGACCCTCAGGATATGAGCATATTGGGTTTCTATATTAGACTAAATTCCCGTTTGATTAACTAGAAGGGAGACCGGGGGCATCTGATGCTTGACTGGCCAGTGTCTGGACGATCCCACAGGGCTTTGGAGAACAGATTGGAGACTTTTCAAGCCACCTGTGAGAGGGATGTCATATGGCAGAGAATGTGGCATGTGTGCCTCACTACAGAGCTGCACTCATTGTCGCAGTGGCTTGCCCAGAGTCAGGGAAGTGAGATCTAGTTTCCCATGTCCACAGAATTCTTTCATTCAACCACCTTCCTATTCCTGGGCACAGTTGACCTAGGGCTTCAGCATCGTCTTTACAGAGACACGGAGCTCTTTTTCTGAATAGAAAGCGATAAAGACTAGTTTACTATCAAGGGAATGCAGGGGACTGTGCTTTGTCACCACTGTCTCATTCTATCATTTTGCAATTTAATGATTTTTACGGTTGGCTCTGAAATGCATTACACACTGCAGAAACTTTCTCTCAGAGGGAAGAGGGAGATTTGCCATGGCAAAGGACAAATCATATGCTGTGTAAACCTTAAAATACTATACACAGGAGCTAAATTTTCAGGCTTTAAAATTTCCAGATGAATTCAATTAAAAGTAATCACCACACACCCTATACTTTCCTTTCTTCAAATGCTGGAATGTGTATTAATATGTATGGTAACCCAAGGAGGCTCACAGAAAGTTACAGAGAGTAACACTATATGCCTGTCTAGAAATTGCACGCAGTATGTGCAAGGCCCTGGTCTGTTTTTACACTCAAATGTGAAAGGGGAAAAGGACACCGCAGCATGTTATTGCACCTGAGCACATCGGCTGATGGGGATGTGGTCTGACGTCTTTGTTGTGAGGCTTTTGTGCTGCACTTGCCGCCTGCCCCACTTCACAGGTCAGTGGCAGACGCACTGATGCTGTGCTGCTTTTGTGCTGGGGGTGAGGAGGAAAGCAGCATGTAGAAGCTAGAGCATGGGCAAGCCATTGTGCATTAATAGGACACTTTTATTTATGGAACTGTGTCCCCACATAGGAAGAGTCTGGCCCAATTAGCCAAGGCACCCTTTTGATGGCACACATCCTCTTTAAAATCCAACTCGCAGCTACAAGGCTTAGCATGTCCTGCATGTGTTGTCTTTCCGGTTTCACATTAGAATTTGATGTTAAAAAGTGAGCTGGTTTGTATCTAGGTGAACACACCTAGTTTGAAGCTGTAAGTTCAATCATGTACAAGCAACTCCAAGATACTGGCCAAGACTTCTGGAAGGCTGGGTACAGTGGCCCACACCTGTAGTCCCAGCACTTTGGAGGGCTGAGGTGGGAGGATCACTTGAAGACAGGAGTTCAAGACCAACCGGGGTAAGAAATTGAGACCCCTCTACAAAAAATAAAAAATAAAAAAAATTAGCCGGGCCTGGTGGCACATGCCTGTGGTTCCAGCCACTCAGGAGGCTGAGGCAGGAGGATCGCTTGAGCCCAGGCGGTCGAGGCTGCAGTGAGCTATGATTGCATCACTGCACTCCAGCCTGGGTGACAGGAATACCCTGTCTCTAGAAACAAACAAACAACAGACTTCTGAGGCCACAGGTGGATGGATTTTCCTGCCAAAAGCACCCAGCTTGTAGAGATTTGAGTGACCCAGTGACTTCCTTGTTCCAGTGCTGGTGGTGGCTTTTTGACTGGGACAGCAGACTGAGGACAGTGATCATGGAGTTCCCGACAAGTGTGAGACCGCATGTTGTGAGGATACTTTGCCTGTTAAATGTATTGGAGCCTGGGGAGAATGGGGTGTTAAGCCGTGACCGTCTTTTCCCATGGAGCAGTGAGCACCCATCACCTCCAAGCCCAGAGAGACCAAGCGAGAAAGTGGGAGAGGAAAGTGTATCGAACAAGCGCTTTCTCCCTCAGGTCTCAAGTTCTTCCCTGACCCCAACTTGTTCATACACTCTCGAGTGGGGTGCTGGCTTTGTTTTCTCCCTGCGCCCTGGTTTTTGATGCTGGACTCAATCCATTTAATGGAGTGTCAGAAGGTAACATGATGAGGAATCGCTGGGGGCTTATGATTTTAACAGAAGTGCACCAGGGGAGGGTGCGGCACCTCTAGAGGGACTCAATCAGTTCCCAGAGGATCTGCCTCCTGGGGAGACCTGCAAGGTCCAGGGAGGCTAGGGTGGTGGCTGAGTCCCAGGAAATGCAGCCCTTCCCTTCTGTCCATTTTGAGGCAGAATGAAGAAGTTTGAAGAAGGTGAGATGCAGACCTCGGTTCGAGCCCTGCATTGCCTTTTACAAGCTCTGCCCTTTGTGACTCGGTTTCTTCAGCTATCAAATGGGGCTAATAATCCCCCTTTCACAAGACTGAGTGAGAATCTAGTGTGGCAAGGTTTATAAAGGCTCTTTGTGTGAGGTTCATTATTACTGAAGAGTAATTAAAACTGGGTTCTAATTTGCTGGTTCCCAGCAACTTTACAGAAAAAAGAATGGCATGAGACTGGGGGGAGATGCGAAAGGTCTCCACAGGCACAGGCGTCTTTCCTCTGACATTTGTAGCCTCGGGCTGCTTTCATTCTGCAGCAGCCTGCCTCGCTCTCTGAGTGATGTGCTCTGCCAGGAGCTCTGTGTTCCTGGCCACAAGGCTGACTCATCCCGCTGTTGTTCCTAACCGTGCCTGTCCTATATGTCTAGGTTGAGGATTGGGGATACAGACAAAGGGAAGGATAGGTCAAAATGAACGACCAGGGGACTAGGCGATGGTTGGGTACTGATAAGTTCCAAGTTGGGGCCCCAAGTTGGCAAGGGGTGATACTGGTTTCTGCAGAAAGAAACAGACTTATTGTCCTAAGGTTGATAGCAAAGGCTTGTGTGAATGTTCAGTTCCATAGTCTGACAACCACACAGAGTTTGGGTACATTTGTGTTTCGAGATTTATATTTTGCGTTGACTTCGTGATTTATGTCTAAATATAAGGCCCACTTGCATTATTCAGTAGGAAAAGATATATAAGAAAAATTGAAGAGCTCTGTATCATTCTGAGAAATGGGTAAATAATTCCCAAATAAATAAAGTTGATGTGGGTGAGCAATTTTTATGGGGTAGGCATTTCTTTTTGTGCTGCTACCTGGTATATTAAGTTGTACTCTCCTCAACCTCAATATCTTCCAAGAAAGAATTCATTAAATAGAAGCGATTCCACATCTAAAATCAAAATACTTTGGAGTTAATACTGTGGAGATGGTATAAAAGGTTGTCTTCAATCAAACATTAAGTGAAAAAAAATTGCAGAACAGTATATATAATATTTAAAGTATATAAAATATACATATATGGTATATGAAATCTCTTAGTTTTAGAAAAAAGTATGCATAAAAAATCCTGGTAAGACATATATTAAATCATTAGTAGATCTTTCCAGAGGATTTTAAGCTTGCAGAGACCCTTTATAGATTTCTTTATTTTCAAAAGAGTTTGTGAATTTACAATTTTGGTCTAAACATCTCTATATTTTTGAATGGTTTTGCAAATACTTTCAGTGTAAATGCTAGAAATTAAATTGCTAAGTCAAAGGGTATGCATATCTAAAATTTTGAGAGATACTGACAAATTTTCCTCTAGGAAGGCTACACCCATTTTATTTTTAGCATCAACTTCTGAGGCTGTGTTTCACCAGCCCTCACCTACAGTGGGTGTTAACAGTGCGTGATCATATGATAGGCAAAGAAAAAAGATATCTTCGTTTTGTTTATATTTCTTTGATTATTAGATCAAAGAAATATAAAGATCATTTGCATTGCTATAAAGGAGTACACAAGCCTGGGTAATTTACAAAGAAAAGAGGTTTATTTGGCTTACAGTTCTGCAGGCTATACGAGCATGGCACCTTGTTTATATTTCTTTGATTATTAGATCAAAGAAATATAAACAAGGGGGATGGCTGTTTGAGAACTGTAAATTTTATCAAATGTAGAGTCTGCAAATTTATCTTATCCCTTCTTTTCTTTGTCAGGGAGAAAGGTCAGTTTTGCATTCCAGGCCATGCCCAAGAGCAAATACCAAGAGCAAATACCATCTATTCCAGTGTGAGGTGATTAGGGAGGTGGGAAGTCCTAGCAGGAACATTTGAGTGCTCAATGTCTATGTGAGGCGGCTGATGGGCTGAGTCACAGAGGGTGGGTGGTGGGGACATGCAGGCTACTGCCTCCACCCCTGCGAATACAGACAAGGTTTAGATGACTGCTGATAGAAGCAGCACTTCAGAGGGGGTGGTTAACAGCTCGGGCACAGGCAGATCCAGTTCAAATGGCAATTCTATTGCTTATTAGCTGTGTGCCTTTGGTTAAGTTCCTGAACTGCTCTAAGCCTTAGTTTTCCCATATGTAAAATGGGCTTAATAACAGTACCTTCCATATAGTATTGTCATGAAGATAAAATAAAATAACCCAGGTCAAAATATTATACAATACCTGGAACATAAAGAGTAAGAAGTCAGTAAATAGCAGGCATTTGTTATGATTTGATTATTTTGGTAGCCCAATCCTTGGCTATCAAAATTATCAGTATTAATTCATTCATTTATTTGCACATTCCTTGAGTACCTGCTACGTTTTTGGCAGAGAAGTGTAAAAGACAGTCTCTAACATCGGAGAAGCATCCAGGCTATAGTGGACAAAAAAAATAAACAAGTCATTACAATATGGATGCATAATTTTGAAAGGCAAAGGTTGCACAGGGCATTGTGGGGGCATGGTGCAGGGGAAAACCAGGTAGCCATGGAAGACTTGCTTGGGAGACAGTTCTCTACGGGTCTCTGTTTCTGCTCATTTTATAAGCAAAGGCACTTCTCAGTCCATTTGCATTGCTATAAAGTAGTACACAAGCCTGGGTAATTTACAAAGAAAGGTTTATTTGGCTTGCCGTTCTGCGGGCTGTACGAGCATGGCACCAGTGTCTGCACCTGGTGACGGCTTCGGAAAGCCCTCACTCATGGCAGAAGATGAAGGTGCACAGGCATCACATTGTGAGAGGAAGTGAGGGGAGGGAGGAGAGAGACAGAGAGAGAGAGAGGAGAGGTGCCAGGCTTTTTTCTGTTTTTTTGTTTTTGTAGAGACAGTGTCTCACTATATTGCCCAAGCTGGTTTTGAACTCCTGGCCCCAGGAGATCCTCCCACCTCGGCCTCCCAAAGTGCTGGGACTATAGGCATGAGCCACTATGTCCAGCCTCTTTTTAACAATCAGAACACATGGGAACTAATAGAGCGAGAACAGCAGCAAGCCACTCATAAGGGATCTGCCCCCATGACCCAGCTACCTTCTGCTAGGTCCCACCTCCAACACTAGAGATCAAATTTCAACATGAGATTTAAAGAGGACAAATATCCAAACTATATCTGACACTAATTGATCTCTTGTTCCAGGCCATCTTTTCTAGGCGGTGGCCTTGAAAAACAGAGCTAGCTCTCCCTCCTTGGCAGAGGGCAGGTTTGCTTGCAGTCCATTATCAAAGGTTTGGGTTCTCTGAGCTTGAGATCCCTTAGGTGTGATGTAAACCCAATGCATGTGCAGCATCCGTCTGGACCCCTCCATGGGGCAGTGTGGAACCTGCAGGCAAGGAGAACTGATACAGACAAGAGGCTTATGCTGTTTCCGTGTTGCTGAAATAAAGTCCTTTGTCTCTGACCCAGAAGTCTCATGTCTTCTGCTAGCAGCCATGAAACCGTGGCAGGAACATGTATCATCTTGCAAGTAGAATAGAATCTTAGACCCTTCACACTTCTTGACAGGCTCCCTGGAAGAGGTGGCAGTTGAGCTGTATTTTGAATGTTGTCTAGGAATTCTCAGTTGTGGGGAAAAAGGGTATTCGTTGAACAAGTATTTCTTGTTCAAAGTCAAGGAGGCATGTGGAAATAAGAATATGTTGGAGGAACGCTAAACAATTTAGAATGCCAGAGCTGGAGATGTGCGTGGGGGAGCAGCAAGTAAAGCTGGGGGAGAGGCAGGGATGAGATCAGGCAGGCCTTTGAGAGCCATGCCAAGGAGTTAGGAATACATGCTGAGTTAGGAACATATCCTGCATCTGCAGTGCTTTACCATGTCCTGTACTGTATACTGTAATGAGACTTCATGCAATCCCTAGAGGAAAGAGCCAGGAAGATGTGGTTTGGAAGACAGACATTCGTGGCGATGGAGCTTTGCTTAATCCTGCTGAAGCTGAAGGCTTGAGCCCCTTTGGGCTGCAAAGCCTGTACCCTGCAAAAAGCCTGGCTTCTGGCCTTGAAATCTGGAAACCGTTACTTAGAAATGGAGCACTTTGCTTTTGCTTGGTGCCAGTAGACAGGACAGATAAGTGACAGTAATTGAACTTGAACTCTCATTAGGTTGATGGTGTCGGCTGCAGAACAAGCTGATTTCTGTGGTCTCTGAGTAGCCTGGGCATGTCAGGGGCCCAACAGCTCCTCCATGCAGGTGTGTGGCTGTCCACTGCTCTCAGGACCTGGGGATTCTTCCAGACAAGCCTGGATAACTTTCACCATAGGGTCTTTGTATCCTGGCTGCCAAATTTGTGGCCCTGTCCTTCTTTACCTGTTGGCATCATTCCAAAAAACTCATTGAGTCCATTTTGTTTTGTTTTTAAAATAACATCAAGGGCTACAACATGTCCCAGTATTCCCTTATTTAGTCAGGCGCTGTGCCAGGCATCTGACTTGCATTCCTTCACACGATCCACATGACAATGATACAAGGCAGACACCCAGTTGACCCCATTTTACAGATGAAGTAACTGAGGCTCAGAGAAAATTATAAAACAGAACTTGTAGGTGGCTGAGCCAGTACTAAAAAAGAGAAATAAAATGAAGCACTTAGGTCTTGTGGATTCCAAAACTTCCAAGACTCATGTTCTTAATGCAACATACAAAAAATTGTGATAAAATGTATATAATATAAAATATCATCTTAACAATGTTGACACATATAATTCAGCAGGGTTAATTATACTGGAGAAAAGAATTCTCCAGAATTCTTCTCATCTTGCAAATCAGAGATGCTATACCCATTAAACAATGCCCCCCTCCTGCAATCCCCTGGCAACCTCCATTCTTCTTTCTGTCTGTATGATTCTGACCACTCAAGGTACCTCATATGAGTGGAATCATACTGTATTTGTATTTTTGTGACTGGTGAATTTCTCTTAGTGTAATGTCCTCAGGGTTCATCCATGCTGTAGCAGGTATCAGAGTCTCATTCCTTTTTAAGGCTGAATGATAATACATGGTTTGTGTATATACATAGATATATTCATATATTCATACCATGTTTTGTTTCTCCATTCATTTGTCAATGCACCCTTGGGTTGCTTCCACCTTTTGGCTATTGTGAATAATGCTGCTATGAACACAGGTATGCAAATATCTCTTTGATATTCTTTCATATCAAATGCTTTCACTTCTTTTGGATATATACCCAGAAGTGGAATTGCTAGATCATAAGGTCATTCTATTTTTAATGTTCTGAGGAAACACCATACTGTTTTCCATAGTGGCTGCGCCATTTTGCATTCCCACCAGCAGGGCACAAGGTAGAAGTTTTTTTTTCAACCTTTCAGTCTTCATGACTGTAGGCACTAGAGGACATAAGTGCCCAATGTAAGCTGAAGGACTGTCTCAAAATTCCTGGCCCCTGCTGTCCTTGGATAAGGCAGTGCGTTCCCCAACTCTGTTTCCAGCGGTTGCCTCTGCAGTGTGGCAGCCATAGTCTCAGGGAGTGTTTTTAAAGCTTAACTGATGCCACTGACCTGAGTTTCTCACCCCTCACCCTGGTCTGTAGCCAACATGCTGAAAACTTTCCCTAGGCCTGGGCGTATGCAGGCTCAGGCTGCATCGTGGAGATTGTGGGGATCCAGAGATGTGATTTCCTTGACCATTCAGGAATTAACACCCACTCCACACCCTCCTTTATGAGCCCCACCCTTACCCCTCCATGGTGTCCTCAAAGACTCCCCAGAGGCATGAGGGGCCTCCCACTTCCCTGTAAAGGGGCTCCAGACTCCCAAGAGGTCCTATGGGGGACTCAGGCCTCCAAGGAGGTTTTGTGGTGATGATGGTTGTTTATCAATTCCCACCTGTGGTAGCGAGGGCTTCCCGGGAGGTAGGCCAGGGGACAGTGCCAACAGAGGCCCCAGTCACACCGTCTCCTCTTCCAGGGTCAGAGCCCGGAGCAGTGGAAGGGAAGTGGGTCAGGATGGGAAGCGGGGAATGCAGAAGGACATGTTTAATGCTCCCAGGGAATTCACAGTCATGCCCCCGAATCTAATAAATGAGCTGGTCTCTCCAATCAGGCAGGAAACCTCTACTCTTGGTCACATCCCCAGCAGACTATGGGAAAAATGATGGATGGAGATTGAGTCATCTAAATGTTTGTTCAGATCTCATTGCTCTGTCTACTGTCAGTTTCATTTTTCACCTCCACCTCCTGGAAGAGAAAGAATAAACAAGATATTTGGGTACGTTTTAGGGGAGCATAGTGGTAGAATTTGGAATCCAAACTGCTGCAAGTTGAAATCCCTGCTTCTGGGGAAACTTCCCTCATGGCTCTGAGCATTGGTTGCTGCTCTGTGAAAAGAGGATTTAATGACTGCCCGAGGAGGGTATTTTACAAGTAGGAGGCCATGTCTGGAGAATGGTGTTTAATAGATGCTGAATAAGTGTAAATTCTCCTTTCTGACCTAATTTCCTGGACCCCTTGTGGCAGGAAGCAGTAGTTTACTGAATTTGAGTGTGATGAATCAGTAAATATGTTTATTTTGTTGTAAGGTTGCTGTTGCTTTGAAAGAGTAACTGAGAAGGCTTCTGAAAGATGATGGTGGCTAAGGTGCTAGACCAAACAGATGAAAAAGCTATTTGTGTAAAGACAGGCCTCATGCCAAAGATAAAGTAAAACAGTATATCACTGAGTCACACAATTATAAATGGTAGAATTCACAGGGTCCCCTGAACTCCTCTGAACCAGGAAGGAACACATGTGGCCCATCCACTGCCATACCCCACCTCCGGGCACATGGCAGACATTACTAATCAATTGCAGAGTTGTTTCCTTATGAGCCCAGATAGCCTCAGCACTTGAGGCAGCACAGCACTTCCAAGCAGCAACTGACAGTTGGGAAAGGACTATCCTTGAAACCTGTGTTCCACCCCTGCTTCAGACCAAACCTCCTGTTTTACAGATGAGAAATCAGAGATGGGAGGGATGTAGTTTTCTCCAAATCATGCAGCCATCAGATCTGGAAACTTATTTCCAGTTCAGTTCAGTTTTTAGTGCATGGTGGACATGGAATTTCCTTTTTCAGGAAGCAGGGTCTTGGTGCCCTTGTTTTTATCATATCTCAAAAAATTAATAATTGAGAGGATGGGCCACCTAATGCTGAGAAAGATGGTGAAGACCAGCTGGGAAAGGGTGTTCTCAGGCCCAGGGAAAAAATTTAGAAGTTCATAAAGGATTGTCTGAAGACTGAACTCTGGGGAGGCAGGGATTTCACCTGTTGTGTGCCACCTCCGTATCCCTGTGTCTGTGCTGGACATGGATAGGGGTTGAGTAGTTGAATACATACTTAGTAGATGAAAGCTGTGTGACCTAGTTGCAAATTGGGGAATAGAAACGGAAGTAAAATTCCTTGAAGGTAAGATTCTGTAAAGAGCTGTAAGTATGTAAATGAGTCTGATTTGTTTAAAAAATGAACCTCTGTTTTTCTTGCCTTTGTTCATTCATCTACATTGTTGGACACCTACTGTTTGCTGGGCTGTATACCCAGTGTTTTACGTGTTTTCTAATTCTTAAAACACTATGAAGTAGATATAATATTATTTTATAGATGAGGGCACTGGAGTTTAAAGAAGTTAAATTCCGCAAGTCATGGCAGACGGTAAAATGGTAGAACTGGAATATGAACCCAGTTGTAAATTTTGGCCATTTCAATTAAAAGATATATTTCTGATAAAGTCATGGTGGTTTGCAGCCATAATGTTGAGTTGTTTTGATCCCCAGCCTTCCATTCCCGGGTTACAGCTTGTGTCATTAACATCAAGAGTCATTGAGCCCCTCCCCCTTCCAAAGGCCTCAGATGGAAAACCAACATCACAAAAGGACAACTGTATGGTTTTCCTCTCCCAGGGATGGCAGAGCTCCTTGGGCTCAGGGGAGAAGATATCAGTGGAAGATGGTTAGGAAACTGTGGAATCTCACACCTACTTTCTTTTGTTCTCACCACTGATGGGGTGTCAGACTTGCTGCTGCTGAAAAGGAACATTCTAAACCAGTAGAGGGGCATTTTAAGTGGGTGGCATGCTCCCGTGTCTGAAGAGGTTGGCCATTGACACATTTCAGTGATGCGATGTGGAAAATACAGCCACAGGGAAAACAGCCTGAATTTTCCATAGTCTCATAATTCAGGGCCTCCCAGAAAGGAGGCAGGAACAAAAGAGTAGTGGCTAGGATAGAAAAACACCCTGGCTTGAAGATGGCGGAGGGGCCTGCCCTCCAGGCCAGGGGTACCCGGGTGGCTGGGGTGGGCAGAGGCCAGCAGATTCCATCCTTCTCATGCCTGGCAAGCAGAACTTAGGCTCAGCCCCACGAGCAGGAGATTCCTAGTAGCCTTTGCTTTTTCCATTGTTTCCAGGGTCCTCCCTTTTTGATTAAATCTATGGGGACCTCCTTCCCCAGAAAGAACATACATCCTGTAGCAGAAAGTTCAAATCAAAGGCCAGAAGTCATACTCAGTGCTTGCCTTGTGCAGAGCTGCTCTCCTCTCCCCGCATCCCCATGGTTTTGCTGGGATTTGGAAGGTGAGAGGAAGGAAAGAGAACAAATATTCATTAAGCACATACACAGATGCTGTGTGACCATTTCATATGAGCTACTTTCCTTCACTCTTACCAAACCCACCTACAACACAGTGTACTAGCCCTGAGTTAAAGATAAGGAGTGAAAAGCTCAGAGTGACTTGCCAAGGTCACCCAGCTAGTCAGTGGCAGAGTTGGGATTTACAATTATTTCCAAATAAGTCTGTCTTACTCCAAAGCCTAGACTCCTTCTAGTGCACTGAACACTGCCTTGCAAAATGATCAGATGGTGGGAAGGTCACTAATAGTAATGGAATGTCTGGTACATGCCATGAAATGTGGTCATACTTATCACCCTTAATCTTTCTGACAACATAACTGGTTAGGTTTTATCATGCCCATTTTACAGATGAGGAAACTGCAACCCAATGAAGTTAAATGACTTACCCAGGCTTGCCCAGCAAGAACTGAGGAAGAGAGCTTGGGGAGCTCACTGTCGGGGGAGCGGGTCATTTTAGAGCCTTTTGTCTGAGTCTTGGCTTGGAGAGCCGGGGCAACCCTGGTGGTGTGGCCGGGCTCCTTGGTGCTGGAGCACAAAGGAATCTCCTAGCCCCAGCCGGAAGCACCAAGACCATTATGAGGATGGGCGGCTCCAGGGTTTCTGGGGCAGGAAACTTGGGTGTGCCCAGACCACCTTCCCTAGACCATCTGCACATGGCCTCCTCCTTGGAGCTGGAGTTCCACGTTTCTTGCCATCCCACAAAAGTGAAGCAAAATTTGACGTGGCCTCTTGTGAGCAAAATGAGGTCAAAGCATATGTTTTTCCACCACTGAAACATTAAAGTTTTTCCCAGGCTCATTAGCATAAACGATTCAACTTGAAAAGTTAAAAAATTCTGGGAGACCCCTTTCCGTCCTCACTGTGGAAGAACTTTGTGGGTAGTGTTGGGGGCAAAAGAAAGAATAATTCCTCAGGGCAGGGAAGAGACTGGAAGGCAGGAGATTGGACGCTCCTTAGAGGCTCAGCAGGGAATCCCAGGCGCCGTCCCCCACCCAGCAGCCCTGCCAGGGGGCTGGGGAAGTGACTTTTTTTCTGCCCAGGGGAAAACAAACTGGTTTCTGTTTTGTTCTGCTTTAGATTTTCTTCACTTTTTCTTTTTTTTTTTTTTTTTAAAGGAAATTGAGCAAATTCTTTGAATTGAATTTATAAAGAGGGCAATGGATTAGGGACACTGAAGCAGTGGTTGTTCAGCTTGGGCATACAGCAGAATTATTTTCTTAATCTGGATACAACTCATGGGAAAAGTAATGCGTTTTTATTTTCACTTACTTTTAAATTAAATTGAGCACTTCCTTTAATCTGAAATGTGGACAACAAACCACAATATTTGCAGTACTTCGTACCAATAGCAATCACAAATATTTTTATTTTCTCTTACTGTTGTTATACATATCTTAAAATAGCATTTATGCTCAGCACTTAGAGATGAAGAGAGTTGTCAGAGTTGCCGATAGGTCTTGCTATCCAGTGTGTTCATAAGAAGCCCATAAAATACTGTCTCTCAAAATATTTTGATAACTCGACTTCAACACAACCATTTTTCTTTGTAATCCTGTATGTTTACCTTTATTCATCTAACTCTGTTATACTGAGAACAGGAGAACAGGCTTCATCTAGGTGTTAAAGGGGTCCCTAGTACAAAAAAAGTTAAGACCCCTTATTTTAAAAAGGCCAGTGTCCACACTGGGACCTCCTAGTCACTCCTCGTCACAGAGACAGACATGGCCTAGTGGGCAGCAGGGAGGCTGTAGAAGGATCTGTCTGTTGCCTTCATTGGAGTGACATCCCCACCATTGTAGATAAGACTTAACCTTGAGGTTCCTCGAATCATGCCAGCTTCCCCATTCAGGTGGTTTGAATCCTAAAGACTATGAAGAGCCATTTTGAAGAAACTGAAGGTTGAGAAGATTCTGATTACCAGCATTGTTGTATAGGCATTGGGTCGGGGGTTGGTCTGGAAAATGCTGGGCCTGGGCTCTGTCTCAGATGTAGGAGTGCCCAGCTCATCCTGGGGCATCTCCCAGATGGACCATTTGACAGCAGCGTAGCCCAGATAGGGGCCTGCACTGACTCCTGCTGCCCACAACTGCAGCCAAGGCTGATCTTCGGTGGAGAAGGCCTCTGTCCTGTGGCTGCAGCTTGGCAGCCTGAACTGCTGCGTGAAGCATCCTCTGACTCCCTTCTCCCTCTGCAGCCTGTCTTACCCATGGCATAGCTGGAGGATGCAGACATGACATCCAGTGGAGACTTGTGATATGTCAGGAGGGATTACAGGTCACAGCCCCTGGAACCTTGTTCTTCTTGAGAGATTTCACCTGCCCCACCGAAGGCTCCAGCCCTAAGCCTTTGGGATGGACAGAGAAAATACAAAATATGATGCAGTTTTTGTCACCTCCCAGTTCTCTCAAGTCCATGTGCCTAGGGACTGTGTCTCAGAAGCACTGTCTCCTGAGGAACCAGCTCTTGCATAGGTGCTATCTCCAAGTGCTGAGAGTGTGGAGGGACTTGGCACATTTATTACTTTCTTCCCAAGGCAAAGGAAAACCAAATTTAAGAGACTGAGCTAGGCCAAGTCAGCTCACTGACTCATCTAAAAAGGGCAAACAAGAAACCAATTGAGTCAATCTGGAGAAACTCTATCCATCCCCAAGGACGGGGTAGTGTCCTGAATGTGATCAAAATGAGGCTGGGCAGTGAGGACACTATCAGAGCCTGCTTGGCTTTTTGTAATTACTGAAAAACAGAAGCATGCGCTTCCACCCTGTCCCTGAATCCTGCCCAATTCCTAGCCCTCATCCCCTGCATCATTCCTTCCCTTGCATGAATGAAGGAATAGCACAACCAATCCCGTGAACAGTCCTAGGCTTATCTGGGTGCAGGTAAATCATGAGATTCACTCTAAACTTAATCCCATTAATTGCCGTGTTTGAGAGAAAGGGGATTTCATTAGGGCCTCCAGAGGAGTTTTCTGAGGGAAGAGATACAAGCTCTGGCCACCCCAGGAGGCCCTGTATGGACCCTGCTCACCATGGTTGTGGCGGGACATCGTCCTCACTTGTGGCCCGAGGACTGGCTGTGCTCTCCCTGGCCCATGGAAGCGGGAAGGCCCAGAACTCTGTGGCCACGGCCGGGCGCTGCTACCCTCCACGGCTGAACACTATTAGCCTGGGGCAGATGTCAGCTCTGAGAGGTCCGCCAATTCTGGTGTGTCCCAAAAAGTGGCTGAGACTGGAGACTAGGAGATGCAGGATATGGATGAAGCATGAGCCAGAGTGCTATTTGCACCCTGAAGCCAGAAAAGGAGGAAAAGATGATGGAGATTTGTGGAGGTAGCTGAGTGTCTGGAGAGGCTGGGGTAGAGCAGGTACCACCCTTCAGACAGCGCCACGGGGAAGCTGGTGGGACATGTTTCTGCCAACTTGCCAACTCCTAGGAGACCTGACGTGTCACCCAGACCCTTTACCCAGCAGGGCCTGTCATCTCCCCTAGGAGGGCTTGTTATGATTCCCCAGACCTCTCTCCTCCAGTGTTTCTTTCAGGAGGACTGTCCCCACGCCCCTGACACATGGTGATTAGGGAGCCCCCGTGACTCCGACTACCCTGGAGCGCCCACAGCACTCCCCAGAGGCAGCTCCAGATGTCTGCTGTTCATTGCCCAGAACGCTTATTTTTTAAAAGAGGCCCTCACCATGGACTTCCAGCATCACCGGGGGCAATGCTGGGAATGGGGGTGGTGCTTTCCTCAGAGACCAACCAGGACCATGGGGAGCACCTGCAGCAGCTGATCCAGAGACCAGGACATCCACAAGGACAGATATCTTATGAAAAGTCCTCAGGTTCATAGGAATGCTAACTCTGCTGGGGGTGGGGGAGCTGCCTAGCCATGGATGATAATATAAACCTGTTTGGCCTGGAGAGCAACCAAGAAGGCCCAGGGGTCCTAGCCAAGGCCAGGCAGGGTCAAAGTAGAGATGGAAAAGTTGCTGACATCAGTCATGGGGCTATAAAGTGGAGGCATAGAGAGAAGGCTAAGGCAGAGGGATATGAGACAGGCCTTTTTTCTCTAGACGGCTGTGTGTGATTGCTGAGGGCACAAACCCCACCATGATTATGCTTCTGGTTAGCCTTGCTGCAGGGGAGCAGCCCCACCCCCAGCCCCGTAAGCATTGGTGATACCTGCCAAGCTCTGAGATCATCACCTTCAAAGTGCCCAGCAGGAAGGCTGGCAAGGCAGAGGGTGAGTTTGGATGCACCGTGTTCTGGGCATCTGTTACCCAAACTTAGCAGTATAAAACAACCGTTTATTATGTTCCTGGATTCTGTGGGTTAGGAACTTGGACAGGTACCATGGGGATGGTTTGTCTCTGCTCCGTAATGCCTGAGACCTCTGACTTGAAGCCAGGGTACTCAATGACCAGCGCTGGAGCCATCTAGAGGCTCTTTTCACCCAAGCTCCTGGCTGTTGCCTGGAACCCTAGGCAGTGCTGTTGGCCTCCCCATGTAGCCTGGACTTCCTCACAATATGGTGGCTTGGTTCAAAGGGCAGGCACCTGACAAGGGAAAGAGCCAAATGGAAGCTATGTTGCCTCTTAGAACCCAGCTGTGAAGTTATGCAGCATTACTTCCTCCACAGTTAGTTCATTAGAAGTGAGTCATTAGAGCCAAGTGCTCTGCTAGGATGAGGACGGTATGATTGAGGGCTGGGCATGCTGCCTTCCAGCCCCCTGCTATTTTCTGTTTCTGGAAGCAGTCCCTTGGTCGAAGAAGCTGTGAGTGCTCTGGGTGGAGAAGAGGCCAGTGATTTCAGTGCAGGTCTTGGGGGCTTTAGGGACTGAGGCATTTCCCTCCTTGGGTTGCCTGGAAACACCAGTGACCAACCAGCCATGGGTCGCCTGGACAGGACCACCCCTCAGAGAGAAAAGCCAACTGTGGGCACTTACAGCCCTCCCATCTGAATCTTGCCTTTCCCAGTATGAGTCTTGGCATGTCTTATAACCACCTGTTGGTCCTTGAACCCTGAACTATTCCTCTCTTCATCACTCCAGCCCTGAGTACCCAACTGGGGTGGGTACTCAGGACTGGGGAGCACCCAGGAGAGAGGCGCTAGTTGCCCAGTGGGAGAGTCTGGGAAGGCTTCCTTGAGGAGGAGACATCTGTGCTGCTCCCTAAAGATTGATTGACAGATAAGGGAGGTAAGGGCATTCTAAAAGCATGGGCCAAAAATCTGGGTCCTAGGGAGGTCAGAAAAATCAGGCTGGAAAACAGGTTGGGAGCTGACCAATAAGAGCTCTGTATACCATGCAGTTTGGACTCCAGGTCATGGTTGCTGGAGTAGGTGGAGACAGTCAGTTGTGAGGTAGAATGTGCTCAGGGTGACAGTCTTACAGGAACTCATGACCTTGGTCAGTCTGTGAGAGTCCAGAACCCGTAAGCCCTGCAGATTCAGAGACCGGACCTGCTCAGCAATCTTGCTAACTAAATTCTGACCTCACTAATGTGTAAACCAAAAGCACAGGCTATTAATTTGCAGGGTTGAGGAACATCTCTTTCCATGTGGGGACCCCCATCCGGGATGCTCCCTATGTGGTGTCAGGGTCCTGGGGGGCAAGTTTGGTTTTCTGTAGGTTGCTGGGTGAGTGAGAATTAGAGCCGAGGGAGCTTGAGATTGTTGAAGGGAAGTCATGGGTTCCCGGGTGCCTGGTGTAGTCAGAGCAGAGAGCTGCCACAGAGCTCCAGGCCTCCCTCTCCCCGGGTCACTGGGACACACCTTTTGTTCACTCCCTCTCTCCTTGTCACATTCTTTTATGATGTCAGAATCACAGATGCGGGCTGACTGTTCCCAGGGCCTGGAAGGCAGGCTGTCTCCTCCGATTATGTGTTGACTGAATTTGTGCAACCCTCAGCCTTCTCCAGGGCCCCTCGGCTGGAGCAGCTTTCTGAACAATTATGATCAGGGACGTGCATAATCAAGTTTGTGTTTTAGGCAGATAACTGGAGCTGCAGAAAGGAGTCTGGTGGAGAGGGAGGCAGGCTGGTGGCTGGACGCTGGCCTCCTTGCTGCCACATTGTGCATAGGATGAGGTATGACTTGGTGGGAGCATCTGTGAGGGTAGCAAAGGCCCTTCTCTGCCTGTGAGGAAACCCCAGGACAGTGAGCCCCAAACCACCAGAGTCCCTCCTCACCAACTTCCTGGCCTTAGCAGGAGCTGGGCAGGAATAGAGACTTCTCAGGAGGGTAGAGTTAGGAGTGAAGCCAGCTTCCTTTCTCTCTGGCACTCATCTCCTGGGATCCACATCCGGATTCAGTTCCTGAGAACCTGGTGAGAACTTGGCTACCCGCCTGTGACCGGAAGCATTTCTCCCGGAGTCACATGGGGGACTTCACACTGACCTGGGCTGGCTCTCCTGCTCTGCATCCAGACGCTGTAGGTCCCGCGGGGTTTGCAGCCTGGAGTTTGGAGCAGCTGAAAGGCCTGTGGGCCCTGAGCAGATACAGCAGCAGCTGTCAGGGGGCTGCTCCTGCCAAGGCTTCCCCACCCAGCCTCCATTTCCTGACACAAGGGTAGGACAGTTGGAGCTCCCTGCGGGTTGGGAAACAAAGGCCAAGGCCCCTGAATGGATGGGAAAAGTCAGGCTGGGGAGAGTCTGAGGTTCTCGCTGTTGTGATTCATGCCTTTCCTTGCGTCGGTGAACCTGTTCCCCACCTCTGTAGCTGCTCTTGTTACCGTGGGATACTCAGCCTGGCCATCTTTTTGGATCCCGGACCCCATCTGCTGCCTGACCTAGCAGGAGAGCCAGCTGCTGCTTCACATCCCAGCTCCAGCACTCACTAGCTGTGTGACTTTGGCAAGTTACTCAGCCTTTCTGTGCCTCCATTTCCTCATCTGTAAAATAGAAAGGAATAGTAACAGCCCTCTCTCAGTGGAGTGTTTTGGAGATCATGTGAGTTAATGCTTAGGATGCAGGACAGCTCTGGGAATAATATCTAGGAAGCAATATAAATATCGGCCATTATGGCTATGATTGTTTCATGACAACCCCTGTTATCATACACAATCCAGAGGCTTTTCTCCAAGTACAGAAGCTGCACCTGAGCATGGTTGCTCACACCTATAATCCCATCACTTTGGGAGGCCAAGGTGGGAGGATCACTTGAAGCCAGGAATTCAAGGCCAGCTTGGGCAACATATAGAGAGACCCCATCTCTACAAAAAAAAGTTAAAAACAAAACCAAACAAAACGATAAAAAAAAGAAGAAAGAAGAAAGAAGAAGAAGAAGAGGAAGAAAAAGAAGAAGTGGAGGAAGGAGAGGAAGAAGAAGAGGAAGAGGAAGAAGAAGAGGAAGAGGAAGAAGAAGAGGAAGAGGAAGAAGAAGAAGAAAAGCTGCACATGCTCACAAAGCCCCTGAAGCACAGGCCAGAATCTGGGGTCGTGAGTGGGTACGGGGAGGAAGGGCAGTGCTTCCCAGCCTCCTCCCTGGAGTGGGGTCAGGAGCAGGCACCCTGATGTCCTTGTTGGCTTATCTTCATGGATGTCTTTGAGGCCACCTCTCTTTCTGTGGCCACCAGCCCTTCCTTCTCAACCTTCTCCTGCTCAAGGCCAACCCCACTTTCTCTCTTCCAAGAAATGCACCTGTTGAATCTTCACATTGATCGGATTGGCACATAAAATACAAGACACCCTATAGAATCTAAAATAATTTTTGGTATGAGTGTGTCCCATGTAATAATTGAGGCATACTGTATGAAAATATTATTCATTGTTTATCTGAGATTCAACTATGGCTGGGCATCCTATAATTTTATTTGCTAAATCTGACAAATAAAATTCAGCTAAATTATTTGCTAAATTTGGCTAAATCTCCTTTAATCTGTCCAATAACCTCATGAGGTTCCCCACTTTGAGGCCCCTAAACAAAGAGGTCCCATGCAAGTGGAATAAGGAGCCATGGAGGAGGCAGCGGGTCTGGGAGACCTGGAAGTGCTGCTGGACTTGTCAGTGCATTTGGGCCTGAAATGCCCATCAGCCTCCTGATCTTCTGCATATGGAGTGCTAACTGTGGACTCGGTGTGTCTGGGGAATAGACCCCGGCCAGGCTCAGTGGCTCCACCCACACAGCGTGCCTTTGGATAGGTGGTCGGGGCTGTGGAGACCCTAAGTCCCCGGAGAAGTGTTGGGGGGAGTGGGTAGAGAGGGCTCTCCCAACGGCTGCCAACCCAGGTGGGATGACAGGCACTTGGATGAGTAGAGACAAGCTGCTTCCTTTGGAGTTAAATATGCGTCTAACTTCTCCAGAGGAAATGCCACTCAGGCTGAAAGAATGTTGGGAGGCTCTGTGTGTGGAGGGCTGGCTCTCGGTGGCCTGGCAGCAGGACAAGATTCCTGGAGGAAGGAACAAGCTTTTCCAGGGACCGACAAAGAGAGAAGGCTCCCAGAGGAGCTCTGGAGGTGGGAGCTGTCTGTATATATTGGAAGGAGAAGAGGGAGGATAGGAGGAGAGAGAGAACTCCAGGACTCTTTCCTGATTAAGGAAGGCATGACAGGCACTAAAGGGTTAGGAGCAGTGTTCTCCATACCCTGGGGTGCCAAGCTCTGCTCGGGGGTGCATTTTCCTCTTTCCTGGGCAGTGTGACTTGGGGGAAGAAAATTGGTGGGAGCAGCCCCAGGCGAGCCAGGCCTTTGCAGACATTGGCACTTTAGAATAATAATAGCTGGCACTGATGGGCTCCTGGCTCCTGCCTGGGTTTTTCCACAGGGCAGTCTCTGCAGCGGGTCAGGCTAGAGCCCCTCAGTGAGGTTTGGGGCCCCCACCCCCTGAGCTGGCTGAGAGTTTCCAGTGTAGCATCCAGGAAAGACTGGAGGCGCCCTGCTGCGTTCCAGACAAATGTGCATCTTACAGGCTCCTGCGACTGGCCTGGTTTTAAGGTCAAAAAAGGACTCTCAGGAATGGGGAAAACCTGACTTGGGAATCCTGTAGGATAAAAGGGAAGCTTCCTGCTGCTCTTCCTCAGGGCACTGTTGCTAATCCTCCAGTCACCTTGTGCCAGGGCCAGCCTTGTGGACCCTGCCCTCCTGCAGCAGGCACAGCTGGCAGTGCTCCACCTCCCTGAGAGTTCCAGAGTTCCCTCCTGCCTCACACTGCCACCTCCTGCCCCCTGGCTGGGGCCCCGACCCAGCCCAACCACTCCCAGAGAGAGCTCCACAGAGCACTGGGTTGCAGTTGAGCAGAACTTGGCTTGAGTGTAGCTCTGCCACTTCTGATTTTGGCAAGTGACTTCATTGTACTGTCTCAGTTTCCTCATCTGTCAAATGGGGCTTCTCTTGCTTACTGTGGAAGACAGGATAGTGTGAGGACGAGCTGAGGTGATGGATGCTCAGGGGTCTAGCCCCCAGGGGTGATCGAATTGTGTCTGTTTTTTCTTGTTCCGTGCAGCCTCCTTGTCCTTGTTGGTAGTTGGCCCATCCTGGGCCCTCTCTTGGTTCCATTGCAACTGTCCTCCTTCTTCTTGTCTTCCCCTCCAGAGCAGAGGGCTCTAGGATGAAGCAGGAAGTTGTGCTGTTGGTAATGGGAAGGGCACTGGCTCAAGCCTGATGTTCTGGGCCTTTTCAGTAGAAATGTATTCATTAACAAACAAGACCCATTGGCCCACACTTAAGCTCAGGAGAGGCCATCCTTTGAGCTCCTGCCGTGAGTTAAGCACTGCAAATAGAGATCCACGCTAGGGGTAGAGTGGGTGGAGGCCACTAAGCACTGTTGCATCTGTTATCTCCTTTAATCTGTCCAGTAACTTCATGAGGTTCCCCACTTTACAGATAAGACCCAGAGAGACTCAGTAATTAGGCCAAGATCACCTAGCTTGTAAGTGAACGTGTATTAGAACCGAGGTGTGGGCGCAAAAGCCTGTCTCAGCCCTACATGGCCCCAGATGCACTTGTGCCATATGGTCTTGACTTGTGACCCAGCATTATGGCAAGTGCAGCGACAGAGCCTGTAGAGGGGAGTGTGGGGGCCCAGTGGGGAATGGGGAACTGTGCCTGGACTCTCCCAGTGTTGGCACTGCAAGTCCTGCATCCCAGGATACCCCTAGCCCTGGGTGAACCAGGACCTTGGCCACTTCACCCACACTGCTGACTCTTTACCAGAGGACCACCTCTGCTCAGGAGGGTGCCTGGGCCAAGCTGCCTCCCCACCCGTGGGTTCTGGGAACAGCCCCACATCCAGGAGAGGATTATTTGTTTATCTCACAAATTATACCATCTGTTCATCCTGGGAGCACTCAGGGCCTGGCATGACCACACCACCCCCAGGGTGCCAGGAAATGGTAATCCACAGATAACATGCCCCACCCAAACCTTCAGTGACTAGAATGTGTACGGGGCTGGAGTGCCAGAGCCTGGCTCAGCCAAGAGACGCTGTTCTGGTCCCTGTGGCTCCACATCCTTTGGAATGTACCAGCACCTCCCCACTGACCACCCCTCTGTCACCTTCTAGCAATAAGATGCTGAAGGCTTAGGAACAGAGCTGACTGTGCGTGGAAGATCCGAAACAGAGGAGACTGGGGCTGCTGGCTTGTATCGGGGGAAGGTGCATGTATTAGTTTGCTAGGGCTGCCATCACAAAGTACCCCAAACAGGACGACTTAACAGGAATCTATTCTGTCACGGTTCTGGAGGCTGGAAGTCTGAAATCAAGATGTCAACAGGATTGTTTCCTTCTGAGAGCTGTGAGGGAAGGATGTGTGCTCTTATGAATGTGTGTGTAAATCTGAGCTTTTCTTCCATCAACACCATTAGGCTCTAAGGCTCTATGACCAGTGGTTCATCTACTGGTCAGTTCGTTCTTTCTGTTATTCTTTTTTTTTTCAAGATGGGGTCCACTGTCTGACTCAGGTTGGAGTGCAGTGGTGCGATCTTGGCTCACTGCAACCTCTGCCTCCCAGGCTCAAGCGATCCTCCCACCTCAGCCTCCCAAGTGGCTGGAATCACAGGTGCATGTCACCATGCCCAGCTAACTTTCTGTTATTCTTTTAGTGAATGGCAGCTGCGAGTCAAGCACGTGCTGGGGGAATTAGAGTCAGAGACTGCTCCAGAACTCATGTTGAAATTCAATTTCCATTTTAACAGTATTAAGAGGTGAGACCTTTAAGGGGTATTTAGATCCTGAGGGCTCCACAGTCATAAATGGATTAATGCCATTATTGTGGGAGTTGGTTTCTTATAAAAGGGCAAGTTTGGTCCCCTTTTCTCTTGCCCTTTCTTGTGGCCCTTTCACTTTCTGCCAGGGGATGATGTAGCAAGAAGGCCCTCACCAGATGCTGGCTCCTCAATCTTGGACTTGCCAGCCTGCAGAACCATGAGCCAATAAATTTCTGTTCATTATAAATTACCCAGTCTCAGGTATTCTGCTATAGCAGCAAAAATGGACTAAGATGGTGACTGACCTCAAAGGGTGGCTGTGAGGATCCGAGAGGCATACTATACTTAAAGCCTGAAGGATGTGCAGGCAACTGGTTGGCGCTTTCTAAACTTCACTCTTGTCCTCTCCTCCTGCACAGTGTGCAGAGCTCTGAGGACAAGTGCATCCTATTGGTGGAGGTCCTGGGCCTCCATTCTGCATGCAGTTGACCCTCACTTCTTGCCCTGAAGATGTTCTCTCCAGAGCCATGGGCTTGAGAGGAGCTTGGGGAAGGCCCTGGCCCTGGAGGCATCCATCCCCAGCAGCCTCTTCCTTTGGGCCTCCGGTGAACAAGAATGTCTGGGATTCCTGAGAAGTGTGGGAAATCCAAGTGCCCAGCCAGTATGAGGAATGAGATGCAGCATCAGAAGGGTCCCAAAGAAGCGGTGCCTCTGCGGGCCCCACACAGACTCTGGGAAAGCCTCCAGGGACTCATTGTTGTCCTCTCCCTCCTCCAAGTTTTGACTTCTGCTCACTCAGAGCCTCTCTCCTCTGATCAACTCTAAACTGGAAAATCAAAGACTCTGAATGGCTCCTTTGCCATTTTCCACTATTTCATGATAGTGTCAAAGCACCGGGGCTGCTTCCAGCCTGACATTCCTGCCAAATCTATGCTGTGTTCCCGGTCAGCCCTCGCTCCCGCCAGCTTCTGAGCTTTCTAAATATAGTTCCCTCCTCGGGACAACAAAGAAGCCATCCTCTGAATGACTGCATTCCCCATGGCCAGCTTCTGGGCTGTTTGTCAGATTCCCCCAGCAGGATGGGAGGGAGGAGTGGGGGCAAACAGGAGTGGCCAGGACTGGAGAGGAGCTGCTGAAGTCCATGCAGCAGGGTGCTGTCTTCCAGCCATATGACATTTGGGCCCAGACGCTCAGTGGCTATGGCCTTGACCGTGAGTTCCTGCCTTCTGTCTCTGGGGATGCATGGGGCCCAGAGCCCTGTCCCGGGCAGGTGCTACTAAGTTGTGACTGAAGAAGAGGAGAGAGAAATGGTGATCTCCCCAGCAGGAAATGAAAAGTGTCTGTCGGCTCCAGTCCAGTCAAGCTGGGTGACCTCTGGGCAGATTCTATCCTTAAGTCTCAGTTTCCACATCTGTGAAGTAGGGATAAGGACTATGTCAAGGAGACTAGAGAGAAATTGTGCCAGGTGGCGGGCACTAGTGGTCCTATCTGGCCAGGGCTCTGTGCCTGCATGTGATGGATTGCAGGCATAGCCTTTGAAGTGCTTTTTGATGTGCCTTTCACTTCAGGATGGAGTCCCTCTTCTGGTCCCAGGGCTAAGAGGTAGATAGAGGCCCTGCAAGGTACTCATTCCTTACTAAAACAAGACCCCAAGCCCAGAGCCCCTGCCTTCCCTCCCAGGCCTCTTATTTCTGATCTCAGCTTCTCAGCCATCCAGAGCCCAGTTGGGTGCTGAGGCCCCTTTAAAAAGCCCAGAGCCCCCGCCTTCCCTCCCAGGCCTCTTATTTCTGATTTCAGCTTCTCAGCCATCCAGAGCCCAGTTGGGTGCTGAGGCCCCTTTAACACCTTGGCTCAAATGTGGACAGAACCCTTGAGCACAGCTAAGAGCAATTAGAATTATGGAAAAGAAAAAAACCTGGATTTCTCAGCTCAGGGCCTGTCTGTGCTTGGAGGGCACTGACACATGTCCTCTCCACCCACCCACTCAGTTCTACTAAGGGTAGAGGGCCTGACCTCTTCCTCAGGTCTAACAAACACTGGGAAAGGTGAGGCCAGCCCCTACTGCTAGCGGTCTTCAGGAGAGACTCAATACAAACAGCTTTACTGGATGGAGAGCCTGGCCTTTGTACAACAAAAGGTCACTCTGCCCCAGGACTTGCCTGGGGTGGACATACAGGCCACTTCCCACCTGTTTGACACCCTCAGGATGTAGATAAGTCAGGACTAGATGTTTGATCCCCGAGTGCTGACCAGGACAGAGATGTCAAGCTTTGGTGGATGCCTTAAGGCCCTGTTGATTTAGACCTTCCTTTCTGCTCACAGACTGGCCCCCTGGCAGGGGTGCACCATAGCGGGATCAGGCATTGGATGTGTGGAGGAGCAGATGCATAGCTATCTGTTGCTATGGCCACCGTTCACCAAGCATGAACTCTGTACAACAGCCCTGCAAAACAGCTCCTGCCTTCATCTTTGTTTTTAATAGAGGTAGAGTCAGCAGCCCAAGGTTTCACAGCTGTTAAGTGGCAAAACTAGGATTCAGTTTGTGCACCTTGGAGTCCGGAAGTCTCTAGTATGACCACAATTCTTAAAGAGTGTGTTCCTGCTGGGAATGGCAGTTGCACATCCAACTAGACAAGCTGGTGGGCTCGATTATAACAAAAGCCTCAAGCTTTCTTGAGGGGAGTCATGTGGAACTAACCTACCAGCACTCCTTGCTGATACCCCAAAGGAAACCAGTAGCTTTGGTATATTTAGGTTTTTCAAAGGTTTTTGGCAAAGTTCCATGCCAAAATTTTTTTTCCGTACCTAGAAAAACAATTAAGTTTGAAGGGAATATGCTTTGTCATGCATAGGAGCCTGTTTAGGGAAAGGAAGATATTCCTAAGGATGAAAATGCACCCGTCTTGATGGATAATTGTAAACAGCAGGGTCTTATAGGAATTGATGCTAGAAGAATCTTAGCTCATATTTTTAATTAAAGATCTGGGAGAGGAAATGTATAGTGAAAATCGCAAGTCTACGAAGGCCTTTCGGGGGAATGAGAAGCCAAATTAATGGAATGTATGTTTTTTGCTCTAGTTCTCAAACCATTGCTAATGATCTGCATTTTGTTGGCCTGTTTGCCACAGTAAGATGCAAGTGCTTTCACCCACTCAACACATATTTATTGTGCGCCCATGATGTTCCAGCCACAGTACTGGGCACAGGCATGAGTGTGGTATTATTCTGCTTTACAGAAGGGCTTTACAAAAGCTTATGGTTTCAAAATTTCCCTGCTTTTGTTTATGGTTCTAACCCTTGCTTGTTTTAGAAATCATTATGCAAAGAACAACTGCATTCTTTTTAATGTCTGCATGGAGGGATTTTTCTGTGAAATGACTGTACAATAATCAGTTCCCTCTGGTTGGACATTTTTGTTATTTCTGGATTATAAATAATATAACGATATAGCCTTAAACACACTTGTTCTCAGATATTTACATATATGGACAAGTGTTTCTGAGGGTAGTCACCAGGAAGGGAAATGATTGGGTCAAAGGACATATACATTTAACTATTTGATAGATGCTGATGGATTGCCTGCAAAAAAAAAAAAAAAAAATCTTCAATTTTAATTACCCCAAAGCATTTGGCAATGCCTATTTCCTGAAACTAACATTGAATATTTTATTAGTTTCCTATTGATGCTGTAACAAATTACCACACATTTACTGGATTAAAACAACACAAATTTACTGTTTTCCAGTTCTGGAGGTCAGAAGTCCAACACAAGTCCCACTGGGCTAAAAGCAAAGAGTGGGCAGGGCTGCATTCCTCTCTGGAGGCTCTAAGAGAGATTCTGCTCCTTGGCCCCTGGCCCCCCTTCCATCTACAAAGCCAGGGATGGCCAATGGAGTGTCTGTGACACCTGGCATGATATCACTCTGACACTGTCTCTTCCTCTATTCCCTTTTCCATTTTTAAAGTCCCTTGTGATTCCGTCAGGTAGGTGCTCCTGGATAATCCAGAGTGCGCTCCCTACCTTCAGGTCAGCTGATTAGCAACCTGCATTCCCTCTGCCTCTAATTTCCCCTTCCTATGTAATATAACATACCCACAGGTTCCGGGGAATAGGATGTGAACATCTTTGGGGGTGCTGTTATTCCACCCACCATGGAGACATTCAACCTTTCTAATTTCTTCCATTCTAAGTGAAAAAAATGGTGTTATGCTCTTTTAAGTTGCATTTCTTGATTGATTTCATTGGTGAGGTTGAACGCCTTTCTATTTGAAGAGGCAAATTTCTGTTATTCTAAGTTGTCCGTTCATACCCTTTGTCTCCTTTGCCACTGGGTTGCTCTTTCTCTCTCTCTTTTTCCAATTGAATTACGAATTTCTTAAGGGCAGAGGCCTCCTCACATTCACCTTTGTGTCCCCAGTCCCTCAAAATATGGCTGGTTCAGAGAAGGGATTCTGTGCCTGTTGGCCCTTCCTTTCTCCCAAATGTCGTCCCTCCCACTCCATTTTCTTGCCATTCTGCTTTGGAAAGAACGTCGGGAGGCTTCCGGCTGAGCAGCCTGAGTTGTGTCTGTGCACAAGAGCGTGTGCTGGGCTGAGACAAAGCGCGTCTGTGATTTGTTCCCAGCCCTGTTGGGACTTCTCTGGCCGCTGGGGCTCTGGCTCAGACTCAGTCCCTTCACTTGGGCGGCCGTTCACCCTACTCGGAGCCTCGGTTTTCTTATCCGTAAAAACAGCGATGGTATCATGCCTGACATTTAAGGGGTGCTGGGAAAGTAACTGAAACAAAAGCATCAATGCTTGGCAAGGGAGCACCCTGGTTGCTGGGCCGCCAGCACTTGCAGTGTTGATCAGAGCAGCAGAGCCCCTGGAAGGGGACTGGAGGCAGCTGCCGGAGGTCCAGGCCTGCCCGGCCAGGCTCTTCCAGGTGGGGCTCCACACCTGCATTCAGGATGGGGAGGATGCTCTGGGTCAGAGGGGAGAGCCGGTCCTTCCCTTCCTCAAGACCCTTCCAGAAGGTCTGCTGGGCCCCAGAATACCAGGCCTCAGGAGGGTCCTTCTCACCACTGGCTGCTACATGTGGAGCCCTGAACCCCCTTGGCTCAAGGGCTGGTGGTGGAAAGAGAC
The DNA here is from genome assembly GCF_000001405.40 of Homo sapiens. Lineage (NCBI taxonomy): Eukaryota > Metazoa > Chordata > Mammalia > Primates > Hominidae > Homo > Homo sapiens. The sequence goes on along the minus strand of NC_000011.10, from coordinate 11,969,506 downwards.
CCTCCACCCTGAACTAGTCACATTATCTTGGAGGGACCTCTCTGCCTCCATTTCCCGGCTGGCAATATAGAGAAGGCAGTCCCTACCTGCCTCCTGCTGGGAGGAGTCACTGAACAAGATCAGGGCCGTCAAGCCTGATACCTCAAAAGGGCGATCAATGGCCATTCCTGTCATCATGTTCCCTCCTCCCCTGCCCTCCTTCCCCTGCTGTAAAGCTGCCGGTTCGTAGGCCTGAGCCTGACAGCAGGTCCAGGAGCTGAAGCAGCCCTGCTTCTGCCAGTGACCGGCGACCATGGCAGGTCACAGTGCCCTCGGCCATGGCTCCCTGTTCTGTGACTCAGGCCTTGGGGTGGACAGATTCCCCTCACTCCTTCTCTCCCTGTTTCTCCAGCCAGGCAGAGCTGGCAGCCATGAGGAGACAGCACCTGGGCTGGGAGGGCTGGAGTCCAGCCACCCTCCTCTAATTCATTTCCAAGCTGGCAGCTGCCTTTCCCTCTTGCAGGGACCCTAGACCCAGGACCCTGAGGGCGCTCTCTGTGGGCAGGGCTGTGGCTTTCTGGCAGGGTCCCTAGCGATGCCCCCTCTGCTGCCTCCCAGTCTTCACAGTCAGCAGAGCCCTTGGGGCCTGTCTTCCAGCCTTTCCTGTGCAGTCGGGCGGGCCTGGACCTCATTAGCACTTTTTATTAAATCCATATGTTCTGTGTGGAAGACCAGCCCTGAGTCCCTGTGCTCCCGCCCTGGGTGTGGGTGGGGGAGAACTGTGCACAGATGGCGATTGTGTGAATTTGGTGTGGGATCCTCCAGGCTCTGGGCTGCCAAGCCTCCTAGGCATGGAGATGCTGAAGGGCAGTGCAGCCAGGCAGGGATCAGGAGCGACTAGAGTCTGGAGGCCTTTCCTGACCCTGCTGAGCCTGTGGGGTCAAGAATGGGGAATGGAAGCGGGCCTGGCCCTTCCTGGGCACTGTGGGCCTGCTGCTCTGCTCTCCATTGACACATCTGCTCCCTGTGCCCTTCCCCAGGAGTGCATCATCGACGAGGACTGTGGGCCCAGCATGTACTGCCAGTTTGCCAGCTTCCAGTACACCTGCCAGCCATGCCGGGGCCAGAGGATGGTGAGTATGCCAGGGCCTCTGGGGCTGTGGCACCAGGGTCTCAGGCACCTGGGGGAGAAAGCCAGGGGCCCCAGCGTTCTCAGCTGGGCTTCCCAGAAGAGCCTCACCATGATGGGGAGGACCCAAGAGGGCTCCCCAGAGGGCTGACTCCTGGAGGACAAGGAACTCATTCCAGTTTGGGATGACAGGAAGCCATCTGCAGACCCAGGGCCACTCCCATCCACCCCATGTCCTCTGGTCATGTTGTTTGTGTCATTGATGGTAGAGAAGGGGAGGGACGGCCAGGCACCGTGGCTACACCTGTAATCCCAGCACTTTGGGGAGACCAAGGCAGAAGGATCTATTGAGGCCGGGAGTTCGAGAAGGGGAGGGAAGGGAGAGGAGGTGTCCCTACACCTGTTGCTTCCCCTGGGGATGACCCATCCTAATAGACAAACAGAGACATTCCGGCAGCCCCCAGGCAGGGAGAGCGGCAGCTGCTCTCCTTCTGGACCTGCACCCCACCCACCAGATCTTTCTCCAATCTGCCAATAAGAGAGGGCAGAGGGACAGGGCAAGAAGAGGCCAGGGCACTGCCCCAGTGCAGGTTAGATTGGGAAATGTGGAGCCAGGGCAAAGGAGACTCTTCACCCAACAGGCATTTTGGACGAAGCCACATGGACTCACAGACTTTTCATAGTCATTTTTCCTTATTCAGACAATAACACAGCATGCTAATAAGCTTGGAAAGTCAAGCAGTTCTTATTACCTTACCCGACTGTCTGTGGTGAGGCCACTGCTGTTGCACCTCGCAGCCAACCCCACTCGGTACCGTCACTGGGCACAGCCGTGGGGACCTCACTTTGCTCTCTAACTGCCATGCCCTGTGTGGCTGCAGGACCCTGGCACCCACAGGCCATCCTCATCTTGGGCTGGCTTGGGCCTTAGTTTAATCGGCTCATCATTGGGCCTTGCCTCTTTGGGCCTGGACCTAGGGACCTAAGGAAAAAGGGAACAGCACAAGTCTGTGGGGACCACAAAGACCCCCTGCTGTTCTTTGCAAAATCTTAAGCTGTGGAGAAAGACTCAGATCCATGAGTCCTCCCGGTGCCATTTTTCCAGCGTTCTGACCCCCATGTCTCGCCAGCCAAGCTCCCACCTCTGTCCCACTGACTTTCACTGAAATCTCAGCCTGGTCTGCCTGTCTCTACAATGGGAGGATGCAGGTTGGCCTATCTGTGGTATCTTCAGGCTGGGCTCTCAGCAGGCCCCCAGTCCCTAAGCCGCTGGCTCTAGGCTCTTTCCACCTGTCTGCAGCTCTGCACCCGGGACAGTGAGTGCTGTGGAGACCAGCTGTGTGTCTGGGGTCACTGCACCAAAATGGCCACCAGGGGCAGCAATGGGACCATCTGTGACAACCAGAGGGACTGCCAGCCGGGGCTGTGCTGTGCCTTCCAGAGAGGTGAGTGGCCTCCCCTCAGATGCAGGAAAAACCCTGTCCCAAGCTCCACCACACTGGACCTCCTGGAGCCACGTCCATGCCAACCACATGGTTTCGCGTCCCACCTCTTGGATAGGCTCCCAAATGCTCATCAGTGTGTGCTGCACTCCCACAGCCTCTGCCCGGAGTGGGAAGACCACCTCTTTTTTTTCCCCTGTTGATGCTCAGAAAAGTTAAATGACTTCAGGATGCAAAAGCCCAGTCTGGAATGGGGTGGGACTAGCAGCCCCCTCCCTCCCACCACTCCTTATTTCCCAGGTTCCTCTACCTGTGAATCACCCGCTTCCACTCCCATCTTCCGTCCTGCCTCTCCCAGGTGAGGTCTGCTCAGGCTCTCTCCGCCCCCACTAGGGTTTTGAAAAATTCTCATTTGCCGCCTCCCCAGCTCTGCATCCCCAGCCCACTAGTCCTCCCTGTACCTGCCGCCTCCGTGATCTTCCTAAAGGGCTGCTTTTTGGGTGTTGCTCCCCTGGGACCTGCAGCAGCTCCTGTTGTCTCCCACGATGTTCAGACTCCTTAGGCTGTCTTGTGAGGCCTCATGCAGCTCCAACTTACTTGCCCTCCTTTTCTCTCCACTACTTCTTGGCCTATTTGGGAATTTCACCGGCCCTGACATTTTCCACTGAGCTCAACCCCAGGCCTTTGCTGGTGCTGTCCCTGTGCCTGAATGCCTTTGCCTCCCTCTTAATTTCTCCAGACTTTCTGGCCCTCAAAATCCAGCAGAAGCCCACCTCTTCCAGGCAGTCCTCCCTGCTTCAGCCCTACCAATCATTCCCTCCTGAGCCCAGGCTGCTATTCTTGTTTCCTGTCATTCCGTATCTTCAAAACTAGCCTGCACTTTGGGGTTGAGGGTGGGAGGTGGGAGGTTATGCTCCATTTCTTTGCCCCTCCCTTTGGAGCCCTTCTACCCTACACGGGGCACACAGGGGTGACTCTGGGCTGGTTCCAGGCCTGCTGTTCCCTGTGTGCACACCCCTGCCCGTGGAGGGCGAGCTTTGCCATGACCCCGCCAGCCGGCTTCTGGACCTCATCACCTGGGAGCTAGAGCCTGATGGAGCCTTGGACCGATGCCCTTGTGCCAGTGGCCTCCTCTGCCAGCCCCACAGGTGAGGCCCCCTAACCCTCACTCTCAGGGAGCCAAGGGCTGAGGAGGTGCCATCCAGCAGGGGCGTAGGAGCAGGAGCAGGTTTTCCCTGGGGGAGGTGTAGATTCCCTTTAGGATTGGTTTGAGAGGTCGTTGGGTCATGCAGATGGAAGGGTCCAATCAGCAGTCGGTTCTAGGGGTCTGGAGCCCAGGCTGCCCAGGAGGCACAGATCTGGGGCTCATCTAGCTGGTGGCTGAAGCTTCATGAGTGGATGGTCCATGGAGAGGACATGGAGGGAGAAAAGCCTGGGCTCCCTCCCCAGACCTGTCACAATGACAGATAAGCAGAGAAAAAGGAGCTGGCAGAGAGGCCACGGGGAGGCCAGGAGTGGCCACCAAGGTGGAGGGTGCAGCCCACACTGTCTGAGGCTGCTGAGACTCCATGAGGCATGAGGCTCAAGCCTGGCCAGCTTCTCAGGGCACATCTCCCTGTCCTCCCCGCAGCCTCTACTCAGTCTTCTCTCCCAACAGAATCCAGGGCTGCTGGGCAGACAGGCAGAACTCCCATTCCCCACGGCTCTGTGCAGTGGCTCACACCTGTAATCCCAGAGCTTTGGGAGGCCAATGCAGGAGGATTGCTTGAGGCCAAGAGTTCAAGACCAGCCTGGGCAACATAGGGAGATCCCGTCTCTACCAAACACATTAATTTTTTTTAAAAAAAGGAATTCTTCCTCCCTATTCCCACAGAGGTCCATGGCTCCCTGCATGTGGCTAGACTACACCCCAGAGTCAGGCTGACTCCTGCCTGGAGGCCCGAATGGGCCACAGTCTTTGAGGGGCTGTGGTGCTGCTACATAGCACTCAGGTCCTGCCCCTGGGCTGCGGGGCCTGAGAGTCACAGGAGGTCAGGCCTGCGCTGGAGGAGGGGAAGCTGCCCCCCACCAGCACATTCTCCCAAAGTGAGCCTCCCTCAGCCATCATTTTAAGATAGATGTTGACGGGAAGTGAAGTGTCTCTGTTGAAGAGACAGGAGAGGAGGGGGCATGAAGGTGAGGCTGGGAGCCCCACAGAGTCAGGGCGCCTTAGCTTTCGGCCTGGGCAGGCTCCCACGTTTAGAGCCTGGCTTTGTCCCATCTCTCCCCAGCCACAGCCTGGTGTATGTGTGCAAGCCGACCTTCGTGGGGAGCCGTGACCAAGATGGGGAGATCCTGCTGCCCAGAGAGGTCCCCGATGAGTATGAAGTTGGCAGCTTCATGGAGGAGGTGCGCCAGGAGCTGGAGGACCTGGAGAGGAGCCTGACTGAAGAGATGGCGCTGAGGGAGCCTGCGGCTGCCGCCGCTGCACTGCTGGGAGGGGAAGAGATTTAGATCTGGACCAGGCTGTGGGTAGATGTGCAATAGAAATAGCTAATTTATTTCCCCAGGTGTGTGCTTTAGGCGTGGGCTGACCAGGCTTCTTCCTACATCTTCTTCCCAGTAAGTTTCCCCTCTGGCTTGACAGCATGAGGTGTTGTGCATTTGTTCAGCTCCCCCAGGCTGTTCTCCAGGCTTCACAGTCTGGTGCTTGGGAGAGTCAGGCAGGGTTAAACTGCAGGAGCAGTTTGCCACCCCTGTCCAGATTATTGGCTGCTTTGCCTCTACCAGTTGGCAGACAGCCGTTTGTTCTACATGGCTTTGATAATTGTTTGAGGGGAGGAGATGGAAACAATGTGGAGTCTCCCTCTGATTGGTTTTGGGGAAATGTGGAGAAGAGTGCCCTGCTTTGCAAACATCAACCTGGCAAAAATGCAACAAATGAATTTTCCACGCAGTTCTTTCCATGGGCATAGGTAAGCTGTGCCTTCAGCTGTTGCAGATGAAATGTTCTGTTCACCCTGCATTACATGTGTTTATTCATCCAGCAGTGTTGCTCAGCTCCTACCTCTGTGCCAGGGCAGCATTTTCATATCCAAGATCAATTCCCTCTCTCAGCACAGCCTGGGGAGGGGGTCATTGTTCTCCTCGTCCATCAGGGATCTCAGAGGCTCAGAGACTGCAAGCTGCTTGCCCAAGTCACACAGCTAGTGAAGACCAGAGCAGTTTCATCTGGTTGTGACTCTAAGCTCAGTGCTCTCTCCACTACCCCACACCAGCCTTGGTGCCACCAAAAGTGCTCCCCAAAAGGAAGGAGAATGGGATTTTTCTTTTGAGGCATGCACATCTGGAATTAAGGTCAAACTAATTCTCACATCCCTCTAAAAGTAAACTACTGTTAGGAACAGCAGTGTTCTCACAGTGTGGGGCAGCCGTCCTTCTAATGAAGACAATGATATTGACACTGTCCCTCTTTGGCAGTTGCATTAGTAACTTTGAAAGGTATATGACTGAGCGTAGCATACAGGTTAACCTGCAGAAACAGTACTTAGGTAATTGTAGGGCGAGGATTATAAATGAAATTTGCAAAATCACTTAGCAGCAACTGAAGACAATTATCAACCACGTGGAGAAAATCAAACCGAGCAGGGCTGTGTGAAACATGGTTGTAATATGCGACTGCGAACACTGAACTCTACGCCACTCCACAAATGATGTTTTCAGGTGTCATGGACTGTTGCCACCATGTATTCATCCAGAGTTCTTAAAGTTTAAAGTTGCACATGATTGTATAAGCATGCTTTCTTTGAGTTTTAAATTATGTATAAACATAAGTTGCATTTAGAAATCAAGCATAAATCACTTCAACTGCTCTTCTGTAGTTCTTGGATTTCTTTTCCCTTTTGACTTTGAATAAATGTAAAATCCTTTCAGCCAGAAAAAGTAAAATAGAAACAACCTGTATTAAAAATCTTCCATAGAAGCAAATTTGCCACCCAACTGAAGCACACCTCTTTCAGCATCAAAATATTTTAGAAATCTTAACTATTTTTGGATGGGAATTTGTCTTAAAGAGTGTAAATGCTTCACGGCCTTCTGAAAGGACAAATGGAATATGTATGACTCTTTTTTTAGGGGAGCCTTCTTTAATCAAATGCAGTTCTGGGCCATAAGACAGTAAGATCCTCAAGGACCATAATATTAGAGCTACTATATTGAAGTCAGCTGCGTGGCAAGTGCCAGATTAGGCAGTCTACCTATATTCATTCATTTAATCTTCACTGAACTCCATGAGCATTTTCTTCATTTCACAGATGAACAAATGGAGGTGCAAAGAGATTGACAGAGTAGAAGTCAGACAAAAACAGCATCTAGTACAGTATGTCCAGGTTATAGTGATTATTTTAAGATCAAATAGGGAGCTGTTTTCTATTCAATGTCAGAAACCATCAGGACCACCCTACATTCTGGTTACTCAACAGATATCTACTGAGAGCCTCCTCAGAATCAGGTGCTGTGGTACGCTTTGGGGTGCCAAGCTGACCCAGATAGGGTCCCTACCTTGAAGGCATCCCAGTCTAATGAGGGAGACACAGCCAGAGCAAGCAATGACAAAACAAAGACAGTCAACCCGATGTGGGAACAGAGGTGTTACGGAAGCCTCAGTGGAGCACTTGGGGAGAGCTGGCATGGGAACTGGCTCTTGAAGATGATAGGAGTTTATCAGGAAGCCAGAGGGCACAGGAAAGGGCTTTCTGGGCCATGGGCAGAGGGAGGGAGGCACAAGGGTCAGGTGCCATGTAGGGGAAACTGCAAGTCATTTGCAGTGGCTGGAAGGCAAGGAAAGCTTGAGGAAGCATTTAGAGAAGAGGCTAAAAATTATGTCATCCAAAAAATGATTGAAAACATTGTGGTAAATGAGATAAAACTAGGTCCCCCATAGTTGTATATGTAGATATAGTAGGCTGCTCCATTTTGTCATGATAGCCACAAACTTGTAAGAACACGAGAGGCTTTGCAAAATACTTAGCTGAAGCCAGCATCTGAGTAGCATCTGAGTGTCTCCTTTACTCAGTCCTGAGTGAAATGTGGGAGGGGCTGGGTGGAGGTGGTGCTTGAATACCTTGCTGCTGCTCTCTCCCAAAGCCAGAGTTCCTGCCAAGCCATGGCAGATGCCGTCAGGTAAACTGCTCAACAGCTGTTCTCAGTCCCTCCAGCAGCTAGGGCTGGCCCCATGACCCAGGAAATGTAAGGGGAGGGCTCCCAGAGTTTCTGGAATTTTTTCCCAATTGACAAAAGGAGAGTGGCAAACAAGAATGGAGCTCCTGCCCTCCATCCACTTCCCCTGCCTTTGAGTATGGTGCTCAGGAAGCGACATTTGGCTCTGGGGCAGCCATCTGGTGATCATGTGATCAACAGGGCTGCATTCCTCTGGAGGCTCTGGGGAGAGTCCATTTCCTTGCTGTTTTTTAGCCTCTATAGGTCACTGGCATTCCTTGGCTCATGGGCCCCTTCATCTTCAAATCCTGCAATGACAGTTCTGTCCTTCTCAGGTGCCAGCTCTCTGGCTTTCTACAGGTGGGAAAGGTTCTCCACTTCTGGGGACCCATGTGATCAAATTGCGCCCACCTAGATAATCCAGAATAATCTTCCCACGTCAAGGTCCTTAACCTTAATTGCATCTGCAAAATCTCTTTTGCCCTGTCAGGTAAATAATCACAATCTTCCCACGTCAAGGTCCTTAACCTTAATTGCATCTGCAAAATCTCTTTTGCCCTGTCAGGTAAATAATCACAGGATACAGGGTTTAGGATGTGGCCCTACCACAGAAAGAGTCTTTGAGTCCTTGACATTGAGGAGGAAACCAATCCTGTTCTCCACCATCTCTGGACACCTTAAGTAAACCACCGATATTATTATTGATAAAGCTGGTGTTAGCTTTTCTGTTATTTGAAGCCAAAAAGCATTTCTGACACAGGAGCTATTTGCATGATGAACCATAGCCTGCAGGAGAACAAAGCCCAACTGGTTCTCTGGGCCTGTGGGGAGGGAGGATGAGGTTGAAGAGGGAAGGGAGGGGCCTGCTGTAGTGTGAGGGACAAAGACAGGAAGAGAAAAAAGGCATTAGGTATTCCTGTGGTCTGCACATCCTCTCCAGATACTCAAGAAATGCAATTCAACTATTTGGAGATTACTTTTTGATAGCTATGCTTGGTTTCTAAATGCAGCTAGGCCCCTGCACACAGGGCTTGCTGAAAGTGGCCACCTCAGCAGCAGCAGCACAATTGCCCTGTATAAAGATGACCAAGGGAGGGTGAAATCCCCTTTTGGGAGATTGTGGTGTTTGGAAAACAGATTCTTCCCCTCCCTGACACTCCGTTGAGGGAGGAGAGGTTAGATTTTATTCCCTTGGCTGAAACTTCTGAGGGGAACTTTTTGAGACACTCATGGAAGATCAAATTGAGGGTTGAAGACTTGGTAGGGACTAGTGCAGCATGGGATAGTGGTATTCACTGCAGAGAAGTGTCTGCCAGCAGGAGGCTGGCAAGACACTGTCAAATTTCATGAGGGAGCACCAATGCTGTTAGGAGTTGGGTCCTTTGCTGATAGGACCTGCAGGGCATCTACCTTCATGTCTACAAAAAAGTTACTAGTGACCAGGCACAAGGGGACAGTAACCTTACCAGCCTCATTGCTAAGAAGTGGTTAGCACATGTCTTCCCCCCGCTCTTCCTGGCCTCTTCCACCACCAGTCAAGCTGGTGCAGGAGTTGGCAGGGACAGCACATCTTGGAGGCACTATGGAGGTTCAGGGGAGCTTTGAATGAAACCACTGAACTTTAAGATAAGATTGTCTTAATAATGCAAAATGACTTAAAAGTCACAGGATTGCACTGAGCACTTGATAAGCCCACTGCCCAGTGGGTAACTGCATTTGACAAAACAATTGGCACAGTTATGAAAAAAATGTAAGCATTGAGTATTTTTATCTCCATAAATTATACTCTTCAAGCAGGTTACTTAAGCATTATAAAAGAGGCTGAAAACAGGTGGGGAGAGGGCAGGTGGGAAACATGGAAAGCAGAGGGAAGGGGAGCTTGGTGCCCACCTGTGAGGCAAGGTTTTAGGGTCCAATAACAATTTCTGACCTGGTGAGCTGACACTCAGTTGAGATCAATTCTCTTGTACAGGTGAGCTGGTGAGGAGGTGGAAAGGGGCAGTGCTGTGATGGGGAAGGGGCAGAGCATTCCTCTCAACTCTCTTTTGCCCTCCTAGCTTGACCTACTGATGGCTGCACTCTTTTCTAAATAGTAACACATGCTCCAATGCATGCTTGAGTTTGTGCAGTATTCTTGTTTCTGAAAGTCAAGTTGTGACAATTAATGCTGTATCTAACCAAATGATCACAGCCTCCCTCTTCCCCATGGGAACTACAATCAAGAAGCATCTTCCAATTTCATGTACACTAAACCTAGGTGGCCACAAGCTTCATTTGGGCCATGAACTCCTTTGAAACCCTCATAAAAACTGTCCTACTATCTCCCTGGTAAATCGCACATACACAGAGTTTTGCCTTTCAGGACATATGGCCTTATAAGATTTTGACTACTAGTGACCAAAATGTTGATGTTTTTCAAAAATTACACAGAATTGTTAAGATGGAATAGTTTTATTCAGCAAACAAAAAACTTGCTAATTCAGAGTATCCTCTAGTCCACGTAATGTGGTTTAGACTACATTTGCAAAATTAGGGCCTTGACGCTGAACAAAATAAAATCCAGAGGAAGAACTACAGTATCCAATCAAAAAGGAAGTACTAGCAAATGAACCAGAATAAAAGACTTTATTGTATTCCATACATTCACAGGTCACTTCCAGATTTAGTAACAACACTGCAATGCTATGATGCTGTGCGGTCATTTAGCTTAAACCACAGTGTAAGTTGGTAGCTCTCTCCTGCTCTCTTGGCCTCTAGATGTATCACAATACAATTCCTAACTGTGGCCTGGCAACCAATGCTTATTTCATTGGATTATTTTCTGACTGGGACATGAGTTCATCGCATCTTCCCAGAATTTTAAAGTACCTTCCCTTACATTATAAGAGATGACCAAACACTCTAGTGTGAAGGCTGCTTCACACACTGTTCTTATCTATCATGATTGCTCTTCCTTACATACACGTCCCGTACAGATCAGCTACACACGGCATGGTCCTGAAACCACAGCTTTTGTTTCTTTGGCCAGAATGCACCCCTCACCTTGAGTGCCCGCCTTAGAAACACAGGTACTTGGTTCTCACAGGGTGTGCATGGTTGACACAAGTTCATCTGCCCCACGGTAAAAGCTCTTCAAAACCTTTGCATGACTTGTGGGGAGCAGGGTCACAATTTGTTGCATGTGACCTGCCTCAGCCTCAAAAGATAAGAGATCATGAGGCTCCACCGCCCCCGGGCTCAGGAAACTTGATCCACATCGCTAGGGCTCTGCCTGTTAGGTTATGGATGCTCACCTGACTCTCTGAAGCAGAGGGAGGCTGACACAGATTAGCTTTTATTGAAATTATTAAAGTGCAACTTTGTGTTTTCACTCTATCAGGCACTGAAAAGCAAGAAGCTTTTAATTTTTTCTTTTCTATAATGAAATATATTTTCTTTACTCTTATTTGTATCTGTAATACACCTGCAATTAGAAACAGCAGTTAAACATAAAACAAAGAACAGAGCAGAAGGCACAGTCTAAAGAGTGGGTATCAGAAGAATTTTACCATTTACGCTCATAGGAATACTAAACCAAACCCAATCAGACCAAACTCCAAAGCCCATTGTGTTTACAAGTCTGCCTCTTTTGTGTGATAGCAAGTCAGTCCTTTAAAGCAGAAACCCCATTTACTAACCCTACATCCCAAGTAAGCAGGCCTGTATCAGAACCAAACAGCTGTCCTCTTACATCAGAAAATCTAAGTGATCTGAAAGACAATTCATCACAAGTGTTTCCAATTTTCTTCTGAGAACATCACCAATCCCACTAATGCAAACTCAGAACATTACTTCAGTCAAATTTCGCTAAATGCTATAGCTTTCTTCAAATAAAAATTAGCCAGAAAAATACCTTAGAAAAGATTTTTTTTTTCATTGTGGATTCCAGGAGACTTTTAAGACATGGAATTCTCGGTGATTATATTCAAATGGCAGAGCCACATTTGCTAACAGTATTTTCTAATTTTATCTTTCTTATAAGAAAAAAAGGGTAAAAATCGGATCTGAAATACTGACAGGGTTCCCCAAAGTTAGATATTAACACAGCTTTTCATTTCTCTTATGAGAACTTTACTGTAAATATACCTTTATCATAGAAATGAGATATCCAATACACATTACAAAATGTCATATTTAAAGATGACAAATCTATTCTTAACCCAGATTCTTCATCCACAGAAGTTTAATGACTAAAATAACACAACAGAATGAACAAATGTTTTATTGGCATGTTCATTGTTGTAAACAGCATCTGGCATGAAAAAGTTTTACCAAAACCTTTTTTATTGATTTTTATAAATTAGATGGTATGTCAAAATTTATGTAGAATTGTGTTCATTGAGTACTTTTATTTAGCAAAGCAAAAACTTGCTGATACTAATAAACTCTGCAATGAAATCATGTTGACTGCATCAGTCTGTACCATGACCTGACCTCATTAGCAAGTTTATTCAGAACAATGTTAAGACGTTTCCCAAAAGTTAAACTACATGTAACTACAAATTGACTCTAAAAATTAAAACTGGACTTACAAGCATTCTAGAAGATTCAAACTTGAAGTAAATCTTCAAAACTAGATGTACAAAGAGAAAAAAATTGAAGCCGCTGAACAGAGAAACCTCATTAACAAGGGCAACGACAATCCTATGGGACCTAGCACTGAGGAACCTCACTGAGGATTACATTTACATAGATTGCTATACTTCTCAATGTACACAAATGTACAGAATGAATGATACGTGAAAAGAATAATCATGGCAGATAGTTGAACTGCAATTATGATAACTCAACAGGATCAATTTTATTTACATGCTGAATAAATGAATGAAACATATTCTCTACATCCATAACTTAAGTACAATCAGTTATAATTACAACACTGCAGCAATCTGAGCTGCCACCTGCTGGGATCGGTCTAAGGGAAACGTTCTGATGTTCCAGAATAATGTTCTTAATACTCTGCAAAAAATGAAACAAAATAAAAACACAACTTCACAATTCCTTACTGGGTTACGGCTGGTTCCAAGAATTTCTTTTCTTCAGCTCCTGTTTTTGCTGCTTTCCAAGAGTCAACACACGTTGGATTTACTTCTGAATTGTCAATGAGGTAATGTGTGCATCAGTGAAATAAACAGAAAATTCATTCATTCATGGCCTTTGCACAGCTTTTATTATTAAGCTATGAGCATCCTGTTTGAGGCTAGTTTTACTAGCGGCTATGTGCACATTTGTCCGCAATAAAAGAAGTTTACTCATTCCCCTGTCCCCTTTTCTAATAGAAGGTTAGCTTTTTTTGTTGTTTTTTTTTATTTTTTTGCACATCCCTTTTCACTTTACAGTACATTTGACTATAGTGCACAACATGATTCCGAGTCAAAACAGTGGCCCATTGGGCACTGAGCTTCTGATTGGTGTAGGGCAGTCCAATCAGTGCTGGTGTCACTGGGTTACCCCAACCATGTCCGGCCAAAATGGCACTACCCAGTGGTAGTGAACCATCTAATTAAAACCAAAACTCCCCCAGGGAAAATGCTACACTATCAGAGTCAGTCTTGAGTCAGATCTTTATTTGGTGCTCCATCCAGATATATTTTTAGTGCTTTCTCTTTACGAGGTGAGTATGTTACACGATGTCCAGTCTTCTGGAGTCGACTGCTTTCTTTTTTCATCAGTTCATTTCTTTGCTCATCTGTCAATTCCATTAATTCTTCTGTTTTATCCCTACATATAAAATATTAATCACATATTAGTCCAGTAGAGCCCTCCACCTCTATTAATGTATGCTTGAATGCTATGATGCTCCTCAGCAAGATAATGAAATCTGTTACTGGTGAAGTAATATTATTTTATATACTGAGATGTCCCAGATTTCTAAGGTGTTAATCACAGGAACATATTGCTTACTTCTAAAAGTGGCGGAGAATAACTTCCATGTTATTAGCAGTAGTAACAGCTATCATTATTGAACATCTATAATAGGCACTGTGCCAGTTATTTTACATGCAACAGCTCTAATTCTCATAAAATCCTGCAAGGTAGACATCATTGTTGCAATTTTATAGATGAGGAGCTAGGTAAATCAGAAAGCTAGTTTTGAACCCAGATTTGTGAGGCTCCAATGACTATTCTTTTTCCTCTACATCTGTGCTGTCCAATACAACAGCCATTAGCCACATGTGGCTATTGAGCTTGTGAAATATGCCTGGTTCAAATTGAGATGTGCTGGAAATATAACAGACATACAATATTTCTAAGACTCAGTACAATAAAAAAATGCAAAATACAAATGATTTTTTATACTGATGACATGTAATGATCATATTTTGGATATATTGGGTTTACAATATTTTTAAAATTAATTTCACCTGTTTCTTTTTATTGTTTTTAATGTGGCTACTAGAAAACTTCAAATTATAATCATGTTTGGCTGTCACTGTATTTCTACCGGTTAGTGCCGCTCCATATCATAAAAACAGTAAAGATATTTATGGAAAATAAGATATGTATGCACGCCAAAAATGTATTACTAACAGCAACAAAAACATTGTGAATGTTACCTATAAAATATGACCGCACCATCATCACAGATATAAAGAGGCCAGACATTCAGGGTAGAAACTTTAGGATTCCAGTCTAAATCCTGATGAATATCAAGGACAGAAATATCACAGGGAAATGTTCCTCTACCCTAAAAAGAAAAAGAATGAATGAATAAATCATGCCACTAGCTGTGTTTATCATGCACAATACACAGATGCAACATTCTCAGGGCTTTACCTTAGCAAATTCAATATCATCCAAAGGAATCCCACTGATTTCACTAAGCTGTAAAATAAAACATTTTATTTGAGTTCATTTAAAAAATTAACTTGCTTAGAAAAGTTATTTTCCTTTTACCCCACAAACAGAAATAGCTCAGTTTAAAAAATGTTTCATGTAAAAAAATTAAGAAAAAGCAGAAAGCGGCCACCCTGCAAATACCATGTCCCAGAAATACCAAGTTAGTATATTCCTTCCAGACCTTTTCCTATGCATACACAAACTACACCCACGTTTCTAAAACATGTAAAATCAGATTAATATCTCTATATAATAATTCTGTTCCTAGAGGAATAGGATACAAAGTGACCACATTCTCTTCAATAACCGAACAATATACATTTTATCTCCTACTGATGGACACTGAGACTGTTTTCAGTTTTTCCAAGTTACAAAGCTCTACTGTATACTTCCATGAATATCCTCGCACATGGTGAAACCCCGTCTCAACTAAAAATACAAAGAATTAGCCGGGCGTGGTGGCATGTGCTTGTAGTCCCAGCTACTCGGGAGGCTGAACCAGGAGAATCACTTGAACCCGGGAGGCGGAGGCTGCAGTGAGCCAAGATCGCACCACTGCATTCCAGCCAGGGCAATAAGAGTGAAACTCCGTCTCAAAAATAAATACATAAATAAATAAATTCTTTTTTCTTGAGACAGAGTCTCACTCCATCACCTAGACTGGAGTGCAGTGGTGCAATCTTGGTTCACTGCAACCTCCACCTCCTGGGTTCAAGCAGTTCTCCAGCTTCAGCCTCCTGAGTAGCTAAAATTACAGGCATGCACCACCACACTTGGCTAATTTTTGTATTTTTAGTAGACACAGGGTTTCACCATGTTGGCCAGGCTGGTCTCGAACTCCTGAACTCAAGTGATCTGCCCACCTCAACCTCCCAAAGTGCTGGGATTACAGGAGTGAGCCATGGCACCCAACCTGCAAATACTTCTACAGATCGAATTCCCAGATGTTTAATTGCAAATCCGAAATACTGACAAATGATGCCAACTGAACTTGAAAAAAATCATATCAATTTATACACTTATCAAAGGTATATATTGTCTGTATCCCCTAAACCTTGAGAACTCTAGGTATTTTTTGATTTTCTAAATCTTCACCAATTTAAGAGTGAAAAATAACGTTATTCTTTAATTTGTATTTCTTTTTCTATAAATTGCCTATTCATGCTGTCTTTCTTAAAATTAGATTTGTTCCGTCTTTTTCTTATTAAGGTAGTAGCTCCTTATAAATTATGGACAGCATGTTTAATAACTGCTTCAAATAATTTCCTCCTAGTTTATTGTCTTTTAGCTTTGTTTATGAGTTGCTTTTTAAATACCTTTTTCTTTGGCTATGCAGAGGATAGGTTTTTACGTGGTCTATAGTTTCTTTTTTTGGCTTCTGGTATTATGCTTACAAATATCTTTTTCCAGGAATATGAAAATATTTTTAGTATTTAATATTTTACATATTTTCACCTAGTACATTTACTTTTTTTATATATAAACTTAATACATTTAGAATTTATTTTTGTGTTTAGTATGAAGTATGGAAATAAATCTTTTTCAAAATGCTCATTGTGCTAGTACCACAGATTGACTAATTCACCCTTTCCCCAGAGATCCTTAGATATCCCATCTTAAAATGCAAAACAGACCTTCATCTGGATTCTCTACACAATTCGACTTCATTTGGTTTTTTTTAGACATAAAGCAATTCACTCTAGTAACTTCTAACTAATTCTAACTACTTAGGACAAAATTGGTCCAAGTAACAGAAAGTGAGGATCCACTTCTGAATGGCCAGGAGCCAAAGTAATTTTTCAAAGAATCAGGAGCCTGAACAACCAGAGTGTGCCACAAGGTGTGACAGAAACCAAAAAGAAAGGTTGCTGCACCAGTGTTTGGTACTACTTCCTAGGTTTTCTCTTACGCAACACAGGAAGAATGTATTGTTTATATATTATATATTTTATTAATATTATGATATACATATACAACATAAGATACATGTTTTGTTTAAAATGAACTTACCTTCTCTCGCAATTCGTCCACACTACTGCTTTCCAATACAACCTCCTGGAAGGGATCCAACTTCATCTCTGAAGGCTTCCACCGTCTTGACAAAACTGCAAGCTGTGACATGGACTTCATCTTCTCTACCCCTAAGAATATGCAAGATTAGGTCATCATTCTATTTCCTCTGAAGGTTCATAATTTGACTTTTCCCTTAGTGCCTTACTAAACAAAAAGATTTACTTCAAGTGTTACTCTTAAAAAGTGGGCACAAGAAAAAACCCAATTATCCCAAGGAGTTTTTGAGAATGAAATATTTACTCTCTTCTCTCCAGTCTCAGAAGATAATTCCTCTCTTCTTCAAACCAGTACTCCTAATTCCACTCCCTCCTGACTCCTGTTGAACACTGCATTACCAATTACTCTCTTCTCTGGATTTCCAATCTTTGTTTCTCTATTGGCTCCTATCCCTATCTAAAATCATAAACAAATCAACTTCACTTTATCCTCTTTTTTCACTAAAGCTATTATTAATCCTTCTCTTTCCATTTACTCCCCAATTTAGTGATTCTTCAAAATTGTCACTTTTCCATTATGTCACTTTTCAAGCATCAACTCAATTGTCACTTTTCAAGCATCAACTCAATTGTCACTTTTCTCTGGTGTACACAAGAAGAACTTCTACTGATTCAGTCCCTTAGTACCTATTATTTTAGAATGACAGGTTTGCAGTTCTGTTTCTTCCACAGACTGTGTGCACCAATAAGTGGTTCTTACTCATTTTTGTAGCACAAGGGATTAGCAGTGTCTGGCAAATTACAGGTCAATAAATACCTCTTGGATTTAATCACATGACATTTCTTACTCAACTATCTTGATGTGAAAATATACTGAAATAATACTGATGCAGGCACCCACCATCTAGTACCATTTTCAGATGAATCCATCTCTGCTAATACATACTCAATCCTTACAAGGGTGACTTCTTTGTCATTTATGATCTCTTCCTGACTTACCCAGGCACAGTGATTATTCCCTACGACCCCAGATACTCAAAGAAATCACAATCTGGAGCACTTGCCTACACACCATAGTAGATGGTATCCTAGTTGTTCCTTACCTCCCAACTTAACTTGTCAATTAATCAGAATTTCAACCATTTAAATTTATGGTTGAATTAGACCTGAAGCAGCCTGAAATACATGAGGTGTTAGTATTATTGAGCTCTCTAAAAACTAGGATAATCTTGTAACAAAATATCCAGAATTCATATTTTACTTTCTACAGAAGAAAAGGAAAATTAAAATTTTCCTAAGCAACAGCAAAAAAAGAATATAGAACTAGTTGTTTACCTTGATGTGATCTTCTAAAAGCCAACTTTCCTCCTATAAGCCTCCCTCCAAACACCAATACTTTAAATGTGCCAATGTTGATAACGAAAACTGGGAGGTGTGACAAGTATGTCTGCTACTTGGACCTCCTCAAGGTCACTGCTATGGGTTGAATTGTGCCCCCCACAAAAAGACATTTTGAAATCCTAATCCCTAGTACCTCAGAATGTGACCTTATTTGGAAATAGGGTCTTTCCAGTGATACTCAAAGTAAAATAAGGTCTTCAGGGTGGGCCCTAATACAATAGGACTAGTGGTTTATGAAAAAGGGGAAAACAATACAGACAGACAAGCCCACAGAAAGAACACCACATGAAGATGAAGGCAGAGACTGGGGTGATGTATCTACAAGCCAAGGTTGCCAATGATGGCCAAAAACCACAGAAGCTAGGAGAGAGTATGGAACAGATTCTCCCCCACAGCACTCAGAAGGAACCAACCCTGTTGACAGCCTGATCTCAGATTGTGAGACAATACACTTCTATTCTTTAAGCCACCTGGCTTAGGACACAAATAGTCATTGTTCTTGAGTCTCTGATAAATTATCAGTACCATGTCTTCAATACAAAATAAGCCATAATAGTAAAAAAGAAACTAAAGAACAAACGTGGCTAAGAAAATATTAGCAGAGTTTTCTTAAAATGTATTAAAAACCTAACTTTGTAATTTCCTCATAAGGGGGAATTAATATTCTCAACATTCAAAAAAAGAATACTTAAAAGGCAAATGGGAACCAGAGAAAGATAGCAGAAGGCTGAAAGACACTGATTATTCTTTCAAAAACAACTTAAGCAGTTACATTAGGACACAGGGGAAGAAAATAAAACTCCCAAGGATAAGACGTAGGTAGGAATCACATCAATCCATAATAAGGATATCGTTATGCTTAATATAACACAAAACACTATAATGTATATTAGATTCCTCGTAACTCATTATTTGATTAAAAACTATAGGCTTCTATTAGTTCTAGAGTATTTCTAACTGATACTTCCCCCCAAAAATATTGAAAATACCATCAAGAACTTCAAGGAAAACCTCCCAGTTGCTGGAAATATTAATATCTTCTTCATAAATATGATAATCCAAAAAGACAGTGCCAGGATTCTTCCATGTTTTTTTCCTTAGACGAAACCTACAAATGTGATAAGACATTTAAAACGACTATAATTTGAAACTCTCAATTTAAAGATTGACACTAATCTGACACCAAAGAAAAATGAACTATGTTCAAATACAAAAGTCAAATAATGAGTTGTTAAAATCTGGGGAAATAAAGAAATGTTTCCAGTAATTCAAATTTAGAATTCTGTATAGGAAATCCAAACAAAATTTTAATACTCTTGTTTAGTCCTATTAAACTAATCTGTCATACTAAAATTCTGAATAGCACAGGAAATTTTAATTCTCCTAGTTTTAGAAAATCATACCAGTCCATTTCAACTGACCACATAGTCTTTCTTCAAATCGCTGATGACATTAATTTTACTTTACCTGTCAATACTGAGCTCTAAACCACATTGCTCCCTGAGCTGAGGAATTAATTCCTCTTTTGATTGCCGTACAGTCATTCCTTTAGCAAACACAGCATCTAGCAGAAACTTGCATGGCTAGAAATATAAACATAAACAATCAGAGCTTGAATTATACCTTAAGTACATTAATATTAACACATTAAAATAAAAATTACCAAAACATTTTATTTGCAATTAAGGGCCTGAGTTTCAGAGTCTATCTTCCTTTTTTGAAACCTTAGCTCCACTATTTATGAGCTCAGCTATCTTGGGCAAGTTTACTTAAAATCTCTGTGTCTCAGTTCTGTAAACTGGGAACAGTATCTTCCTCACTGAGTCATTGTAAAGGTTAAATAGGATAACACACTTGTATTTTCCTTCTTTTAACAGTTATAATTTTGAAAGCAAAAAGAACCACTTTTATGGACTAAAATGAGGGAAATGTATACTAATTCTCCAAATACTTTAACCAATTGTCTCAAAAGAGACAGTTTCCACAAACTCAGATTAAATATGTAAATCAAAATGACTGTAATGGGTCACATTAAGAGAAATAACAGATGCCAGATAAAATATCTTATATGAATAAAGGCATTTTATGATAAATTTATGGTTTTCACATTTGTCTAGTTCTTCAACAGGATGCTATAACATGTTATAACAGAATGTTATAACAATAGGATGTTATAACATTCTGAAAATATGATCTTTGCCTTATTCTTTTGGGTATTTGTGGTAAGGCTAGTATACCACAGGACTAAAATATTTTATTGACCCCTTAAAAAACACGGCCTGTTTAGATCATTCACCCACACCGTTTACAAGCAGTGACCTTGACCAAGATACTTAACTTCTCTGTGCCTCAGTTTCTTCATCTATAGAATGAGAATAAGAAATAGTGCTTGTATCTTAGTTAACTGATGATTAAATGAGTTAATATTTGCAAGCACCTAAAGCACACAGTAGACACTATATAAATGCTTGTTACATACTAAAATGACTTGCAACTGCTATTCACCTGTAGCACTGTATGATTGTTTCCAGAAAGCAAGCACACGCACAAAAAAATTTCTTTTCCTTTTAAAAGCAGGAAAATTTTGTCTCATTTCAGCATTTGTAGCAACACTTTAGAGCACAGGGATGACAAACAGTGGCCTGAGGGCCAAGTTCACTGCTGCCTGCTTTTGTAAATAAAATGTTGAGACATAGCCATCTCATTGGCTTATTATTGTCTATGGCTCCTTGTGCTATAATAGCAGAAGTGAGTAACTGCAACAGAGGCAGTATGGCCTGCTAAACTGCAAGGCCCAGAAAAAATTTGCTGACCTTTGCTTCAGAGAAATAAAATGACTATGAATAAAATATATTCTATGTTTTCAGTAACTGTAAAAAGTAACCTTATATTATTCTTAAACGTATTACTTACCTCTTGTTCATTGACCAAAAGCTGGTATACTTTAACTCTGTATTCTCCTTTTTTAAGTGCTCTCCCCAGTCTAATTGTAATCTATAAGTTAAAAACATTTTTTTAGACATGCTGTCTCAGCAGAATAAACAACCCATTCTCATCCCATTTTTAAACTTTCCAAAATACTCTAGATTATAGGCTCTCTGAGAACAGGCATATCTTTTACCTCTGAATCCCCAGCACCTAGAATAGTAACTGACACACAGCTAACATTTCACAAATGTTTGTTAGATGAGTGAAGAAAAATAACAACAAAAAACCCCCCAAATTACCATTAATCATTAAAAAAAAATCCTTCCAGTTTATCTACTTCACCTCACTTGGAAGTAGTAAAAGCTGTTCTCAAATCTATCATTTAAAATAGACTCTAACTACTCGAAGATTATTTTAATCAACCTTATTGTCATCAGAAAATGATGAAAGTGTCTCATTCAGCCGGACGCTCTCAAACTCTTGATTGCTGGCATACACTCGAAAGACCTTGAAGTGAGAGGACAAAACTCCAACAAAGGGCTCTAAATGTTGTTTGAAAGCTGCCAGAGTAATTCTTTTATCAACATGCACCATCAACCCTAAGCACAAAAAAAAAACCAAAACAGGAACAAAAATGTAAAAGAAACCTCTGAGTATAAATAAAACAGATCATATACTTTTTATTACACTGTATGCAGTAAAGAGTACCCCTTTTCAGTTAGACTTTAGCTAATATACCACACTGAATGGACAAAAAACATGGACACAGGGTTTCTGATAGGTTTTATCTGACAGCTTAAAATGTTCTGAGCTATTTAAGTGCTTGTTTCTTTGTTTAGGTTGCCAAACTCAAAAACAAGCTTCTAGGAATTCTTTTAAAATATATACACTTCTAGCTCTACACAGTAATAGTGTAAGCTCTGGTGGTTCCAATCCCACCTCTTCTGCTTACTTACTATATGGGACACGGCGCCAGCCTCCGTACCTCCATTTCCTCACTAGAAAAATGGAGATGATAATAGTGCCCACCTGAGTGTTGCAATGTGACTTCAGTGAGGTAATTCATTTATCATGCTTTCAGCACAGTGCCAAATACAGCGTGATTGCCTCAAAAACTGTTAGTAATATTATTTAATTTTCAGATTTTCACTAGAAAAAAAGTCACGACTGGCATACTAAGATGTCTGATTTATCATGTGGTTGGGCTGTAATTAACAGGAACTGTATTTAAATGGATCAGAAACTCTTACCTCTTCCCGGCTTAAATTTAAGCTCTCTTGGTATTGTAATAGGATTATCTTTGATGAGCTTCGTTTTTCCCTAATGCTTATTATTTTAATCTTTTGTCCCTAATTTTATAAGCCACTCATGAGGACACATCTGGAATGCTTCTATTGACTGTGGTCTTCATATTGTAGAAGAAAGCAGAAACCAGACTCTCAGTTAATAAGGCAGTGCTGCCTCGCTGCCTCAGGCCACTGGACCTCCCTGGCTCTAAGGCTCCCTCCATGTTAGGTCTGGTTTTTCTGCTAAAGCTACATGGAAGGTAAAGGATGAGGCCTTAAAACACTCCTGGTAAACCAACATTCCCATGTCATATCAACACTTGGGTTGAATTTTTCTCAGATGACTTGTCAAATAAATTAATGTTCATTGTTTTCCTGGCTATAAAATATAGGCTCATTAATAGAAAATGTGACAAGAACAAATTAGAAGAAAGTATGAAGAGGGTGATGAGCTTTATTTACTATCTACCTTTTGAGTTTTGAGGCAGCATTTCTCTTAATTTGTTTAAAATGTCACTTTTTAAGCTTTAAGGAGTGCCCCTCTATGTCAATAATCCAGCTTATGGCAAACAAGCTTCTGTCTATGCTATCCAACGAGGTACTAAATTTCTTAACAGAAGGGTGTAATGCAAAAATTACCGGATTAGAAATGGAAAGCCTATGGCTAGATTTCAGTTTTGTCACTTTACTCTGATAAATGGCTGTAGGCAGGTCATCCAATCTCCCTCAACCTGTTTTCCCACGTGATCATAACATATAACATTGTTGTGACAAATGTAGTAAAAGTCTTTTCTAAAGCATTACTCAAATACAAGCTTTTATTGCCATTTTGGTTTCTTTCCTAACCTCTAGTAGTGCTGTGTCATAGGAAGACAAAAATGTTTGCTGGTTACTGATATCGTTTAATATGGTGATTATGACCAACTGGTTCTGGAATTTGATGGCCTGGCCTGAATGAATTCCTGGCTCCTCTTCATATATTAGATTTGTGACTCTGACTTCTTAACTTTTCTGTACTTCAATTACCTTTACTATAAAATACAGGTAATAGTATTTAAACCTCAAAGTTATGTTCTGGGGTCAATACATGTAAAATGTTTAGCATAGCTTTGGCAAAGAGTGTTAATTTATTGGCTATAATTACTTTGTAGTTTTAGAGATTACTATTGTACCATTTTTCCTATCTACCTCTTCAGACTGAAGAGTCTATGTCTTCACAGAACAACCTTAAAATGTATTTATGATTTTCCTTTTTGGTCCTTTCTCTTACGTATTTCTTTTATTCTTTTTCCTTTTCTTTTCTTTTCTTTTTTTTTTGGGGGGGGGACAGGGTCTCGCTCTGTTGCCCAGGCTGGAGTGCAGTGGTACGATCATAGCTCACTGCAGCCTCTCTCCTCTGGGCTCAAGTGATCCTTCCACCTCAGCCTCCGAAGTAGCTAGAACTACAGGCACATGACCACGCTGGCTAATTAAAAAAATTTTTTTTGTAGAGATGGGGTCTTACTATGTTGCTCAGGCTGGTTTCTAACTCCTGGGTTCAAGCAGTTCCCCTCACGGCCTCCCAAAGTGCAGGGACTACAGGTGTGAGGCACTGTAACTGACCCTTACGAATTTCTTAAGTGAAGCGGTAACCAAAATTGTACGGAGAAATTTCAGTGTAAATGCACTACCATCTTTATTTATCTTGGCTTTCCTGTTTATACCCAAGTGCCTATGAACTATAACTAGTCCTACTAGGACAGTGTTCTCAGAGAATGATCTGTAATTATTCTCTGAAACAACTCTTGGATTATAACTGCTATCTTAAGGACCATCATTTTAAGTACAGATTATTGCCTGAGTGAACTGCGTATACTGTGCATAGTGCATCATTCTTTAAATATCAAATTCATTGTCTACCTGTTCTTCCTTGCCATTTTATCACTCTGAAGAATGTGTATTACTACTCATCATCCCCATGTTTTCCCAGGGACCTTCTTTCAGATGACTGAGGAGCTGCAATGAATCAGTCTTAGCACAGACTCAAGAAAAACCTGGTTGCTAGCTGCTATCCCTACTCCCCTATCTCCAAACCAGTTTTCTAAACATGAGAAGACATTTTCCGGGGTCACATTTTCTTTTCAAACAAGACCTTTTCTATGGCTTCTAAAAGCCCAAATACATAAGTTGTAGTGAATGGTTTCTCTTCTTCACCATGTTTACTATTTCAATGAACACTAGGAAATTAGCCTGGTATGAATTTCCAAATATGGCCAACATTCTCCATTTAAAAGATTTTATTAACTGTTCTAAGATGGAAATGAGACTTTTCAAACTATAATTCTAAGTATTCCCATCGAATCAAATTTTTCCTACGGTTGAGACTATCATCCAGTCAAATTTTTAGCACATCATTCTAAAACAAACCAATTAAAAGAAATTTCCAACCTTCTACTAAAGAGGAACTACTTTTAATTTTTCTAATGTCCTTGATGGGTTGAGTATGGTAAAAAAGCAGAGCAGTTACTACTATTTTTCCTTTACTAAGATGCAAGGAAAGAACAGTGGTAGCAGCTATGGGGTGGTGGCTAATGATATCTGAGTCTCATCCTGGCAGTGTGAGCGACTAGCTATGTGACTGCAGGCAAATTACTTAATCTGTTTGACCAGTTTCGTCATCAGTGAAAACGGTCTAACAATATCAATTTCACACAGCTGTTAAAAAAACTAATGAAACAATGTAAGCTAATGAGCCTTATGAGGTACATACTCCATAGAAATTTAAAACATTATTACAATACGATTTCCCTCTATTTTGTTCTGCCAATCCACGTTTTCATACTTGAGTTTCTGCAAGATATATGTATGAATGTTGTATGATTCCAGTGTTATTTAACCCAACTAGTTAAAAACACAAATTTAAATACTTGTATTATTTCATAATTTCTACTACTTTGTTTTAGCAGATAGAATTTTGAGACTACAAGCATCATAGCACTTAATTTTCAGAGTGGGTGACTGTGCACCTCCTCCCCATGAGATGAAGCATAAGGCTGCATCTCAGTTGTCTCTGCTTCTAACAGTTACATAGGGCCTGGCATCTAGTATGGATTTAGAAAATGTTACTTGGATGGGTGGATGACTGGATGGATAAAGAGTGGGGCTCCCTTCCAAAGGTAAAAGGAACAATTAGATGCCTTCAATTCTAGTAATGGTCCCATTTACTAGCTATATATGCACTTTTGGACAAGTCATTCATCCTCTATGAGCTTTGGCTTTCTTACCTGTCACATCAGGATACTAATGTTTGCTTTACAAAGTTTGGAGAAGCTTTAAATGAGAACAAATAAGCATTCTGAAAACTAAAATATAAAAATATAAGGAGTAATATTAATATTTGCTTTGCTAGAACTAATGCAAAGTACTTACTTTTCCAGCTACTTCTCCTTTACACTTGAAGAAAGATTTTGTATCTTAAACCTGGTTGCCTTGCTAATTATTTGGCTGGCCTCAGTCTAAGGTTTTATAAAGGTTCTTTTATTTTAAGTCTCATACTATGCTGGAATGTTTTTGTTGTTACTGCTTATGCCAAATGCCCAAACTCTCAGATCTTTTCCCTCTTTCTGAGATTATGCATTGGAATTTCTAGTAACTCCTTGCTTTGGAGTTACTTCAAAGTAACAGAAAAAATTTTAAGAGCGCTTTTTCTTTCTCTGACTTTCCCAGTTGATTAAGGACTTTTTAAGGGGGTATGGCAAGGGAATTGTTGTTTGCATTGGAAATGGAGAGAGGGAAGAGCATGTAGAAATAAAACATTTTCCTGGGCATTGAATATCAAATTTTCTAAAGTTTCTCAGCTTTTAAAAAATATTATTTACTTTTTAATATATTCCCTAATTTTTTACTTAGTAATTATATCATAATTCCTTCCTAACATTGAATACTATTTTTTTTTACTTCTTATCTCAGAGTTCTGATATAATTACCATCTAATTTACTGCACAGGTCTAAGAACAGTGTTCATTACAACTGCGTCAATAATCTTATAATCCAGAAAGTTACAAATGATCTTAGAACTAAGTACCTAACACTTAACTGAAAATTTAAATAAACTGAGAGAAAAACTGATGCTGTTTCAAGGACCGTTTTTCTTTTGAAGTACATACATTTATGTCCTTCCCCAGAACCTTCATCTGCAGCATAAGGTTCAGCTTTGAAATACATGTACTGCATTTCTCCCCTACTCTTGCCACTCTCATCATATTCACTATCAGTTCCAGAGTCTTCTTCTGCTGTATCCCATGTTTCTTTTTTCCCTTCATTTGCTTTCGTTCTTCTACTACTTGTGATACTGTGAGAGTCAAGTCCATTAGCCAAAGGGATCTGAGCATTGTCTGCATTGCACAAAGTATCACTGCTATGACTGGAGCTAAGAATATCACTGTCCACTGAACTTGTACTCCTGTCATTATTCACATCTGAGTCTGATCGTTCTTCAGACTGAAAATTTTCTGGATCAGAAGTCTGAATATGCTGTTCAAGTTCTCTATTATCCACTGATGCTGAAGAGTCCCTCTCATTGAGAGGTGATTCGATGTTTTCAAAGTCACTTGTCTCAGTACTTTTGCTGCTGTCCCCATTATCTCCATCCTGCTGTTGCTGCAGTGACAAGCTTTTGAGTTTTTCAGTGCTTTCTTCTAGAATAGCTTCCACAGACTTTAGGCTTCCTACAGGTCCTTTGACTCTTTCACAGTCATCATCCACATTACCAGAATCGCCTCCAGCTTTCTGGTATGCTGTCCTTTTGGAATAAGATACTGGGGATTGTTCAGGTAGCAAAACAAATAATCTGATTGTATTTGCATGCCGATCCAGGAGTTTCCATAAATGAGAGTCTGCAAAGGCCATCTGGTAATCCAAAGTCTCGGAGCTTTCAACAAACACCTACATAGTAAGTCAGAGTTTTATTATATATTAATTTTAGTGACATGCTCATTCATCATCATCATTATATTGCATCAATACAACACAATACACAGTTATGTTATAACATGTGTGATGATATAGTTTCTGAAGGACTCTATTGTTTTGGAGACTGAATAAAATGAACATTAGGCTCAAATGTCTTTGTAACTAGCCATAAAACTACACTAAGATAGACGGTATGGACATACACATACACACAAACATCTTGTTTATTGGGTTGTCCAATTTCAGAAAGTTGTGTATTATATATCCTTCTCTTTAGGAAATTAATACTCTGGTTTTTCTTTAGATTGTAGAAATCTTTCACCTTTAGGAAATCCAAGTTTAGCCTGAACTACAGACACAGGAACATGTGTAAAGACACCTTGTGAATATAACACCAAAATCCAGATCATGGAAAAATTTAATGGGCAAATGACTTGGCTTTGTAACAAACTGCAAGGAAGCAAACAAAAAAGACACAGGAAAATTTACAGAAAAAAATTTTCTAAGACAATCAGAGAAATTTGAACACTGACTAGATATTGACTGATATTAAGGTATTTCTTAGGTATATAATGTAATTGTCATTTTTTTAAAAGAGTTCTCTTCATTTAGATATATATGTTCATATTATCTATAGATGAAATGATATGATCCTGAGGAAGTTTATCAAATAATCTGGGCGAAGTAGGTGGTTAAATTATAGATGAAACGAG
The DNA here is from genome assembly GCF_000001405.40 of Homo sapiens. Lineage (NCBI taxonomy): Eukaryota > Metazoa > Chordata > Mammalia > Primates > Hominidae > Homo > Homo sapiens. The sequence continues at coordinate 11,941,594 of NC_000011.10, read as the reverse complement.
ATGATCACTGTGGAAGCTGAGAGATGGGGATGTGTGGGGGTTCACTCTATTTTCCCTATTTTCTCTACTTTTGTTTACGTTTGAAATTTTCCATAATAAATCTTTTTTTAAAATGAAATTCGTACTTGGCATAAATTTGGCAATTATAAATAGCATGTTGGGTTTTGCATAAAAGGATAACACTATCATTATCCTATTCAGTAAATGTTACAAATTGAAACCAGTACGCTAACCGTTTAAGGAAAAAGAAAAGTTTCCCTACTGCACTTCTTACCCTAAAGTAATGTACTGGAGGGGATTAGAAATTTTAATGTTTTACATATACACACACATATACACGTACATCCCCTCCCCCACCACACAAAAGTTTTAGAAGTGTAGGTGAATAAAAATTACATATTAGTAATAAAATACTAAAAAAGTTAAATGAGATAAAAGACTAGACTGTACTAAGATGAATGAGACTAGAGTGATAAAAACACATATGAAAAATGATAAATGATCAAACACATAATAATAGCAAGACAAAAGAAGAGGATTAACATGAACTTTCTCATTTCCAACAGAGAAAAATAAGTAGGCAAAAGGAATAATGTTGGGTGAACTCAAGATTATAATTTTCTCTATACCAGGTATGCCTCTGACCCTCACCATGAAGCACTGCTTTATGGGACAAGCTCAAGAATAAACACAATCCAGGGGACATAATCACTGTGGGAAGAAATGGTTATGAAGTCTTCACCAAAGAGGTAGGACTAATCTGGAGACTGAAAAAAAAAAAATGCAGGGAGAGGAGGAAGAACACTCCAGGTGGGAGTGCACATGAACAAAGGCAAAGAAGAGGAGAACCAGTAGGACTGATTCACAGGACAGAAGGGAGCCTGACCTGACCTGACTACAAAGGAAGGTAATTACTGGGTTGAGAATTTTAAATTAAGTTCCAGACAGATGTTGAACAGCTGTGGAGGCCAGGCTTATAATATTGAACCTAATTTCATTTACTACTACCAGCATAGAAAATAGTAATGAAAAAGTAAATGACATACCTTGTTACTTCTAAAAAATCCTTCAGCTTTCAGGGTTTTACTGGAGACACTGAGAAGACGCAAATCATTGTAGCAGCGTTCCAGCACTATTCTCATTGTTTCAGCAGGTAAATGGATGGCCTATAATGAAAGCAATTTAATAAAAAGTACTCTTTCAAAAATAATTCTGCTTGACTTAAAAATATGGGAAAGCAAGACACTGCTGAGTTCTTCTTAAAAGCAGCAGAGAGAAACATAATTTTAGTAGAGGTTTTAAAATTTTTGAATAATTGAAGGGAAAAATTACTTATAGCCATAAATTATACTGCAAATCAGGAGAACAAAGTACCATTTATAAATGTATGCTCTGAAACTATTTTAAAGGTAAGGATTTTTTCCTAGAATCTCTATTGCTCTCAAACTTGCCAAGTAAATGAGTGATCTGATTCCAAAGAAACTGCGTAACTGACTTTTTGACTGCTGATATCAAAATGTTGAACTTCTTGGCTTTTGACAGGCCTTTCTATAGTCTGTGAATAGTTTTTAATACTTTTATTAAAGCAATAAGCAATTTTCCTTTGTGTAAAATGAGAAGATTAGTAGGGAAAATTTTAAGTTTTTCTGAAAGTCCACATCTTTAATTTTTGGAGTCATTTTATAAATTGACATGAAAGCAGCAGATAAAAATACTTTACATTTAAAAAACACAATTTCTTTTCAATGCAACTAAGGTCATCAGTTATAAATACCTAATTCTTAAGCAGGCTGGTTAAAAATACTGTATTTGTTTACATGATGTTTTGTGACTGCCTTTATTCTCTATAGACATATTTTTCTCAGTAAGATTATTAACTTCTTGGGGAAGAAACTACTGTGTCTCTTTCTTTTGTATTATGTGTGAGTGCTTATTAAACTAATTTTTTTTACATTTGTCATTCATATTTTAAAAATGTAATATACAGTATATTATACCAACATAGTATGCATTTACAAGCAATTTAATCATAAAATATAATTTCACAAAATGATTTGTTTCTTGGTTATTACTTTAGCAAAATTGTTAGAAGTCATATACAGAAGTCAAAATATAGACTTTTTTTTAGAACATAATAACCACCAACTCTTACATAATGCCTTACAATTTTTTTCCTCAGAGCATTTATTTATTTTTCATTAATGTTCACTACAACTCTGCTAAACAGGTATTTACAACCCCAGATAATGAGATGAAAGACAAGACTACCATAAGATGAATGACTGAAAACTGGACTCAACTTGTAATTATGGAACAATTTCCACTACACCAGGGAATATTAACCTACGGTTCAAGAACCCTGCAAAATCTGCCGTTTGTATGCTCAGGGTTCTGCAGAGTACAGGACCCTTGTAAGGATGATAATCATTTGTCTGGTGTGGACTAATCCTTTTGCCCCCCAAAATTTGAATGTTTTCATTGTTATATTTTTCCAGCTCAAAAAATCGGAATGAGCCTATGTTCTTTATCACTAGCTCACATAATGGCACCAGTATTTAATTCATCACCTTCCCTGTCAAGTCTACAGCCTCACCTTCCTCCTCTATTTCTATTAATGTATCCCTACTTTTCTGGTTACCCAAGTTTGAAACCCCTGGCTCAGGTCATCGGTGCATCTGCTTTACCCCAACATTTAACAATTACAAGTCCTACAGATTCTATCTCTCTTGGAATCCATGCCTTCTCTCATTTCCAGTCATACAACTGCACTTGAATTATTTCAACAGCTTCCTCCTCTCCATTCCTGACTCCCCTCAAGGCATGTGGAACGCTAGTCTAGTGTCACCAGACACTAAATGCAGCATTGCCGCACTTAAAAATGACGAAAACAAAAACTCGACTTATTGCCTACGCCAAAAAGGAGCCCAAACTTTCGTGTTTACTGTTTAAAGCTCTTCATGAAATAAACTGTACTTACATTTCCAATCCTGTATTTTATGATAATCCAGCCAACACATATAAGTTGTTATATGTACTTGCCTTACACTTTCTTACCTCCACACTTTACTCAATCTGTTTCTTTTAACTACAGTTGTCTCCTAACTACAAATATTAATTAGCTCCTGGAGGTAAAGCATGTATCTTATTCATAACTGTCACATAGTGTGTCTTGTACATAGCAGGCTCTCAAAAATTTATTTACAGACCCCTTTTAAAACTTACCTTTGAAATCAGTTGTTTGAATTCTGTAACTGTCTGATTTAAGTAAGCACGAACAGTTATAGGAGCAGCTACAGATTCTGCCTTTAGATCAACAACATGAACTTTCACCATCACTTCTGTCACATTTGAAGACATAAACACAGAATTGGAGGTTATTTTTTAATGTATTTCACATGAGTAATGCATTCTTAATGTGTTTCTAACAGGTGACAAATCCAAACTTCCAAGTACAGATGAAAACAACACTGAATAAATATAAATCACCAGTTACTGCAAAACAAATATTAAAGGTGACACAGCACTCCTGCTTGCTTTTGAACAAACCCCTTATTAAGCCACCTTGTTCATCATCAAAGACTTATCCTCAAAATAATATTTCCTATATCCCAAGGAAAATTCCACACAAAAACTGTTCTGATTATGCCTTTGTTTTCTCACTTAAATCTTTTATATTGAAATTTAATCCCATTCTCTTCTGTTTTCAGAAGGTTATGTTTACAATTAAACTCTTAATCACTTGAAAAATAAATGATCTTCAAACATTGTACTTAATACACAGTTATTCTGTATCTGTTTTAACCTCATGTTTTATGTCAATCCTCAGTTTTTTCCCTACGTTGTTAATCTAAATTTGACAAAATATTCTGCTAAGATCTTGATTATTAATGAATAAAGACTACTTTATAAGTCTTACAATCCACACTTGCATTTAGAGTTCTCTTTCAAATAAGTGGTATTACTGCTGACTCATGTTATATCCTAATCATTCTTTTTCTTGTCTAGCAAAAAAAAAAAAAAAGCAAGGAAATGTCCTTAAGGGACTCTTTATAGATAGGGTAGAGTCTTAGAAGTCGAAGTAGACATCATAAGGTTTCCAGAAATAAAATTTTCCCACTTAAGAGCCGTAGACTCCTTGAAAGAATACTACATCTAACCTACTCTGTAAACAGAGGCCTTCATTTAAAAAGGAGATATACAGGATCCACAGAAGAACATTATTGTAAAAGGGCAGAATAAAGTTTTGTAAGTTCAACTTTTAGGGAAAAAACACAGAGAACCTAATTCTCACTAACCACTGATGCAAAGGAGTTAGGGCCAAGACAAAACAGTATGGATTTTGTAAAATTATATAAACATTCTGCTTTTCTTCTATTTGTTACAATTTACATATGGTAATTATAGAAAACTCTGGACAAAAACAGACCATGTAACTGTCTATAGGGAAACTGTCTCTGGGAAAACTAGGGGCATGATATTTTGGTTTTCCTAAGCAGTCTCAAAGAAAAAAAAATAACAAACTCAATGTGCTGAGTGAATGTGATAGATTTAATGAAGAAAGAAAAGATGAAGTCCCTGGGACCTGTAGAAATAGAGAGGATGACGAAAAATTGTAAATGCTGACAGTGATGGGATAATGAATCCACCCTTCCAAAGAAGACCTGAAAAACAGCCTCTACTTCTGAGACTTTATGGGAATATACTTTTTTGGACCAAGGTCTTCTCCATAAAGAGAAAGAAAGAGAAAGAGAGATCTTCCTAAGAGAGCAATTGATAACTTTAGGGATTGACAGCATCCAGAATGATTCAGTACCGCCCACTGGAGAAGAAAAAACCCACTGAAGACCGTAAGCTAGAAGCTTTGTTGTTTTTTGTTGTTTTTAAAATTATGTACACAACTCTTTGCAAGTAATCTAGAACTTAATTCCAAGCTGTTGCTGAGTACTTCTCAACCTGTCAAAATTATTCTACATTTTAAGACCATATACAAAATTTAAATTATGTTCATTTCTACAATAAAAAAAAAAACTTTCTCATGAAAATTCTAAGTACAGAACAACTAAAAATAGTGTAAAATTGCTCACCTCCAGGTTTATAAGATTGGAAAACCTGATCAGGCTTTCTCGTCTCCAACAGCAGATCAAACATATATGTTGACTTGACGCCACCTAGTAGAAGCCCCATTGGTGTATCTTCTTCTCCTTCATATGACCGTTCTAGATAATCATGAAACTCATCATATTTAACAAGGCGACAGCAATCCAGGGGTATTACCTCTTCTAAATCCATCATCTAAAAGAAAGTAATCCCCCAGAAAGAAAAAATATATATACATATATATTTATATATATACATATATAAATACACAGTGTTTTAGTCTGTTGGGGAATAACATTACAATAGGCCCTAACAAAATCCACACATTTATGATTTGCATCAAAGACATCAAAGTTACAGGCACAACTTAAATGTTATTTTTAAATAATTATGTTTCATTATCCCTCCAATCATATAAAGCATGTACTAAATACATTTTTTATTTTTTAAAAAGTTAACATCATAAACTTTAGGTGTAGAAACAAAATCAATGTATTGTAACTATTGTTCATAATCAACTAATCTGGAAACACAGAGGAAAACAACCAAACAGCCAACTAGAATATGCACCTTTTGTTTTCTTAATCCAATCTGGAGTAGAATTGATAATTCATGTAACTAGTAACAATCTAAGTACAGGAGGACAGCATGTCTCATAAAGCCATCACAAAGGGTTTGGCTTCTACGATATCCCCTTTCAATATTAGCCTCCAGAATACTTAAAGCTCATGGTATAGGAATTTCTATCATAACATTTCCTTATAGCTTATGTCACCAATAGATGACATACCCTGGTTGCAACAACTCTCTTGATAGGAAATAAGCCTCCTAGAGAAACACAGTAGGATTGCTTAGAAGTATTCAATGTTCATTTAAGGTTGTGATTATGAGTTTCAAGAAGGACTTGTAAGCCTCAGCGTATCCCCATTGATCTCTACTCCTCCCCAACCCCCATCCCCAACAATGAAGCTCTATTTTTGGCATATAAGATTGACTTATTTCTCTTTTCTGTTTGTTTGTTTCTTTTTATTTGCGAACTTTTACTTCCTATTTTCAAGACTAATGCTTGCAGTCCACCATTATATTTAAAGAATTTTTACCAAAATGAAGCAAATCCAGAGCCATCCATCCATCTTAATGTTTGTTCATTCATTTATCCATTCAACATACCCAACCAATTTTGACTATTCTATATACCAGGGAAGAGTACTAAAAATAAAACTGTGAGCAAAACCAGAATGGTTTTTGCACTTGTATGTGCTTATAGTTTAGTGAGGGGCAGTAATATTAATTAAAATAGTCAAACAATTAAATGTAAAATTTCAATACTGATAAGTGCTATGCAGGACCAGATGTATAATATAAGTGATTCTCAAACTTGACTATGCCTAAGAATCACCTGAGATATGTGTTAAAATGCCTATTTCCAGGCTCCAACAGAGAAATTCTGATTCATCTGCAGCAATTAGCATTTTTAATAAGAATGTGACTCTGGTG